>NC_000018.10:25286206-25911206 GCF_000001405.40 Homo sapiens
GAGAGTCGATAAGGGGAAGAGTGGAATGAAGTGAAGGGAGGGAAGGAAAAACATTTTCAGCAGAAGAGCTTGAGTGGTGCTTCTCTGAAAAACTGATGGGGCTCAAGAAGCTCTCCCCGACAAGTACAACCAAAATGGATAATTATTAAATGAACATAAAACTACATTCTCTGCAAAGAGCTGGAGGATGAACAGCACCAGCTTGCATAAAATGACAAGATTTGCACATCAGCCATCATCAGCTTCCAGCCCTACCTACCACCATACAGAGGAGAGCCAATGTCTGCCACCAACAAAACACCCATTCTTCTCAATTGAAACAGATTTCCAATCTTAGCTACTATTTTATTCCTAAAGAAAAACAAATGTTGAGAAAAAACAAAGGTCATACAATAATCAGTCACATCTCATAGACTATATATCTCTCAGATATTAAAAATAATCTCTATTTTTTCATTTCTTGAAATAGAAGCTGAGTAACAACTAAACACCATTTGGGTAGGAGGAAAGAAAAACGGGATTTGAAGGTCTGGAAAGGGGAATCAGAAATTTAATTAAACGAAAAGGGGAGGAGGGGAAGACGCAGAGTCTAGGCCAAGGCACCTCAGCGGTTAAAAGCGTGCCCACCTAGTCTAATCTAACACAAGATCCTCGGACTCCCTGGACTGAGGAAATGAAAGCACATACAAGGGTGGTTTCAATTCCAAATATCTTTTGCAAATTACATCATATGGGACTTATATTTGCTGAAGACATCTTTAGAATATCAGTGAATACTCCAAAAGAAAATTCATGGACCAGACATGGACTTTGGGGACAGGAGAAGAAAATGGCCCATTTTTCTTATCTAGCTTAAAATACCTTCTTTGCTATAAGGAAAATGCTTCTCTGTAACTAATACAGAATATCCTCAAAGAACAAAGAGACCAAACATACCAAGCAAACTTGGTAAAAACGTGGCCTCAAGAAACACTCCTGGGGGGCCTGGTCGGCTTCTCTTCTGAGGAAACTGACTCCGTAATCATTCTGACATGCAACTGAGGAGAGAGCAGCAAATCCTAATTTCTTATTCTTGCAGCGCTTAATGCCAACAACGTACATATTGTACTCTTAAGCGCTCTTCCTGCCTTTCCTAGTATTACAGATAATTTGCTAGTTTCAGAGTGTACTTATTACAGGACTGTCAGAGGAGTTTTTGTTTCAACAACACGTTAACTTTACTGCACTTATAAAAAACATTATGTGTCCCCTGTGATTCTGTGTGTTTAAGAGCAGCGAAATGTTATTGATCCCGGTGTGACAAATCAAGAGTTAGGTAATGTCTACAAAACTCAATTTTCTGCAAGACATAAAAACCCTCTTTATGAAACCCCTCCTTAAGAAATTCAGGAGAAATTCAGAAAAAAAAAAAAGAGAGTATAAAGGTCAGCAACTATTCCTTATTAATGTAATCTAACTCTATTCCAATGACAGGCACATGACCACAGAGGCCAATTTAAACTAATATTTTTTTCACTACTGTAAAAACAAATCTGCAGGAAATTTAAAAAATTACTTTGATACAACTAGTCATCCTCCTCAGAAAGAGCATTAAATTGAAGCCAGTTTCCTCTCACTAAGGACTGTGTGACTTCAGATTCGCAGATAAGTATCCAACTTCTTGACCAAGCATTAGGATTCTACTTGCTTGTATCTGTCTACAATGGACTTTCACAGAACTCGTTTGCTTTAGAAATGTCACAATGCTGAAAACATCTCATTCTGATTCACATGAAATCTCTTAATTCTTATGATTTTTTTTCCTCTCAGAAAAGATATAATACTGAAAATGCCCCCCCAATAGTTTCAGCAACAAGAGTTGTAAACCTGATAGGTGACAGGGAAAGAAAAGAAAAAACCTCTACTGGGCAACATCAATAAACTGGGCGTGATGTGCACAAAATCCATTTGCATCCATAGAAATTTCATAACTCTGCATACATATTTGGATTTTTCCCCCAACTGTTCAGGGACAGTAAGCACTGATACTGCATTTAATTAACAAGCAAATGTGATGCCCTCCGATGTGAACAATACTGAGCCAATTGCTTAAGTTCTCACAAAGATAAATGTATTACAAGCACCACTGTACTACTGCAGAATATGACAGTAGTCATTTTCCTCATCTTCCCCAGCAAACTTTAGTCTCTGACAGGGCTAGCCTTCTGTCCACCTTTACCCTCAACTCTTTCCTTTCGGGTTTTAGCTTCCATAGGGAAATTCGCTTTCCAGATCCGTGGGTAGCTCACTCTTTCTCTTTTCCTCTTTTCTCTCCCTCTCCTTTTCCTCTACTGTATTCATCATTATTCAGCTGCATTATAACACTTAAAAAAAAAAAAACCCAGCTTTGAAAAAAAAAAAAAAAAGAAATCATTTGATTTTCATTGCCCTGGAGAGAATTAAATACCCCCAAGGAAAAATTCTGGTACATTCTCTGCACACATTTACATGCAGCCAGTGAAGTAAACATTTCCATAATTGCTCACTTCAGAACACGTTACCCAGTTCCTAGGTACAATAACTGTCAGGAGTCAATGAGGAATAAAGAATTTTCCTGAATCCTTGCACATAACCTGACTAGCATTAATAACTCCACAGTTGTACATAAGTTAAGAAATGGATTACTGCCAGACATCAGCCTTGCTCCAAACACTTTGGTCATGAGCTTTTCATGCTGCCATTAACAAAATAAATATGTTTTCTAAAACTTAAGGCTATTGATAATAAAAGCATTTTTTTTAACTTTCCTTCTCCTTAGAATAAAAGGCAATAGCCAAAACTATAGCTTTTTTTAACCTTGGAAATTACAGCAACAACATATGGCTTCCATTTACTTCCAATTTTACTCGTACTGTGAGCTTCTTTGGTGAAGTTGTCTTCTATTGCTAAATGACAAAATGAATGATGAAATTCGGTTGCTATGCTAGAAAAACAAAAAACAAACCATGGTGGTTAATCCCTAAGGAAAACTGGACTTCGGTTATGAATCATCCTTACCAGCAATCTTGTAAATCTTAAATAAAAGTCTTTATGTCCTAAAAAGTATTGTGAATAAACATTATTTTCTTTTAAACCCCTGGCAGAAAGGATTCTCCTCCCTCCCCAGTCCCTTCACATTCAAGGTTAGAGAGCATGCCACCAGCCCTCAGTGATTATGCGAACAGAACTTTCCTTGTGCAAGAGGCATCAATGAGGAAGGCGAGCACGAAGTCGGCTCTGTTTTTATTGCATGCTTGCAGGGCTTCTCATATTGCTGAAACTACAATGAAGAGCTCGGGAAGCGCATCATAAAACCAGCCCATTGGCTGTGATGGTATTAGTAATTTTTCTACAAAATGAAAATGTATATACTTTGTTATCAGATAAATCTTTATGTGCTTCCTCCATCTTTCCCTAACCAACGCATTCCCCACTTACCCCCAACTCTCTTGTGTGTCCAAGATTTACTTGGTCTTTATGATGACTTCAGATAGATAGTCATTGCCTAATTAGGCTGTGAAAGGGTCTGAGTAAACGAAACATAAAGTCAAAATTGGGGGGAAAATTATTTTTTAATTTTAAAAATGCGGCTAGCTAGACAATCAACTTCCGCACACAATAAAAGTGTAGCTCTGTGTGTTATAAACTATTTATGACGTGTTCAAGAAAGTTTTTCACCCAGGCAGAAAATATCCTTTTAATAAGCCCTTTTTAACTACAACATGCCATTATTGGTCTCTTCTTTATTGTTGTTTTCATATTTTCGGCATAAATACAGTGCAAAAAAAAGACAAAAAGCAATGCTGCACACAACTGAAATGTTATACAATTTGCTAAAATGATGAATAAAATTAAAACTGCCTGTCAAAGCAAAATGAAAAGCAATTTTGTTTGCAATTTTCATAGCAGCTATGGAAAAGCAGCCAAATTGATGAACTGCATGCAGTCTGCGGTTTATAAGCATCCAGAGTAACTGAAGAAGGCGCTTTGATTAGTAATAGTATCAAGATGAACTGCAGCTTAAAATTCAGAACCTTCTAATCCAGCTGTTGGCCTTCCTCTGAAAGACAAATTTTATACTTTACTCCCCAAAATTGATCTAAGGGTTAATATCAGACTATCTAGGTGATTATGAACACCTTAAAAAGCTGGTGTTTTATTCCAAATTTAAATTTCATCAATCATTCCAAGCACTAACACCTGTGAAATACGCATTCTGTGCTCTTATTCCTGGGCCCCTCGCTGGGAGCCCAGAGTACTGACTGCAAATGAGTAGACAGGGAGGTGCTGATACCACTGTTTGCTACCAAATTTTAACTAGAGAGCAATTTCTACTTCTATTGAAGTAGAAGTTCAGTGTTTGATGCACAGTAGGCCATATTCTTTTTTTTTTTTTTTTTTTTTGAGACGGAGTCTCACTTTGTCACCCAGACTGGAGTACAGTGGTGTGATCTTGGCTCACTGCAACCTCCACCTCCCGGGTTCAAGCAATTCTCGTGCCTCAGCCTCCTGAGTAGCTGGGATTACAGGTACCCGCCACCACACCTGGCTAATTTTTGTATTTTTAGTAGAGACCCACCCAGCCACCCAAAGTGCTGGGATTTCAGGCGTGAGCCACTGCACCCAGCTGATAGTAAGCCATATTCTTGAATGAAAAGATGAATAAATGAATTAATGGATGGATGGATGGATGGGTAAATGAATTCATTTCCATCACTGTACTCCATTTTATGATACCCAAAATTTGATTTAGACGAAATATAAAGCTTTGTGGGGTGCCTGAGGAAAGGCCAGTAACGGAACTACTGTTACAGAGGACTAGCATTAGTCACATTACCAAAACTATTAATACACTTGCCAAATGACTGGGGCTCCAGTGCAGAATTCTACCAAGATATAATTGAATGATAAGAAATGGAGGTTCTTTCTTTCACATGTGGCCATAAATAATGCACGAGTGAAATTCTTCTCATTGAAAATTGTCCACTGCTGACATCAATTTCTCTATTTTACCCTCCGTCTAAAGTAAAAACATACAAAAATGTAAACATTAAAGTGACCATTTCTACACTCAACATGAAAAGATACCAATTAAATGCAATAAAATGAATAAATGTTCCATGTCAGCATTTTGGCTTAGGAAAGCCTCCCAAATCCTCATGTGGAATGTTTGAATGTGGCCATCTTATTTGACAATATCCCTTGCTATTGTCACTCATAGGTAAAGGTAGTGGAATTAAACACAGCTACATAAGAGTAAGTAATGAATTTGAGCTTCAGATATAGGATTACAATAACGTATACTTAATTCATAGGAAGCCTAATTTCCTCCTAAGCAGTTAGTTGAATTGTGAGGCTCATCTTCCACCAGGAGAAATACAGGTCAGCTCTCTGGGTTTTGCATTCAAACACCCAAAGATCCCTGAGTCAATAAATGCCACAGATCCTGCAGACAATTCTACTCTCTGTAGACGTCTGCCACCCTTCTCGCCAAGCCCTCGGCATACTATATTTGCAATTATTTATACAACATAAGCCTCTACAAGTGGTATTCCTATTTTTCAATTGAGGAAACTCGAGAAAATAGAATTTCTGAGTTTCCAGAATACAATAATCAACACCCTCTCTAGATACAACTGTACTTGAAAAGTTGTCAGGATTTAAGACATCCTCATTCCAGTCATTTGGAAGTTCCAATCATTGCACCAAGAAAAAAAAAAATCATCTTTTTAACTTCTTTTGGTACAGGAAATATTTTAGTACCTGACAGTATCTGGCTCATAATAGGCGCTCAATGAATATTTATTGAAAGAAAAAAAGGAGGGGAATAAAAAGAAGAAAAAGTGCTATCCAAGGTTATTGTCTTAAACTGCCACATATTATTTTTTGCCCTGGAAAACACAGGGCAAGTCTTTGGTTTGAATAAAGTCAAATGAGCATGTCTACCAACACTTACACATGTCACCTGCCAGTTTCCCACTTTTTGCTGTATCCCATATCAAACTGTGATGCTGACTCAGATGTCGGATACTTTATTCTGGTGAATCTCATAGATTTACTGTGAAAAAAATGTCTAATTTCATTTCATCATTATTTGAGATTTGGGCCTCTCAGTCACCATCTGTACCATGTCACTGCACTTACATTTCACATGAGTTGCCTTAATGTCAGGGCACAATAATGGCACATATTCACAAAAAGGGCATTTCCAACAAATTCTTCTCAACACTGGTATTTTTAAATCCTCCCCAGAGCTTTTTTGTAACATCATGACTAACTGTGTTTTCTTTTGTGTCCCTGACATGACACAAAAGTAGCTTGTGCTCAAGTACAGGGAAGTGGATAGTGAGGTGGTAAATAATGGCGTGTATCATTAAGAAATACAAGATATAGTAGGTGGGTATGGATAGTGGAAAGCAAAACGTTATCAGGGAAACAGCCCCATTAGACATGACCATGTGGCTTCTGTTGTTGCTTCTGCCACTACCAGCAGTGAAATCTTGAACAAGCTACAACTTTACTGGACTGCAATTAATTCAAACATGAAAGTGGGAGATGAGGGGATTATTTACTAAAGGAGTGGCTTTCAAGCTGTTTTTATTTGTTCTTTAAACAAAACTTTAAGGGGAAGTCCAAGATAAATAAAACCACCCAACCTGAATCCAAGGTAGGACCCTCAGGGTCCAGTCCCCAGGGCCCATCTCCACTCTGCTCTCCTCATACTGTAGGAAGCCCCAGAGATCCCCAAAGCACAGTTTGAATCCACTGTATATAATGATCTCCAAGGTCACTTCTGGGTCCACTGCCCAATGGTTTTCCCATATATATTCTGCCTTTATTCCTAAGTCAATATTTTTGTTTTCTCAGTTGAAGGTAAATAAAGAAGAGGCGATAACAGAACATAAAACAACCAAAAAGTTCTGGATACCCTGTTGCTTAGTGATCATTTTAATCAATAATTAAAGAAAAATCATACATATGATTCCACACAATTAAAGAAAACCCATAAGCTATCTTCTATCACACAGAGATTATTAGCAAACACTCCTCTACCTTTCGCCCAGATGAGGGCTCCACAAAGGGTTGTTGCTGCATTAACAGATTTTCTTGCTTGCACATGTACACATACACACACACACACACACACACACACACACACACAAATTCCTTAATTTCTTAGAAGTCTCTAAACAGACATTACCAAGAAATTTACACTAGAGAATCAATCAATCATTGCTCCAGGAGTACAATATTTAAAACTAGCTTTTCTGGATTCTACCTCAAGGTGATCTCACTATTGCAGCTCTTTAGAGATTTAACAACAAAATTATTATTTCCAAACTTTAATTGAGCTTCTTAAGATAGGTATTTATGATACTCTTCACAACACTTGGAGATTTTATGCTCTACTGTGGAATCGTTGGCTGCTTTGTTAGTGTTCATTTTTATATTTTAGGTATTTAAATAGTATTGTATGGCTTTGTCTTGAAAATAAATCAATTTGGCAATTTATTTCTAGCAAATGGTGCTTCCACAATTTCTTGCATACAATCCAACCTTCAAGCAAACCATCAAAGCCTCTACCAGAGGATATTTTATGACTGTTTCATAATTTAAATTAAAAATCCATTTTTAAGAGACAATACTCTTTCAAAAAAGTAGTGCCTTATGACTAGCAAATTAAAGATAATTTTTTTCTTACTTGCTTGCAAATAATTTCTTTAATCCAGAGCATGAGATGTGAACTCTAGTTAATGAATATTATCTTTGGCAAGCAGTAACCTACAATCTTAAAAGGTTCATTTTTATCATTGGTATTTTGAAGTTGCAACTTTGATCCATTACAATATAAAAAAGAAATGATTTTATTAGCATTCTCTTTCATTACTGGATAATACTCTGCAGTGCTGGTACTACTGGGAAACTATTAAAGGTTTCTCTTAAAGAGGAATTCACAAATGATTTTTAAATGATAAAAGCAATAAAAATTTCTTCATTTCTCTAGATAAGACATGTATACTAATTTTTTTTTCCTGCTGTTAATTTTCTGCTGATCCGCTGGTCAGTTTGCTTCTAGGTATAATTCAAGAGACTGCATCAATCAATAAATATGCATAAAGCATGGGAAAATAATTATGCTACAAATTAGTTGTCAAATTTGATTCTATAGGCCTAGGATGTCTTCTTCTGACTCTGGAAAAACAGGTTTTCGTTTTTAAATTACTAGACACTAGTAGCAAACTCTGTTTTTCACCATGTGCAAATTACAGTCAAATGTAACGAAAATGTACATGGCAAACCTGTCCTCTTTTTGCATAATTGCCTTACATCTTAAGAAGTAGGTTTAGGCTGCCAGGTGCAGTGGCTCATGCCTGTAATCTCAGCACTTTGGGAGGCTGAGCGGGGCAGATCACAAGGTCAGGAGATCGAGACCATCCTGGCCAACATGGTGAAACTCCATCTCCACTAAAAATACAAAAATTAGCTGGGTGTGGTAGCCCATGCTTGTAATCCCAGCTACTAGGGAGGCTGAGGCAGGAGAATCGCTTGAACCCAGGAGGCGGAGACAGCAGTGAGCCAAGATCGTGCCACTGCATTCCAGCCTGGCGACAGAGCAAGATTCTGTCTCAAAAAAAAAAAAAAAAAAAAAAAAAAAAGGAGCAGGTTTGGGCAGAAATCTTTCTATACTGCTATCTGCGACATCCTTTATCTCTTTCACATAGTTTCTTTTAAAAAAAATTGACGAAATATACCTACATAAAAATACAGAAAAGCAACAACTTGATATAATTATAAACAACACTCATATAACTACTATACTAGTATAGAAATAGAACACTGTCAGCACCTAAAACGTCCTCAAGTGTCCCTCCTCATCACTACCCATTCCTTCTACCCTAAAGGTAAGCACTAACCTGACCTTTGTGATAGTGATTTTCCATTCTTTTATTGTTATCACACCTATGTATACAACCCTAGACAGTATAATTTAGTTTTGCCTAGTTTTGAAGTCCATGTGAATGGTTCCATACTGTATGTATTCTTTGTCATCTTGTTTCTTGGGTCAATTCGACATTTGCAGGGGTTGTCTTCTTGAGGATAGCCATCATTCATTCATTTTCTCTGCTAATAATATGCCATTATGTTAGAAAGAATGCTTTACGACCTAGTATTTGCTAGCACAACAGGATGACTATAGTCAAAAATAATTTAATTGTACATTTAAAAATAACTAAAAGGGTATAACTGGATTGTCTGTAACACAAAAGATAAATGCTTAAGGTGACAGATACCCCATTTACCTTGATGTGATTATTATGCATTGCATGCCCGTATCAAAATATCTCATTTAACCCATAAATATATACACCTACTATGTACCCAAAAAAGTAAAAAAAAAAAAAGTAAATATTTTTAAAATGATAAATAAAATACATTAAAAGAAAATATTCCATTATGTGAATATGCAGTTTATTCTGTGTACCAGACATTTGGTTTGTTTTCAGTTTTGACTATCACAGACAATGCTGCTATGAATATACATGTACATGTACCTGTCTCCCATACATACCTGTTTCTCCAGGGTATGGAGATATGAAATTGCTGAGTCATAGAGTTTACATATCCTTAAACTTAGTGTATAATGCCAAACCATTTTCCCAAAGTGGTTCTATCCATTTAAACTCCCGCCAGCAGTGTCTATTACTCCACATCGTGGCAACACTTACAATTGTCACACTTTTTGCTAATTTGACAGATATGAAGCCCAAGAGATTTTACTTTCATCTTAGCCCTTGTTACCTTGGTTAAAAGCACTGCACAATCACAGACAACACAGAAATAGCTGAAGGTATGCCCTTCTATTCACTTCCTTATCCATCTTTTTGTTTCAATGGCCCTAGTCAATTTTAGACCTTGTTACTTAGAGTCTATTTTATTTAATTCCCTTTTATTCCTATAAATTTACAAAATTCTATGTAGCTCTATCATCCCTGATGAAAATATCCCACTTGATAGGAGCACTAGGTACAAGAAAGTAAAATTCCTCAAAAAGAAGTTATTGTCATCTGCCACCACTCTCTGCAAATATTTTTTATTTAGTAATACTATAGCACTTGAATCCTTCTATCTAGAGATACTTTTGCACACTTTCAGCATCAATTTCATATATGCAAGTAGTATATATACTATGTGCCTAGACTTGCTATGGATTTGGGATCTGAGATTGTTTCTTCAAAGATACTCAGTCACACTTATTCTAATAGAACCCCATCGCTGACAGTCTTGAGATTTTAACCTGTGGAAATTGGAGGGTGCATATGGAACAGGAATGAGAATCAGAGAATTTTCTTTGAACAAACACTGTTCTTTAGAGAGTGTTTTGGCCTTCTCAGGTCACACAATGGTGTACACATCTAACTTTCTTTCTGGGAGCCTCTGCAAATACCTTCTCTTCCTCAAGGTCAAGTTCAAGTCTTCCTTGACATGAAGGAGGCCTTCCTGGAAAATGGTGAGCTCCACTAAGTTCTCATGTCTTGACTATACATTTTGGTGCTTATTTATATTCTCTAGGATGTATCTCTCTATATTTTGCTGTGCTTAATCATAATCACTAGACAATATGCTCCTAAGAAACAGGAAACTTTCCTGTCTTGTTTAAGACTGTATCTTCAGTATAAGAAATAAATAGTGCCTGGTACATAGCTGGTACTCAATAAATATGTATTGAATGAATGAATGAAAAAAGTCTTATGTTTTTCTGTATTTGTTAAGTGTGTATGTGTGGTCACCCCATAAATTGTAAAGCCTTGTAAGTAGCAACCATTTCTTTATACATTTTTCCCATACACACACATACACACACACACATATATATAGACACATATACATGTCCCTTTATACACACACACACACACACATATATATATATACTGAATTAAAATGGGCCATAAAACAAGAGCCACATTCTCTAAGGTAGGTACTCTTTCAAAACATATGTAACACACTAGATATACGTAAAGAAACTCATGAGAATGCTAAACAGAATAAGCACAAATACCTGGCATTTACACTTTGTAATCCAGTTTTGCTAACAGAGATGTTCTAGTAAGTATGTGCTAATCAGAAGGTCTGTGACAGCTTGCACAAAATCAATTCACAATATTCAAGTTACAGCAAATCCATGAAAAATTCATATTAAATCCTTTCTTATTTGTGTATTTAGTCTCACGCAGATATTAAAATAAATCATTGCCAGGGTGCTTTGAAATTTTTTGACTATAACAGAATTTATCACAAGAAAATATAGAAAATGAATGCGAATACCACTAAATGCAGTATGACTTAAGAAACTAACAATATCGTAATACTATGAAAGTTCATATTACTGGCAGAGAAAATGAATGAATGATGGCTATCCTCAAGAAGACAAATACGTACTCTGTTATACTATGGTCACAGAATAGACACAAACCATAGGTCCTTTAGGGAAAGTGCAAATAGAAAGAAATAAACAGTTTCTCTACCAGTTATCAGATAAAAACTCTGTTTTTAAGGCATTCATATATTTAGTCTTTATTTCTGCTAGAAGACTGAGATGAGTTTCAAATACTTCCCTTTTTATTATAACAATCTTCATAAATCCTTAGAAATCCTAGTACAGAAATATTTCCCTCCCATTCTTAGACTTTTTGATTGAGTTATTAATAGATTAGTACATTCACTAATTGAGACTCATTTACTCATTCATCAAACATTTACTGGGGACTCTCTATGTACCAGGTCCTGGGCTACACGCAACATATTCAATTATTCACCTGCATTAGATGAAAAGGTGCCGATGTTGGTTATATAGATTCTTTTCATTATTCTGAAAAATTGCTTCTCTTAATTACTGTTGAGTTACTATTGTCAGAGAGCACAGACTAGTCTTCAGTTTCATTTAAATCAGAGAGAAAGAAATGTATATAACCACCCAAAGAAATACAAAATTTATAGAAGTCATTGAACTATACTTTCAATTTAATCTGCCAGTTCTTCTAAATGATGTCTTAGTCAAAGGTCTCTGCCAATTAATGAACCTTGGACCAAATCATACAATCAGAATATCTCTCAGATATATACTACCTGTATTTCGGCATGTGGACTGGGTCAGAGTAAATTTGAGGTTAGACTTTAGGCTCCTTAGGGCATCTCTCTCTCTCTAGCTGCTATTGCCAAAGCAAATTTAAGTCTCAAATAAAGTGATGCAATTACACTATACATCCTTCCTTCTTCCTGCCTATCACAAGAGAAAGTGAAGCAGACCACCACTCTATCCCTAGGACTTTTGTTCGCCCTTAAGAATGTATTCAATATCCAGTTTACCCACATACTTTATATTTTAAAAATGGAACAGCGGGTCATCAAAGTGGCACACTATATGATTTCCTTGATCATACACCAATCTAGGGATTACATTGGCCCTATGTACTTTCAGCAACAATAATCATGATGAAAGGCTAGTATTAGAATTAGTATGCTTTAAAAAAAATCATTGGAGAAGGAAATACCATCTTATACTGTGAAAATTGGAAGCAATTCACAGGTAGTAACTGTAACTAACACACCTATAGCTTCACAGAGTGAAATAAATCATTCTACAGTTTCACTTGATCAAGCAGGATCACACTCCTCTTTTAAAGAGTGACCATGCCCCAAAACAATGCAGCGTTGGCTCCTTGCCAAACAGCCAGACCACAAACATGGATACACCTTGGACAACGGACATCCTGGGCGCAGTAGCAGCAAAATTCTAGATCCTACCACTTCCCACGTGGAAATCCAGCAAAGAAAAACAATCTGGAGATCACATGATCCAGGTTTGTCATCCTCTGCATCTGTCCCCATGTATAAACATCTTGATGCAGAAGGAAACTGACTCATCCCTATCAGGAAAAGTCAGCTTTCCTTTGCTTAACATATACCAGGGCTTGGGCCACATGAGGTCTGGGTAGGAAACCATACACAGAATACTAACATGTAACTTTACAAAACAAAAGCTAAACTGCTTCCAACATGTTCGTGCTACAAAGTCCAATGAAGGAGGGCAGGAGAGAAAGACAGTGAGTGATGTAAATGCGAACAAGACAACTATCTAAGACAAAAATTCTCCACAGACTAAGAAGATAAGTTAGGAAAAGTAACTGTGAAGAATTCTGAATACAAACAGAATTAGAAAATTCAAGATTATGGTAACTATGCAGTACTCTCATTAGGAGACAAATACCTGAAATACAACTCAATTACTGTGCTGTATACAAAAAACCCCTAACAGGTTTTAAAATATGTTGGGGAACAACACTGTAAGGTCTTTCATAAAGTGATTGCCCAATACTGGTCAGGGTGAGAAACCACCACAGTTGACTAATGCTTCTTTTATAAATAAAGATTCCTGATGACATCTGAGAGTAGAATTAGGACATTAAAGACATACCACTCTATAAACGCGACCCATGATACAAGGGAACAAAAGACTACAGTTTAAGAAATTACATTGTATAAGTCCTTGCTTCCTATTTCTCACTTAAAAGCATAAGATCAATTAAACTTACATGGTAGACTTGGAAGAAATGATAATAAGAGAGACTCTGATTTCGGTGGCAGATTATGTTTCCCAAGGTGACCACAACGATAACTGCCATCCCACGTGCTCCTCTGCAGTGTGACCTTCCTATTCCACCATCAAGAAGTGGAGTTTATTTCCCATCCTCTCAAATCTGAGCTGGATTGGGAACTTACTTTAACCAACAGAGAACACAGAAGTATCGCTGTTATTTCTAAGCTTGGGCCTCAAGAGACTGCAACTTAGACCCTGAAGTACTCCTTCTTGGAACCTAGACCCATGCTGTGAAAGCCAGACGAGACATGTGGAAAGGACTGGTTAGAAAAGCGACAACCACAGCCCCCAGTGACAGTACAGTCTGAGCTCCCAAGTGCAGCCAGCACCAGCCATGTGAGTAAGACCACTGTGGACCTCCCAATCAACCTGGTGAAAAGCAGATCCACCAATCAATCCAAAGAATCTTGAAAAGCAATAAAAGTAATAAATTCTTATTGTTTTGTAGCTACTAACTTTCATAACCTAGCAATAAATAACTGTAACAATTTCTATAGTACTTTATTGTAGCAATATGATAGGTAGACATATACACACTCGATGACAATATAATAGAAATGGTTATTTAGAAAATACATGTTTTGATCTAATAGTGTATAAACAAGAGAACAGTCTTATGTTGGCATCTCTTTCCATCTCTTATTATTAAAAGCTCAATATTTTGGATGTATTAGAAAGATCATAGAGTGTCATCAAAGCAAACTTAAATAAAAAAGTCACTGCAAACTTTGCACGTTATAATATTAGGTTGGTGCAAAAGTAATTGTGATTTTTGCCATCACTCTTAATTGTGAAAACCGCAATTACTTTTGCACCAACCTAATAGGAACAGTAAAGTTCTTCAAAAACATTTACAAATATTTAACTTTAATTTCAGTAAGGATAGAAAAAAGTCACATGCTTATATTGAAAATCTTTTCTGCTCCTCCCTCCTTCTCTTTGATTCTTCAGTCAAATACTTTCCCACCCTCAAAGATGTATACATATTAATAATTTGCAAACATCAAACAATGGTGAGAAACATTTATGTTTCTCCCGAGCATTGCAAGTACAAAGATGGATCATCATTGCCTATGACTTATATTTTAATTCTCTAACAATGCAACAGCTATAAGAGAAAGACTGTCTATAAACTTGTTTTTTATTTTGAAAGCATCCATAACTTTTCCAATTAGCAAATATGAGTCCCTGAGAGCTGGAACTTACTTTTTCTTCCATCATATCTATACCCAGTTTTACGGTGTTTCTGGAATATACACTGGGGATACATTAGAGATGTATTTAAATCTGGAAAGGGGTCTCACACAGGAGTAGAGAAATCTAAAAATATCCAGTAGAGCAAGAAAACTGACAAGGACTCGGACCATGCAGATAATATCTGGTATAACAACTAAAGACAGGAAGCTTCTGAGAATGAGCCTCCTGCCCTCTGTACCCTTCCACTCAAAAGGCAGAGAAGTGCCTGCAATTGCAGAGACTTGATCACAGTGCTTGCCTATATCAAAACATCTCATGTGTCCCACAAATATACACACCTATTACATACTCACAAAAACTAAAGTTTTTTAAAAAAGAGACCTGGCAGCAGCTAATCATTTTACCTCTTTGAACAACACTCCCTACACAGAGTTGACTTCCAAAAATACCAACAATTGTTCTGAGAGCCTCAAAGCCTGCTTTCATGCCAAAATGGTGACCTGATGCTGTCCTCATGACCTGTCCATCAGAGGAAAATGATGCAGCTCTCACATTGCTGGCAGAAGCCCCTAATAGGTGAAAGTCTTCCTTCTTAGAAATTACCAGGCTTTTTCTCTTAGCTTGTTCCCAAAGAATGGGGTAGCAGCTAGGGACTGGAGAAGTACTCAAAAAGATGGAGTGGGGGGTAAGGAGGGGATGTTTGCAGAGTCCATTTAGTTACAGATAAATATCTGGTGCAACCTCTGGAACACACAAGTCTATACCTGAAGACAAGGGTACCAACCCCCTAATAAGCAATTATTTCCATCCAGAATATGCTTTTGGGTAACAGCTTGTGGTGTGATTCATTATTGATTTCACCTTGATGAAACAATTGTAGCAAACCAACACTGGACTTGGAGTCAGAAGTTCAATGTCTAAATCATGACAGAGCCAGTAAATCACTAAGTGACAATGAGTCTCAATTTCCCTTTTATAGAAAGGAACTTGAAGGCTCTCCCCATTCTTCAGCATTCCATTCCAACCTTCTGTTCTTCAGAATCCAATTGAAAAGCTCTTACTTCTATAAGCTTTTTCATTTGCATGGATTATCTAGTATCGTTTTTTCCCAATACCCATTTGTTTATAGATGCTGGGAAAGGCTGTGGAGAAAGAGGTGAGAGAAAGAGGTGTGTGGCAGCACTCTGAGGCATACGACATGCACACCAGTAAAGAAGCAGGCAGGTCACACAACAGCCCTTACCTAGGCACACCACCTCCGTGGTTCCATGGCTCAAGCTAGCAGTGGTAGGCTAGCACCTAGGTGACACCTCACATCCCAAAAGCAGGTGTGCGACAAGCCTTGCACTAATTGGCCTCCATTTCTGAGGATACATATAGAATGGAGCATATTTTGTGATACTTTCCTGGAAAGTGGAGTTCCCACGGTTAAATAAGACAGTGTTGAGGTCAGTTGGGTACACAGAAGTTTCATGTGCTATGTCATGGTTGGGCAAACATTCCCTGGGGTCATATATCCATAAGATGCCTGATTTGATTATATTAAACACTTCTATAATAAAGATGTTTCCTTATTTTCCTCTCTAGGAGTAATGACACATTCAAAACAAAGAATGAAGGTGGATAAAGCACAGAGTCCTAGACTGCAGTTCTGCCCTGGATTCAAAACAGTTTCTCCATGGGAAAATTTGATGTGCTATTTGCTAAATAATTTAAGAATGTAAGTTATCAACCAGAGAAAAAGGTCTGCCCATATTGGGAATTTAAAAGCTCTTATGTTTTAGCAAGTACTCTAAATAATACATGACATTAGACGAAAAAAATCGTGAGCAATACAAAATGTTACACAATAATGTAAAATATAAATATTCAAATATACTAATTGTGTGAGACACTATCAGTTGCACACCTCAAAATATGGGACTTATGGGAAGGTTGTTTAAAGGGAATCAACTCAGGCAGCAGGGCCTGTTAGCCCTTCTACCTTCCTCCTTTTCCTAACCTCCAACAGGACATGGTGACATGAACTCTGGCACCCACTGTAGCCTATTTGACAATGGCAGTCATGTGCTAGGAAGCAGAGCACCAAGAAAAAAGTCTTGGTGCCTAAAGGACCACTGAGTTCCCAAACCAGCTCTGGACTGCTTATCTCTAGAATTCTGTGAAAAAAAAAAGAAACTCTTTCTTTCTTTCGTGTGTGTGTGTGTGTGTGTGTGTGTGTGTGTGTGTGTGAGAGAGAGACGGAGTCTCGCTCTGTCACCAAGGCTGGAGCACAGTGGCACAATCTTGGCTCACTGCAACCTCCGCCTTCTGGGTTCACGCCATTCTCCTGCCTCAGCCTCCCTAGTAGCTGGGACTACAGGTGCCCGCCACCATGCCCGGCTAATTTTTGTAGTTTTAGTAGAGACGGGGTTTCACTATGTTGGCCAGGCTGGTCTCGAACTCCTGATCTCATGATCTGCCCGTCTCGGCCTCCCAAAGTGCTGGGATTACAAGCATGAGCCACCACGCCTGGCCTGAAACAAACTTCTTTCTAATTCAAGCTGTTGTTATTTTGGGGTTTCCTATTATATATAATTATTTAGCTTGTGAATTCATCCAAATGCTACTTTCAACCTTTGACATCTAAGCTCATAGATCAAATCTACTTTTTGGGGCCCAAACTCACACTTGGTATAAATGGATTTTTAACTGTACAGGGAGGAACAGATATCTGAGATAGTCAATTATTCAACACAAAGATATTTGGTTAACTAAAAAAATAATCTGAGAGTAAACTCAATTTGTTTTTGCCATGTCAATACAGAAATAGGTTGTTCAGGAAATTCACTGAAGTTTTTGATTTCTCAATCTTCTCATTTTATAATGAAGATAATATTGACCTACCTCATGAGCACCGACAGAGGATTAACTAATTAACAATTGTCAATCACCATGAAAATACAAATTTTAAGAAGCAATAAGACTTTTCATTAAACTATTAATGGCTGTGCTAGTAATTTCTTCCTTCACTGAAGAAAATTTACATTTGATAAGCACCAAAGGTTCATAGCATAGTAAGAATAAAACTTAAATGAAAATTACACCTGAAGACACTTCATGACATTTTAACAAAAGCATTAAGGCAAAAGATGCTACTATCAAATACAGTCTCTTTGAGACAGGCTCAACATATTTCTGTTGAATTAAGAGACTGGATGTGGTAGTCCATACATTCTTGTATTCTGCATATTCTAAAACTGTCACAACCTAACTCACTTCCCAACAGTTGTTCATAAACTCTACCCTACCTGATTCTCTTCAAGCTGCTCATCAGACAACCTAATGTGAAACAGATTTTTATTATTTCCAGGTTAGTAACTGACTTTACATTCGGTTTTTTGTGTGTGTGCAAACCTACAGCACTTTTTACACACACAGTGCCCCCAGAGAACTCTTCAATATTCTGAGTGTGCAAATGTTGTGACAGAATTCTACTGCTTATGAAATTATTTTCTGAGGCGATACCAGAATTTGACCTCGGGGTCTTTTTACCCATCTGCAATTTTCTACCCTGAACGCCTGCCTATCCCTTCCATCCCACACCTTCCCTTTAATTTCCCAATGATTACTCTGGGCAGAGTTCACCTTCAGCCTCTTCCACAAGACCTCTCCTATCAGCTCCTGTGAACATTTGCCACTCCCTTCTTTGAAGAGTCACAGAATTTACCATCCATATTAGCCATTCTGGTATATAATGATATACTGCCATAGGCAACACACATTTTCAGGTACACCTGTCATTGTCAAATACTGTACATGTGTTTACGCTTGCCTTAAGTGCACAGTAAGATTGTAGGCAATAGGTTTCATGACTCACATTTCTTTTGTGCCCTCATAATGCTCAGCAAAAGATGTGAATATAGCAAAACACACTAACACATATACTATAAGTATGTTCTTTAATATGTTTGATGTGCTGCAAAAACAGGCAGTTATCTTTATGGTCATTTGTCGCACAAATGCACTTCTTTAGGCACTATTTTCCTAGAAAGCAAAAGTACAAATCTCCCATATTTAAATGAACTCACTTAGACCAGATGATTTCCAAACTACTGATCACCTGAACATCTATTATAGCTAGACCAATTCCATGATGCTTACGCTTGCCTACTAAAAATGAGGTATCAATATTTTTCATTGTACTAAACTCAGATTAATATATTTTCTAATTTTTGAGCTAATTTATAAAACGAGAAATCTTTTAAAACCATTCTAAAAGTTGCATAGATAATTCTGTGTTACTAAATAAATAAGCTACAAGGATAAAATGTTTTAGTGATATCCATTCATGACTATCTTCTTATATATGCCAATGTGCAGGCTAAAAACTGATGACAGGGCCTTAATTTTTAATATTTTGTATAGAACTTAGAATAAAACGTTAATTTTATTCATTGGGTTTGGGAAACTGGGTCTCTCTTCTTTATTCCTAAAACATAACATTCTTTATTTAAAGAATGTTAGACATCAAGACCTTCCTAAAAATGTAATGAATGCAATTAAACTAATTTTCATTTCCTCCATTTGGCCAGTTACCCTTAGCAACAATAACACATTAATTCTTTTTGAATTTTAGAAGGGAAGAATTTTAAGATGGAATGGCAAATAATAACTCATACTAATTCTTTCAAAATATCTCAGGATTCTGGAAGATATTCAAATCTGGAATCTGACTCATGTGAGTTACTCTTACAGGAAACACTACCTTCTTTAATAATACCAACAATACTAACACTAATAATAGATAATGTTTATCACATCCCTTCACTGTGTGCCACACACCTTGCCATGATGATACATCTACCAGCTCATTTAATTGCCACAACCACAAAAGGCAGGCAATGTTATCACCTTTACAGGTAAATGTTCAATTAAACATTTAAGTAATCTGTCTAAGGACATACAACCAGCTTTGGGAGAACTGAGATTTGCAATTTAGTCAGCCATTTGCCAGAACCCACCCCTCTATCCATTACACTGACATTTCTACCAGTCCCATTAACCACACAACACTTTTTACTCATTTGAACATTTTGAAGTTTTGTTAATTCATTTCTCCTTTAGAAGATTGGTAAGAATTAATTACTACTGAATGATTACATTGATTTTTTTTAAGCTAATGGAATTTTTAATTAAAATAATAC
The DNA here is from genome assembly GCF_000001405.40 of Homo sapiens. NCBI lineage: Eukaryota > Metazoa > Chordata > Mammalia > Primates > Hominidae > Homo > Homo sapiens. The sequence continues at coordinate 25,306,265 of NC_000018.10, forward strand.
GAAGGGAGATGATGGGAAACTGCAAGTCTGAAAATCAGATATAAAAGCAGCCTGTTAAGATTCACGAGATGGCCACAGATTCTAAGCAATGAACAGTAAAATTAAATTTGTCTGGTAATTTCTTTTTTGGGGGGGAAAGGTGGGCATAACCAGTAATTCCTTAGTAATAAGATTTCCCATGGAGATGGACCTTGGTATATTTTTTCAAAAAGGAAAGAAAACCCTACATGCTCTAATCCTGTGAGACTAAAGCACCCTTCTTAGCTTCCATTTGCTGGATTTCAATAAGGCATTAAACCTTGTATGTCAAAATGCCTCATATTGAAAGACAAGAACACTAGCCAGCCTTAATGCTTTAAATGTCCTGCCTTTACAGATAAGATTTGTAGGGTGTCATTTCCACTTGCTGTAACAATCCCAGCTACAAGAGGCCTTATAAGTAGTAATCAATCTGAGAAGAAGAGATCCTTCTTTACTAAAAAGAAAAAGAAAGAAAAAAAGCTGAATCAGAAACAATGTTACAAAAATTGGAGTAAGGCTGGAGAGAAACTTAGACAACTCATAAAGGGAAAACTAAACCACAATTCAAGAAAAAAAAAAAAAGTATGTAAGTGGCCTGATGTCTACCTTTGGGTTCTGGCCTAAGTACACAACTGGTGCTTTAAACAATTCTACCCAGAAAAGTATCTCAGATTTAACACAAGCAAAAAGGGAACCCACCATTCTAACTTCCAAACCTGCTTCTTTATTTTTCCTAGTATCGAGTGATGGCCACCCAATACAGCTGAGGAATTCAGAGACACAACTAATCAATTACTACATCTGAATGACTTTACCTCCTAGATATTTATTGAATTTGGCCACCCTCTCTACCCTATGACCACTGCACTGGTTTTGATCCTGTCTTCTCTTACTAATACAATTGCAAGAGCTTCCTATCTCAAATCCTTTCCCCACAATGTTCCTTCTCCAATCTAACTCTGCAAAATAGAATCTAATCTGAATATGTGTTCACTCCCCTGCATAAAATCTTTGATGGTTACCCACTGCCTAAAACAGTAATTATTGAACATTCTTAAACCTCTAAACTCAAAACTCAAATGGAATCTGACTTGAATATTCATCCTGGGCTGCGCTGGTTGCAGGGAATGGAGAATCCCTGCTAACTCAACTCCCTACCTCCACCCCTAGCTGGGTGATATCTGTGAAGTTCCTCAGAGCAGTCTGAAAAATGCAGGCCAGAGAATCAAATTTAAGCTCTTGGCATTGCCTCCCCATTTCCAGACCCTGCCTTCCTTTCCTGGTTCATTGCAGTAACTGGCTCCAATATGGCTTCCAATGGTCCCTACCTCCTGGTATTCACGCCTTTGTATAATTCTTTCTCATACACTAGAGTTGATCTGTGTAACCAGTAGAATATGGCAGAAGTAATGTTATGCCACTTCCAGGATGAAGTCATAAAAGACACTGCAGCTCCCATATTGATGTATCTGTCTCTCTCTGCTGTCTGTCTGTCTGTCTCTCTCAGAGTACTTATTCTGAGAAAAGCCAATTACCATGTCAAGAGCTACCTTACAGAAAGGCCCTTGCAGTGAAGCCTCCTGATAGGTCTTCAGGCAGAAGCCACACAATTAAGCTAAGAAGTGGATACCCCAGGCCAGGCACAGTGGCTCATGCCTGTAACCCCAGCACTTTGGGAGGCCAAGGTGGGCGGATCACCTGAGGTCAAGAGTTCAAGACCAGCCTGGCCAACATGGCAAAACCCCATCTCTACTAAAAATATAAAAATTAGCTGGGCGTGATGGTGCATGCCTATAATCCCAGCTACTCAGGAAGCTGAGACAGGAGAATCACTTGAACCCGGCAGGCGGAGGTTGCAATGAGCTGAGATCACGCCATTGCACTCCAGCCTGGGCAAGACTGCATCTCAAAAAAAAAAAAAAAAAAAAAAAAAAGCGTGGATACCCCAGCCCCATCCAGGCCACCAGGTAACTGTAGCCCTGATTGACACCTTGATGGCAACCTCATTAGAAACTCTGGATTAGGATCTCCGGGAAAAGCTGCTGCCAAACTCCTGACCTATAGAAACTTTGAGAAAATACATGGCTGTTGTTTTTATACAAAAACTTTTGGAATAATTATTATGCAACAATGAATAACTAATACATTCTTATTCTCTCATTAATTCTCCATCTTACACATTTTCTACAGCTTAAAATTGCCCAGCAGATTCTATGCTGCTTCATACCTCTTTCCTATTCTTTCTCTTCTGTCGACCTGAAGCACCTCTTCCCCTTTCTCGGCCTGGCTAACTCTTGCTCATCACCAAAGACATCATGTGCTCCAGGAAACCACCCCAATGTGCCAAGTTGGCCTTAATGACATCCCCCCCCCCCCACCCGCCACAGCCCCTCCAAAATTATTTTTTTTCTCAGAATATGCTGGAACCTCTATTCCAGTGATTTATTGGTCAAAGAGTAGGATCTTAGTAGATGTTTATTGAACTGAATTGCTGATGAATGCATAGTGGTATTGGGAAAACACACTACTGGGAGGTGCTATTCATTTCATTACTTGTGGATGGTCTTCTTAGTGTAGCAAGAAATGGTGCCTTAAACTTCACATTTTATTAGGCCAAACTGCAGTATCTAATCAATATAATAATATTTATATTATTAAGTACTTGTCAGTTGTAGTCTGGTGTTCATAAGAAGAAAGCTATCACTATATAGCTGTCAGGCACCAACTTAAGCTCCATCTGTGAGTGACCATTAGCAAAACTTAAAGCAAAGCATGGTTCTTTGCTCTTTTGCTAGGCACTGGGACTAATGAATTGCAAAGGGCAGGCAGACTGCTTGCAGAAGGAAGTTAGCGGTAATGGAAGGAGGCAGAAATTAACTGGGGGAAGGGGATGCTGTGTTCATCTAATCTGCTTCATAACCATCGCTTCAGTCCAAGTGACAAAATAGTATCAATAACGCCAAGAGAAGCTCCGCTTAGGTTTCTGCAGGCCACAGAAGGTGATGGTAAGAAATGATTGAGGTTAGAAGATGGTATTCTTTCTCCCAACAGAGAGACACTTTGGTGGAAAAACAAAAGAAATGAACAAATCAATGGACTAAGGCTTGTACCCAAAAACTGTGGCCTTGGAAAAGGAAGAAAAGCAAAAAGAGAGGGGCAGAAAAGTGTAGAAAACTATTCAGAACAAGAGGAACAAAGGAGCAACTCAAATATGAGCTCTCACATAAAACTGTAAATCTTTCCCTTTAAATGCAGGATAATATATGTAATATTGAATATAAATATTAAACCAGACCATACAGCCACAAGACATGGCTTTTTAATAACCAGCATAAAACACTGGTGAAAAGCAAATATTTTGCATAGAAAATAAAATTAGGTATAAGAAATAGTAAGTATATAATAGATTTGACAGATTTCTTTTTAAAAAGATTATAAAAGCATTCTCAAGAGTCTGTCAACCTGATAATTTAATTATGAGGGGGAACAGTTTTATAAAACAGAAGAAGTTAAGTTTAAAGGCAATCTGAGTAATAAAAATATACACTTTAAATAATTCATAAATTAAATGGAAAAATGTTTTGTTGGCACAACCAAAAAAATATATCTTAGTGCTTGAATGTATAATAGTGCTTTTTCTAAAACAATATTTCTTTTAAATTTTTTTAACAATGACAATCTTTTCTATAAAAGTTTATTTTGCAAGAATGATAGAGATAGGTAAGTTGATGGCTGCTCTTACTTTTATTTTCTGCTTTTATAACCAGTTACTAGTTCACAAGAGATCTGAATATCTACCTCCTATTCTAGTATCTCCCACAGCAGAAAACCAACATGTCTGAGGTCATCAAAATGGGCACAACTCCAAGAAAGCCACATAAGATGGATGAGTCTTCATTACATAGATAAACTGACATTAAAATCAGCATTTCTCAAGACTAATTGGAATTTTTACTTGAAAAATAGTTCAGTGTACATGCCTACTATACACATACTAATATTAATTATGCATTTAAAGGTTGAAGTTAAGGAAGCTCATGACCCCAAACATCCTTGTCTACATTTTTAATTAGTCACCAGGGGGAGCTAATTCTGCTCTATAAGTAGGTAGAGTCTAAGAGTCAGATTTAAAACAAAAAACAGAAAACAAAAAAAAAAAGAGGGAGGGAAAAGATTAAATTGATGTGGTATTAAATATATTTCAAAGATGATATAGTGTCCATAAGGCATATATATTATACATGCAAAGAAAACAAAAGAGAATAGGTATATATTCTTTCTCATTAAGTTTGAAAAAAATAGTGAAAGCCATCAATTAATAGAATATTGTTGTGTTTAATAGAGGACATATATACGCCCAATCAGTTATGATTATCTTTGGTCCTATTGGGTTCTTACTCACCCTTCAGATTTTGAACATTTGCCCATTTGTTGCATTGACCCTGTTATTTTCTTGGTTTGAAGCACTATGATTCTACATTCTAACAGCTAATCTTTTGCTCAAAAATAACCCATATAATTAAATTATAATTATATTGAAACGAATGTTTCCTTACCCTTTTGCTTCAAATATTTTCTTCTGTTCCAAATATATTTTTTAGCACTTTTAATGTGTGTTCAAAGAGTTCTGCCCAATAACCTACTTAAATTCATTCTACAATTCACCCAGGAGACACAATCCCTTTAAACTTTGAGAAGCTCCAGTTGGAACAAAGATGGGGAAAGGGTTCAGAGTTTGTGGAATAATCACCTCTAATCGATCAATTTCCCCTGAAGGTAAAACCGAAAGAAAGGAGGAGTGAAGAGTTCCAGTCCAATTCCTTGAAGTTTAAAGGAACTAAGCCCTGAGGCACAGTGTAGAATGATTCCTGCTTTCCCCTCCCAAGACCTATTAAGAGGTCATAGATCTCTGTGACATTGCTACCATTCCCTAAAGACAAGATCCCCAAACACAGACTTAGCACAAAGAGAAGGGTGTGGAAATAGTCTACTTTTAACAGCTTTTTTAGTAACCCACTCCTTATAAAAGGAAACAGATAAAGGTCACGAGCATCGTAAGTAGAGAACATGAAAAACAACATGAGTCAAGCAAAAATGTAAAAAAAAAAAAAAAAAATTCAACCTCTTAAGTTTTATCATGTTGAATTTCACATTTGAAAACATGTTAAAGGTAGCAGAGCCCTTATGTGCACACAACTGTATCCAAATAGCTAAACATTGGTGCTTACAAGATAGACCAAATGACTGCAGAGGGCCTAAGAAATAGTGGGTCTCTTTTAATTCATCTTCCCCACAAAAGAGACCCCACTGTCTCCACATCCCAAATAGAGCCCTTCATTTATAATTTTTATACTTCTCCACACGGACAAACTGACAGCTTTGATTACCATCAATGACCATCAAGGACATGGGAGAAATTCTTGAAGATATTCTCCCATGGCTTGTGTTCTTGACATTTTATTTACAATTTTTGGCAAATGAATCCTGAAACCACAGTTAGATCATTATATATTCATTATTCATTACACAACTAAGGCAAAACAATTTACAGACAAATAATGCTAATTTTCTTCTTGAATTCTATTCATTTCAAAAGACTTAATTTTTAAAAACTCAAATTAGTCAAGAAACAGGTGATTTATGAATACAGTTAAAACTAATATAAGATATTCTCCACTTAGGTTTTACTTGTAAAAATTAAAGTGAATAGACTCATTTATTTTCTATTTCTAGGAGATTACATCCTTCAAGAACTTTTCATTCATAATCAGTAGCTTTCTTGTGAATCACCAGTTATTCAAGCAGGCTAAAAGTAAAAATGCCTAATAAAATATGGACATCAAAATTACAGAGAAATGTTTCTTATATTACCCTTTCAAGATCCAAACTTTTTAATTTTAATAAGTTAATTAATGTAATAGATCATCACTTATACTGGGAAAACATATTCATCAGTACAGACAGTCCTTTCATAAATCCCAATTACAATACCCACAAGCATTCAAAGAGCTTTGAGAAAATAACAGATCTAAAAATAATTATTTTATATCCATGTTTTGATAGCGAATTTTACAAATATATCAAGAAGAGAATGGCAGACCAGGTACTAATATTCAAAAACTTCTGCTGCAGCAAAATCAATGTGGAAATAACAAAGCTTGTATACTAGGTAATGATTGAACTGACCTTACCTCCAAAACCGGAAAAGGAAGCATACTCAGCCTATGGTTCAGAAGTTGGAACCAGGCCGGGCGCGGTGGCTCACGCCTGTAATCCCAGCACTTTGGGAGGCCGAGGCGGGTGGATCATGAGGTCAGGAGATCGAGACCATCCTGGCTAACAAGGTGAAACCCCGTCTCTACTAAAAATACAAAAATTAGCCGGGCGCGGTGGCGGGCGCCTGTAGTCCCAGCTACTCGGGAGGCTGAGGCAGGAGAATGGCGTGAACCCGGGAAGCGGAGCTTGCAGTGAGCCGAGATTGCGCCACTGCACTCCGCAGTCCGACCTGGGCGACAGAGCGAGACTCCGTCTCAAAAAAAAAAAAAAAAAAAAAAAAGAAGTTGGAACCAACTATAGATGATCACTTTGTCTTTGGTAACTGCATGGAAGAACTTGGTGGGAGCCCTGACAGTTGAACAAAGTGACACACTCAGCCCCACCACTTTCTCTAAAACTGAGAGGAGCAAAGATTTGGTGAGCCGTTTTTCACCTCATGAAATAAGTGATAGTCAAGAACAGTGGTCTCTGAAATACAGGGTACATTATCGTGCAGGAGAGAGGATACTCTGAATAGTCAGAAACCAATCAGAACGGACACCAATCAGAAATAGCCATCCAGGTACTAACCAGACCTTCCTGAGAGCAAGGAGATAAACAGTACTCCAGTCAGCTGGGTGGGCTGGCTTCTCCAGCCCCTTTTATCCCATCTCATACTAATGCAGTCTACAGTGTCCAGCAAACTGGACTTACGGATCAGAATATTTAATTTTAACTAATCTAATTCATGCAAAATCCTCAGATTTTGACAACTGATTTTTAAAAGTTTTCTGCAAAAAAAAAAACTGCAGGATACTGATAGTCAAGCACAAGTAATCAACAAGAAAACAGCAAATCTGGCCCTTTCACACCAAGTAAAAGCTCCTTGTCACCTACCATATGAAAGGGAAAGGGGAGGGGGAGAAACCGTTTCATCAGAGCTGACTGAAAGTTGGCAAAACAAAAGCACAGAAGTGAGATTATCAGGAAAGTTCTTTGAAATATGAACTTATACCCACCACTGATAACAACCTCATGGGAAAGAATAACATACATTCTCTCTGGAGGTTTTGTGAAGTATTTTTTTCAGTTTTAACAGCCATTAAAATGAATTACCAAAATAACATAAAATTATTTTTAAACCCTGTTTATTTCATCTTTACCTAATTTTTTAATTTCTGTTTTTGTGAATGTTGTATAATGCATGTATGTATGTAATGTATTAGTAAATACATATTATGACAGTGCATTTAGAAATCACTAGTCTAAAAGTAAAATGCATATAGAGATGGGCTGGAGAATGGAATCTATGGAGGCCATGAAACTGCATTTTGGGGGCTTAGGGAGATTTGGAGAATGAAGTAGGCTAAAAAAAGACATACTTTAGGTACAAAATGAGGAACTGATCAAAATGGAAGGAAACAGGAAAATAAAACTTATAGTGCCTTAAGCCTAATTAATATAGAAACATAAATTAATAACACTTAAATGATTAATAACAAAGTATGAATAATGAATTAATATAGAAATTAATATAGAAATATGCAAATAAAACTTATAATGCCTTAAGCCTAATTAATATGAACTAAAAAGTTGAAATATCACATTTATTTCATGTAATTTATTTCAACTAATGGTTTGATAAGGAAAACAGCAAAAAAAAAGGTTCTAAGCAGTTTCAATCTGCTTTTATGAAAACGATGCTTCATTCTGTAAACTACTCATCTCCCTTATTCCCACTGCCAACAGAACTAGCTGTTAGAGCACTTTATTGTTCATTGGAATGAACCAGTCTTTAATTTGCCACAACCATATGACACATGTATACTCACTTTCACATTTAAAAAAATTCTTTGGCCAAATAATAAGGATATTCCAGATGTCTAAAAGTTTTCAGCTTACAAAAATTGTATGAAGCTTCCAGGAAGTTTCATAAGATTTAAAACAAAATTAAATGGACATACTACTTTACACTGACGAACAACATCCACTCATCAATTCAGTTCATTTTCCTAAAAAATGTGAACAGGAAGAATATTTGTAAAGAAGCTACAACCCTGGGTAGGGCTTTATATATCTGGTCTACAAATGTTCCCCAAAGCTACAGCAGAATTACTACCACACATATTTCTACACACTCATCTACCAATAGTATGGTAGACCAGAGGGTTAAGAACTAACACAATGCTATTTAGTTTTTTCTGCGATTATGCCCAGGCAATTCACATTAATGATGTGAAAGAACACTTAACAGACAACTCAAGTTTGCAAATTAGCAGGAGAGAAGAGAAAAATGACTCAGAACAACAAGCATAGAGTATTACCAAATGCACTTTATACATTTATCCTGTTAAGTGTAGCTTAGTTTTGATGATTTACAATACTAGTTCTTACTCAGTTTTGTAAGCATAACAAAGTCTCTGTAATCTCAGCCTTCCCCATAGCACCCTGCTATTAAATCTTTGTTGAGCAGTGTGATGAGACCCCTCTGGCTTCCAGCCCTCCCCACCCCCTGAGGGAATTGGCAAGAAATGATAGGGTTTGTGGATTAGTAAAATGAGAGGTTCTCTGTGCTTTTCCTTCTTTAAATATATATTTTGATAATCTGTCTTCTGCATCAGAGAGTCCCAACAGCATTAGAGTGTTGATTCCCCTGCCTTCTTAGCCTCCAGGAAAAAGACAGCAAGGCTGGGGCAAGACAGGTGGTTTCCATCTATTGCTAAAATTGAAGAGAGGGACTTAATTTTTTCTTTCACCTTTCCCCCTATTCCTTCAAGCAGGGATGATACATAACTTACTTATACATGTTGGACTGTAGACTCCAGGAAAATTGCACCATGAGACAAAGGAGAGAGAACTCATCTGTGAGTGTCACCACGTCCTTTGCTATCTTCAGGGACTGTTCTGTTCTTTCTTAGAACAAGGATGCTTGTCCAGAAAAATATGCAAATACTAGAATATCCTCTCAGTGACAGACTCCATGAGGTGTGTGTGAGCTCGCATTTTCTTTATCCCTGCAGGATCCACTGTCTAAAATTTCAGTCCACGTGGACAGCTAATCATTATTTTACCTGGCACATAATCTTATAGCTGACTTTCAAATCTGGGTCTAGAATTGATCATCTTGTTCTTCTGTATTTGACCTTCATCTCCAAAGGCTTCGTTTGGCCTTGGCTCAGTTTCAAGACTTTTGATACGGAGTGAATAGGTTTTCATCAAGGCAGGCTCTCCAAGGAATGTGCGTCACCCTTGGGGATGAAAGTCACCAAAGGAACAGATCTTAAGTTACCAAGAAAACCCTCAGTTAAAAGAAGGGAAGAACCTAAGACAGGGTTTCTATGGCTCTCTCATAACAGAACTACCCTGAGTAACCCACATAGGCATCAGCACATAGAATATATCCCTTTTCTGTTATTTTGCAAATCAACAAGTTGTAAGATAGCTTTCACTTCTAATCATACTCTATAATTAACCCTCTAGCACACTGCTCAGGATTCCCTCTTTCTTTACACAGATTGTTCATCAAAAAGTCTTCAGGCAATGGTCTAGCTGGTATAGGGCCAAACATGTCAGTAACGACTTCAAGATTAATAGAAGGGAATCCACAAGCAACAAAGAATAAATTGAGAAAGCAGCAAGATAAGACCATGGAACGGGCAGGGAGAAAGGAAAGGGGAAAATATGGACAGGGAAATTAAGAATCTTGGAGAAAGGACCGGAATGAGAGGAAAATCAGCAAAGATGCAAATGGGGCTGAATGAAATTAAAAGGTAAAACGAATTTAAAAAAAAAAAAAAAAGGAAAGAAAAAAGTAATAAAACCAAGAGGCAAAAAAAAAATGTATATATAAAAATACCTTCCTTTGCTAAATCCAGCACTTTGTCAGCCAGGGGTGGGGGGTGGGGGGTGGGGAAGCAGCAAGAAGAGAATTCAAGCAGTGGGAAGCCAACACTGGAACTGTCAGACCTCCCAACTTACACTAAAAGGCTTTAACCAAGCAAGAAAGCAAAAGCATCATATTACTTTTTTAATTAAAATGCTTCCAAGTGTCTTTAATCTTTTCCAGATCAGACTGGAGGGCAACCTTCAGGCAACTCAAGCTACACCATTAACACCTTCAACAAACATGGATCGTTCCTGATTTCATTTCTCCCTTTTTTTCGCTTCCTCCTTGGCCTCCACTTACACTTTGCCTCCCGAATCTACCACCTTCCCAAAGAAATAATCCTGAACAACAATAAACAGGAAAACAAGACCCATCAGATAACTCTCTCTGGACATGTGCTTCAACAAGTGGCAAGTAAGACTTTTTTTTTTTTTTTTTTTTTTTTGAGACAGAGTTTCACTCTTGTCGCCTAGGCTAGAGAGCAATGACACGATATCAGCTCACTGCAACCTCCGCCTCCTGGGTTCAAGCGATTCTCCTGCCTCAGCCTCCAAAGTAGCTGTGACTACAGGCGTGCGCCACTATGCCCTGCTAACTTTTTTGTATTTTTAGTAGAGACGGGGTTTCACCATTTTGGCCAGGCTAGTCTCAAATTCCTGACCTCAGGTGATCTGCCCACCTCAACCTCCCAAAGTGCTGGGATTACAGACATGAGCCACGACGCCCGGCCTCTACTTTTCTACCTTTGACTAACCTGCTGTAGTATGTGACCACAGAACAGATTCCCTACTTTCAGAAAGCTTCAGACCAAAATAAACCAAACATTTTACCAGTTTTTTAAAAAATGTAACTCATAATCTTTGCCATACCATGTGTGGAAAATTCAGCACTTCCTGCACAGGTATTATTAAAGTTGTATGAGACAGGAATAATGCCTTTTGCTTCGATTCAATTTTATAGAGCTGAACATAAGAATAACTATAGGGCACGCACTCAGTAAAAATTAACCACTTACCAAGCAGAATTTGAAGGTTGTTTTCTAAATTATATGAATTTTAAAATAACTTGTAACATGAGAGAGGACCCACTCTTACCAAAGCCATGATTTCTTGCTAGATGAATATACACTGTCATGTCAGTCCAGTGGGAACGCTGAAGTTCCCATGTCTTTATCCTAATGTTAGTGCTGATTCTACGTGAGCAAAGCTTTGTTTAAAGCACCAGTTATTCTACTGAAAATGGCATCTTACTAATCATCTGCATTTAATGGGATTTTCCCAAAATGATATGTTCTAGGAAAAATACACCTTAAATGAAGTCAATTAAATATATATGAGCTAGAAAATCCACAAAAAATACCAATAAATGCCCAACAGAATGTCAAAATTAAAGACGGATAATATAAATGTTAGCAAGTACGTACGACAACCAGAATTCTCATCTACTGCTGGTGGGAGTTTTTGAAAAAGGGTTTGGAAGTTTCTAATAGAGATTAAACATATCATATCTCATGCCCTTCACCCAATGACCCAGCAATTCTATTCCTAACGAGAGAAATAAAACATATGTCCACAAAAAGATCCATATAGAAGGTTGACTATTATGAACTTTATTCATAATACTCAAAAACTAAAAATAAAGTATCCACTAACAAGAGAATGTAAAACAAATAATGATATGTTCATATAATGGAATACTACACAGCAATAAAAAACACACTACTTATATACACAACAATATGAATGGATCTCATAGACATTATGCTGAACAAAAGAAGCTGGACACACAAAAAAAGGGTGCACGCCGTACAATTTCATTTACAAGAAGTTCTAGAATAGGTAAAATGAATCTATGGTTAAAACAGCTCAAAAACTGGTTACTTCTAGTGGAGCATTATTGATCAGAAAGAAGCATGAGGGAACTTTCTGGGATGAAAGAAATTATATCTTAAGAAGGGCGTGTCACATAGGTGTATTTATTTTGCCAAAATTCACCAAATTATATACTTATAATTTATGAATTTCACTGTATGTAAATGTGGCACTAAAAATTACAGCATTAACAATTATAAACAAATATTAAACTCAGTTTGCCTATCATGGTGGTATCAGCAAGCAATTTTGAAACTACTTACTGTATATTCTAGGCTCAGGCAAATGAGTAAACATATTAATAAGGATAATGGAAGCCAGGTTTCTCTCTGTTACAGAAGGCAGCAGAAATACACCAAGGAAAAAGACTAGGATGTACCTGAGGTACTGAATTGAATGGGAGGTATCAATATGAACATATGGTTTTTATTGGATAGAGAAAAATACACATATGTGCATATACTTGTATATGTGTGAATTTTATGAGCCATATTATGAGTGTATTATATATTATAGTAAGTATGCATGTACATTTCCTACTTCTGTCTACTGAAGTCCATAAGTAATGGTACACCTATAGCATTGAGCATACATAGTATCCATATCTTGGTTTCTAAATACCTTTGTCCTCATAAAGAACCAGGAGAAAAAAAAGAAAAAAAAAAAAGAAAAGAAAAGAAAAATTGCTGGCTGATTGCAGGACTAGGACAAGAAAAGACCATGATGATTCTGGAGCATCTATTTGCATCAGAAACTAAAGTTCTCAAATAATGATGGAGGCATATTAAACACATACAGGATCCTGTTTGAAGGGACTCCCATTGGCTAGATCTATGGCAATCTGGGTATCAATACAATGAGAGTAATGAATTATGACCCACTGAATAAAATAAAAACCCAAGAGATGACAGTAACATGAATATACAAATAAACAAATGAATAAGAAAGAATATAACAGTAGGCTAACAAATAGATAAATTATGAACTTGCAATAGACATAAAAACAGTGAGCATGGCTGAGTGTGGTGGCTCATGCCTATAATCCCAACACTTTGGGAGGCCGAGGCAGGCGCATCACTTGAGGCCAGGAGTTCAAGACCAGCCTGGTCAACATGGCAAAACCCTGTCTCTACTAAAAAGTACAAAAAGTTAGCTGGGCATGGTGGTATGCACCTGCAGTCCCAGCTACTTGGGAGGCTAAGGCAGGAGAATCGCTTGAACCCAGGAGGCAGAGGTTGCAGTGAGCAGAGATCACGCCACTGCACTCCAGCCTGGGCAACAGAGCAAGACTCCATCACAAAAAAAAAAAAAAGAAAGAAACAGTGGGTAAACATTTTATGAATATGTAGATATTTATATAGTATCAAAGTTATCTTCCCACAAATTATTAACCATATACAAAGAGAAAATGGTAACTTTATAATGGAAACTGTTGGCAGATACCACCTTAAACAAACATTCATCGTTAACAACATCAACATGGTAACAAACTAACATCATGTACTTCCTGATCTGATGCACTGAGAAGGGTGCAATATCACTTCTTTGGTGATTCAGGCTTCTTTGGAGCCTGAATACTACAGGAGCCTATGAAACCTGAATTTAATCCTTGGGAAACATCAGACAAACCCAAATTGATGGGTATTTTGTAAACTAACTGGTAGCTTCTCTTCAAAAATGTCATGGTCAGGAAAGACAGAGGCTGAGAGAACATTCCAGGTTAAAGGAGGTAAAAGAGATGACAGTTAAATGTTATGCATGATCCTGAATCGTGGATGAGGGGAAAAAATAGCTACCAAAGACATTATTAAGACAACTGCTGAAATTTAAATATGGATTGTGAATTAGATAGTAGTATCTATTTGTGTTAAAGGTTAACTTTCTTTTTTTTTGAGACAGAGTTTCGTTCTTGTTGCCCAGGCTGGACTGCAATGGCGTGATCTCAGCTCACTGCAACCTCTGCCTCCCGGGTTCAAGCAATTCTCCTGCCTTAGCCTCCTGAGTAGCTGGGATTACAGGCACGTGCCACCACGCACGGCTAATTTTTATTTTTAGTAGAGACGGGGTTTCACCATGTTGATCAGGCTGGTCTTGAACTCCTGACCTCAGATGATCCACCTGCCTCGGCCTCCCAAAGTGCTAGGATTACAGGTGTGAGCCACCGCGCCTGGCCTAAAGGCTAACTTTCTCAGTTTCAGTAAGTATACTATAGATATGTAAGAGAATAGATTTGTTCTTCAGAAATACAAAGGATATATGTATAGAGGTGTGATGATGTCTCCAACTTTCTCTCAAATGATTAAGAAAGAGATGCTATAGGAGAGGGAAGAAGAGAATAATAAAGTAAATGGAGAAAAATGTAAGCAACTGATGAATCAGGTAAATGATATGGAAGTTCCTTATATTATTTTTTCAAGTTTTCTGTATGTTTGGAATTGTATCAAAATAAAAGTTGCTCCCTAGAAGCATATATAAACTGTAAAATATATATGTATGGCCAATATTTATATAAGCAACATCAATTCTCAAACTTCAGTTCCAGAAAATGTTTATGGGTTTTCTGAAAGGAAGATGATTCTGGGGCCTAATAAACTTGTTCACTGTAATCCCTCTTTGAAGAGAAGAGCCACAAGGCACTTTTAATAAAGAAGCCTATTTAATGGATTTAATCCAACATTCCACAATAATCCATTCAGAAAACCTTGTTAAAATAGAACACACTTTAAAATCTTATAAAAATATGAATATGCTGTGGAAAACAGTCAGAGAACCACTTGTCCAGTAAACACATTTCCCATACTCGCTTAATGGAAGAAAGATTTGTGTTGGGAAAATAAGAGGCAGAGAAAGAGAGACACACACATACACACACATAGGAGTGGCATCAGCTTCAAACAGAAAGAGCAGAATGATGTGTATCTTACAGAGTTCTATCTAAAATGCCCTACCCAGGCTCAGAGATGCATTCTTGTAGGATATATTTTAAGTGGGGTAGATATTTGGTAAACTGAGTCCCAGTTTTATTTAGCCATTACATCAAACATGCTATGCAACATGTTACTTTAAATCTGACTCTTCCAAGGAACTGCATAGCAGAATAACTTGCCAGCCTTAATGAGTACCTACTATAGGCCAGGTATTGTGCTAGGCTTAGATAATGCGAGAATGAATAAGACACAGTTTCAGCCATCCATGAGCTTTCAGTCTAACGAGTGAGATGGAAAAATGAACATACCCAGTGAGAACTGTGGTGCTCAAGGATAAGTATTGAACTTTATGGGAACACAAAAAAATGTGGCTAACTCAGGCAGAGGGAGATCAGAAAAGGTTTCCTTCAGGAAGTGTTATCTAAGCTAACATGTTCATTTCTCATGCTGTCTTTGAAAAGGTATTCAAAGGATTTTTAAAATATATTAGTCATCCAATATTCATGTTCTGCTCCTAAATGGCATCATGTAAAAAAAAGCAAAAAGGAAAATACACTCATTAGCTATTGACATTTAGGTGCATTTCAAAATCTAAGAGGGCTGTGACACTGAGGTTACCCCAAACAACCATCTCAGAATTCTTTCAAAAGCACCTCTAGACTTAGCTAGGTATTCAAATGTAGGAATAAAATAATTTGAAGAGAAAAACACATAAAGGAACAAACTGAAAAAATCAGAAATAGAACAGTACAAGAAGACAAAAAAGTGATAAGTATTGTTTACCTGTCAGTTGACATTGATTAATCTTGTGTTCTGTGATATCGCTCAGCGATTCAAACACCTGGAGGCAGCTGTCACAGCTGTGCACAGCTTCGTCTTCCAACTCCTCCCCGTCTTCCGGCCTCTTCTTACAATCTAGTGCCTCTCCATCTTCAGTCTTGTCTTCAAGTTTACAGTTGGGGTCTGAAAAATATCAACACTGTAAGTATGGGGTTTAAAGACAGGTTCTTTTAAAGTAACATTTAATCTTCTTGCTACCAAAAACAGAAACACCATTTTCCTTGAAGTTGCAATAGGAGGGCTTCATTGCAGATTTTATTACAGGAGAATCAAAAGTGAGCCTCTCCTAAAATTATTCAGTTAGTGACTATCAAAGGCCTTCTTCCCTTTCCCCACCATGTAGCCCTTTTCCTCTCTCTCCCATCAAATCACTCACCCACTCTTAAGACTGACTTTACCATTTTTTTCATAGCCTTTTAGTTTTCGCTTAAAAGAGATAAATCACTTTTAAAATTAAACAGTCTCCAATGCAAAAAAAAAAAAAAAAAACCCCCCCACTGTGCTTAAGAATGAACTCTTTTTCTGCTAAATATACTCTTTCACGGGAAATTACCAGAATTAGCCAAAAGTCTAGAATAAGCTAAGCCAATTACCATAGGCACAAAATTGACCTTTACTTATAAACTGGTCAAAACACACAGCTACTCCATTATTTGTTAGACAGTGATAGCAAAATAAGCTGTATCACATGGCAAAACATTCTTACAAATGCAAACTCAAGTGTAAATGTATGTCTCTTGTTTTCAAAATTATCCAAAAAAGTGAAATAAGATATATGAAAAACAATTATAAATAATAATGAAGTCAACAACTTGAGTTGGCATTACCAATGTTGAAAAGCTAAATGTTGTGAAAACTAAAAATAGTTCCATTTTCACCCTAAAAATGATACACAAACAGCAGGGAGAGATGTGGGGGTGCGGGGAGAGAAAAGCACGTGGAATGCTTTTACTTAGAGCTCAATAAACGCTTTTTGATTAGTTACGCTGTCCTTTGAGTCATTTCCTCCCAAAGAGGGAGGAAGAAAGGAACTGTGTGGGGAGGGGGCTGAAGAGTATCTCTTTGGGGGAAATTAAGATAATGGGATAATACAATCAGTGACTGAATTTATGGGTCACTGATTTCCAGTAGCAAAAACTCCTCCAAAGTCATAAATAAACTATATCTCAAAATACGGTAAAATTAAACTAGAGATTTCTATTTTCTATAAGGCCTTGACTAGTCAATGAAATGGTTACAAAATAACTGTATCAAGATACCTAAGAAATACGTAAGGCATTATCTGTAGCCACATTTTTATATGACTACAATATTACTTTTAATGGCTACAATAAATATGATAATTTAAATACAAATATATTCAATGTTTTTAATTTTGCTTTTTAGAGATGGGTCTTACTAGGCAGCCCAAGCAGAAGTGCAGTGGCTATTCATAGGCACTATCATAGCTCACTGCAGCCTCCAACTCCTGGCCTCAAGCAATCCTCCTGCCTCAGCCTCCCAAGTAGTTGGGACCACAGGCACACACTGCCATGCCCAGCTATTTAACACTTTAGATATTTCATTAAATGTTACAATCAAGAATCCACAGAATCAAAAATAACCAAGTATTTCTCAAAAAAGTCCATGAACGCCACACCAATATCCTGCTCTCTGAGATTGTTTTCTGCTATGTTGCACATAGCACGTTTCTATGAATGCTTCTTCTACAAGTCACTTATACTCCTTTCTTGTCTGGCAGTTGTTCTAGAGCTTTCCTTCACATCTTCAATAAACAACTATATCACCACCCTTCCAACGATTCACATATGCCAAAATCAACTTATATCACCATGTATCTGACAATCTCTTGGGTTCTTAAAAAAAAAAAAGCAAAATTCCCATCTCAAAGAGCACGTAGTTTTGTTTGTTGGGTTTTTTCAAAATTAACACACTGTTTAAGTACATTGGTAATTTGGGCTGATTTGCCATCTGGAAAATTATTATCTCAACATTCTACACAGTGCCCATTTCGGTATACCAGGATTTAGACTGCTCATTCCTGGGGGAGTAATCACAGGGATTTTGCATTTGTCTTGTACTCTGCCAAGCAGAGTTCTATGTCCAGGTGAGTGTTTAGTAAATATTATTTAGTGATGGTGAGAAACGGAAGGAGAAAAAAATAGAGACTACCTTTAAAAGTCCTTTACCAGTATTTTTTCTGTAAACAGGAACAGACCAGTTACCTGTAAAGTAAAAAGCACCAGCATGCCTACATTTTCCAAAGCTGATACTACAGGACCCACCACATTTGGGTTTGCTTCTCTCAAATATTTCATCTGGGGCAACAGATGCAAAAAAAAAAAAAAATGGCAATGATTCAAAGATCTCCAACAAACTAAAACCAAGTGATGAAACACTGCCAAACTAGACAGCAATTCAGGAAAATAAATAACAGTCCCAACTATGGCAAATTGACCCCCACACCATTAAAACACTTATTGGAAGGCAGTATGCACTCATGAATACTCTTGGTTGTTTAGCATGAGTTTCTAGTTTCTCAAAAAAACTGATAACACTCAGGGAAATGTCGCTGTTAGGTCTGATTTTTAATATGATTATTTAAATGCTACACATCCAGTTTGCAGACCTGTTTGTTTTTAAATAAGGAGACTCTGTGAATACTTTAAGTACTATACAGAGAAAAATGATAAAAACTCACTTTCCTTATTATTCAAGAATATGGACACTTTCCATGAATCCAATATCAAAAATACAAACATAGAAGAATGCATGATGGCTTCGCTCTCAAAAGCTGAAGAACCGACCCCAGTCCATGCTTCCAACACTGTGGCTAGTTATTAAAATGAGGGTCATTTTAAGACTAATAAAAAATAGTTTTGCTTCCACTTCTGCAATTGCAGATAGAACCCTTCAGGGACTGAAGTCAGTCAAGCTTATTCACTTCTGCTGCAACTTTAGGATGCATGCTCCAGCCAACTGGCGAATTTGTTTTTAGGTCAACACTTAAGAGGGACCCTCTGGGAAGCGGGTTCGATTATAGCCTATGATGCCTTGGTGTAATGAGTACTGGAATCTCAGTCTCTCTCCTTGTAAGATTTTTCCAGCCTCTACTTTCATGAAAAACTCTTTTTTGCCCATTCAAAAGATGTGTTTATTTGTGCTAGGGGTTTGCATCCCTAATGCCAGTTGATGTAGGAAGATTCTAGAAAGCTTACACTGTCAACCATTTCTTTCCCACAGGTGGCTACACTTCAATAATTGCACATGGACTTAGTGATGTAGTTTTTATAAAGTCCTTTGAGATCCAATCATAAAAAATAATTGTATTACTCTGCTAGCCATTCAAACCTCTGACTTCAACCTAAGGGGTTATAAATACAAGGTCCATGCCTGTAAGTACTGCCCTGCCCCCAGCACCACTGCAGGAAGGATCATTGTTCTTCCAACTCCATTGTTGTGCTATAAATCCACGCAAAGGGTGATATTTTAAAATATCCCCAAACTCTCTACACTGCAACTACAAACTGTGTCATAGCTGCAGGCACCACTCTCTCTCCCCCTACCCTAAATGATGCTGCGCAAACATGTTGCATTCAGCACAAATGATCTCACCTCCTCAACCAACTTTCCACCTCATCCTCTGAAAAGGGTGCTGTGGGACACTGGATTTATACCGTTCTGATTGGATAAAATGCTGAATTTTGGAACACACGCACAATTATTATTACAAAAGTAAGTGGCAGCTTTCTGTTTCCAATTTTGTTAACATTACTTATAAATAGGAATGTAAAAGAAGCATTCTTTTCCCTGATTGTGTTCTCTGGCAGGTGGTTCTTTTCTTCGTCTCATCCTCCTGTTCATAAGAATTGTTATTGCTATAACTTGCTTTAATAAAATTACAACTGTGGGGAAAATGAAAAATTGCACTGGCTTAAAAGTGTTGGAGGCAATAAACCCATGGACTTCAATTAATTTCAAGTGTGGGATCAGTTTAAGGCCAACCAGCAGAAATTCTATTCTGTCCATGTAAAAATGAGGTTTCACCACATTTACTTTTTATAACCTATATAAAAGTCAAGTAAAAGTAATGAATATCTAAAAGCCATCTCAGTGGACTGGCAAAGACTATCTGTATTCTTGAAACTCATCTTACATATTTCTCTCTGTGCAACAAGGATCCCATGCCTGATCAAAGCTAAAATGTCAAACTACTGAGAAAACAGCCCAATTTCCAATCCATTTCACTGCCTCAAAATGGACCTCCTTCCAAGCCACTTTTGCATGGAAAAGCACTGGCAAAAGAAAGAAAAACTAAGAGATCATGTGGTTATAATTATTACCAGGCAAGGAATATTTCTGCAGCTCAGTGGTAAAGTAAAACTCTGTCGCTCTCTGCTCCCAATAGTGTCCATCGCAAAACAACTGCCTCATTAAATCTCTGCAGTAAGATTAATATGCCGTAGCTGCACTACATTTATAACTTGGTACTCTATAAAAAGCACATTTAATGGTAAGAGCCAGAGCCTAGATACAAAGTATTACTATAAAAACTTCTGGCAGCAAGTACACAGTGCAGGCCCTCTGTCCCTCTTGCTGGAGATATAAATGAGGTTTTTCCTGGTTAATTCCAAGCATGAAGCTCTACCTTAAAAACCAGAGTCAGTTTTTATGAGAGTGGCAGAAACACAAGATTCTGAGGATGATGTAAATATGAATGCAAGAAGATTACTTAACAACTAAGACTGGCAAGAGATGAATGAACCCAAAATACTCCACTTATATACTCACGCAAACTTAAAACTGGACCACTTCCTAACAGTTTGTTCTCTGATCATAGCCAGCTTGTCACCAAATTAAACAGCCATGGCATGAATTACTCAATCTTAAGTCAACCCACACAGTGCCCAGTGAGTTCAAGAAACTACCAACTAAAAAATACATACTGTCTGAAAAAAACAAGTCTTAGCTTCACTGTGATGACCATGACCTCCAGGATCTCAGTAGCCTAAAACTGTCACAAAAAAAAATTAAAGAAAAAGTGGCCCCAACACTACACTGCTAGTGAACTAGTAAAAATAGAGGGTTTTTGAGACTTTAGAAAGCTGCCCGAGTTCTTTCTTTCAAGGATATTGTCTGAAATTAAAAAGGCATTATAACCCATGTCACATATCCAGGAATTCCATGCTAAATAAGTAAACAAATAATTCAAAGTAATGCATTCCACACCAAAATCTCCCCAAATCACTGCAAATGATGCATCTCAGGTTAACAACCATCTTGTACTAAACGTAATTAACTGTCTAATGATGTTGTATTTAAAGTTCATATGTGTACTCACAACTAGCCTTCTAGGTTTCGTGACATATTTAGAAGTCCCACACCTAAAAAGAAAATCAGAGAGTATCTGTTTAAAATAAACCATATCTGAAAGCACTCCTCCCCTACAAGTATGTTCAAATCCTAATCCCTGATTTATGTTTATACTTTTTAAGAACAGAGAAAAAGTTACCTTCAGGCTACAAAGAGTTAACAAGAAGTAGAAAGCCTTCCTGGTTTGCAAAAACCAAAGGGCGGGATCATTATTTTGTGCTTTCTGGGCTCTAGATATGCATTCTAACTTGAAATCCCATAAGACGAAAACAGATTTAGGGGAAATAAATCGCACACTGTTATAAAATGGCAAGCAGACTCTAATGAAGGAAGGCAGCATTGCCAGACTGTGCAGCCGTCTGTCCCGCACTCGCCTGCTGGTCTGCTGCCTCATTTTTTTTATTACTGTCAACTAAAGGTAAACAAACAAACACAACACAAACAAACAAAAAAAGCAATCGATGGGGTGGCTAAGGGCTGAGCATCCCCGGAACCACATCGGCCTCAACTTAGCAGGATTATGATGGGCATCCCAGGCAGACACCTGGCTGGGCACCAACCAGTCCAAAGAGCTCTGTGGTCACGGATAAGAATGTGCTCCTTTTACCTCTTTCTGCAATGTTTATTTTCTAACCACTCTATTCTCTGAAAGTTGTTAAATTGTTTTACAGAAGAAGAAAAGGAACCTGTAATCTATTTGTTCCTTCCTTTGTCTATAAAATCTTCTCAGACAGAAAGAATGATCTCTGTGTTAAACAAAATCGCACTGTTGAAGTTTAGACTTTCTGTGGTTTTGCTTGATTGTTCTACAGGTCTATCACGGTCCTTGAAGACCAAAGAGAAATATCACAGATGTACTGTTATCAAGGAGAACATGCCAATTGTGAATTTATTACCACTATCTACAGTGAAATTCCTTGAAGGAGGACGCTGAATGGGAGGAAATTAGCCTTAGGGGAGGTTAAACACACACACACACACACACACACACACACACACACACACACACACGCATTCACTTTCACACTTTGCAACAAAAGTTTCTTCTCTTCCAATCAGAAAGATATACCCAAGTTTCTTTCTTCCATTATTCCTCCTTTATCTTATTTTTTTATTAATTTTTTTTTTTTTTTGAGACGGAGTCTCGCTCTTTGGCTCAGGCCGGAGTGCAGTGGCGTGATCTTGGCTCACTGCAACCTCCGCCTCCCGGGTTCAAGCGATTCTCCTGCCTCAGCCTCCTGAGTAGCTGGGATTACAGGCACGTGCCACCATGCCTGGCTAATTTTTTGTATTTTTAGTAGAGACCAGGTTTCACCATGTTAGCCAGGATGGTCTCGATCTTCTGACCTTGTGATCCACCAGCCTCAGCCTCCCAAAGTGCTGGGATTACAGGCGTGAGCCATCGCGCTGGCCTATTCCCCCTTTATCTTTAACATGAAATTTGGTAAAAGAAAGACACAATGGAAGAAAGCAACTTCAGTACTCCAACTTTAATACAAAGAGTAGTTTGTAACTAACTATGTTAGTAGTAGTTACTAACATATTCCTACCTTAAAGTCATTTAACTTCACAATGAATTTCTATGGCTGCCTTGTCACAACTTCAGTAAGCAAACATTTCTTGAGCACCTATGTGGTTAACAGCCAGTTGATCAAGGCCCTGGAGATACAACGTCTAAATTCCTGTCCCAAGAAGTTTGCAATTTGCTGCCGCTTCCCAACTGGTGGGTCAAAAGCAAGTTCAAGTGTTTTGGGATACTGATCCTCAAGGTGACCAGGCACAGCTTGGGGTGACTGGAAACTGCAAGTCTGTCTTCCCTGGCCTTGAGTGGTTTTGTCCATTTACCCAAGTTTGCCATTTGAAACTTATCACTTTTCTGC
The DNA here is from genome assembly GCF_000001405.40 of Homo sapiens. Taxonomy (NCBI): domain Eukaryota; kingdom Metazoa; phylum Chordata; class Mammalia; order Primates; family Hominidae; genus Homo; species Homo sapiens. The sequence goes on from NC_000018.10 coordinate 25,329,318, forward strand.
ATATGTTATTTCATGACAAGGCCTGACTGGCACAAGGAGAGAAAGAGAAGAGTAAGTCAACGACTACAGCAAGAGGGATAAGTACTCAGATGGAGGGGCATCTAAATCGGGGCAGGGAAATTTTATCCCAAGAAGAGCAAGTTGGGCTACATTTTGAAGGCCACATAACACTGGGAACAAGAACACAGCTCTCTAGGAAATAGAAACAAAGGTAAGGCCACAGATACGTAAAACAACATGATGACTTCAAAGAAATGCAAGTACCTGTGTTGCTATTCAAAATGGGGGCGAGGGAGGGATAGACCAGACAGACAGTAAGGCAGCGGCAGAGAGCAGGCTGGAAAAGCGGCTAGAGCACGAAGGAACTCCTGTGAGTGTAATGTCCAGATGTTAACCTCACTGCTATGAGAAATCACTGATGGATTTTAAGTAGGGGAGTGAATGATCTGATTGACATTTTACAAAGATGCTCCACTGGTAACTGAGAGGATGGCATGGACAAAGATCAGACCTGGAAGCAAAGAGACCAATCCAGAGGCTACAGGGTAAACCAGGAAGTAAGTAGAAAGTGAAAACTAAGTCAACGGCAGAAAGGAAATAATGGTTCTGGGAGCCACTATGGAAACAGGATCTGGATGGATGGTGAAGAGAGGAAAGTGGAGAGCTGTCTCAGTGTTTGCCAGGCACCATGCTTGGTGGAGCCATTCCTAGACAGGAGCATGCTTTTCTCACTATCTTCACATCCAGGTTTTTTCTTTTACCCATATTCTCACTTACCTAAATAGTGACAAAGAAGTGCCAAAGCTGGAGAAAAACTGGGCAGAAAAATCACACCACCTAACTTTTTTCTTTTTCTTTTTTTTTTGAGACAGAGTCTCACTCTGTCGCCAGGCTGGAGTGCAGTGGTGCAATCTCAGTTCACTGCAACTTCTGCCTCCCAGGTTCAAACGATTCTCCTGCCTCAGCCTCTCAAGTAGCTGGGACTACAGGCCCGTGCCACCATGCCCAGCTAATTTTTATATTTTTTTAGTAGAGACAGGGTTTCACCATGTTGGCCAGGATGGTCTCGATCTCTTGACCTCATGATCCACCCGCCTCAGCTGCCCAAAGTGCTGGGATTACAGGCGTGAGCCACCATGCCCAGCCACCAGCTAACTTTTTAACCTAGTACCAGAGGTTTCCAGGGGCCCCAAAGACACTTCTCAGGACTTCAAGGATCTTTGGTAAGACTCCTTTAACTTTAGCTTTATTTTAAGCACACACAATGCCAAAGAAGAATAAGTATAAAATTAAACTGAAAACCAAAAGAGACATTGATTCTAATATCTCTTTCTTATTTCTTCTTTAAATATATCATTAACCATTAGTTTAAGTAAGTTAACACGATTTTACTTGGAGTTCATGATTCTTTTCATCAGACAAAGTCAAAACACCAGACTACTACTTTTAATAACATAAAACCCCAATAAATTTAAAATACTTGTTTTAAAAGGTGCACACAGCCTTCTCCTAAAAGAAAATATGGTAAGGAACCACAAAGAATGCGACAGAGCAGCAGGGGAAAGAGATGACACAAGGGTGAAATGGGTACACAAACTCAAAATCACCTACGCTAATAAAGAAAGAAAAAAGTACCCTGCTGAAGCTTTTTCTAGATGAAGGGCTTAAAGTAAAATACCCAGAGTCTTTTTGTAACCGTGTTGTTTTTATTTTGTTTTGCTTTGGCATGAGCCTTTCTTCTTGCCAGATTTGAAATGCCTCACTCTTCCAACTACCCTGATGCCTTCAGATTCAACAATGACACATTTGAATCTCATATAGTCTCTAACTTCCTGCAAAAAGAAACAAAACCAGCTTCTGTAGTTCCATGCTCAATCTTAAACCGAGCCTCAAGGACTCCCTTCTTCCATTTTACATAAGAAAGATACTACACACAAATATTTTTAATATCCAGCTAATCAAGCACTAATTTCTCGATAGTAAAGCAACTTTAAAACTGCTAAAAAAAAAAATCCACTCTGGAGGAAAACAAATTATTTGAAAACATTTCTGTGTAGTCTTTAGTACATAATGACCAGGTATACTGAAAACTGCTTCTCAGACAAGACAGCTACAATAAGAAATAAAACCAATTTTTGAACCTAGGATTTAGACATTTGGACATTTGCGAAAGAATCTGGCTCCTCTTTACTAAATAAGTCTATGTAGTCTTAGTAGCACAGTTAGAAAGCATTAGTTTCCCCAAGCAAAGAAAAATCTGCGGCTAAATGCCTTTGTATTAACGATATCATACTAATACTTACACCAACTGTTTGTATTTTTTCAGCCATTTTAGACAGTGCCAGTCAAATTGCAACATTTCTGAATTGGACACCTAAAGTTAACTATCTCAACAATTGCTGAGGCATTAGCTTGGGGGGAAAGTGTTTTGTTTGAATCAGGAAACACTGGCTTGCTGCAATGTAGCAATACTCACTTTCACATTTTGAGAAGGTAAACCCCAACCTCATTCACAAAAATCAATACAATATTATCATTCAATTCTCTTTACTAGTGACTTTGGACTTGCTTTTTTCTTTTTTTTTTTTTTTAAATTTAGGAAATTCCTCTCCTTAACTGCAATCATATATTTGAAAGACAAGAACAATTGGATTTGTCTAAAGTTTGCCAAAATTAATCGAAACATTTTGGGCATTTAATATTCCACTAAACAGATTTATTTCACCCAGGAACATGAAAAAATGTTGGGTTTTTTCTTTCTTTTTCCCCTTCAGCAGCTCCAAATGGCTGTCAAACTGGGAATCAAACTGCCATTAAAAAGAAAAATAATTTGAAAACAAATGAAAACAGATTTTTTTCTTTTCTAAGTGGAAAAGTCTACATTTGTAAGAAATGATCCCACTTAGGAAGATAAGAAAGCATTTTCAAAACAACTGCCTTGGTAACATGATGACTCAGGAAAAGAGAAATTTTAAAAAAAGAAAAATCCTATAACATAAGGCACAAATTTGTATAATGAAAGATCACAGCAAAAAAAAAAAAAAAGAGGCTGTGATTTATACCTTATGAGCTATTATAAACTACAAGAAAATTTATGTATAATTGAAAAAAAGGAATTCATTGTGTCTTCCCCTAGTTGGTCTAATAAATTTTAAAATACATACAACCCTAAATGTCGAAGGTTCCTTCATCCTGATAAACAAAACAAGAAAAGCCACACAACCAAAAATAAACTATAAAAATAGATCATTATTGATTTAGTTCCATTTCTGTAACACTTTCCTTAAGGAATCTGAAACAAAGATAATATAAGAGCATCATTTGTTTTAAATTTTTTAACTGCACTTTTCATTTCCTAGGACACAAAATAATTCCTTAGGTGTCCATATGAGTCTAATGTTTTTCTTTAGTTTTAATACAATCTCTCCAAAAGCCAGGTTTTAAAAATGTACTTTTTCCTACAGAATGACCACCTCACCAAATGTGCATTCAATCTGCATGTATCTGCAGACAAGTAATAAAGACACGAGTGCCATTAGCATAATCAATACACAATTTACAGAGCTACCCAGATAGAACTAAAAGTGAACGTGTACGCCATTATCATAGTAACTGTAAATTAATAGTTGTTCGTGGAAATGTGTTCCCACTTATATTGTCTCAATCTCGACTTGTCAGGATAATGTGACCACATATTATATATTTGTATAGTATTTATGTATATAATGTAGCATATACATATACAAATCTATACATATGTATATATACATATATACTAGAGTAGTATATATTTTATCGTATAATGCTATATGTAAACATATTTTCAAATGATTATTTCCAGATAATCTCCAAATATGCATAAAGTAATATCAACGAAATCAATCACACATAGGAGGAAATGGCTGATAAATAAACACCTATATTTATTTGTTTTGCTTTTTTACTATGTAGTTTAATAAGCATGTGGTTTAATAAGGACACACTCTCTCTCTCTCTCTATATATATATATATATATACACACATATATATATGTAAATATATACGCGGAGGGAGCATATTCTCAGAGGGTGGGCAGAAGGGCCAGGGCTCATCTTACTTTTAAAAGAGAATAATAAGGAAAATAATCTGGTCAATTCCGCTGTTGCTGTTTGTATTTTTTTAAAATCCAACACATTTGAAACCTTACATTTAGCCAACACCACCCAAAAAAAAAGTACATCCTGTCTCTGAAATACCATCTCTAGGATGTCAGAATTGGAGTAATTTTTTTCAGAAACAGTGACAGGTCATGCCCAATTGCCTCCACAGAAGGTATCAATGCCACACCAGTCCTTGGGACAACCTATCCCTGCAATGGGTATGTCCATCTTTCACAGCCATGAAGAAAAACTGTATCAAATGTAATATATTTCGAACAAAAGAAAACAGGGATAATTTCAGGATGGTAAAGTGCCTTAATCTGCCAGTGGGAAATATGAATTTGTTTCTCCTCTATCTGCTTCATGGTGTGTTTAATACAGGCAGTGTGGTATTACCAGGGGCTAGTCAGCCCAAAGCCAGGTGCACTGCTATAGTCTTTGCAGGCACAACCATCACTCACTTCTTCCCAGAAGTCAAGCTGGTGGGCTCCACCCAAGCAAATCTCTTGACCTTTGAGTAACAGCACGGAGAAGAAAGACCTTTGAAAGTCTACTCAACCTCTACAAGGCAGTAGTTCCAAGATTTCACCAGCAATGAAGAAAACACTCCAGCACCCCCTTGCCACCACCACTAAAATATCTCCCAGATCAGCTTCCAGAGGCATTCAATTTTTTTTAATCAGAAGACAAAGCCTTTAATTATACAATTACAGATTTGTCAGGATTCCACTGCTTTTAATGCTACCATATTTTTCTTGGAGAAGTAACTTTCTCTTAGAGGCAGAAGAGTAGAAAAGGAGAGGGAACTCAGATCTAAATGCCTGAAGTCAAAAGGAACATCAGAGGAGAGATCTGGTGGCCAGTGGATTAATTATTTCTACATCTTGATTTGGTTTATGACGAGTCTTGGCTTCTTCATTTGAAAAGTATGGGATGAAAGATGCCCACTTTCAAGTTCTTTTTCTGCTTCAGCCATACTAACTGGATGGGCCCAGTGTATGTGACTCAGTTTTCTCACCTATAAAATGAGAGCAATGATAACTGACAAAGGATACATTTAAAGCCAAAGGAAGACACAGTGTCTTTTGAAACGTTAAACAGGTGCCCACACATAAGGTATTTGTCAAAAATAGTGAACTCAACTCTCCTCCAGCTCCATTACCCACCTTTTATTGTAGATAATGGTTACTAAGAGTTGAATATAAAAGTTCACACAATTCCTCTTAGGCTTTCTCCAGAAGGGGAAATATTTTCTTCTCTACACAAAAAGGCAAAGCAGCCGCAATACTGAGTGCCACCCCTAGAGACTTTGCAAACGAGGTAAACATAAAGAGGATAAAACATGCAGGCCTCCCCAGCTTCCCAGAGAACTTCATCCAGAATAGAAAGCTATTACCAGTTAGTGATTTGCTAAGAGCCAGACATCCATTAAGCACCTTATGTTTGTTTGTTAATATGACAGTCCTGCAAGGTCTATTCCTAACATTTTACTGGTAAGAAAACTGAGGTTTAGTAAGGTTCAATAACATGTAGCTTGTTAATAGTGTGCAGGATTCAAACACAGGTCCACCAGGCAGCGGGTCCCTTGTGTCTACTCATTGTGACATGCCGATTGTGCACACAGGACCAAAGCACTGAGACATTCCACTGCTCAGACTAGAATAAGGAAGGTGATGCTCTCAGAGCAGTGAGCCTGTAATTTTTGCTTTCAGAAAAAGTCTGAGAGGGTTGGAAAAGTCACTTTTCCTCCCATCACCTAAAATGTGTATAGCCATGAAAGGTAGTTCCTAGAATTATAAATCAAGAGACTGAGACTCCTCCCTAGTCTGTCACAAAGTCATGGTGTGACCTGGAATACGTAACTTAAGGTCTTTGGGTCTTGGAGACAGCAAGTGGGTCATCTCTAGGGTCTTCCCTGCTCTAAACTCTCATGATCTGTATCCTCTCCTGTCCTCAAAACACTCTGTACCTCGCCTAACCAGATGTCCATCCCCAGCCCTGGCTGACCTTTCGGGAAACTAAACTAGCACCCGCACCCAATACCCTTTTAAAAGTGTTTTCCAGAATATCTATATTAAGCGATCCCAAAGTGAAATTTCCTTTGTCACTTTCTATCATTTAAAGATATTCCACTCATTAAAAGTGGCCTCGCTCAATCCTCTTGGCTCTCCCCACTCTGATTTTCATTACTAATTCTCTCACTTCATTTAGCATTAAGGTTGAAGAAAAAAGTATAAATGGCTATTTGAAAGTCATCTGATTGGATATATTAAGGTTTTAGACTTTGTCGGTATAGAAAGACAACTTTATGACAGTTTACATTTAGTTAAAGTTAAAAGAAAAGATAGTGTCTACGAAGAGTATCACCGGACAAGTGAATGCCAAGGTCAACCAGCGAGCGCGGACAGAGGCTGGGCTTCTAAAGCCCAAAGGGCCAGCAGAGTCAAGCAATCTGGAAGTGGGGCCTGGGTGATTTCACAAACTGAAGAGAGAAAGACTTGAGATTGAACAAGCAAGGGAAGTTAAGGGGAAATTAAAACAACCTGAACAGTTAGGATTTACTGCAGAAAGAATAAAGAAGAAACCAAGAGGAAAACAATGTCAATCTGCCCCAAAATAAGGTCTCAAATAAAATTAAAGCACCGGCTAGACACAGCCAGGCATGGATGGGAGTTAACCGCCAGTCAGCAGACCATTCCTGTATTCTCCTTCCACATTCAATCTCTATACCCACATGTGCTTCTAGACAACACAGAATCTCTCTCTGAAGCCAAGAAGAAAATGCTTGTAGACAAATTTACTGATGACTGAGGTGATGCAGAAAATCATCCCCTCGTTCCACTAATTCTTTTGTAAACCCAAGCCCAGATTTATCTTTTTAATTTAAGGATTATTAATAAATCTGCTATGATTAAACTTTCATAATGATATGTGAATTATTTGTCTCCAGTTCCTCTCCCAAGAACAATTAGACTACCTTTGTAAATTAGCACTGGCCCTTTTGCAAGGAACCTAAAAGACACCAATCCGACTTACCAAAAAAAGATGGCAGAGGTGCTAAAATTAATTAGCTTCACTTTATGCTTCCATTATCTTTTAATTGGAATTTCTGCAGTAATTTTTCTTTCTTAATTCTATCTACGTTGGCAAAGCAAAGTTAGATTTTGGACTGGATCAATGCATTGGCCAGGGTGAAGGTACCTGTCGTGGCAGACTGAACTCGGCAAAGACTTTGTGAGAATCCCTCTAGCCCCCACAAAACAGGCTTCAGAAAGGGCTATGTGCTACCACACAGGTACATAAAAATTCCCAATCTTCAACCACAGCAAGAAGGAACTTTCTAGAATAGAAAAGAGTTGTATGCTATGGTGTGTACAAAAGTGAGAAAACCTTTGAGAGTAAAAAGAAACATTTACCAGGCACTTCATATCTACCAGACACTATTCTAAGAGCTTACACTAATTAACTCTTAATTCTCACAAGAGCTCTTTGAATTAGGTACTAGTAGGACCCTCATTTACAGATGGAGAAACTGTAGTACAAGGTGATTTAATAACTTTCCCAAGGTCAATCAGATTAGAATTTCAACCCAGAGAGTCTAGTTTAACACCCATGTTCTTAACCACTACACTATACTTCCCCCATTTAATAAATGTTTGCTAAGCACCTACTATATTCCCAGAAATATTCTGCGAGGTTGGGGACACAGAGATGGAGGTGGGGGAACAAGACACTGCAGCCAGTGTAATGGGGAACACAGAATGAAAAGAAAGATTAGGAAAAAATCCTTTCTATAATATGTCAGACACAAGATCTATTAGTTACAAGGGAAAGCGCTGACAATACCAAAAATAAAAATTTGGAAGTTCTGTATGGCAAAAGAGAAAAAACTACCACCCACAGAGTCAAAAGGCAAACTGGGGAAAATATTTGCAACACATAAGTCAGGCAAAGAGCTAATTTTCTTAATAATATGAGCTGCTCTTTCAAACCAGAAGATAAAAAACCCAAGGAAATAGAAAGGCAATTCACAGAAAAATAAATACAAATAGTTTATAAACAATTGAAATGATGCTCAATCTACCTCATAATTACAGCAATGCTAATTAAAATGTCAATTAAATACCAGTTTGTTTTTTCACAAGTCGCATTAGTAAGGATGAAGTATTTAAACACAGGCACTCTCTAACCCTGCTGCCAACTGCAGTGTGAATTGGTCTTACTTCTTTGGAGGGCACACTGGCGGTATCCATTAAAATTTTAAATGCACATTATCTTTAACCAGCAATTCCATTTTTAGGAATTGATCCCATGTATATAAAATCATACATATCAGCAAGAATGTATGCATGCTTCCTGCAACACAGATAAGTAACTAAAAAGAAACACCCTGATGACCAGCAGCTGGGGATGGACTAGACAACAGCCCATCATACAATGGATACTGCAAAGTCATTAGAATAAAGGGGAGAGATCATAAGTGCTTATATGGAAGGGCTGCTAGGAAATATATTTAGGAAGGAGGACAACATAGAGACCTCCCGCTTTTGTTTGGGGAAAAGAAAAAACACTCACATATATACATCACAATTTAAGATTGGCCCAGTTAGCTCCCTGGGTACATTACCCCAGCTAGCTATACTCACTGTCTCTGTCTAACCATGGAACAGATATTTAAGGAACAGTTGGAAGGGGCAACATATAATCGGCCGTCCAGAGTACCGATGCATCTCACTCTGACCTTTCTTACAGAATTACGTGGATGGTTAGGGGTTGAATTCAAACAACCTCTCATAGACTTTTGTGTGTGTGTGTGTGTGTGTGTGTGTGTGTGTGTGTGTAAACTACAATTAAGAATAAAGACAACAGAAAAGGCATAGGAAATGTGAGTTGAAAGTGGAAAAAAGTGCTAGTAGACATATTACTGTTTTCACAATCTTTCACAGTTTTTCTACATTTTTTTTTTAAGTTTTGAGATGGGGTCTCACTCTGTCACCCAGGTTGGAGTGCAGTGGCGTGATCTCGACTCACTGCAACCTCCACCTCCCAGGCTCAAGTGATCTTCCCACGTCAGCCTCCCAAGTAGCTGGGGCCACAGGCATGTGCCACCACGCCAACTAATTTCTTATATTTTGGTAAAGATGGGGATTCACCATGTTGCCCAGGCCTGTCTCGAACTCCTGAGCTCAGGCGATCCCCCCGCCTCAGTCTCCCAAAATCCTAGGATTACAGGTGTGAGCCATTGCGCCCAGTCATTTTCTTTTTAATTACAGAATATACTAATGAATTGTTGATGCACTATCACAGTTTAGTATTTACTAACCTCCTTGATGTGAAAATTGTGCTAAGAATTTACAAAGATCATAAGCAGAAACATAATTAGATGACTAACATATATTTTCCTAAATAGCTAAGACATAAAATAGAGAACAGTTGTTAAATTGTCTCACAATTCCAGAATGAGTGAGTTGATCAAGTATTTAGAGAGCATTCTAAGGATTAAAACAAACCCAGATATTTGAAAGTTAACAGACTTAGGTAATGGAAAACTCAATGAATGTAGCTGTAGGTAGTTTACTTAGAATGGGAAAACCAGGCCCACAATTAAAATATGGCCAGAACTTGCACAGAAGTGAGCCATGTGCCAATGACACAAAAGGAATACCATTTGTGTGAACTGAAAGAACACTATTGTTGTAAAACTAAGTAAAATCTAAAGTTAACATTATGAGAGACACAAAGAGGCACATAATATGTCTTCATAGACTGTTAGTTCCATGAAACCCATGAGCAGTTGGGTCTGACTGGTTCCATATTGTCTCCCTAGAACCTGACACATACTTGGTGCTCAATAAAAAATCCTTTAGAATGCATGACCATGTTCAGTATCTTTCATTCGAAAACATATGAAACTTCAGGATTTGCTTGAAAGCGCTTCCTCCAGAATCCTTCCCTGACCTCACTGATATCGCTGTTAAATAGTCTCATTAACATCGGTGCTGTCCCTTCACAGGAATGGAAATTACTAGCATCTTGTTTATTTAATATGTTTCCACTGTTTGATCATAACTCTACCAGGATATAGACAATATGTCTCCTTCATAGCATTCTCAACTGCTAGCACTCTTAGACTGCTAAATGACTGGTAAAACACAGTAAATATTTGTTAATTAATCAACTGGCTGAATTAATGCATTTGTTTGTGTGTCTACATTTGTTTGTCTACATTGTAGGTTACGGGGATTCAAAGAAAAGGGACACCAAACTGTTCTCAAAAGGCTTATAGAGAAACCAGGAAATGAAGTGCCACAACTTCTTTGACATATGGGGTATAAGGGAATAACAGAGATGGGTCACTTTAAGTTAGGTGGGTCGGAAAAAGCCTCTCACAAGATGTGAGATGAAAACAATATTCAAGCCTTTATCATTACAACACCGACTTGAAAATCCACAATCTAAGCCTAGAAGAGATTCAAAGTGAAGCCATGGACATCACTAAAGGTTTGGGACATGCTGCTGCAGGAAAAGAATACCAGCATTTGGGCAAATAGATGAACATGAATTGAAGGTGGCTAGTCAAACTAAATTAAAATGCTGTCTTTAAAGCAACACACTTTGGTAGGTTGTGGTGGCTCACGCCTGTGATCCCAGCACTTTGGGAGGCCAAGGTGTGGATCACTTGAGGTCAAGAGTTTGAGACCAGCCTAGCCAACATGATGAAACCCTGTCTCTACTAAAAATACAAAAATTAGCCAAGCGTGATGGTGCGCACCTATACTCTCAGCTACTAGGGAGGCTGAGGTGAGAGGATCGCTTGAACCCAGGCAGTGGAGGTTGCAGGGAGCCAAGATAGCACCACTACACTCCAGCCTGTGTGACAGAGTGAGATTCCATCTCGAAAAAATAATAATAATAAATAAATAAATAACAAAATCAAACAACACACTTTGACCTTGGCTCAAATGTTTTGGACGGCCAAAGGTAAATGGGTGGTCTTGATAAGAAATCACAGTGGAAAGTAAGGCTGTCCAAACTGCGTTTGGAAATTTTTGCCAGTCTTTGATTTTGTTCCATCAGCTATAACTCAGTCAAGTTCACAATTTGAAAGTATGTTTGCCCCATTAATATGAATTATTGATCAACTTGCAAGAATCACAATTTCTCAACATAAGAATTCTAGGATGTTGGAGCTACAAGGGAACTCAGAAGTCACTGAGACCTTTTTTTTGACTGTTAAGAAATGAAGTGATACTGATTCCACTGAAGTTTATTGAGCACTTAGTATAGGGCAGGCAACTGGCTAAGGACTCTCCTAGCCTAGGGACACAGGGACAAAGATAGAGATAAAAAGCCACCATAGAGGTCTGCCAGCCCATCACACTCATACTGGGTTTTAAATATGCAAATCGGCAAGTATAAAAAACAGCTACCTTTAACAGGAGCTATAAAATGGTGTTATTATCTTGTAATGGTTTTATTTTGAAGATTAAAAATTTGGTATAATGATGCAATAGTTATGTAAATGACCTATATGATGTTGGAGGAGGCAAAAGGGATTTCATGTTGATCATCTTTTTCTTCGGTCAGTTACACTCCCCACCATCACCATTCATTCCAGTGCTCACATCTTTGAACACGAAGACCATCAAGACACCCAATATCATTATCCTTAAATTGTCTCACTTAAGATCCATGATTCAGTAAAAGTTTATTTCAAAGCATTCACCTATCTCTCAGGGGAAAAATAGTCAAACCTGCACACTATGGACTTTTTAGTACCGACTTGCTGCATTCCCTAGTGTTCTACGCCTGCACATTTAATGGAATAAGTTCCTTGCAACTTCTTTCACCTCAATTTTGTATAGCAGGGATTCCTAACTGAAGTTTAGTTTTGCTGTTTTTTAATATGAACATCATACACATTCTCCAAGAACCTCCAATCACTTTAAAGGATGCCTTAAATTCTTTAAACAATTTAGAAAATTAATTAGCTTCACCATTGCACGATTAACTTTCAAAAATGTTATCCAGAACTTTTAGGAGGGGTAAAAGATATTGCAACATCACTGACCTAAGTACAAAAGAGTGGGAAGTAAAAGTTCTATATATTGTGCTTAGTTGTTTCAGTTCAAGTGGACATATTTCCCTTTAGATTATAAGAGAAAAACAAAGCTAGCAATTCTTAAAAAGTATAGTTCATCAAACTTTCGGTGCCAAAAATGTTTTTGAGACTCATTTTGTCTAACTGCTTCATCTGACCCAACTCACAGAAAAAGTTAACATACCATACACACGTACGTCCTTCTCCTCACCTGCAGAGCTTTCTTCCAAAAACTAAAAAGCAATGGAAAGTATGTAGACTCTCATCCAGTTTTCTAGACTATAAGCTCCATAAGAGCAAGGCTTATATATCTGTTTGGTTCACAGCTGAATCCTCAGAACTTAGTACAGTGCCTGGGATAAGACGGGCATCAAAAACCAAAACACAACAAAACAAAAACCCCCAGAACTTGTTAAATGATGAATAAGCTTCCTCATTTTAGTGACAGAAAGTCTAAATCCTAGAGTACAGAGGGTAAATGGCTTGCCAAAACACACAGCAAATCAGAGTATGCCCCCGTGCTCTTCCTGCTCTGCAACCATTTCCCTACAAGCACTAGTATCCAAGTCACAATACTTATGACCATAACTGTTTGTTTTTATTTTCAACTCTTTCCAGGAATTAATATGCACTCCCTTGAGCCCACAGTTCTTCTTAACCCTTGCCTCATGTCTGCAAAACATCATACAACTTTGCAAGTTGCACACTGACAACCCCAAACCCCCCTATGTATAGGAACTTCAGACTCCATACATCAGCATTCAAGCAATGATTCTGTTTTGGCTTCATTAGTACTTGGTAGATCAATGTTTGTGAAGACTTTACAGCCTTTTTCCTTTTCTTTCCTTTGTTTTTTTTTTGTTTGTTTGTTTGTTTTTTTTGAGACAGAGTCTCGCTCTGTCGCCCAGGCTGGAGCCCGGAGTGCAGTGGAGCCATCTTGGCTCACTGAAAGCTCCGCCTCCCAGGTTCCCGCCATTCTCCTGCCTCAGCCTCCCAAGTAGCTGGGACTACAGGCGCCCGTCACCACGCCCGGCTAATTTTTTGTATTTTTAGTAGAGACGGGGTTTCACCGTGTTAGCCAGGATGGTCTCGATCTCCTGACCTCGTGATCCGCCCGCCTCGGCCTCCCAAAGTGCTGGGATTACAGGCGTGAGCCACCGCGCCTGGCCTTCTTTTTCTTAATGTATAAAAGTAATCAATGAAAGACAAAAGGTGCTGATAGTGGTAATAAAAAGCATATGTCTGATAAACTTAACACAACTAAGACAACCTAAATCATTAGGAATGCTGAAAGCAATTAATATGTAGTCTTATTCAAGCACTAACTGGACCTAATCTGGCTCTATTGTGAAAGATAAGAATATTAGCTAAGAACACGTATGAAATGCTGGAAATTGTTTCTTGAAGTCAATATAAAGTTTAAAGCACAGTGATATTTTTTAGATTCCAGGTCACAGAAACTCCTATAATATGGCAAGTTATAGTTTACTGTGTGGACTGTTCACCTCACTACAGGTTTCAACAAATGTATTTTGTATGAATATATGGAACTGTCTGTAATCAATGAGGATTTTGTCCCTATCAGGTAAATAAGTTTCCATCTTGACATATCATATCCTTCACAGTATACTGATGGGATAATAAATTTTGAGAAAAAGCCAATCATAAGATGGAAAGAGAAGGTAATAAAGTCAGTGAAATAATGAGACTCAATGATACGCTGATTTTAATTTCAAAAAGGAAATCTTATTCTTTGACACCAATTTTAATTGGAAAAAAATCCAATTTTTCCCTTAAAACATTATTAACACTTATATGGACTTACTAAACAAAGTGCATTTCCTACAGAAGGTTTAGAGTATGTTTCCGTGTATATAGACTATGTATGTGTGTGTCACAATATGTTGTGATAACTGAGGGACGTAAACTCTTGGGTTTCACATATACAAAAAAATTATCATAACCAAAATATTGAAATATAAATCCAACAAACTGCACTATTATGAAAACAAATATTCTGAATGTCAATCACTTGACCTTGCTCAGATTGGGAGAGCTATGATCATGCGGGAATAGTATATATGCTTTCCAAACCAAATCATCTTTATTTAAAAATAAGATTCAAAATGAACACGTACCTAACACATACACACATAAAAATGACAGGCATACACATTTTTTTTCTTTTCAGGATTTTTCAAAGCATTTACTATCCCATAGAATTAAAAGAGATGCTGCCCCAAAATAATAATTTTTAAACTTAATCTTTTTTTAAAAAGTGTTCTAAGAAAGGGGAGTTTTTACACAGTCATATTGGAATCTAAATTTGTTTAATGACCAAATTATAAACCTCTGCAATCTGACAACTAGAGTAGAAATACTAACTATAGTATGTGCTGCCATAATAATGATACCCACAAGATCAGCCCAGTGCTTGTAGCTGTGGCAGGGTCCCCAGGCAGCAGGATAACTGCTGCTTGATCATTATCCCTGCTAAAACTGAAGCTACTGAAGTTTTAAAGAATTCATATCTTACTGAATTTCTTTCATCTCTAATAATTACTAAACTGGCATAATTACTTATACTAGAGGTGGAATGTGATGCATGCTAAAAGCCCAAGGTGCCTAAAATTAAAGTTTTTTATTAAAAAAAAAAAAAAAGCTGCGATTCTACTTAGTTTTCAGAGATTTATCTTGTGTCGGGCTTTTTATGCCAGGAGTTGCATAATTATTTAAACCATTTAAAAGCTTTCCTTACACTATTTGATTAATACTATAACAGAGCTATTTAAATTTACTAATGTTAACTTTAATGTTTAAGTTTTAATTGCTTTGTAATAACACTGTTGCAGAACATATTTTAAATCAGACAAGTACGCTTTCACTACAACAAACAAGGTATATGCAATCCTAGCACCATGTAGTCCCCAAACAAAAAACAGGAACATTTCAGATTTAATTGAAATGGAATTAGAAAGTTGCATGCATCTCCCCCACCCCTAGAACTAACTTTAACCTTTGACAGCACAACAGGAGTCAATGAAGAAAAAAATTAAATACATCTGGGAAAATACTTAGCTACAGGTTTGACGTGGAATATCAGCCTTTGTATCAAAATCTCATTCAATTCAAAAGCATTCTTTCACATCTTACTTAATGATAATATTTACATTTTTAATGATGCAGACAGCTGCTAAAATAAACAAATACTGCAAGTCTTAAAATCACTTTCCCTCTTAAAATTAACTGAAAAACTGAACATAGTATCCATTAAATCCAGCCATGAGGAATGTATTCTGTGGCAACAGAATTAATGACAGTAAACCAGCAATGTGAATCCTGACAGATGAATTAATAAAACACATTAATAGGAAAAAGAGACCCTTAATAAAATTCTTAATTGATCTTAGTAGACCTACTCTTTTCTACTATCAAAACCTCTTTCTTCTTATTACATGCTTTTACATCAAAATGAAAACTCAAGCAAGTATACTTAATAATATGCTTCAACTTATGTCAACAAGTATTTAACTAGAATTTACCAGACTAACGAGCCCTCACAAACAGACTCCTTTAAAAATAGAGGGAGGCAGGTACAAATGTTCCTCTAAGGTGAAAAGAAATCTCCTACAAATATGCTACGAGTCTTGCACTAGACCAAATAAGCAAGTACAAAGAACTAAGTATAATTACCGGAAGCAAAAAGTTGAAAAATTCTGTCATCACTGTTAGACGTCACTGCTGTCAGTAAGGATAACTACAGTGGTTTTTAAAGGATATGGAAATACTCTGGCAAAACAAAAAAGAAAAATTATTAACAGCTTGCTTTATAAAAGGCTGCTTGCTAATCTCAAATCCCTTTGTAATTTCATTTTTACATGTATGCTTTTATGTTCAGTATCCTATTTTTTGTCCTTTTTTGGCTGGATGAATAAAAGACAACAATCCACTCATGCATAAAACAGATGTTTTTGTTTTTAAGGCCAAGTGGAATCTTATGAATTTGTGTGCCCTCACTTTAGGAAGATGCTGCCAGAAGTGCTGAAATCGTGAAACCGGCGTTTTGGAAGAGACTCACTGGACCATCAGTTCTGGAACTTTGACTAGCACTCATGGGATCCTTGCCAACTGTAATTGCTGTTTTTGTTTATGTCGGATTGTCTACTGATTGGACTATAATGAATTTAATGACTTCAACATCTAGTCAGTATAATTTAAAGGTGGTGGAGGGAAGAAACAGTCACTGGTTGATAGATAAATAGAAGAACATTTGCAAGTGTCTGAAGGAGTATGGATGTCAAACACTGTTTGAGCTTCTGCAGTGTTTCCAATAATCAGGCTTTTTAGCATACAAGTCCAAAAGTAAAGCATACATTTCTGTATGCCAATTAGTATTTTTGCCTGTACAATCATGAAAAAAAATCTCTCTCTCTAATTTGTGTGTGTATGTATCTTTTCTTATTTTTTAAAAAACTTACCTTAGGTTAAAATCTAATCATGAAAAAAGGGAGTCACAACCTATCTAAAAATAATTTTGAGGGAAAGCCATATTGCAATTCTTAAAAGCAAAGCACTGCACTGTCTTAAAACAATTACCTTTACACACAAACTTGGGGGCTTTTTTTTTCTAATTATGTCATCATTTCCAAAATCAAAACTCAATCTTTACTGATGAGGTTTTTTTTTGTCTAAGAAATGAAACATATGAAATATAAGAGAAACACTTTTTTTTTGGTTATACTTCACCTGTCTACCCGTAAGTATATATATTTTGACTTTGAACATAAGAGAAAAAAATGTGTTTAAATAAGGACTGCAGAGTTTAATGTTTCTATTAAATTTCAGGGCCAGTACAAGCTCCCTGAGGTGGCTTTTCTAACACCTACAATTTTTAGAGCTTTTCCACTAGAGAATACAGCCTAATACACAGGTTTTCTTACTTTCAAAAGGTTTCAGGCTTAAAATCCATTGCCTTTACATTCAAATTCTATAGTTTACATTTCTTCTTTAAATTGCAGACTAAGTTTTGCCACTCTATTACATTTCTAAATAAATTACTCTACTCAAAAATAAAATAAAATAAACCTTCCT
The DNA here is from genome assembly GCF_000001405.40 of Homo sapiens. Classification (NCBI taxonomy): domain Eukaryota; kingdom Metazoa; phylum Chordata; class Mammalia; order Primates; family Hominidae; genus Homo; species Homo sapiens. Next base: position 25,346,650 of record NC_000018.10, read on the forward strand.
AAGTACAAAAGAAGGTAAATGGGGGAAAGGTCAATCACAAGTGTGATAACTTCAAAATGTGCCAAGTTACAAAGGGTTAGCTACTGTGACGGCCAAGTTAAACAAGGCACTTCTGGGGCTCTCTTTCTCCCTGGTTCCCACCACTCCTCTCCAGAGGTCCCTGGTATGGGTTTATGAACACCTGAGGGTTCAGATATCCTAATTGTGTCTTGTGTTTAACTTGGCCATCTAAATGACTAAGTGCTCCCCTCTCTCCTTCCCAGCTTTATAACTTGGCTCTTACTGAATATATCACACCTTTATATAGTGGACCACTTTTTCCTTTTTACAGTGCTTTTTGGAGTAAATTTCAAAAAAAAATTGTTTGTTATTAGGTAAAATGGCCGAGAAACTTCCATCAGAGAGGCACCACAAGAAAGAGAATAAATAGCCAGCAAGAAAAATAGAAATAGGTCACAATTGACCAATTTGATGCAACTGATTTGCTGCCTCTAAAAATAAGCTGACAGGAGAACTATTTTGAGTCAGGTAATCTACTCAAGTACCATGTCTACTCTCAGGAATTGAGACAAATATCCAAATAATATAAATGGGGCAGAAAGAGTGACTCATTTAATTGTCTGTCCATCCATGCCTCTAATAACTGGCTTCAATTCTCTATTTCATTAAATAGAAGGGGTTATCCAGAAGATTCGTACCATAAGGACAGAATAAGTTTGTCAACTTTGTATGTGGGCTGATAGAATTTTGATGCTAGGGCTTTGAAAGGCAGGAGGGGTAAAGGAGTTCCATGTTTCAAAATATATTTCCAGCTTTTACAAATAGAAAAGTGAATCTTTTCGGTGTTTAACAGGTTTAATGTACTTTAGAGGAGGTAAGTAGACCAACCAGGACCTGCTCCACTGAAGCTAGAAATATGGTACCTACTCTCAGGAGATGGATTCTTAGGACAATTACACTGAAGTTTCCTACAAACAAAAAACCCAGCATACTTTTTCAAGTAAACATAATTATTCCTTCAGGGTACTAAATTATGAGAATTCACACAATAAATTCAACTGTTAATAGAAATGTCCTGGTAATCTGTATTTTTAAGCATTTGGTTGAAAATACAGACTCCAAACCTAACTGACATTGTGTCTTCATGTTTTTATCTGCCTTAGGTAAATGACTTTCCTGAGATACAAGTTTCAAATTATATCAAATTGACAGTCATGTCAGCAATATCTTTTACATCTTGTTGGTTAAAGTACTAGTATGCATGTAAGACAGAAGTTGGAAATTCAGTGCAGAACTTCATGTTTTATTTAGAAGGGCCTATTGCATTTTCATGGTTTCCAATGCCTCCTTCAAGTTGGCTATAATCTACATGGTTTTGAAATACTGTCACTCATCTAATAAAATCAGACTTTTTATCTTTTAATTGCAAACCTATTAATCAGTTATTCATAAATGAAGAAACACAACAGGACTGCCTTTCTATACCTGCTGATAGCAAAGTGTTGTTCACTGCATATTACTACTAATATGATACCAGAACACAGGTCATAATAACACCTCTCTGGCTTTTCTATGATCCAAGTGTGACCTTCTGAATGATATAATGGACAATCCGCATACTCAGAACACTCCTACAACACATTTTGAAAAATTGGAGACCCTTCCAAGAAGACATAGGGAAATCAAAATACTGAAGAGAAGGCTAGGTATTTAACAAGAGCCACCCAGAATGCCCTTCCTCTTCTTCAAAACCGCTACTAATATCAAAATGATTCGTTTGGTATAGCTCATCTACATATGAATTTTTCAAGGCATACCCTGAAGAAAAACAATCCGCTCTTCAGTGAGGACTGTACTATTTTTATTCCTGTCTTCAGCTTCTCATCCCCAAAAGCCCAGCCAGCCCACCTGAGGCCATTCGCTCTTTTGGGAGTTGTCCAAGCAGCTGATAGGAGAGAACAGCACTGTGTTCCGCGCCCACACAGAATATGGAAGCTAAATCTTTGTTTTTAGTGTAAATATTTTATTTAGAATTTAGCAGTTGAAACAGATGCTGTCTTTGTGGGGAAGATATTTGGATAATTTTGCAACATGACGATAAAAGAATAAAATGTCCTCTTTACTCATTCTTCACTTGCCATTTTTTGCTTATTAACCTAAGAACTGCACAGGTATTTTGCAGTTCGACTTATCAAACCTGCCCAGCGAATACCGTCAACTGACGGATTCCCTTTACTGCCCATAAAATCCTACGTGCATGAGAAGAAATCATCTTCAGGAAGCACTGGGAACAAACGCATTCACAGTCAACCAAACTTTCGCTGTAAATTCACTCCAAAAGCAGGTGAACCAAATGCTCAGAAGCTGCGAGTGAACAAAACTGCCAATCGTGCAAACTTTAATAAACTTTTTTTTTTTTGAAAAGAAAAATCCCTCCCAAATTCCTTCACGGGGTTTCAGAAGCTTCTTGGAGCCCTTTCCACCGGACAGGCACTAACCGCTATCCTACTTCAACTCGGAAAGTTCTTCTTTCCAAGTGACTAGGAAGAGGTTTGTCCTGGTACTTCGCTCAGCGTTACTTTCAAGAAAGCCGGGGTCTCGGGCAAGTCTCGCCGGCGCGAGCCTGGTCCACCGTTACCCTGACACCCGCGCACGCCCGTGGCGTTTCTTTTTTCACTGTCGACACTTGGATCTTTCAGGCCCTGGGTCTAGGTTTCCCCCAGAAAAATGAGGGGCCCATGTGACGGAAACCACCAGACACACTGTGTGGAGACACATGCCAATGATTCACCTCGTTCCCGAACTAAAACTTCTGCGCTTTAGGAAAAAAGCAAGCGTTCCAATCTGCGAGGCCCTCCCCCACCCCGTCCCTTCCCAGGAGAAGAAAGAAAGGGCTTTGTGTGTGCGGTGAGGGCTCCGTTCATCGAGTTCAAAAATGCACAGCGGCCGGGGGCCGGGAGGCGTGGGGCGCCGGGCCCTGCCCACCCCTTTTCCCCGGGCCGGCGGCGAGTCGGGAAGCTGGTGCGGGAACCGGGGCCACGGGGCGCCGCGGCCCGGCAGCCAGGAGGAAGAGGATGCTGCGCCGCCGGGGACCAGAGGGCGGGGCCGGGCCGCGCGGACCTCGGCGGGACCCAGCGGGCCCGGGCGGGCGCACCAGCCGCCCTTTGTCCTCCGCCTCCGGGTCGCGGGGGCCGCGGCCGCCTCCAGCGCTGGCCCCCTGGCCCTCGCCCCGGTTCCCCGTCCTGCCCGCGCGCCCCTCCTCCGGCCCTCGCGCTCCGCCGCCCGCCCTCCCCGCTCTCCGCCTCGGAGCGCCGGACCTCGCGGCTCCCCTCGGCCGCCCGCCCCCGATTTCCTCGGAAGGAGGCTCGCGAAGGTGGAGGAGGCGGCCGAGGAGGAGGAGGAGGCCGCCACGTGACTCTCCTCGCCACATTCCAACACAGCCATCAGATCGATAACTTCAGGGACCCCCGCCCCCGCCGCAGCCAGCTAGTGCGCCCCCAAAATCCCGCACGCACGCCCCGCAACTTCCCTCTCCAACAGGGACGACGGAGAGCTGGACCCCACCGCGAAACGCAAAGGACTCCAGGGGCGGCGGGGAGAAGTAGGGGCGAGGGGCGGTCAACTTCTGGGAATGGCCAAGAGGGGTGCTCTGAGGCCCGAGCCGGGGTCCGGTGCCCGCGGCCGGCGGCCGGGGTCTGTTTACTCCGGCGACGTGCGGAGAGGACCCAAGCAGGACGCGGGCGGGCGGGAGGCGGCGGCCGGGACCCCGGGCCACGTTTGTCACGAGCGGGGGCTGCTCCCCACCTCCGAGATGACTTTTTTCTTCTTCCAAAGAAAAGGAAAAAAGAAGCACCGCACGGTTTTGCATATTTATTCTTTGCGAAAACACACAACAGAAACTTTTTCCTCCAGCCCAGATGTAGATCTCAGACGGGATATTTTTTTTTCCTCCCTCTCCGGATAATTTCGTTTCTTTCTCTCTCTCTCTCTTTTTTTTTTTCGGTTGTTGTTGTCTTTTCTCGCCCACTTTCTACCGCCGCCCCATTCGGGGATCCTCCTCCCGTCTTCGTCTCCCCCCACCCCGACACCTCACCCTCACTCCACCTAGGGGCTCAGCGGGGAGGGGAGCGCGCGCGCCCCCGCACTCACACTCACACTCACGCGCGCACACGCCTCGCAGCCACGCAGCCCTCGCTCCGCTACCCACAGTGACACTCGCGGATGGGGGAAAGCGGGGAGCAGGGGGTTCCTCCTTACCTTTGAGGGATCTCGGTTTCGCTTGCTTGCGGCGAGACATCCTAAAAGCAAACAGCTGAAGTTGTTTCAATTCAGCCCTGAAAGAAACTATACTTCCTCGTGGCCGCGCGCCCCTCGGGCCGCGGCGCCTCGCGCCCTCCGCTCGGCCTCCCTCGCGCCCTCGCTCCGCGCTCCGCTCCTCGCTCCGGCTCCGGCTCGCGCTCGCGCGCGGGGCTCGCGGCTGCCCGAGCTCCGCGCTCTGCACGACGGCGGCGGCGGCGGCGGCGGCTGCTGCACCAAACTTTCCCAGCCTTCGACCCCCACCCCCAATCTCCAAGAAAAAAAAAAAAAAAGGAAAAAGAAAAAAGGAAAGGAGGGAAAAAAAGCTAAAAAAAAAACCCCAAAGACAATGTTTGAAGAGCCGTCAGCTACACTAAAAAGAGAAAATCCGTTACTATTTCCACCTCAATCAAAATTCACATAGTTCATGCGAATAGAAAAAAACTAATAAAAAGAAAAGCGTCTGGGTGATTTTTTTTTTCTTTACCGCTTTTCCTTTTCAACAAATCCGCCCCCCCCCCCACCGGAAAAAAACAAATAACACTGATTTGTTTACAAAGCGAGTCGTGCTCTTTTGTAGTTGGGGGGACGAGGGGGGGAAATCGACCCTGCAAGGCGATGAAAAGGTCTTGGAAAGAAAAATCTCCCACCATCCGAGGCAGATGCGAACGGGCCACGAAAATAAGCAAAGGGAAAAAAATACTTTTTTTCTCCCTTCCCCCCACCCTTTTTTTCTTAACCCACACTAAAGTAATTTCTTTCAAAAAGAAAAAGCCAAAGCACCCGAGCCGACGGCCCCCAGGTGGTGTGCGGGGCTGCTTGTGTGCAGGGGGTGTGCGGGGCCCGGGCTCGGGGCGCCCCTCTCTGGGCGGGGGCGCGGCGCCGGCGGCTGGCGCTGGACCGGGGCTCTAAAGTCTACGGCTGCCTCGGCAGCGGCGGCGGCAGCAGCGGCGGCAGCGGCGGCGGCAGCGGCGGCGAGAGCAGGAGGAGGAGGAGGAGGAGAGCCGGGAGCAGGAGGAGGAGAAGGAGTGTGCTGTGTGCTCCCTCCTCATCACAAACCTGCAAGGTCTTGGACTGCGCTGTCGCTCCGGTAGTCCACATAATAATGGAAAATGGAAGCAAGGCCCCCAAAGCCATCAGGATGGCTCCAGAGGGGGCCCCTAACCCGCAGGGACTCGCTCTGTACGTAATCACTGAGGAAATCATTGTCAGCCTGCCTGCACTCACACACAGACAGAGGGGCATGATTAAAAGGCGAGAGCGCGGGGAGCGGGAGGGAGGAGGGGGCCCGCCAAGACCCGGACTGGAGGCGCCGGCCGCGGCGCGCGGATCCGGAGCCAGGCGGCGGCCGAGCGCCCCGAGCCCCGCCCGCCGCCGCCGCCGCCGCCGCCGCCTCCCACGCGCCGCGCGCCCCGCCCGCTCCTGCGCCGCCGCCCCTCGCGCCGCCCGCCCGGCCGCTCGCACACCCCGCGCCGCCGCCGTCGCCGCCGCCGCAGCTGCGTTATTAGAGCTCCACGGCGGATCTCGGGGCTCTTCTGCTCGCTTTTTTTCCTCTTCAGAAATTAAAGCAGAGGAGCATCTGAAAGTGGAAAGGTCCCCCTTCTGGTAGGATGGATGTAAAAGGAGGCAACAATTTGTTCTTGAGGGGGCAAAAAAAAAAAAAAAAAAAAAGAAAAAGAAAAAGAAAAAGAAAGGAGGGGGGAAATTCATTGCTTGGCTTTTGCATTGTCGGACTTTAAAAAAGTGTGTCTGCTGTTGTTGCCCGGACTCGGGAAATCTTTTTTATGGCAACCGCAGACCTGCCAAGTCTCTCTTACTTGGAATCTTTATAAAGGCAAGTTATTTGGACTTTTTTTTTATTTTCTCGTTTAGAGAAAGTCATTGATGCTGACGAATGTCATAATGTGATTCAAAAGAGACAGCTTTGAGTTCACTTTTTTAACATTCTCAAATTGACATAGATCTTTGTCCAGAAAATAAAGCTTTCTGTTGATTTTTTCTTTAAGCAAGAGGTAAGGAAATATGCACTTAAGAATATGTGTACAAGAAAATAGTTTCTAAAATAAATTGAAATGTCTGCAGGTCGGTGGGAATTTTTGTTTCTTTTCGCAGTTTTGTTTTCTAACTTTTCACCTGCTCCCATCGCAAAACAAGAAACCATCACCTGTTTCCTTCTTTTACCTTATCTTAAGGGAAAGGATGTTTTAGTATTATTATTGTTGTTGCTATTTATTGATTGGACACGCTTGTCAAGTTATAAATGCCTGAGAGGGCTACCAAGTAGAGCTTAGATTCACAAGTCTTGGTGGAAATTAAGAGATTCAGAATACGGTTAATTACACAAAACAGGCAGAATTTTGTACAAATACTATTGTTCTTAATCAGATTTTAAAAATTCTCCGTTCTGTAAAATTAAGGTACAGCTATCTATTAAGCCACCATGCAAAGACATCAAAGCTTTAAGGAAGTTGTATTTTTTCCAGTCTAACCTGTAAACTGCCTGGACCCTCATGTGGATAGCTGCAAATACAGTATGTTTTTTTTCAATATCTTCATTATAATTAAATGAGTTTTCAATCCATCTGCAGTAATTCCTAAAGTGAAATCATAGTTGTAGTCAAATTTAACTTTGCATGACTGTGAAATAAAGCAACTTTTGTTGCAGAATCTGTGTTGGTACATTAAGGATTCTAGATTTTATACATAACCTTATACATTCATTTTCACAGAAATCATTCAGAAAGGGAAAAATGTGTAAACACCAAGTTTTTACAAGACTTTCCTTTCGTGTGGTAGCCATATGTGTGCAGAATACTATGGTGCCATGTATGTGTGGTCCCAAGTTATGTGTGATATTATCTAAAATATTGATGGCATCTAATCCTGGTTTTATTGGAAAGTGAAAAATTGCTAACGTAATACTAACGCGTACCCTAATTTGTTAAAGTTTTCTATATGGGTTGATTTTTTTTGTTTCTTTCTCAAAGTAGTCTACTTTGCTTTACTCTAAAATTGTTCTTTCATTTCCCAATGTTAGTATTTCTGTTGCCTTCCTCTATTAAGAGATAAATAAAACCCTTAGCTCAGAGATTTAGATCTGGCTCAAGAGCCTGATATTTCAGTTTGGGATAGTACTGCATAGCATTTTAAGGGAGGTTAAAGCACCAACCACCCAAAAGACAAACATAAAAACTATTTTAACCTAAATCTGTCAAATATTGACCTATACAGATAGGTAAAATGCTTTTGAAACGTATCTTTAAATACTTTAATTTCCTCCCCCCAAGTTACCAAGGGGGGGAAGATCATTGATTATGTTTCTAAACATAAACCCCAACATCCACCCATGAAGCCAAAGCCATCATCTCTGAGCAGAATGCAGCAACTTTGTGAATATTTGGATGCTGTTGTTGATGATGGGGTAATAATGCATAAAGAACCATGTGCAAGGAATTTTACTAAAGACAAGACAAATATTTTCTTAGGTCTCATTAAGGGGTCTTGAAGTCCAAGATAAAACATCACCCATTCTACCTTTTGGAGGGACAGATCTGGTAGGCAAAACTCCCACTGATTTCAGCATCCCTTACCACCGTATTCCATGTGAATTAATCAATTATGTGGAATTGGTGAGCACTTGGATTTCATTAAACACTGCTGAGTAGCCTCGCAATTACTTTCCATGCTTCGTATATAAACAGACACCAAAAATGTAAACTGTCCAATTCACCTGATAGAGGCTACACAGATGCTAAAGAAGGAAAACTAAGATTTGTCTTTCTTTGGACGATGCGAAAAAGCATAATTAGCCACTGCAGAAAGGTAAACATGCCTAACTGATAAACATTTTTTCATGCTTAACAAAATTCATTTTGGGAATAGTAAACTACTATATATTCAGTTATTTATCCCCCAACTTTTAAATGTATTATTCTCATTCTTAAAACTGGAAACCAGCTACAATGAGAACGTCATTCATTTTCATTCAACAGTTTTTTGAACATCATCATCCAACAAATTGTGCTGTCCTCCAAATAACCTATTTAACATCTCCTGAATAACCAGCAAAAACATATAAAGCTTATAAATTTTAGGTATTATTTACAAATAACCTGAATAGTAGTATAAAGTTTAAAATGAGACAGACCCTTCATTACCGAGTTCTATTAAGAACTTAAGTAGCTACATAATTAAACTTTCCATTTCGTATTAACATATGATTGATTTAACTTCTGGCTCTTTTCATGCATTGACTCCACAGCACCTACTTTTAAGATATTTTGCACTTTTCAGAATGTCTTGCATTGGTGAAACAAACAATATCTGGAACTGAGACTCTTACTTGAAAAAAAGATTAACGTTTTTTCAACTGTTAATTCCAACAATAAAGATATTGCTAAAGGAGGGATTAATGTTAAAGGAAACCTGTGTCCATGAAACTTGACCTCAAAGGAATTAATTACAGAAAACACATTAGGTACCAGTTCAAGTAAATCTCCAATTTTAAAATGTCAGTTGCAAAGCATAAATTGTCTTTGATAAGTTATAAGTAATAGTGTCAAAGTTGCAATCTGGCATCTAAACCAATTACAAAGAGAATACTCTGCTCATAATTTTATATAAATATCCTTAGCACATGTCTACTTATCTGTACAACAATTTCATGTAATATTTTAAGATTTTCAAGACCGATTTCGGATTTTTTTTAATATTGAAAGTTAGTTCAAATCTAGTGTATTACCTGCCTGAGTAATATGACTGTATCAGTCATATTACTCCACAGAAGCTTTCTTTTAAAGGAGGAGCATTTTTAACAAGAGTTAAATTAAAAGTCCTATGAAAGGGCAGTTTAATCAAAGTCCATCTGAATCTAATGTGTGTGTCTGTGTCTGTGTGTTTAAAATATAAAATATATGTGTGTGTTATATATGTATATACATCCACGTATATACATATTAACACATTATTGTTAGAACAACATATAAGGGACTTTTAAATTAACATTTGTGCAAAGTATTAGTGATGCATTTGGAAAGGCAATATTTTTAGTCCACAAAAACTATACTCAGTTCCCAGTTCCTTTAATTGTCCACCATCTAATTCTCAGTAAGTTACTTAATATCCATCCTGCATACTCATAACCACACTCTACCTCTTAATCTATGAAATGGGTAGCAATGTTTGAATGCAAAAGCATTTAAGAACGTCACATGGAAAAATCCACATTAAATATATAAATATGGCAAATGTATTTTGTCATTATGAATAACAAATTCTATTTTCAATCTTTTTTTAGTCTTATTTACTTGACTTCTTTTCTTTCATAAAATCTGAGTCATTAAACCCCTTTAAAAAAAATTCTGATACAGATGCGTTGAGGACTTTTCTACTTGGTGGTGGACTATATCCAAAAAGGTAAAGTTTTTTAAATGCACACTATACATTATTCATTTATTTTATAATACACGAATTCATTGAAATTTAAAGATTTAATTTCAACATGTATAGAAACGTTTAAAACTAGAGGTTTCACATTGTCATCTTTTCTTACTGAGGCTTTCATAACCACTGCAAAGGTCCTTATTGAGCCACTAAAACAATAAAAGAGAGAAAATATCCTTTCTTCACACAGAAATTGCGAAAAGAAAAGAGGGATCTTTCAGTAGAATAATATTTGCAAGCTACTTTTAAAGGTAACTGAAAGGTGAGGCATCATCTTAAGAAAAGAGATTGTAGCATATTAGAAAAACCAGATAGTACTGATTTGTGAATTCTAAAGAATTAAGGATATAGATAAGTGATCTACTAACAAAAAAAATGAACATGTACCCTTAAAAGAGACAATAAAGGAATAAAACAGTTGATAGAAATTGAATCTACCTTTTTAAGTATTGCTAATAGTATATATTTGTAGAACTTAACTGGCATATGCTAAAAATAATTACTGTCATCAGAAATACAAAATTTATAAATAATGAAATAAAGAGGAAATAGTTATATTTCCTAAAAAGGCAAATTATGTTTCTCTCACTTAAAAAAAATTATTATAAACAATTTTTCATAAGTTATATGTCCCTAGATAATCATGCCTTTGGTAAATATTTTAGTTTTAGAAAGTGTACACAGTTGAATTAATTTTATACATTGAAAATAGAACATGTAATTTGGTTTATAACCCCAAAATTTTAAGTTTTTGTCCAAATGAGCACAAATGGATTTCTTTGGTATAGTTTAATGTAATTATTAAAATACCATAATATTTGGTTAACACTACGGTTTATAAAAATTAGAATATTGGTCATTAAAATCCAGAGATAATTAAAAGAAGCCCTTTGACAATAAGTGGTCATTACAGTTAATAAAAAGGATAAAATTCAAATGTAAAAGTTAAAGACTGTACATAGCAGAGAAAAAATGTAGCCATCTGTGAGCACCAGCTCTTTTGAAAGATAATATTAAAGATTATGTAGATATCTCTTTACCATGATACAGTGGTAGCAGAATAAATAGGTTTATAAAATTTCTCTTCATTAAAATAAGTGATCTATATTATGTTGTGTTGAATCTTATTTTCAAAGAAATCAAAGCCCTATAATCTGAGTTCAAATAATTTTTGAGGATATTTTTTTCTTTAGATTTCTAGGAAAATAAAACAGGTTTTTATAAAGCTGGAGTTTCAGAAAAGGGGAGACACTCATAAACTTTTTGTGTTATAATGAAAAATAGATGCATTGTGCACTAGAGGCATGGTATAAATAACAGGATTTTAGGTGTAGGGATTTTTCTTGTACATGTTTGGAAATTGTTAAGAGTTAAATAAACTATTTGCTGTCCTGCAGTTTGGAAATGTGTGCTCTCGATTACACAGATTAATAATTTTCAAAGAATCAGAACACAGTAAATTCACTTATCTGTGGAGTGTTGCTGAACAGCATCTAACCTGTCTTTGATGATTTAGAAGGTGCTTCATAAATTTTTGGTATCTTTGAATTAATATTTATGAACGTTCATTACCACTATAATCAAGACATGCAGAGATAACCAATTAATAGAGAATTCTGATGACAGAACGCCATCTACACCAAGCCTGAACTGAGTACAGACGTTTCATTCTTGTCTGCCTACAGTACCAATATTTTCAATTTGGATAGCTTCATGCTAAATATAAGATTTCCCAATTCAACAGTATATAAATTTCTTTGCATATAAGTTTTTCTAACCTCTGTTTTTTCCTTTTATTCATAAAACCCTGTGAGGCCCTCTTAGTCAATGATCATCATCATCATTTCCTACTTAGTAATTTTCAGAGATGTTCATCAGGTTGATCAAAATATGGATGAAGAAGGAAGTGGATACAGATTTGAGACAGAAAGAGAGTAATCATTCTCAGTGTCACCTTTGATGCTACATAAACACTTGTTATTTGCCCTTCAACACTGGGCCTCTTGTAGGCTCAATTCATAATAAATAGAGTCAATATCTTCCAAAGAAAAAATTCTGACCAAAAAGTTCCTATCAGAGTTTTTAATCACAGAGAACTTTGGCTCTTGTTCGTGACTTGTCCCCTCCTCTAAAAAAATTTAAAGTATTATTTCTTTTGACTAGTGGGGTTCAAAACCCACAATTGTTCTTTTTGACTGATGTTATCAACCCACTGTAAACTCTAAAGACTTCATATATATGCAAAATATATCCGTTTCTATCACATTATTTTCCCTGCAACACTGAAACTTTATGTGAGCAGTTTTCGCTCAGGTTATCTATATAGTATTATCAGTTCGTGGTATTCAAATCCCTCCTTGTTATCTCCCACGTGGTAATCTTTATGTTGCTGCTTTGCTGTTTTCATATCCTGCCCTTTTCTAAGGGATCACCTTTCTATTCCTTTTAAAGGGTACTGACCTCTCCCACTATCATTCAAAGCAAGAAGATGAAACTTAAAGTGTTTTCTCCACTCTTCTTCCTCTTTTTCCTTATTTTTTATTAAAATTGTAACATAAAAATGTCACTCTGAAGAAAGCCTTGGGTTCATCATTCCCAGCTCCCCTTCCCTGGGAGGTGAATACATTGCCTTTTAATCATGTTGGCCTTGCTTTTCCATAAGGCAATAAAAAAACAGTCTCAACAGAGGTTGCCAGTTATAACTTATGTATAAAAAATGGAATTAAAAACGTTTGATGAGGCAGAATCAGTTCCATAGGGACCCCCTCCTGTATTTCCCAAGTTTTTATTTTATCCTTGCCCTCCTCTAGTCTCTCTTCTTAATTTTGTCTTACATGATCCTTTCTCCCAAACATAGCAGTAGGATTTTAAAGAGGCCTTCTTTCCTAATTTTCCCATTTTTTCTTCTTTCTTACCAGCTTGCCTCTGCATTTATTTTCTATTGACTCTGTACCCTGACTGTCTTCAAATATTCATTATAATTGGAAGTTGCAATCTACCTTCTCCTCTGATGCGTCAACTGCATATGAACTGAATTCTCAGAGATTATTTCCTTTTTCTTATTGACTAGATACATGAACTGGCTTTCAGTTCACTGTATAGTTTTCCAAATTGATTGATATTGCCAGTACAGAAGCATACCTCTGTCATCACCTTATCCTTTTTATTTAATGATTTTACCTGCCTTCATTATTAACTGGTTTCCCCAATCATATTTCTAAACCTCCATCTCACGTTTGGATGTTAAACCCGATGCTTTCAAGGTTTAAAACTAGAGTATGCCTGTTGTGTGCAATGCTGCCTTCTGGGCACTCCCTAGAAACCCCACCCTGTCTGCCTTTTGGTGAATGTATTCAGTACCTTTAATCTTTCTCCTGTTTATTACAGTACTGAGTGTTGTGTCAACTATTAATGTACACTACTGCAACCTGACAGTGTAAATTCTGGCAGAAGCTTTTACAGGATGTAACCTGGTGGCCTCAGGGGTTCACATTTCTCCCATCCTTCTCTGTTTATTTTTCAGAAACACTTTCAATAACCCTTTTTGTGTGGACTTCATTCAAGTTTTACTTTTTCCTGAAAGCTACCCTTGATCTCCCACTTTTTTTTGCTTTCTGCCCTGACTCAGCCCCCCACCCAGCCCCCCACCATCAGCCTTTATATTTCTAGAGGACCCAGAGAAAGTATGTGTATTTATTGTGGTGTGGCAGGCAGCTTGTAAGATGGTGCCCATGACCCCTGCTCTGGTCTTCATGCTGCTGTGTCATCCCAACTCCTGAGTGTCATCTGCACCTAGTGAATTGCTTCTGACAATTACAATATGGCAAAAATGATGGCATGCCACTCCTGAGTTTAGAGTACAAAACTTCGTTTTGCTTGCCCTCTCTCAAACTCTTCCTTCTTCCGTCTTCTTTCTCTCTCTCTTTCTTTCTCTCTCTCTCCCCCCACCCACCCCCGCCTCCATCTTCCACTCTGGCTCTTTTCACTTGCTTACCTACCACCTGCCACATTGTGAGCTGCTCTGAAGCAGAAACCCTCCTAACGAGGAAATGAGACAAATGTGACTAACAGTCAGCAAAAAACTGAGGCTCTCAATTTCACAACCTGTGAACAAATAAACATGCCAGCAACTACTAGTGAGTTAGGAAATCGCTCCTTCTCTGGCCAAGCCCTGAGATGAGACATATTCCTCACAGCCTTGTGAGAGACCCACAGCTATAATGCCCAGCTAAGCTGCACCCAGATTTCTGACCCTCAGAAACTATGAGATAATAAATGCTTGTTATTTCATGTCGCTTATTTTGGTGGTGATTTGTTACACACCAATAGCTAGCTAATACACGTGGTATTATATATGTGGTTTACATATCACACTCTTTCATTAGTCAGTATAAGTAGCAACAGGGTTTTAATGAAGTAGTGAGCTCTGTTTTGCCAGGACCTAGCATAATGCCTGAACCATAATATTTGCTAAAAATGTATTTATTGAATAAATGACCTAATGAGGACTTCTCCTTTATTTAAAACTTCATTAATCACCACTTACAATAAGTTGGTGTATCAGCTGGGTTTCTTGGTAACTAATTTAGGCTAACTTAAGCAAGAAAGCAGTACAACGAAAGGAGAACAGGTAGCTTCCAGAATTGAGGAAGGCTGAAGAAGGAAATTCAGGGAATAAACAAGCAACAAGAGAGGGTAAAGTCCATCAAAGTTCAGTCAAGTTCCTGCTGCTGGGACACAGGTCAGGACATCATGCTGCAGGATGCGTGGACACTGCTGGACTTCAGATGCCAGTGCTGCCACCATGCATCATCTCCAGCTGTTCTGGCCTCTTCCCATCATTTCCCAAAGACCCTAAGTTCTGAGTGGGGCACCTGTTGGCTGAGCTGAGGTCACATACTAGTGCCTACCTGCTAGAGTGCAGAAAAAAGGACCATCTACTCACCCTTGATAAATAAAGGAGAGCCCCTGTCCTTTTCCAAAATCACCCATGGTGGTGTTTTCCCCAGAACAGAAAGGGATCAGGGGCTGGCAAGTGCTCACACCATCAAACAGTAAATAAATTATTCCAGAACTCAGTAAGAAACTCACCCATTAGAGAAGCAGCTCTTAGAAGCTTTAGTATTCTCTTCTAGGTAATTTTGTTTTTTTTTTCTTTTTAAACTTTCTCACCAAATGGATTCCCTTTTTAGCACAAACTCTCTAAAATAATGGTCCGTGCATAAATATTAACTACTATTCCCTTCTTGCCACCCACTTGCCATCTATTATAGTCTATTTTCTAGTCAGATGTGTGAAGAAGTAAAAGAGCATGTTTATGTGATTTCTCAGGTATGAAAAGAAAGAAATTAACTTTTTTAGTCTGAAGAAATAAATTTGCCAAGCACCCAGTGCTGGACCCAGTGCCCATTGTAAAGTCAATTAATGGGATGTACCTTTCTGCCACATTTCTCCAAAACAATTTGAGCTTTTTTTCCCTGTAAGGTTTCATATGGTATCTCTATCCTGGTGGAACTAATTTTTATAAATATTAATCTTCTCTTCACTTACCTATATTCTTAAATTATTTATTTTCAGCCCCAACAAAAACTCACCCACTAAGACTAATCCTCATATTCTGTCTTTTTTCTTTATATTATCACTTGACATTTTTATGGGCCTCACTTCTCTCTTTTTTCTCAGATCTCTCCAACCTTGTGCTTGGGAGAGAAGGTTGCACTAAATGATCCCCTGTGCTCGTTTCTCTGGATTTGTCTTCAGCTCCCTCCTCTACCCTCATCTTTGCTTGTGTTCCTGATGTCTTTATCTGTCAAGTGGCTGGATTTCTTTGTTTTTCTTTTTTCACCTTCTCTTTGTTTTGGCCTCGTTTTTTCTTCCTGCTCAGTCACTCCATAGTTCTTTCTCTGCATCTTCTCATATTGTACTTCATATCTTAGTTCATCTCTATCTTAACTGAAGAACTAAGACAGTTTTTTTCCTTTTTCTTTTTCTACTTAATTTTCTTCATGTCAACTATAGTTTTTAACCATACATCATTAAATCAACACACACTTACATATTTATTTTGTGACTGGAACTGCATGATGGGATAAGGGGGGCGGGCAAAAGAATACATCAGAATTCTGCCCTCAGGAGCGCAGGGCTTGGCAAAGAAGGAAAATGGCTATAAAAACTGTAATAAAATGAGATATGCACCATCCCGATGGGATTACCAAAATATTTGAGAGCACGACAAATGGAGAGACTGTGCATAAGAAGGCTGAAGTGGGCTTCACAGAAGAGGTGGCATTCAACCTGGGTCTTGAAGGATGGGTAGAGTCTTGCCAAACAGAAATGGGGAAAGCTATTTCAGGCTCCATGTTTCCAGGCAAATAGGTTGCTTCATCCTTCTCTTTCTCACATTTGTAATGTTTCTCAGCACACGTAAGGATACAATATCTCCTCTGTCATACAGATTTATGTCCAGCTACTGTTTCCAAATAAATATTGCCTTTGACTCAATTAGCACAAAGCTCAGTCACAGGCTGGGTGCGGTGGCTCACGTCTGTAATCCCAGCACTCTGGGAGGCAGAGGCAGGCAGATCACTTGAGGCTGGGCGTTTGAGACCAGCCTGGCCAACATGGCAAAACCCCATCTCTACTAAAAAATACAAAAACTATCCGGGCATGGTGGCACATGTCTGTAATCCCAGCTACTGGGGAGGCTGAGGCAGGAGAATTGCTTGAACCCAGTAGATGGAGGTTGCAGTGAGCCAAGATGGTCCCATTGCATTCCAGCTTGGGCAACAGAGTGAGACTGTCTCAAACAAAAAACAAAAAACAAAAAAAAAAACCAGCTCAGTTAACAATTTTTTTCTTTCTTTTTCTTCTCTTACATGTAGTTATTTCAAAACAAACTTTTGGAAAAGTGGCCCGCTTCTAAACTACACACACACACACACACACACACACACACACACACACACACATATCTAGACTTTCTGGAATTTTAATAATCTATCTTGAATCATACAGTCTATTCACTTTAAAGCCGAGAGAGATCTAAGGGGCATGAGAACTGACTTTATGCTTCTTGTTTACTGATACGGAAACAAAGTCTCTGATGCTAAGGGATTTGCTCCAAGTCACAGTTAGTTCACAGAAGAATCATCCTTAATTGTTTTATAAAAAGATGTATAACATAATTGTAACAAGGGCCATTGCAGGTGTTTCCATATTGTTGATAAATCATTTGGTCTTCCTCATATTAGAAACAATATGAGATACATTTTTGCTAACTTTTTTTATTGTTGACTTTAGCACCTCTGCAGACTTAGAGAATTGATACATACCCAAAGTTGCCCTTTCTTGCCTTTGTTTTTTCAGGTAGTTATTTCTCTTATCCTAGGTCATCCCACACCTATGACTTTATTCCTCTCTTTTTGTGGTGGTTTATGATTTGCTTCCTGATTTTTTTTCCCCACTTGCTATTTAGAACCTTCTCAGGCCCCTCCAGAATGATCCTCCTGCCCTGCCTGGGCTGAGCTCGTCATGATCCACCATGCCTCCCCATGCTGGTGCCCTGACCACCCTTTTGTGCCTCTGCCAAGCCCTACAGAGGGCAGGAGAGAAAGGATCCCTTGTAAGACAGCTCCAGATGCTCCCTTCACTTCAGCCCTGTGATTCCTTCTTAGACAGAAGTTATATTCCTGTTTTTAGAAGGACCCACACAAAGTTTTCGTTTTTAAAAATGATTTGGGGGTAGCATATAAATATGGCAGTAATGAATACACAACTTAAAATGTGTACATAGATTCCTTTATCATAATAACATTCTTAGATTTATTTCTTCATCTCTCTAGAGACACATTTATCCATTTCTATCTCAGTATCTAGAACTTGACATTTACGAGATCAGCTTCAGGTGGTTAGAGCAGTCTTTTAAAAAATACCAATCGGATCATGTCACTCCTTGTCTAAAATCCTCCATTGCTTTTCCATTGCATTTAGACCGAAACCTAGGCCCCTGACCACAGCACGTATGACCCTGCAAGATATGGCCCCTGCACCTATCTGACTTCCTGCCCTTCAATTCGCCTCTCCTGCCTCACTCAGCTCGTGCTACACTGACCTTTCCATTCCTTAAACATACCAAGCTACTTCTCACTCCAGGGCCTTTGCACTTACAGTGCTCTCTGCCCAAAAGGAGCAACCCCCAGAGCTTTGCCTGGCTGCTTCTTCCCAGCATCCAGCACCCTCTCTACTTACTCCATAACACATCACTTCTGTTCTGTTTTCCTCGTGGTACTTATCATTAGCTGAAATTACTTTGTCCGTTTATTTATTTTTTGTTGTATTCTCCCTCTAGAATAACACTGTCCAGTGGAACTATCTGCAATAATGGAAATGGTCTCTATCATGCACAGTGTAGTGGCCACTAGCTACAGGTGGCTATTGAGCATTTGAAATGTGACTAGTGAGACTGAGGTACTACATTTTAAAATGTAATTGAGTTGATTATTTAATATTTAATTGATTATTTAGTTGATTATTTAATAATTATTTAAATATTTCTCTTATTATGTATTTAGTTTTAAATTTTATTTAATTTAAATATCTACATATGGCTAGTAGCTACATTATTAGATAGCACAGCTATAGAATATCAGCTCCCTGAAAGCAAGAACTTCTCCTTCTTGATTGCCCTTGAATCTCCAGCTTCTGGAATAGCAACTTGTACATAGTAGGTATTCAATAACTGTTTTTTGACTGACCAGAAATGTTTTTGTTTTTGTTTAAAATAAACTCAGTTCAAAGAAAAAAAAAGGAGGTTTCTGCAAAATTCATGACGTTCATGCAAATCACATGATATATCAGTCAACTATTACCACAATAATGCTGCATAACAAGCTACCTTCAAATCCAGAGCTTTCAAATGGCAATAATTTATTCTTGCTCGAATAGCTCTATGTCAGCTTGGGTTCAGTGAATCTAATCTGGGCTTGACTCCAAGGGGCAGGCTGGGTCCGGACCTGTGCCATATGTCTCTCATCCTCCTTACACCAGCAAATTAACAGGGGCACTTTCTCTTTATAGCTATGGCAGAGGCACAAGAAGACAAGCCCAACGATGAAGCCTATTTTAAGCCCCTGCTTATGTCATAAATGCTAACATCTCATTTGCTGAAGCAAGTCACATGGGTGAGTCCAAAGTCAAGGGAAAGGAAAGCACACTGCCTTGAGGTGGGGTGACATGGCAAAGGATGTATATACAGCATGAACGAAAAATTAAGGCCAATGCTCCAATCCACCATGTCTTTTAGAAGAGTCTCATATAAAAGATATGATTACAAATTGAGTTCCCATAGGATTAAATAAAATATTTTTTCAAGGTTTAGCTAGAACATACATAACATAACACACAGATGCCCCACACAGAGAAATGAATGTATGCTAAAGAAACAAACAAGCATTTTTCTGGGGACTCCAATTGAGATCAATAAATTCATGTGAGGAGAAGGCACATTTGGGAATTTTGTGAATGATGTGTATAAGAAAGTACACAGTGATATCTCTAAGCCTCATGATAGCAAGGGGGAAGTCCTGATCCACTGAAGATCGCTGAGACCACAAAAGTTGGCCCCAATGAGTGGCATATAGATTTCAATGTCAGAGTTGTAAGGCAATGTGTCTTCTGTAGAAACAGTGGTTCAAACATTTATTTTACATGAAAGATTATTGGTTCTAGAAAGTCATTAGCATCTAGAAAAGGTATGTAGTATGCTGGCACATCTGCTCTCTTGGGGTTGTGGGGAAAAGCCTTGATTTGTGACGGTTGACAATTTCTGTGGTGGAAATACTCCCATCATTTCCATTTTCAAACTATCGATGTGTAATGTCACAGAATGCTGAGTTGGAAAGAGATGAGTAGAAGTGGCTCCAGGAGCTGGTCCAAGCTGGTGCCAGCACACCACCAAAGAGGTTCCTATGTGCTGTTCCACAGACACGAGTATGTTTTGTGCAGCTTTATCCGAGAAGTGAACAAAATACTAGAAAATACCAGCAAACCCTTTTATAAAGTCATTGGGCATCTCCTGCTGAAATATTGCTGCAATTCTGGTTGTTCCACTTTAATAAAAACCTAACAGAGCAGGAACAGGTCAGGGAAAAGGCAAATAAAATAAAATAATGATAGAAGGATTTCTGCAGGGCAGTGTTAGCCCAGGCAGTGCCATAGTGTGAATTACATGGAGGTGTCCTCCCTGGTGGACATAACCCCACACCCCCTCACCTGGGGAGGAGCATGCCAGCTGGATTTGAGCCAACACTCACCTCCTCAGCCGGCTCCCTTGTGCAGACCAATCTGTACAGCCACAAGGGTTGGCCCACTGCTTCTGTAAAGGGTTAGGATAGTTTTCTTTGGCCTAGAAAGATCTGAATGGTGAGCAACTAGTCACATGATAACATTGTTTAAAATTGTAAAAGATAATGTAAAATATATATAGACACATACACACAGAGAGATTGGGAAGGAGAGAGAGAGATAAAGAAGAGTTTTGCTTATTCAACTTTGGAACACTAAAATTAGGGACACACTTTGAAATTGAATCTGCAGTGTTACAGTACAAAAAAACTTTTAAGCAATTGTTACTTTTTACAAATAAACCTTTGAAAGTTATACTCCTAGATTATAAACTAAAATGTATATCTTCTAAGGAAGAGTTCCAATGGCCAAGGATAGAGAAAAAGAAGACTTCATCATTCAAAATATAATTCAGTATTTTAAAATTCATATGCACATGACCTTGAGTCTAAATCCCAGAATCCTGATGATCCATTCCTGTTGCATGCCCATGCCTACCTCTCTGGGACTCTGCTCCTGCGAGGTTCCCAATGCCACCCATCTTTCCTGAATCATCAGTTTTTCTCCGTCTTCTCTCCCTCCTTGGCTACCCTGCAGCATCCAGCTCTGATGCCCACTCACTCCCTGGAATTCAACACAGAATTCATAGAGAGCTTATTATGTGTCAGGCACTGTATAAAGTCACAAGGAAATAAAAATCATGTCCCTCAATTAGGGTAGATAGGCATGTAAATAAGTAGTTTCCCAATAGTATGATAAGTACAAAGAGATGCAGCTTCTTGATCCTTCAGGAGTGTGTAGAATAGGGCAACTAACACCATTTGGATATAGAGAAGCAGGGACTTCCTTCCTAAGAAAGAACCTGGGTTTAAACGATGGCCAAAAGTTTTGCTTTCCAGATAATATAGAAGACATGATATTCCAAATACAGGGGGTACAATATACAAAGGATGAAGATGTGAACAGGCATAGACTTACAAGTAGTCTGGAACTGCAGAGTGAGAAGGGTGAATGGAAGTGCAGGAGGTAAGGCTGTACTGGGAGGCAGGACAGGAGCAGGAACAGGAGCCCCTGAAGGATGGAAGCAGGGAGATAATAGGATCAGATTTGTGCTTTGGAAAGATCCCTATGGTAGGATGTAGAGAAGGGGGAAAGAGAAAGGCAGAGTCTAGACTAGTCAGGGGACTATTAAAGTGAGCCAGGCCCTGGAGGGCCAGGGCTCTAATTATGGGACTTGTCAGTGGCCATACAGTTGTAGGTCACTCAGGGGAAATCTAGGGGTTGAACTTAACCTTGGGGGGTGGTTGGGTGGGAGACGAAGGAAGGAATGATGACTCCCAGATCCCTGGCTTGGGTGGAACAGCAAATGGAAATATCATCAACTGAGTTACAGTCTAGCAGAGGCAGAACAGGTGTTGAGGAGGCAGTGAGCTTGGTTTGGTTTTGGACTTGCTGATATGAGCAATGTTCTAGATTGCAGCAGTCCCCAACCATTTTGGCACCAAGGACCAGTTTTGTAGAAGACAACTTTTCCAGACTGGGGTGGGGGGAATAGTTTTGGGATTATTCAAGTGCATGACATTTATTGTTCACTTTATTTCTATTATTATTGCATGGTAATATATAATGAAATAATTATACAACTCACCATAATGTAGAATCAATGGGAGCCCTGAGCTTGTTTTCCTGGAACTAGATAGTCCCATCTGGGGGTGATGAGAGACAGTGACAGATCATCAGGCATTAGATTCTCATAAGGAGCTGGCAACCTAGATCCCTTATATAGACAGTTCACAATAGGCTTAGTGCTTCTATAAGAATCTAATGCCGCTGCTGATTTGACAGGAGGCAGAGCTCAGACAGTAAGGTGAGCAATGGGGAGTGGCTTTAAATACAGATGAAGCTTCACTCCTTTACCCACCACTCACCTCCTTTTGTGTGGCCTGGTTTCTAACAGTACCAGTACTGATCTGTGGCCTAGGGGTTGGGGACCCCTACCATATTGGATACTAACAGAAGAAGATTTAAAAATCTGAGCTTTGCCCCTTAATTGCCTGTTGTGCCCTAGGCAAATTGTATCACTTCTCTGGGCTTCAATTTTCTTACCTGTAAAGCTTGGGACAATGCCTGGCATGTAATATTTCCATATTATCTGATTTCTCCAACAACCCTGTGAGGTATGGATGAGTATGCTTAGCCTAAAGAAACTGAAGCACCAAATGACTTGCAGAATTATAGTTGTGTATATAAAATCACTTTGTAAGATGAAATTCTTTATATGCTACTGTAGTTTTTTCATTCTGTTGTAGTCACTGCTACAACAATTCACATATAACTGGTCTTTAGTTGTCCCATGCATAATAATGATTTTCAGTTTCATGATAACCTGAGAACAAAGACTGGTCCTAACTATCATTTATGCAGAGCAGTAAGAACACAGTAGATTCTCAATTCATGCTTATTGATGGATTGAGCCTATGGAAATTGACTAGCTGATCAACTGGAGCTTTCTTTCGTTGTTTGTTCTACCGTCATCTGTCTCGGAATGGCTTTTGCCCCAAGGGAAGAAAAACAGAATTCTTGATTTAATATGCAGTATAGCATATTAAATATTAGATAATCTATGCATGGACCATTTTATACATTAGTAGACATCACAATATTCTGGATTGACCATGTTTTGAAATGGAACACTATAAAGCTGGAAATTAAGAAATATTCTTTTCAATTTATATTGGCAGTAAACAGAGTAATATGATCATGCTGAAAATGTCCTGGCTCTGCTACAGAATAAAAAGTTGTTTTTAAAAAACTGACAACTTTGAGCACAAGGCAGTTTCTGTTTTTACTTTACCCTCAAGAACTCATTGCACCAAGAGCATGAACCCATGAGAGTAATAAAATAATTATAGCTTTATTTTACTATATTCTTACACTTAATTTGATCCACTAATGTCTGCCTAATTCAGGTAGAAAAAAAATGAAACTGGCTGGATAAAGCTGATATTTTCTTATAATCTTAAAGTCTCTCTGCAGAGACCTTTGTCATCATTTACATATTTCTTTTTTTCTTTTTTTTCTTTTTTTTTTTGAGACCGAGTCTTGCTCTGTCACCCAGGCTGGAGTGCAATGGCATGATCTCAGCTCACTGCAAGCTCCACCTCCCGGGTTCAAGCCATTCTCCTGCCTCAGCCTCCCGAGTAGCTGGCGCCCACCACCACGCCTGGCTAATTTTTTGTATTTTTAGTAGAGACAGGGTTTCACCATGTTAGCCAGGAGGGTCTCAATCTCCTGACCTCATGATCCACCATATTTCTTAATAAAATTTCCTTCAACAATCTTAACACTGAGTGCACTAGTAAACCCAACATTCACCAATAAAACACCCTCAAATAATATTTTAAAAGAATGTATCCATTTACCAAGTATTGCTTTATTCTGAACACCTTGTGTCTGTGTGCGACCACTGAGAACGACAATTGTAGGAGTTAGGCAAATAGCACTTGATTTCGGAGTGTTAATAAGAATTGACAATCTTTTCTCTTTTTTTGGAGGGAGAAAGAAATATAAGGATTTGAAAGGAGAACTGTAAACCCAGTTCAGTACAGAAATCTGTACAGAGATTTCATTTTTGAAATGTATCCAGTGCAAGGGTTAAATGAAAGCAAAGCAGTCACTTTAACCGTGTTTTTGAAGAAAATAAAACAGCTTGATGTAAGTTAAATGAAGGGAGTCTATGACTTAAAAGAAATGGACAGATAGAGAAAAAGGTCACCAGATTAAATTTTCCCTGAGGGAAAAGTCCTTCTTTGGAATCATTAACCTCCTTCTAGGTCACTCCTGAAAAAACAGCAGGAAATCCTCCTGCGCCGGGAAAGATGGGTGCATCCCGGCTGCCCACTGACCTGGGAGGCAGCCCTGGAGTCTCCCAGTTCCCCTTCAGGCGTGCTTGATTTTAAGACCTGTTTTAAAGAAACAAGATCTCTTGTTTTTGAGCTCTGAAATCATAAAATATAAAGTATTTTTTTAACTTGAAAAATCTAATGCTGTTTCCCATAGACAAAGGAAATACACAAAAAAGGATAGCAGTTGTCTCAAAATTGCAGTGATTTTGTCAGGTTTTTTTTTTCCTTCTGATTGCCCCAAGCTTTATATAAGATTTTCTTATATTTTAATTTTTAAAAAGCTATTTGTTCTTTGCTTTAAAAATATGTAGTTCTTCTATATCTGTATAGATTGTTGTTGTTGTTGTTAACTATATCAAGAGGGTGTTCCTGAATGGAGCAGGGAAGCTTTTTACTTAGTGTGTATTGACTGTTCTTTCAACATATTTTCCACAATTTCTGTTATTTATATACTGATTTATAAAAAGAGGACATAGGTATATTAATAAAGAACTTGTGAGACTAAAATGAAATTTATTTTTTGAAACTCCCAAAATGAAATACAGATATGTCCTAGCTAAATTATTTTTAAATATCTCTCTCTTCAATGTCTTTTTTTCTACACTGAATTAAGAATAATTAACAATGTACGGTTGTTTAAACAACATTTAGTTAAAACAAATCTGATTTGTAAACTACAAACTAATTTTGAACCCCAAGCTTTCCTGTCATAATGGACCACCAAGTAAAACACCATGTTAAAAATGAGATTTGGCTAATTACAATGCATGAAACAGGAGAATAAACCAGTAAGACTAAAAGCTCTGAAGGGTACAGGAACCCACTGTGAGGTTCCCCCCAACCTTTGATGCCTAAATCAGTACTAAGAAAAGGGAAAAAAAAATATTTTTAAGAGTTTCAAGGGAAAGAAAGATTCATAAACCACTCACTGCTATATAGCAAAACATGAAAAATGCTCCGTCCAAGTTTTGCAGGTGATTTGTATATGCTTTTCCAGATTGGTTCTAAAGCAAAAGAGAGCAACGATTTTAAAAGACAGTGAGGCAATTTCGCAGTCCCTGGAGAATAAAGATAAGCTGAAGCATCAGTGAGAAAGAAAACTAAAATGCACTTTGTGAATCCTGACACAGCCTAGATGTTGGCACGGGGCTTCGGCTAAACTCAGGTACCGCAGGACTCATTACCTTTTCGCTCATGTTCACACGTTGATTGAATGGCCAAGAAGTAAGAATCTTAGTGTGCATGTAAGTAACTTATTATGTAACATAAATTGGGTACAAAGGTAACAATTTCCTGACTGGGGTATGGTAAGAAAAAGAATTGTATGGCTCACTGTTTTCTAGCCAAAACGCATTTCTGAAGCAGGAAATCAAAAACACATCACAAACCTTACAACTAGACTAAACACATTAAATCTGCTGATATTAGTAACTGTCACGAGGCTGTCAGGCTCAGGGAGCTGCAGCTACTGACAGCTACCCACTCCCTACCTCTAACACACTTTTCTCAGATTCTTTGCTGAAGAAAAGTGAACAAATATTCCATTGTTGCTGCTGTTTATTAAAATGGTCCCCTGGAATTCCCTGCAGACACTGCTTGAACAAAAATAACGAATGGGACACCGATTTGATGCACAACACAGATCTGAACTGAGAAGCAAACTAAAAGGTTTCAAGTGACATAGGCCAGAACACGTCTAAGTACCCCCCCCCAAAATAAATCACTAAAATGTCCATTCTCTAAGCTTCCTTTGTTTTCATTTGCTTCGAAATGCATCTTACTAGCTCTTCACTCATTTTACCTTAATTTCACCTTTCTCCTTCAATAGCAAAATCAAATCGTTTTAAAATTCTGAGGATCTAAAAGATACCCGGCCACCCCCACCCCAAAAGAATATTGGTTCTGTTTCAGACGGACTTCTTAGATTGCTGAGGCTTCATGAAGTTTAGATCTAAATGGCTTTTTAATATAAGGCTTATATTTCTTTCCTGTCAACTTCAATATGAAGGGCAGATGTCTTTTAACATCAGTTAATTGTTGGCAGAGTATCTGACTCATTTATTCACAATGCCAGACTTATTGCTTGCTAGCCGACTTCTTTGTTTACAGGGATTTCTTTCCCACTGCCCACCAACCGGAAGCCCACTTTTTCATCTGGTACTAGATTAAGGAAAATGTAGGAATGTGCCTAATAAGGGGACATATTGTACTCAGAGGCAGGTTTGCCATGGTTATCCGCCTTTCTTCAGAAGCCACCATCAAGAAAATGCATATTGAACATTGTCCAACGCTTCAGGCTATGTGGAGTTAAAACAACTGTAAAGGTGCCGATTGTCACCTCCTAAAAAACCTTAAGGACTTAAAATTCAATGGTGTCTATTTCATGTGGTTCCTTTACCTTTCCTTTGTTCCCTACCCTTTCTCAATCTTTCCCTTCTGTTTTCATTTATCATGAAGATTTAGAAAGATGCTGATACTAAGGAAGGTTGTATGAATAATTTTTGTGACATTGCTGAACTGATGATCCTTGATCATTTGCCACCCGTGTTGTAGAAATTGTAGTTGCAAAATGAAAAGATGATTCTAGTCTGAAATAAAATTTCAAAAATGAGTCAGCTACAGGGAAGGAAAGACAAAGGTGGAAACAAAAAACCTCATAGTAAAATGTTTTATTTCCATTTGTTTCCAGTGCCTTACTGATGTGAGGGGCAAGTAGGAAGCTAATACATCTCACTTTAGCAGTACTAATTGTTTGCATTATCACAATAATCAAATGCAGCCATATTAATGTCTCTGGTTATTAACTTGATTTTTACACATTAAGATTTAGATTTAATCCCCTGGGACCATCTATTAATGCTTTTAAAGTTGAAGGGTTTCAACAGTTTTAAGTTCTTTCCCTTCTTTTAGCTGCAGGCAGTAAAATTTGAACGGGTGTGGAGTTTTGTATTTTGCATTCCTGGGGGATTTTCAGAGACAGTGCTGTCAAGGACCATGAATCATGTTAATACATAGCAACCTCTACAGCTATTAAAATGTCTGCAATAATGTGATTATTTTAAAATGGAAAAACTAATATCACATGTGTTACTTAAAGATCAACTATTCTTTTAAAGTCACAGACAGAATGCATTTGGAAGAAAAAAAAATGAAATTGTTTTTGTATGCAGCCAAAATGTGAAATGTCTCATCTATTGAGAAAGAAAACTTTCAGCTCCTTTTACAAAATACATCCTTACTGAGCTTCAGGTCAACAGAGCATAAAAATGGCAAAAAGTCCAAGATCAATAAGCATGAAAAGCTGTTTTATTTCTGTTTGAGCAAGTTGTAGCGACAATGACCTGCTGGAACAGTCTCTAGTTTTATGCTTTCATAGTCACAGAATGATGACATCCAAGCAGAAAACAGAGCTTGGCCTGTTCTGATGAGCTGTCAGTGTGGAGCCAACATTACAACTTGCCTTCCATTGGTTGAGGGCTCAGCCTTTAGAAATTTATTAAAATTATTTATAGGCAGATGCATAGGTAAACATTATCCAGGTCATTATATGGGGCATTTGTATCATACCAATACAAGAAGAATAAGAGCACATTTCTTTTCATTGCTTTTAAAGGGATCTAAATTATTGTAGCCCTCGTGGTTTCTATGTTGATTTTTTTAAAAGTAAGGATACAAGTTAATGTGTGCTTGT
Source organism: Homo sapiens (assembly GCF_000001405.40). Lineage (NCBI taxonomy): Eukaryota > Metazoa > Chordata > Mammalia > Primates > Hominidae > Homo > Homo sapiens. The sequence goes on from NC_000018.10 coordinate 25,374,325, forward strand.
TACAAATATCTCATTATATCAACAATACCAGAGGCCTGAAATAATCTACCCCATAAATGATCAATATTTCTAGGATTGTCATGGTATTGTCTTATTTCTGAAATTTCTTTCTCAAAACAGTATGCATGTTACTATGTATATTTCCTATAAAGAATATTTTTAGGGCCAGGCACAGTGGCTTACACCTGTAATCCCAGCACCTTGGGAGGCCGAGGCGGGCAGATCACTTGAGGTCAGGAGTTTGAGACCAGCCTGGCCAACATGGTGAATCTCCACATCTACAAAAACTACAAAAATTAGCCATGTGTGGTGGCATGCACCTGTAAACCCAGCTAATCTGGAGGCTGAGGCATGAGAACCACTCGAACCTGGGAGGCAGAAGTTGCAGTGAGCTGAGATTGTGCTCCTGCACCCCAGCCTGAGTGACAGAGCGAGATTCTGTCTCAAAAAAAAAAAAGAATATTTTTATAAACCTTATATTGTATTATTTTTTGTCTAAGAATAAAAACCAAAAACTCAGTTTTGGTTTTTGAACACAACAATTTATCAAAGGGTTTAAGATGATACGTATGGCAATTTTCTATTGACAAGGGAGAAAGATTAAATACTTTCAAATTATCTCAGACCCTGAGCAATATATGACTCTTTTTGACATTCCCTTAAAACATTTAGGTGCATTCTGAAAAATATAATAGGAGCTCTTTCATTTCTTTTTATTGAGCAAAAGCCTTGCCTCGTTTCCAATATGCTTCCTTGGTATTGATGACATGCATACACATTAATTGTTCAATGGATGAAGAGTGCCAAATCACACTCAACTTCTGTTACCTAGAGATCAGTACATATGCAGCCTGTCTGGAGTTGAAGTCAGGCTAAAGGACACCAGAGTGACTGACTGACTTTAGAGTCCCCGGAAGAGCCACTTTTAGGCATTACCAATGTCCATCTGGCTGGAATGTCATTTACAGACCCTAACATGCAGTTGAAATCCTAATCACCCTTCTAAAAATGATCTCACTATCATAATATTCAGGGAAGTCAAATTACCTAGAAACTGCCCTACTCTTTGGAGTCTTAGAATGATACTAACAATAGGGATAAGCTGTGATAAAGGACGTTCACCTTTGTTTTGTCAACTATTTTGAGATGTTTACACTAAGAATTCTACAGGCATAAAAATGGAACTGCCCTCCTAACAGTGTAGCGTCATATCTCACTAACTGGGCTGCCGCTTTCCTCAAATTATAGGCTGCTCTTTGTAGGGGGAGCTCAGAAGCCAGAGCAGAAGTTTCTGTATGAACCTGCCAAAGGCAAGAAGAACCTATTGCTTGCAGAGCCAGTTTCTGCATAGATGTGACCTCCTGGGTCCTTACCCCAACTCTGCAAGGCTGTTTGCCATTTTACAGACATGAGAAGGACTGGATAGGCTCGATAACTTGCCCAAAGTTACACAATTTGTAAGTGATGAAATGGGAACTCAAGTCTAGGTCTGTCATATTTCAAAATTCATGCTCTTTCTAGTAAATCATGCTGCCACCTGCCTGGGGTTGAGGTCTGTAACCTCATGCATAGGGCCCTTTACTCTTTTAACATGTCAGAGCTGGACCAAGCATGGAATTTGGACAGGCAGGGCTTTTAGAGTCTAAAGAAAGTTTGTTCCAAAGCCCAGCTCTGACCCTTACTGTATGGCCCCAGACAAGTTGTTAGCAATGGTAATAATAAGACACAGAAGAATGATAGCTACTATTCTCCAAGCATGGGCATGACATCAGGTAAGGGACAAGACACTTCACAAAACAGCTAATGTTACAGCAACACTTTGAGGTCAATATTATTTTCTCCATTATCAAATAAAGAAATGGAAGGACAGAAAGGTATGAAATTTGCATAAGGTCTTGAAGCTAGTAACAGCTTCTGCTCTGATTCTTGGCTGTACTGATTTCTTATAAATTATAGAATATCTTAGAGCCTCCATATCTTCAAAATGAATTTGTGGGATTGTTGTGCTTATTAAGTGAAATAACATATGAAAGATTCCCAGTGCTATTCTAGATGAATCACCCATGATCAAGAGAGGTTGATTTTTTCATTCCACCGCCAAGAAAATAAAAGCGTATGTTCCTCAAACACTCCGCTCAGCCCCCTTGCCATGGCTAAGGCTGTTCTTACTATTCCTACTCCATTGTAAAACTTCTGGTCTTTCTTCATATCTCCCCTCAAAACTAACTGTCTGCTCTTCCCTTTAAGAAGCACATGGCGTTTTACACATATTTTTGTTTATTACTGTGTCTTCCATTGATACAGACAGGAGACAAGGGAATACTGGGTGGAAGAAGGCAGTTCCCTGGCAAAGGCCCCACCTTCAAGCCTGGAGAACCCTGGCCCTAAATGGGAACAGGCATTCCTGTTTCTGGGCCCCAAAGTTGCCTTTTGGCCTGCCATGCCCCCCTAACCTGTACCCATATAAACCCAAAACCCCCAGCTCCATGAGGAGACAAACAGAAAGGCAGAAGAATGGCAGAATGGTGTGGCGGAGAGAACAGAAGGAGCATCTGAACACCAAGAGGAATTTGGCTGGGGAGAGGAGATCAGCCTCTGGACAGTTAAGCTCCAGGGGAAGGTCATCTTCCTGCTCCATCCCCTTCCCAGCTCCTCATCCATCCCACTGAGAGCAACCTCCACCACTCAATAAAACTCCCACATTCACCATCCTCAAGTCTGTGTAAGATCTGATTCTTCCTGGACACTGGACAAGGACCTGGGTACCAAGAGGGCACTGAGCTGGTTAACACTTAAGCCATCTGCAGATAGCAAAGCTAAAAGAAAGTACTGTAACACATGCCCACTTGGGCTCTGGGAATCTCAGGCACCCACTCCTAGATGCTACTGTGGGGCCAGAGCCCCAAGGTGCTTGCTCCAGCTCCTGCACCTGCCTGTCTGCATGCTCCCCCTCCTGTAAGGGGTTTGTGTGCACACAGCAGCCACAGCCCTGCTGCACATCCTGAGAGCAGGGTCAGGGAACTCTCCCATTTCACCATGACATCAGGCTGTTCCAAGGCACAGACAATACTTTATTTCTGCTTTCCTCAACACTAATTTTCTTCAGCACTTCTAAAACTCAGCAGTCATTCACCAAATTCTGGTTAAGTGCTCACACTCATTCAATCAGTGTTTACTGAACCCCCATATAAAAGCATCTCTTTACTGGATCTGAACAGTGGCTGACTGAGGGCTTCATGAACTTTTTAGAGGTGTCACAGAAGAATATTATCATAGAGATAAGGCTACTTATTAACAAACTTCATTCCTTACCTCCCCAACTTAGATGGGCTGTGAGCCTGACTGAGCCTCTTGCTTGTAGCAGTGTGTGGGTGATGATAATAAATATTGGTTTGAAGCTTCCTTGTTCTGTCTATAGGTTAAAGTGAGTTAACCTCATTTGCAAGTGATGTTCTCTGACCTCATTTTTAATGGATGAGTGAAAAAGAAATGGCCGAGCAAATATCTAAAATCAGCATCAGCAAATACTGTTTCCTCTATTGTAATTTAAATGGAATAATTAATAATGCACCCTATTCTCATTGGTTGGGAGCTGAGCCTGCCCAAGCTCAGGGAGGAGAGCAGGCACACAGGGTGATGATGTCTTAAAATTCACCCAGCCCTTCCCTTGTTCTCAGTAATCATCTAAATTACCCCCGTGGAATTGCAGCACACATCCTGTAGTGATTTCCAAGACCTCACCATTCTCCTCTTGAGGAGTTCTATCCTACTTGGGAGGCAAATTTACCTTCTTTGAAATAAACAAATAAAAACAACTAATAAACCCCAAACGAGACAACTTGAGTGAGCTTCCCTAGTTTCTCTCCTCTCCAATCCGTTCTCTGGTTCAACATCCATCTTCTCTTTTCACTTCTTTTTCAGATGATCAAGTCTTGTTTATTTTAAGCTGACCTCATCAATGAAACTCTTTTAATCTCTCTTATAACCTCTGCTGTCTCAGATCTGTCTCTTCTCCCTGGCATCTTTAGTTCCTCGCTCTGTGTTTACTCAATTTACCATGCTTTTCTTTTCTTTTTTTCTTTTCTTTTCTTTTCTCTTTTTTTTTAGACAGAGTCTCCTCTGTCGCCCTGGCTGGAGTGCAGTGGCACAATCTGGGCTCACTGCAAGCTCCGCCTCCCGGGTTCATGCCATTCTCCTGCCTCAGCCTCCCGAGTAGCTGGGACTACAGGCACCTGCCACCACGCCCAGCTAATTTTTTGTATTTTTAGTAGAGACAGGGCTTCACCGTGTTAGCCAGGATGGTCTAGATCTCCTGACCTTGTGATCTGCCCTCCTCAGCCTCCCAAAGTGCTGGGATTACAGGCGTGAGCCACCGCACCCGGCCTACTCTGTTTTCAAACATGACACTTTTCCTTAAAGTGAAGTCCCCAAAACTAGCAGCAACATCCCCTAGGAACTCGTGAGAAATGCAAATTCCTGAGGTTTCCCTCCCCCCACCAGACCTGTGGATTCAGAAATTCATGGGTGGAGTCCAGCGGTTCTGTTCAACAGACCCTCCAGGCAATTCTCACGTGCTGAAGCTTGAGGACTGCTATCTTTTAAGAAAAGCCTCCTTGCATCTCTCTTTGGAGCTACTTCCAAATTCTCTTCCTTCTTTAACTGTGAAAGTTCTCTATCAAGCAATCTTCACCAATTGCTTTCTCACCTCCAATTTTTAGACTCATCTAAAATCATGCTTTCACAGATCACCAAATTACTTATTGCCTGAGCTGGGTGGTGAAACACACCCTGGAATCAGAGATAAAAAACCTGGCTTTGAACAGTGGTTCACTGCTGTCCAGCTGTGTGACTTAGGAAAATTACTTACACTCTAAGCCTCAGTGTCTTCACCTGCAAAGTGGGATTAACATTTTCTTTGCTGGATTATTGTGGAGATTGAGATAATTATGTGAAAGTATTATACATAGTATATAGTAGAAGCTTAATAAATGTTTGCTGAATTCAAATTTAAGTGGTATATACATTCGTGCAGACTTTAGAAATAAAAGCTTTCAGAGATTTCATGGGCAATGTGGTGAAAGATATGTCTTCAAAAACTGATTAAATACTCATTTACATGACATATCTTAAGGACTTTGGAAGTGTAATGTTCACTACGTCAATTAACGATACTTTTAAAAACTGCTAAATATATATTTTCTATGATACTGAGTAATTTGTACTCATTTCCATATGGGGTTTCCATGCTCTTCTTTTGGCCTCAATATCATTTGAATGCCATTTTTTACTCTATGGAAAATTAGCAGAAACCAGCAAAGAAACATTGTTTAGTATTGCTTTTTTCATTTTCATGGAACTGAAACCAAATAAAATACATTATTGCAAGAGAGATTTAGAATAATCCCTGTAACCTCTTTTTTTTTTTTTAATTTAAAAAAGGAGCAACTTGGGATTCCTGGGCAAGATGGCCAAGTAGGAACAGCTCCAGTCTGCAGCTCCCAGTGAGACCAACGCAGAAGGCGGGGTGATTTCTGCATTTCCAACTGAGGTACCCAGCTCATCACATTGGGACTGGTCAGACAGTGGATGCAGCCCACTGAGGGCGAGTAGAAGCAGGGTGGGGCATCGCCTCACCAGGGAAGTGCAAAGGGTCAGGGAACTCCGTCCCCTAGCCAAGGGAAGCCGTGAGGGACTGTGCCTTGAGGACAGGTGCACTCCAGCCCAGACACTACTTTTCCCGTGGTCTTCACAACCCGCAACAGGAGATTTCCTGTTGTATGTTCCTGGGTGCCTACCCCACCAGGGCCCTGGATTTCAAGCACAAAGCTGGGTGGCCGTTTGGGCAGACACCGAACTAGCTGAAAGAGGTTTTTTTGGTACCCCAGTGGCACCTGGAATGCAAGCGAGACAGAACCGTTCCCTCCCCTGGGAAGGGGGCTGAAGCCAGGGAGCTGGGTGGTCTTGCTCAGTGGATCCCACCCCCACAGAGCCCAACAAGCTAAGATCCACTAGCTTGAAATTCTTGCTCCCAGCACAGCAGTCTGAAGTTGACCTGGGACACTCGAGGTTGGTGCAGGGAGGGGCATCCACCATTACTGAGGCTTGAGTAGGCGGTTTTCCCCTCACCGTGTAAATAAAGCTGCTGGGAAGTTAGGACTGGGCGGAGCCCACCACAGTGCAAAAAGGCTGAAAATTCCAAAAACCGGAATGCCTCTTCTCCTCCAAAGGATTGCAAATCCTCACCAGCAAGTGAACAAAACTGGATGGAGAATGAGTTTCATGAGTTGACGGAAGTGGGCTTCAGAAGGTGGGTAATAACAAACTCCTACGAGCTAAAGGAGCATGTTCTAACCCAATGCAAGGAAGGTAAGAACCTTGATAAAAGGGTACAGGAACTGCTAACTAGAATAACCAGTTTAGAGAAGAAAATAAATGACCTGATGGAGCTGAAAAACACAGCATGAGAACTTCATGAAGCATACACAAGTATCGATAGCCGAATTGATCAAGCAGAAGAAAGGGTATCAGAGAATGAAGATCAACATAATGAAATGAAGCATGAAGACAAGATTAGAGAAAAAAGAATGAAAAGGAATGAACAAAGCCTCCAAGAAATATGGGACTATGTGAAAAGACCAAACTTTCATTTGATGGGTATACCAGAAAGGGACAGGGAGAATGGAACCGAGTTGGAAAACACACTTCAGGATATTATCCAGGAGAACTTACCCAACCTAGCAAGACAGGCCAACATTCAAATTCAGGAAATGCAGAGAACACCACAGAGATACTTCTCAAGAAGAGCAACTCCAAGACACATAATTGTCAGATACACCAAGGTTGAAATGAAGGAAAAAATGTTAAGGGCAGCCAGAGAGAAAGGTGTGGGTACCCCCAAAGGGAAGCCCATCAGACTAACAGCAGATCTCTCAGCAGAAACCCTACAAGCCAGAAGAGAGTGGGGGCCAACATTCAATATTCTTAAAGAAAAGAATTTTCACCCCAGAATTTCATGTCCAGCCAAACTAAGCTTCATAAGTGAAGGAGAAATAAAATCCTTTACAGGCAAGAAAATGCTGAGGGATTTTGTCACCACTAGGCTTGCCTTACAAGAGCTCCTAAAGGAAGCACTAAATGTGGAAAAGAAAAACCAGTACCAGCCACTGCAAAAACATACAAAAATGTAAAGACCATCAACATTATGAAGAAACTGCATCAACTAATGGGCAAAATAACCAGTTAGCATCATAATGACACAATCAAATTAACACATAACAATATTAACCTTAAATGTAAACGGGATAAATGCCCCAGTTAAAAGACACAGACTGGCAAATTGGATAAAGAGTCAAGACCCATCAGTGTGCTGTATTCAGGAGACCCATCTCACATGCAAAGACACACATAGGCTCAAAATAAAGGGACAGAGGAATATTTACCGAGGAAATGGAAAGCAAACAAACAAAAAAAAGCAGGGTTTGCAATCCTAGTCTCTGATAAAACAGACTTTAAACCAACAAAGATCAAAAGAGACAAAGAAGGCCATTACAAAGATCAAAAGAGACAAAGAAGGTAAAGGAATCAATGCAACAAGAAGAGTTAACTATCCTAAATATACATGCACCCAATACAGGAGCACCCAGGTTCATAAAGCTAGTTGTTAGAGCCTACAAGACTTAGACTCCAACACAATAATAGTGGGAGATTTTAACACCCCACTGTCAATATTAGACAGATCAAGAAGACAGAAAATTAACAAGGATATTCAGGACTTGAACTCAGCTCTGGACTAAGCAGACCTAATAGACATCTACAGAACTCTCCACCCCAAATCAACAGAATATACATTCTTCTTAGCACCACGTCACACTTATTCTAAAATTGACCACATAATTGGAAGTAAAACACTCCTCAGCAAATGCAGAAGGATAGAAATCATAAGAAACAGTCTCTCAGACCACAATGCAATCAAATTAGAACTCGGAATTAAGAAACTCACTCAAAACCACACAACTACATGGAAACTGAACAACCTGCTCCTGATTGACTACTGGGTAAATAACGAAATGAAGGCAGAAATACAAATGTTCTTTGAAACCAATGAGAACAAAGACACAACGTACCAGAATCTCTAGGACACAGCTAAAGCAGTGTTTAGAGGGAAATTTATAGCACTAAATGCCTGCAGGAGAAAACAGGAAATATCCAAAATCAATATCCTAACATCACAATTAAAAGAACTAGAGAAGCAAGAGCAAATAAATTCAAAAGCTAGCAGAAGACAAGAAACAACTAAGATCAGAGCAGAACTGAAGGAGATAGAGACACAAAAAAACGCTTCAAAAAAATCAATGAATTTAGGAGCTGGTTTTTTGAAAAGATTAACAAAATAGTTAGACCACTAGCCAGACTAATAAAGAAGAAAAGAGAGACGAATCAAATAGACACAATAGAAAATGATAATGGGGATATCACCACTTATCTCACAGAAATATAAACTACCATCAGAGAATACTATAAACACTTCTACACAAATAAACTAGAAAATCTAGAAGAAATGGATAAATTCATGGAAACATACACCCTCCCAAGACTAAACCAGGAAGAAGTTGAATCCCTGAACAGACCAATAACAAGTTCTGAAATTGAGACAGTAATAAATAGCCTACCAACCAAAAAAAGCCTGGGACCAGATGGATTCACAGCCAAATTCTACCAGAAGTACAAAGAGGAGCTGGTAACATTTCTTCTAAAACTATTCCAAACAATAGAAAAAGAGGGACTCCTACCTAACTCTTTTTATGAAGCCAGCATTATCCTGATACCAAAACCTGGCAGAGACACAACAAAAAAAGAAAATTTCAGGCCAATATCCCTGATGAACATCGATGTGAAAATCCTCAATAAAATACTTGCAAACCAAATCCAGTAGCGTATTAAAAAGCTTATCCATTATGATCAAGTCGACTTCATCTCTGAGATGCAAGGCTGGTTCAAAATATGCAAATCAATAAACATAATCCATCACATAAACAGAACCAATGACAAAAACTAGAGGATTGTCTCAATAGATGCAGAAAAGGCATTAAATAAAATTGAACACACTTCATGCTAAAAATACTCAATAAACTAGGTATTGATGGAACATATCTCAAAATAATAAGAGCTATTTATGACAAACCCACAGTCAATATCATACTGAATGGGCAAAAGCTGGAAGCATTTTCTTTGAAAACCAGCACAAAACAAGGATGCCCTCTTTCACCACTCTTATTCAACATAGAATTGGAAGTTCTAGCCAGGACAATCAGGCAAGAGAAAGAAATAAAGGGTATTCAAATAGGAAGAGAGGAAGTCAAATTTTCTCTGTTTGCAGATGACATGATTGTATATTTAGAAAATCCCATCATCTCAGCCCCAAAACTCCTTAAGCTGATAAGCAACTTCAGCAAAGTCTCAGGATACATAATCAATGTGCAAAAATCACAAGCATTCCTATAACCAGTAATAAACAGAGAGCTAAATCATGAGTGAACTCCCATTCACAATTGCTACAAAGAGAATAAAATGCCTAGGAATATATCTTACAAGGGATGTGAAGGACCTCTTCAAGGAGAAGTACAAACACTGCTCAAGGAAATAAGAGAGGACATAAACAAATGGAAAAACATTCCGTGCTCATGGATAGGAAGAGTCAATATCATGAAAATGGCCATACTGACCAAAGATATTTATAGATTCAATGCTATTCCCATCAAGCTACCACTGACTTTCTTCACTGAATTAGAATAAAAGACTTTAAATTTCATACAGAACCAAAAAAGAGCCTGTATAGCCAAGACAATCCTAAGCAAAAAGAACAAAGCTGGAGGCATCACACTACCTGACTTCAAACTATACTACAAGGCTACAGTAATCAAAACAGCTTGGTACTGGTACCAAAACAGATATATAGACCAATGGAACAGAACAGAGGCCTCAGAAATAACACCACACATCTACAACCATCTCATCTTTCACAAACCTGACAAAAAGAAGCAATGGGGAAAGGATTCCCTATTTAATAAATGGTGTTGGGAAAACTGGCTAGCCGTATGCAGAAAAGTGAAACTGGACCCCTTCCTTACACCTTATACAAAAATTAACTGAAGATGGATTAAAGATTTAAATGTAAGACCTAAAACCATAAAAACCCTAGAAGAAAACCTAGGCGATACCATTCAGGACAAAGGCAAGGTCAAAGACTTCATGACTGAAACACCAAAAGCAATTTGCAACAAAAGCCAAAGTTGAGAAATGAGATCTAATTAAACTAAACGGCTTCTGCACAGCAAAAGAAACTATCATCAGGGTGAACAAGCAACCTACAGAATGGGAGAAAATTTTTGCAATCTATCCATCTGACAAAGTGCTAATATCCAGAATCTATAAAAAACTTAAACAAATTGGCAAGAAAAAAACAAACAACCCCATCAAAAAGTGGGTGAAGGATATGAACAGACAGTTTTCAAAAGAAGACATTTATGCAGCCATCAAACATATGAAAAAAAGCTCATCATCACTGGTCACTAGAGAAACGCAAATCAAAACCACAATGAGCTATCATCTGATGCCAGTTAGAATGGCAATCATTAAAAAGTCAGGAAACGGCCGGGCGCAGTGGCTCACACCTGTAATCCCAGCACTTTGGGAGGCCAAGGCGGGCAGATCACCAGGTCAGGAGATTGAGACCATCCTGGCTAACCCAATCAAACCCCGTCTCTACTAAAAATACAAAAAAAAATAAGCCAGATGTTGTGGCGGCCACCTGTAGTCCCAGTTACTTGAGAGGCTGAGGCAGGAGAATGGCGCAAACCCGGGAGGCGGAGCTTGCTGTGAGAAGAGGTCACGCCACTGCACTCCAGCCTGGGCAACAGAGCAAGACACTGTCTCCAAAAAAAAAAAAAAAAAGAGTCAGGAAACAACAGATGCTGGAGAGAATGTGGAGAAATAGGAAAGCTTTTACACTGCTGGTGAGAATTTAAATTAGTTCAACCATTGTGGAGGATAGTGTGGCAATTCCTCAAGGATCTAGAACTAGAAATACCATTTGACCCAGCACTCCCATACTGGGCGTATACCCAAAGGATTAAAAATCATTCTACTATAGAGATACATGCACACGTGTGTTTATTGTAGTACTATTCACCATAGCAAAGACTTGGAACTAACCCAAATGCCCATCAATGATAGACTGGATAAAGAAAATGTGGCACATATACACCATGGAATACTATGCAGCCATTAAAAAGAATGAGTTCATGTTCTTTGCAAGGACATGGATGAAGCTGGAAACCATCATTCTCAGCAAACTAACACAGGAATAGAAAAGCAAACACCACTTCTTCTCACTCAAAAGTGGGAGTTGAACAATGAGAGCATATGGGCACAGGGAGGGGAACATCACACACTGGGGCCTGTTGCGGGGTTGGGGGAAAGGGGAGGGATAGCACAGGAGGAATACCCAATGTAGATGACGGGTTGATGGGTGCAGTAAACCACCATGGCACATGCATATCTGTGTAACAAACCCGCATGTTCTGCACATGTATCCCAGAACTTAACTATAAAAAAAATTTACATAGAATTGGTACTGCCAAAAAAAAAGAAACAACTTTATTGAGATATTATGTACATACCATAATATCTATCCATTTACCATTCAATGGTTTTGCTGTGTATTAACTTCTTTAAAAATTTGTAACCTCTTTAATCTCCATAAATCTGGTTTCCACCTTCATCCATCGGCTGTAAAAGGTGCTTTAGTTGTTCTTCACCAATTGAAAGAAATCTGTTGCTCTTCTGAGGATGCTTATCTTCACAACCTCTCTGTTGTATTTAGTGTGTTTATTGCCCCCTCTTGGAAATATTGATTGTATGACAAGATGATATTTTTGAAAGTAACCAGTGTTTTCTTTTTTTCCCTCCAAGTTTCACCTTGCTGCTGCTCAGATTGCCCTCACGCCACTTTTTAGCAGGTTATTGGCCGGGGTTCATGGTCTCAGAGGAGGAGTATGACAGGGTAAAAAGCAGAAAGAAGACTGTGAATCTCTGGCTTTTAAAAATTCTTCTTCTACTTCATCCAAAAGCCTAACCTTTCAGAGAATGTAAAGGATTAAACAGAGGTAAAATATCAGATTAAGAGAAACAGGTATTTTCCCTTGGGTATAGACAAAGACTCCTTCAATTTGGGGTAAGAGGAAAAGTTAGAGGCAGCAGATGAAAAGAGGAGTTCAGTGAGTTTCAAAGATAGGGGTTTGGCTAGTTTGAGGGCCATGAGAGCAGGGAGACTGCACCCTCTTTCCCGGCAAAACCTGCCTCCACCCCAGACACTGTAAAACCTTTGAGAGAGAGTGGTCGCCCGCCTCCTCTAAGTTGACAGGGCCATAAAGAGCCTTGCAGACATTCCTGGGCTCTCTCATCCTGCAAGAAATCCATGGTGGAACTGTCAGGCTGGAAGAGGAGCTACAGGCAGTAATGGGGACACAACAGTGAGGACCGCTGGAGTACAATGGCACACAGTCACGGAGAAAGGGAACAGAAGTCTCAAGGATCACATAAGGCCATCTCCATAAGCCCCTTGGAGTTTTGTGAACTCCAGAGAAGGAGGTCAGAACCGCAAATTCAGCAAAATGAACTTTCTGTCTCCTCTGGCAGAATGGAGGTTCATATGGAAGTTAATTTAAATTATACAAGAATAAAATTATACCTCTTTTATAAGTTGCTAGTGGACTACTAGCAGTTAACATCGACTTTATGTTGCAGTCCCCCTGTACTGTGGAATTCACTTATGCTCAGAATACACGACACCTATCTTCACTGTAGGGCCCCAAATGCATGCAGTGAAAGGCCAAGCTCATAGTGAAGCGTCAAGAATAGTTTCGGATGGAACCATTTCTACAGCACTAGTAAGTAAATTCTAGAGGCTGTTTTCAACTCTTTTCAGCTTCTTTCAATCCTCAATCCCCACCCCATCTCTACCCATGGCTCTCACTTGATGGTCCACGGCTCAGGAATGCGTGTGTGGCTGGCACTGTGCTGAGCACAGGGAATATGGTTGCCCATAGGACAGATGTGGCCTCAGGGAGGTCTGGTGGATATTTTAAAACATTATTGCACAAACATTGCATTTATAATCAGTGCAATGAATATACATCATTATTTACAATGGGGGCCTATAACAGGGAGATGCTAACTAGACTAGATGTATTAGTCTGTCACATTGCTATAAAGAACTGCCTGAGACTGGGTAATTTATAAAGAAAATAGGTTAGATTGGCTCATGGTTCTGCAGGCTGTATAGAAGGCATGGCCTCAGGAAACTTTCAATTATGGGGGAAGTCTAAGGGGAAGTAAGCACGTCTTACATGGCAGGAGCAGGAGGAAGAGAGTGAAGGGGGAGGGGCTACACTCTTTTAAACAATCAGATCTGGTGAGAACTCACTATCACGAGAATAGCAAGGGGGGAATCCACCCCATGATCCAATCACCTCCCACCAGGCCCCTCCTCTGACATTGGGGATTACAATTAGACATGACATTTGGGTGGGGACGCAAATCCAAACCATATTGCTAGGTGTCTAGAGTAGTTCTCCCTGAAAACATGGCATTTAAGGTGAAACATGAAAAATGAGTCAACGTGGGATAAGCTAAGAGAATAGGATGAGAGAGTTAGTGTTTCAGGCATAAAGAACGCTGTGAGCAAAGGCCCTAAAGCTAAAAAAACCCATGGCATCCATCTTATACAGAGGAGGCCAATGGGGCCAGCAGGCAGAGAGCTGGCGAACAGTAGCATAGAATGTTACAGGGGATAAGCAGGGCCATGCCATGCAGCCACACACAGCCTGTGTTAGAACAGCAAACCTGGGCCAGGCACAGTGGCTCATGCCTGTTATCCCAGCACTTTGGGAGGCCGAGGTGGGTGGATTGCCTGAAGTTGGGAGTTTGAGACCAGCCTGGGCAATATGGTGAAATCCCGTCTCTACTAAAATACAAAAAATTAGCTGGGTGTGGTGGCAGGCACCTGCAGTCCCAGCCACTTGGGAGGCTGAGGCAGGAGAATCTCTTGAACTTGGGAGGCAGAGGTTGCAGTGAGCCAAGATCGTGCCGCTGCAGTCCAGCCTGGGCTGCAGAGCGAGACTTGGTCTCAAAAGCAAACAAACAAACAGAAACAGCAAACCTGTATTCCAGGAGTGAAGGAAAACTCTCAAGACATTCTAAACAGGGGAGAGACAAGGGCAGATTTGAAATTTGAAATGAGCAACTGCACTGAGACACCATTTTCATCCAATGTATTGAGAAAAAGTAAACCATATGATAATGACCAGGATTGGTGAGGATGTGGCAATTAAACACTCTCACATGTTGTGGAAGCAAATGCAATTTGACGCCTCCTTTTTGAAGAACAATTTAGAAAATTTTAAGTGACCAAACAGTTTCACCAAGAGAAATATAACCATGAATATACTCTCAAAATACCATGATTTAGTAAGACAACGAAATTCAATGAAGCACAATCTTTTATTTTTTAAGACATGGGGTCTTGCTATGTTGCCCAGGCTGGCCTCAAACTCCTGGCCCAAGCATTCCTTCCACCTCAGCCTCCAAAAGTGCTGGAATTACAGGTGTGAGCCACCACACCCAGCTCCCATCATCTTTAATATTAATCATTTCAACAACAAAAACTGGAAACAATCTAAATGTTCATCAGTAGGGAACCAGCTAAACAAATCCTGATACAGTCATGATGATTAAATACTAATGCTGCAGATCTGTTTGGACTGATATGGAAGATCTTAGAGGTATTGAAATCTGTGTAGTATAATTTCACTTACATACATACTGAATGGCAGCTATATATGTATGAAGATTATAAATTTACTTGTACTTTCAGATTCGGGTTACATTCTACAATCTCAAGAGCCATTTTGTGTGTTTCTGCTACACTGTTTCTTTACGTGTGACATGAATAGACATCTTTGCACCAGAGGCACTTTAGGATAAACCCCTGGGACATGTTTCAATGGGACCTCACATGAGTAAAACATTGCTATCCAATGCTTATCTAGAAGATCAAATTCTTAATCAGAGACCTCCACTTGAAGCCCACATTTTCCTCTATAATCTTCTGAAAGACTTAACTGTCAGCTAGCTTATATGGTGATTTTTTAGCTTTTTAGTATTTTTTTTCCTATCCAGTAACACCATTTTTTTTAATAAGTGCTCTCCCCAGGGAATTAATTATTACCTTGAAGAGTATATTCATATAGTTCCATCAAGATATCTTAAAAATTATCAAACTCCTGACAGACACACTGTGCAGCTTTTAAAAATCATGTAATGTACGTGTGTAGATTTTTTCCAACACTATTGAATCAGAAAATTTTTATTTGGGGATAGAAGACATTCTCTTTATCTTTTTTTCCCTTCCTTCTTGCTCTCTCTTTGTTAAATGCAGAAATCAAACTCACTGGCTGCTAATATCCAATGTGCACGTACTCATGCAAACAGACGTGTTACAGTCCTGCGTGAGAAGAAATCCATGTCACAAAACAAAAGGAGCTCTATGGACATGGGGACTCATCTCCACGCTGGCATTTGTTTTGCAGAGAGGAGGTTCATTATAGCACATCTTGTTTGCGGTTTATAAAACTTCGAGGAACCTGGTAACCATGCGGTACCTCACTGAGAAACAACCATCCTACCTGGTTTCCATATCCACGTGAGGAAACATAGAAAAAGAATGGAAAGGTGGGCCAGGCACGGTGGCTCATGCCTGTAATCTCAGCCCTTTGGGAAACCAAGTCAGGCCAATCACCTGAGCTCAGGAGGTCGAGACCAGCCTGGCCAACATGGTGAAACCCCGTCTCTACTAAAAACACACAAAAAATTATCTGGGTGTGGTGGCAGCTGCCTATAATCCCAGCTGCTCAGGAGGCTGAGGCAGGAGAATCACTTGAACCCAGGAGTCGGAGCTTGCAGTGAGCCGAGATCGTGCCACTGCACTCCAGCATGGGCGACAGAGCAGCACTCCATCTCAAGAAAAAAAAAAAAAGGTGGCAACTTCTAAAACAGCAACAGCTGCAGCCCTTATGGCAGCCACTTTTCATCCTTAACTCATGGCAGATCGGACCTTGTTATGGTACAAATTGCATAAAATGCCATGAAGCCTAATATTGGGCACTTGGAATTGTAAGCAGTGACAGGAGTTAAGGAGAGAGCTGCAGGGACCTCAGCCTCGCAAATTGGGGGTTGTGTGAATATATTTGGAAAACACAGGGAAGGAACCTCAGCAGCCATTCTGTGCCTGGAGATTAAAGGCAGCCCTGTGCAGTGATGTTGCGTGGGTGGCGCAGGCTGTTGTGGGGAGGCAACTTGAGGGGTACCTTCAGGACATGGCTTACTAGTGGTATCGTCTCAGGCCAGCAGTCTATCCTCATTAGTTTCCTCAACTAGAGCTATCTAGGGCTGTAACAAACTTACACTGGGATTCAGGAGCATGGGACAATGACTCTAAGTTGTGGGACTTCCTCCCCTCCCCAGATCTTTGACTGCATGAGTTAATTTGCGTGGGGAAAGAAGACCTGTAAGGAAGAAGTGTTTTGCTTGAGAATCTTATATTGGAAGAATAAGAAATAGAGTGAATCACCTTCCTCAGTCAATCCAAGGCTGTGGTAAGGGCTACAGGTGGAAGCTAAAGGAATTGTTTTCAAAGGGGCTTCTTTTTTTCTTTTTCTTTTTTTTTTTCTTAAACACTTGGTGAACAAGCAATGTGGTTCAGTGCTTGAAGCACTAAATGCCAATTGAAAGTTGAGAGAAACACGTCCTTTCCATGTCTGCAATAGATCAGCAATGGATGTGGGGTGTGAAACCTTCCAGCATCAAGAAAGGCACTTGATACAGAGCAACCATGTTCCGAAGAAGAACCCTGGCAGCAAGGCAGTGGCAAGGGTCCTTCTTTGGTTGGTCAGCTAGCAGTGGCTACCTCTCAGGAAGCTGAAGAATATGAACAGAATATGAAGCTAAAGAATATGAACAGGTCATAAGTATATGACCATGGGGAGATGCCTCCAAATATCCCCAGGGGCCAGTGTCAGGAGAGAACTGAGGACCTCCATAATGCAGATTGGAGCCTCTGCATGAATACAACCTACAGGTATTAATATCACCATAATCTCATTCACACCTCATGGCCAGTGGGATCTGGAAACATTCAGACAACCCATAGTGAAAGGAGGCTACTAGTATTCTCTCAAGCAGTCTTAGTAAGGATTAATAAGACAACCTGGGTGAAAATGCTAGCACAGCACCCAGGATGTAGTAAGCACTCTGCTCATTTTGTTTCCAAGCCTGACCTTATTTAAGAGACTTCTATAAAGATCAGTTTAGAATATTCATTCCTTACTGTGATTCTATACCATAGGAGATATGTACCTCATTTTTTTCATATTACGGAAACATAAACAGAAATAAATGAATTGCATGCTAATTAGGAAGGTGCTTATTATTTTACTCAGGTGACAAATAGCTCGGAAATAAACAGGTGAAACGTTTGGGGCTTTGCAGGATCTTTCAGTTCATTAAGGCAGTAGTGTATGAAAGAAATACTTCAGTGGTTCTAGAGGTGTGTATCACACATGGGTTACTATACAAGCCCGAAAAAAGATGGCTAAAAGGTAAAGTGGGAACAAAAAAGAATACTCTCTAAGGTCACAGACACACCAAGGGGTTGAAATAAAAGACCTCTATGGCATTATATTCTATTTATGATATTTCACTAAGTTGTTGTCACACTTGGAAAAAGCAGTCTCAACTTCTTACATGATACCGGTCAACAGCCATATTTGGGCTGATTTCAAGGTCATTAATGAGTTTCAATTGCCCCCCAAAGTCTTTTTTCCACTTGATTTCTAGTGCTTGGAAATTGTCCAATAGAATAAACACTTCTAGATTACAGCAGAGATGGCAAATTTATCACCTTCTGTGTTTGTATGTGCAGACATCACTAATCAATCACTGTTCTTTTCTGCTGAGTCACCTTTCTCAATACAGTACAAGCAGCCACTTCCAACCAAATATTGTTAAAACCATTTTCCATCTATCTGCCTTAATCCCTTGCTTTCTATGAAAATGCAAATATTTGAAGAAGAATACAAATTTAAGTTATCAGTCACTGACAACTAAATGTTAACCAAAAAAAGATTGAAAGCAGCACTTGCTCTGGCATTAAGGGAGAGAACTCAAGGGCTCTGGAATAGGAGGAGGGGAGTGGCAGAATCTAGGAGCTCCCTAAAGATAGACTTCACCTACTTAACAATTTTGCCTAAGGCCAGTGCTGCCAAAAGGACCAGTTCTCTCCAGGGCATCTATTTCAACCATTTACCATCAAATAAAACTTAAAACTGGCACATGAATTCTTAGGCCAAGGGCATTTTATTTTTTGAAATTTTAAAGTACTTGTTGGGTAAACTACTTTAAAAATTCAAGAGCCACAAAATAATCCCAGAAAGAACAGTGCAGGGGGAAGGTGAGCAAGGTGTAGCTCATTAAAGCGGGTGCTGTGTGTCTAAACATTGTGGACGCACAGGTGCTCTTGGGCATGCATACTTGCAAATGCCATCTACTTGCATAGTTAACAATCCTCTGCAGCACACTGGCAAGCCAACAGGGAAGGGAAGGCAAGATCAAACACATTTAGAAAGAAATTTTAGAACTTGGGCTTATGGCCTAGATGGAGTAACAGGGACCAGAGTTGCTTTCCCACCAGAAACAGCCAAAAATGAACAAGACATATGAACGACAGTTTGTAAAACACTGGACATCAGGCATCAAAGAACAGTGACCCTGAGAGATAATAAACAAATGAGAGGAACCTAATATCTTCCAAGCTTTCTGCTCTGAGAGGATCTCCAGCCATGGTGCAGGGAGTGGAGGGAATCTCCAGCCATGGTGCAGGGAGTGGAGAGAATCTCCAGCCGTGGTGCAGAGAGTGGAGTGAATCTCCAGCCGTGGTGCAGAGAGGGGAGAGAATCTCCAGCCGTGGTGCAGAGAGGGGAGAGAATCTCCAGCCGTGGTGCAGAGAGTGGAGTGCATCTCCAGCCGTGGTGCAGGGAGGGGAGAGAATCTCCAGCCGTGGTGCAGGGAGGGGAGAGAATCTCCACCCATGGTGCGGGGGATGAGGGAGAGAATCTCTAGCTGTGGTGAAGGGAGAGGAGAGAATCTCCAGCCATGGTGGAGGGAGGGGAGAGAATCTCCAGCTGTGGTGCAGGGAGTGGGGAGAATCTCCAGCCATAATGCAGGGAGGGGAGAGAATCTCCAGCTGTGGTGCAGGGAGTGGGGAGAATCTCCAGCCATAATGCAGGGAGGGGAGAGAATCTCCAGCCATGGTGCAGGGAGGGAAAACACAGGCATATGCAGGAGACTTCCTGAGTGGAGGAGAAAGACCTGAGAGTCCAGGGAAAATGCAGGAGCTAGAGTTTACATGACAGAGTGCCAGAGGATAGCTGCCTAGAGAAGAACTCCAGAGATCTGCAGAGAGTCCCCTTTGAGTATTTAGCTGAGTGCTGATCAGCACAAGCACATGAAGGCATTCTGGGAGACTATGAAAAGAATTGTCTGAAAGAATCAGATCACAGTTTTCCCATTTTGGCACAGTTGACGTTTTTGGCTGCACAATTCCTTGTAGGGCTGCCCCATATAGAATAGAATGTTCAGCAGCATCCCTGGCCTCTACTCACCAGACGGCAGTGCCACTCGTCTCCCCCTACATCCCACTTATGACAACCAAAAATGTTTCCAGGCATTGCCAATAGGAGACGTTGTCTTTCACTTCCAGACATTAGGAGGCAAAAATGGAAAACCACTGGAATAAAGGAAAGAGTGTCCAGTGCTGGGAACAGAGCTTGTTCCCATAAGCTAGACTGGAAAACTGGAAGAGTCACAGGACACTGGGTTAAGGATACATGGATGGGTCTTGCCTCAGTAGCGAGGAGGAATAATTAGACCTGGATTGACTGCTGTGGGAGTCCAACCTGACAAAACCTTAAGAGGAAAGACTAACAGAAGCAACCTATTTGCAAGCTACTTAGCTGCATTCCAGGACAAATCTCAAGAATATTTTAGAAATGTAAAAGTATCTAGCACCCAATAAGGTAAAATTTACAATGTCTGGAATCCACTTACAATCCATAATGAGGAAATCAATTAATCAATCAAAGCTGACACAGAACTGACACAGATATTAGAATTCGCAGACAGGAACATTGCAATAGTTATTAAATTTTTATTCTATATGATCAAAAAGTTAACAAGAGACATGGAAGTTTTTTTTTAATCTGATGTAAAGTTCAAAAAATGAATATTATAAAATGTGAGAATAAAAACTACAGTGGGTGGCCTTTTTGGCAGACATCAAAGAAGAAAAGATTAGTTTATTGGATGATATAATTATAAAAGCAGAGAGAGAAGGAATATTTTTAGAATGAACAGAGCATCTGGGAGTTGTGGGAAGACAAAAAGGGGCCTAACATGTGTGTAATTGGAGTCTCCAGAGCCGAGGAGAGACTGAGGACCACAGAAAAATTTGAAAAAAATCATTGCAGAAAGTTTTCCAAATCGGATGAAACCTACAAACCCACTAATCTAAGAAGCTCAATGAACCTTCAGCATAATAAACACCAAGTAAAATATGCCAAAGTACATCACAATCTAATAGCTCAAAACTGCCAATTAAGAGAAAATCATACAGAGGAACAAATATGGATGATAATAGATTTCACTTCAAATGAATATAAGTAAGAAGAAAACGAAGCAACATTTAAAAAATATGGAAATAAAAAACTATCAACTTACAATTTATACCCAGCAAAAGTATCTTCCAAAAGCCAAAGCAAAATAAGGACATCTTCAGAAATACAAACACAGCAAGGATTCATGACCAGCACACCTACATTATCAGAAATATTAAAGGAAGTCTTTTAGGTAGAAAGAAAATGTTCCTGTATGGAAATACGGATCTACATAATGGAATGAAGATGTTGGACTTAGTAACCATATGGTAACTATGTAAGATTTTTTCTTATTTAAATCTCTTTAAAAGATCATTGTTGGGTTTTATAACATATACAAAATGTATAACATCAATAGCATAAATGTCAGGAGGAGAGAAATAGAAATATACTCTTGTAAAGGTTTCATTTGTGAAACGGTAGAATATCACTTGAAGGAAGATGATATATGCGATAACCCCTAAAGCAAAAGCTGAAATAATAAAACAAAGAGTAGTAGCTCATAAGCCAGCAGAGGAGATAAAATGGAATCACAAAACATCAGATTATTACCAACAAAACCAGTAAAAGAGTAAGAGAACAAGGATGAGATGAGATGAAAAAAAAAGCAAGACGATTTTGCCAGTTATGAGTTTATTGGTTCTCAATTTTTAAAATGGGCAAAAAATTTGAACAGCTTGTTATGGGCTGAATGTTTGTGTCACCCAAAAGTTTCACATATGAGATCCTAACCCTCAATGTATATGAGGAGGTAGGGCTTTGGGGCAGTAATTATATCATGAGGCTGGAGTCTTTAGGAATGTGATTAGTGCCCTTCTGAAAGGAACCAAGAGCTCTCTCGCACACTTCCTACCATGAGGATACAATAAGAAGTCAGCTGTCTGTGACCCAGAAGAGGGCCCTCACCAGAATCTGACCATATTGGCATGCTAATGTCAGACTTCCAGCCTTCAGAACTGTAAGAAATAAAATACAGTGGTTTTTAAGCCACCCAGTTTATGGTATTCACTGGTATGGTATGTTACAGCAGCTGGAACAGACTTAAGACACAGATCCTACAGAAAAGATGATACATAATGGCAATACAAAATGAAAAGATTCTCAATGTCA
Source organism: Homo sapiens (assembly GCF_000001405.40). NCBI lineage: Eukaryota > Metazoa > Chordata > Mammalia > Primates > Hominidae > Homo > Homo sapiens. The sequence goes on from NC_000018.10 coordinate 25,396,260, forward strand.
TTAGTCATTAGAAACTGAAAATTAAAGTCAACATGAGATACAATTACACACATATTAAAATGGCAAAAAATATAATATGTGATCTCACTTAAATCTTCAAAAAGTGGGGGTCAAATACAAAGATATGGAGAATAAAACAGTGGTTCCATTGTTACCAGGGTCAGGGTAGAAGGAAGGAAATGAGAAGATGTAGATTAAAGGGTACAGAGTAGCAAATATTCAGAATGAACAAGTAGAAAGATCTAATGTAGAACATGGGGACTATAGTTAATAACAGTGTATTATACTCAGGATTTGCACTAAATGAGTAGATTATAGCTCCTCTTGCCACAGACAGGGAACATGGGTAACTATTAGATAATGGCTATGTTAACTTGTTCCATGACAGTATTTTTTTTACTATATATATATATGTATCTTACAACATCATGTTGTATACCTTAGTATACACAATAAAATTTATTTTAAAAAAGAAATAAAATAAATATTAAAAGACTGACCATACCTGGTATTGATGAGGATATAGAAAAAACTGGAACTCTCATACATGGCTAGTGGGAATGTACAATGGTACAACCACGTTGGAAAGCACTTTGGAAGTCTTTTAAAAAGTTAAACATACTTCTCTCATATAATCCAGCCATTCCACTGCTGGGTATTACATTCATATGTATTTATATGTTCATTGGAGCTTTATTTGTAATGGCAAAAAACTGGAAATACCTTATTGTCTCCATCAACTGATGAATGGATTTTCAAAAACTGTGGTTTAGCGATATATATGAGTATATTCCATTGCTCAGCAATAAAAATTACTTATCGATACACACAAGAATGAAAGTCATGATAATTACACTGAGTGACATAAGCCAGGCATCAGAGTACACTATATGTTTCATGTATTTAAAATTCTAGAAAATGAAAGTGAATTTCTAGTGGCAGAAAGCAGATCTATGGTTGCTGGGAATGGGACATAGGGAGGGAGGTGTGGGAGGCAAGTGATCACAAGAGGAAACTCTGGGGATGTGAATATGTTCATTATCTTGATTGAGGTGATGTTCTCATGGGAGCATAAATATATTAAATTGTACACTTAAATATATATACTTTAGTGTATATCAATTTTACCCAAATAAAATTGTAAAAATGGAAATTATAAGATTTTCTAGGAGACAGCCTAAAGGATTATATTTAACATTGATACTTAGAATAAAGACCAGCAGATATGAGTTCTAGTTCAACTTCTGTCTTTGATGTGTCTAGCTATCTTGTGACAGACAGATAAATTCTCTTGATCTTAGTTTCCTAACTTACAGACAGCTGATTTAGTGATCTATAGCATCCTTCAAGTTCGAACTCTAGTAATGGATAAAAGTGGATAGGAGGGAGTTTGAGTAGTGAAGCCCAACCTGGGTTTGAATTTCAGCTCTATCACTCTTTACTTGTGTGACCTGAGATAAATTATTCAACCCTTCTAAACTGTTAGAGAGTAAGTTCCACCAGGAAAGGCTGTATTGTTTTGTTTACTCCTGCAACCCAGGGCCTGGTATTAGATACTGGCATACAAATCAATGTTTTCTTTTTCGGCAAAATGAGAATATTTATAAGCCTCCTTGTAGCAGAGGCTGTTGATGTCCCTCAACCTCCATATCCCATTGTTCCAGTCCTAGGTTTAACTTTCACACAGGGAGACAGCCTCTGCCATGCCTCCCACCTCAAGCACAGGAAAGGCACCCGGGGCAGACATTGTCAAGAAGGGCAGTGGGTGCAGTGGCCAAAGGTTTTTCAGGAGCTGGCTGTCCCTGGGGGCTTTCTCAGGGCCAGTGGGCTTCTCACTTAATGCCCTGAGAAGTCATGGGGAGTGAGAGGCAGTGGATTAATGTCCCAGCCTCCCTGCTTTCTGGTGGGACAATTCTGAGGCCTGGGTCCTCAGTGAGACTGAGCCCCAGTTGCTCACAGTGGGACGCTACTCATCCTACGTCATTTCCTGGCTTCTCACCTTTCCTTGTTTGATTTCCCAGTCCTTCACTTGTGCTTCCTGGGATCACTTCCTAAATGAACTTCCTGCCTCTATGCCAATGGTAGAAATCCAAAAGAAGGTACCATCTCTTGTGGATCTCGTAGGGATGAAGTGAAACAGGATGTATAAAGTGCTTCGCCTACTGCCTGGTGGGTTTGTTTTCTGTTTTTTGATTGGTTTTGATTTGTTGCTAGTTTCTTTCAGAGATCCCAGAGAAAGTGACCCTGCTAACTTTGAGTTAACAAGAATGAGGGGGGAAGGGAAATCTGTGTGAGGAAAGACATGTGCCTGAGAATTTATAAAAGCAGAATCAAAACAATCTAGAGAAAAAGTAGATCATGCTATGGACTTAATTGTGTCCCCCAGAATGCATGTTGAAATCCTAAGCTCCAATGTGACTGTATTTGGAGACAGAGCGTTTAGGAGGTAATTAAGGTTAAATAAGGTTATATGGGTGGAGTCCTAATAAAGTAGGACTGTTGGCCTTATAAGAAAAGAAATCTCTCTCTCTTTCTCTCTCTCTCTCTGTTTGTCTCTCTTTCTTTCTTTCTCCACCTGAGCACAGAGAAAAGGTCATGGAAGAATACAGCAGGAAGGCAGCCTTCTCCAAGCCAAGAAAAGAGCCCTCACAGAGAACCTAATTGCCAGCACCTTGATCTTGGACTTCCAGGCTCCAGAACTGTGAGAAAAATAAATGTCTGTTGTTTAAGCCACCCAGTCTGTGGTCTTTGGTTATGGCAGCTTAAGCTGACTAATATACTCATGTACCTCAAACCCTGTATAGCAAAATATGAACCCGACTCAAGAGGAATGGAGATTTTCTAAAGCTAAAATTCCAATTATATTATTGCAATCCAAGTGAATAAGGAAAGTTGAAACTATTCAAAACCAGTGAACCAAACAAAACCAAATCGACGTGTAAGGTTGGTGGATTTAGTGAATACATTTTAGAGGAGATGCTCAGTTAAATTTGAATTTCAGCAAAACAACAATTTTTTTAGTATAAGTATGTCTCAAATATTACACAGGACACACGTATACTAAAAATTTATGTGCTATTTATCCGAAATCCAAATTTAACTGGGTGTCTTGTATTTTATCTGGCAAACATTGATGTGACTGTACGGTAAGCTCTCTAAGGAGCTCAAGCTTTCATAAAATGTTAAGTATAAAATGTGAAAAAAATGAAAGATTGATTTTTAAAGCAAAGTGGCTCACATTGCTGGAATTTTATAAGGAATTCTAAAACCCAGACTAAGTTGAGGCTCACAAAACAAATTAAAGACAAAAACAGTGTTTCTTTAAAAATTCAAGAAAAGCAGGAAAAATGCTGACTCCCCTATATGGAGAAAGTGGTAGAAAGTTGACAGTGATAGGAGACAGCTACTGAATGTGCATTCTGCTTTGTATTACTCACCAGGAAAAATGCTCTTAAAAAAAAAAAAAGCCAACTAACAGTCAGGTGAGTCAGGAGTTATCAGAGATGATCTGTCTCATCACCTTCAATGCACTAAGATTTATGTTCCAAATTGCTAAAATAAATGGAAGATGTGATCTTACAGACAGCTCTGCAAAATCTCAGACAATGAGAGAGAGAGGTGGCAGAAAACTGAAGGCAGGCAAATGTTCAAACTCTCAGAAATAGGAAGCAAGTAGGCAACACAGGATGTTACCGAGCGGGAAGTCCAGAATATTTCTAAGATGGGTTGCTCCAAGGAGAAAGTCAGGCCAAATGAACTTTATTTTCTTTGTTGTTAGGATTATTAAAGTAATGCACTGGGAAAACATTATAAGGGTAATGCACCCAGGTTTCAACAAGGCATTTGAAGAATATTTTCTATGATAACCTCATGGACAAGAATGAAACACGGGAATCACTTTTCTGTGGCTCTGAACTTAAATCCCACTTAACTTTGTTCATCATGTCTCAAATAAAGTTATGCTTACCAGATTTGCTGTAAACAAAAAACTGAAAAGAATAGTATATTAATTGTACTATTTTGGTTGTAAGTAAAGAAGTTCAATGTGAGGCCGGACACGATGACTCACGCCTGTAATCCCAGTGCTTTGGGAGGCCAAGGTGGGCAGATCACAAGGTCAGGAGTTCGAGACCAGCCTGGCCAACATGGTGAAACCCCGTCTCTACTAAAAATACAAAAAATTAGCTAGGCATGGTGGCAGGCACCTGTAATCCCAGCTACTCGGGAGGCTGAGACAGGAGAATTGCTTGAACCTGGGAGGCGGAGGTTGCAGTGAGCCGAGACCGCACCACTGCACTCCAGGCCAGGCAACACAGCAAGACTCCATCTCAAAAAACAACAACAAAAAGAAATTCAATGTGAAAGAACTAAAACAGGGATTAATTAGAAAGGTATCAGGCATATAACAGAACTTCAGGAATAAGAACTGGAAGGGGCAGAACCAGGATCTGGTGTCAGGTATTTGCTTTTGGACATGTGAGTCTGAGATATCCTTAGACATCTGGTAAGCAAGGCAGGCAGTAGGAGTATGGGATTACGGGAGGGTTCAGGATCGAAGAGGCTAGAGATAAAACGTAGGATTCATTGTGCATAGATGGTATTTCAAGCCAAGGGACTTGATGAGATCACTTAGGAAAGAGGAATTGAGGGAAAACAGAGGATCAGAAATAGAATCCTGAGGGTTGGGGAAAATGCAAAAGACAGCCAAGGAGGCTGAGAAGGAGGGATCAGTGAAGTAAAATAAAGACGAGGGGGTTTGTTCAAGAGACAAAATGAAAATGTTTCATGCAGGTGATAGCTCGCAGTTATGTCAAATGCAGAGGTTGGGCATGATGGGAACTGCCATACCATGTGATCACATAGTGACAAAGGAGAGGGAGGAGCAGCTCCTCTAACAGGGCACTGGCAAGGCAGTGCTGCAGGTTTCCACCACATGTAGCTAATGCAATAGATTAAAACAGAAGTCAAACTTATTTTGATAAATTGTAATGAGAAGCCTAAATCATCAAATAAAACTTAAACATGATAAATGCTAGGTTTGCATTTAGATTCAGACTAGAGACTATAAACTCAGTGTATATACGCATACAAAAGACTAAAAGAATATGCCTCCAAACATTAACAATTATTACCCAGAAGTGGTGGAGCTATAGATATTTTTGTTCTGTTTTATATTTTCCATAATTTCAAAATTTTATCTACAATAAATATTAATTGCTTTAGTAAACAGAAAAATATCATAAATGTTATAAAATACCAATTATGTATAAATACGGATGGGAAGAGTTTGTATTAATTTATGCAAAAAAACCCCAAACCCTTAACATGTTGAATAAGAACTTGGGTTGCACTAATAAAAGTATAATATGCATTGCTGTATTAATTCATCTGGAAGTGGGAAAACAGTACAGTTTTACTATTAGATAGTACACAAAATAAGAGGATAGGGAGGAAACTAGAAAGCATAACATGGGAAAAAAATTGAGGAAAATAGAAATGTGAATCTAGAGGAAAGACGTAAGTCACAGTGGTAAATATGATGAGTTGGCGTGTGGTGGAAAGAATTAGATACACTCAGCTCCACTTGTATCTTGGGAAGTCATGTATTTCTCTGAGTCCCAGTATCCTGATTGATGAAGTAGCAATAATCTTCCTCATAACGCTGATTTTTAGGTTAAATACAACAAGGTATGAGTTACCCTCTTCGCTGGCCTAGAACCCTTCATATGCAGAGCTCAGGAGCTCTTCTCTATCTTTTTTAAAAAATTACTCACATAGAAGCATTGGTGAGTTATGTAGATTTCACTGTAGATTGCATATGGTAGGCGATAGACACAGCACGTCCCAGAGCAAAATGCTTAAACCCCCCACCTCACACTGCTGTTCTCTGCAAAGTCTTTGCCACTGTGGTAATTGGGTAGCAAGTCAGGATGTGTATCAGGGGATCCTTCTCCCACCAAGACTCACTAACTTCTCTCTATCCCTCCAGGGTACCAGGATCTTCAAGTTCCTTTGCCTTCTTCCGTGAGATAATTTAATCCTCTCCCAATTCCTATCTTGAAACTTGAAAAACAAAACTTATGATACTCAGCAAAACAAGGATCTGCTCGTGTAGCAGAATCTACCCTCCTTAGTAAACCTATTTCTGTCCTGAGTGTGGCCTTTGGGATCTCAGAATCCCACCGTTACCTCCACCAATAAGTGCTATTTTGTCATGCAAACGTGTTCGGTGCTCTCCCCATGAAGGGTTTCAGGTGAAGAACCTTCTCCCATCCACTTACATATATCAAATATCTACCATAGTGCTGTCTGTCACCCAGCAGACGCCAGAAAATGTAAATAGTTATTATTTTCATTATGATGACTGTCTTTAAATATTTAAAAAGCTATGTGGAAGCGGAATGTGAAGACCTATTTTTGATAGCTCCCAAGACCCAATAGGACCAATTGGTATGTCACTGGGAGGTAGAATTGGCTCAGTAGAAGGCAGATATTGCCAGCAATTAGAACTACTCAATAACAGGGACTTCTTGACTTGTCTTGAATTGTCTGATCCAAGACAGAAGAGAGCAGGAGACAGTAGATGGGAATTTGAATGAGTTGACCTGAACTTTCCCTCCTGAAGGACATCTGCTGATCCTGTGAAAAGTGCCTGAATGGGTGAATGGGTTTGCCTTCTTTCCTGTTTCTTCCCAGTGTCACCACAATCTAAAGTTACTTTTTTTTTCTTTTTGAGACAGGGTCTCACTCTGTCATCCAGGCTGGAGTTCAGTGGTGCGATCACAGCTCACTGAAGCCTCGATCTCCCCTGCTCAAGTGCCTCTCCCACTTCAGCCTCCCAAGTAGCTGGGACCACAGGCATGTGCCACCATGCTCAGCTATATTAATTTTTTTTTTTTTTTAGAAATGAGATATTTTCATGTTGTCCAAGCTGGTCCCGAACTCCTGGGCTCAAGGAATACTCCCACCTTGGCTTCCCAAAGTGCGGGGAATATGGGTGGTGAGAGCCACTGTGCCTGGCCAAAGGTGACCAGACCACCATAAACCTGATTCTTTTTGGATTTTCTTTTTTGAAACAAAGTATCACTCTGTCACCCAGGCTGGAGTGCAGGGGTGCCATCTCGGCTCACCGCAACCTCCGCCTCCTGGGTTCAAGCGATTCTCGTGCCTCAGCCTCCCGAGTAGCTGGGACTACAGGCACCTACCACCACGCCCGGCTAATTTTTGTATTTTTAGTAGAGACGGGGTTTCACCATGTTGGCCAGGCTGGTCTCAAACTCCTGACCTCAGGTGATCCACCAGCTTCGGCCTCCCAAAGTGCTGGGATTACAGGAGTGAGCCACCGTGCCTGACCTGGATTTGGTTATGTATAAGACACACAGTGACAGAAACCTCCCCTGGAAGGGGTGAAGTCAACATAGCTACTAGTTTCCTGACACTACTTCAAAAGCATCAGGAAGAAAAGAAGAGTTAATACAGCTGTCCAGGCCACTGAAATTGTAGGATACAGAGCTGTGCTGTGTGCTGGGGCCTTGGTGGCTACAATGATCAAACCCAGGGAGGGGGGGAATGGGAACCAGATTCCAGGACACCCCAGGGGCTTTCAAGATACACTTATATTTGCCATTTTGCAATTTTTTCAGGGTGTGCAGAATTAGCTCAAAGTCTTCCACATGCCAGTGTGGCTTTGCCTGTAATATAATCTTTTTAAAAGGTTAAGTTAATCTTGTTAATGTTGCAGCATTTCAACCTAACGGTGCTCCATGCACAATCTAATTGGATTTTTATGTGTCTTTATTTAAAGAAATTTGTTTAGTGACAATGACAATTTGAGTATTACATGTAGGTCTCTTTTGTATAATATTGAAGCGAGATAGAGTACACACAGGTAGGCTGGGATAACAGATTTCTGATAGGTAGTTATCACCTAAAGCCTGTATCAGTTTAAGCACAAACCATACAGGAACTTATGTGTTCAATGATGTTGACTCTGTAAAATTAGAGCAAATGGATAGGTAGGTCTGAGATCACAATACTGGGAGGTTTCATGCTATGCAATGAGTAAGTCATGTGACTTCTACAGAAAATTCCACTCATTTCAATGGTGAATTGGATACTAGGTTGAATTTTTAAAGGCTATTTGTCCTAAGAGATTATGAATTTATACTGCCTCAGGTTGTATTCCATCATTATAAAAGTGCAGGAGTTCTCCGTAAAGTTTGTTTTACCAGCCAGAATTGGGAATTATATGTCTTGCAATAAATTCCTTCACATTTGCTGTTTGACATTTCAGAGGTAACCCCTGGCTTAACTGGCTGCAGGTAAAAATTAGAGGCATAACTGGTTTTAATAACAGTCTCTGGGTCTACTTATTTCGAAGTACTTAGCCAATGACATCCTTCTTTATGTAATATTTTTTATATTCCATGAAGTACATTTCTAACTTTTTTTTGAGATGTTAAATGGTTTTGTTTGCCTTTGTTTTTAGCTTGATTTTGCAAAATTTAACTCAGGTCTTTCCTTAAGAATGTGGTAAATGGACACGTTATGAAAGAAAATCTGGCCAGGTGTGGTGACTCATGCTTGTAATCCCAGCACTTTGGGAGGCCAAGGCAGGAAGATTCCTTGAGGTCAGGAGTTTGAGACCAGCCCAGGAAACATAGCAAGACCCCATCTCTATAAAAAATTTTAAAAGTCCAGCCTGATATGGTGGCATATGCCTGTAGTCCCAGCTACTTGGGAGGCTGAGGTAGAAAGCTTGAGACCAGGAGTTCAAGGCTGAAGTAAGCTGTAATTGCACCACTGCACTCTAGCTTGGACAACAGAGCAAGACTCTGTCTCTAACTTAAAAAATAAACAAAGATGAAATAAAGAAAATCTTACTGATTTTTTTTTTTTTGGAGATTTCAGATCTAGGTTATGCTTTAAAGCCTTCATTCTGGAAGCTGATAGAATTGCACAGTGTGTAGATTTGGGGTTAATTATTTTTCCCAGGTGTTTCAGGTCTTATTTATATACATTTACCAAACTGGAGGATGTATAAGTGTTTTCTTGGAAATTCTAATGATCATAATGTAAAGGAAAACAGGAAAAACAGAGTGTGGGAGAGAGTAGGAGGAAAAGTGAAGCTTAAGAAAACAGAAAATGATGATTACCATTTTAGTTCTCCCTGGTGGTGGGAATAGGAGTAGGAAAAGATCAACTCATAATTGGGAAAAGAAATTTGATTGTTAGAATAAGAGATATAGGAAAAAAAACAAAGTATGTTTCCTACTCCTTACTCTCTACTTAACACAACACTTCCGACATCAGATGTCTAGGGATTATTTTCCCACACAGCAAGTAACTCTGCAGTGAATGCCAGCTCGGTGTCCTCCGATTCAGTTCTGGCACTATTTACCTGCGGATAGTGTCAGATCCCACAGGTTGAAGGCTCGGTCCCACAAGACTGCCCCCGACTTCAGATGCTAATTGCAAATAGCAGGTTGTCACCTATGCTTCTGACTGGCTATAAATTGGGGTTTCCATGATCCCCTCCTTGGGTTTGATTAATTTGCTATAGCAGCTCACAGAACTCAGGGAAACACTTTACTTAGGTTTGCCCATATATTACAAAGAATATTTTAAAAGATAAAGATAAGCAGCCCTATGGAAGAGATGCATAGGGCGAGCTATGGGAGAAGCGGTGAGGAACTTCCATGCCCCCTCCAGGTGGGCAACCCTACAGGAACCTCTACATGTTTAACTATCAGGAAGCTCTCTGAACTCAGTTATTTTGGGTTTTTATGCAAACTTCATTACGTAGGCATGATTGATTACATCATTGGCCATAGGTAAGCCATTCAACCTTCAGCCCCTCTCTCCTCCGTGGAGGTGAGGAGTGTGGCTGAAAGTCCCAATCCTCTAATTATGCCTTGGTTTTCTGGGAATGAGCCCCCATTATGAGGCTACCAGTAATTCCTTTCACACACAAAAGACACTCTTATCCCTCTGGAAACCAGAAAAAAACGACCATATATATAATCCTATATAATATATATAGTACATATAATCTTATTACAAATCATAATATCACAGTTAGTGAACTTTCTTTTCCAAGACAAAGAGCAGTGACAGGCAAGGGAAGGGATAGGACACATGTGCTGTTCCATGTGCCACTGAAAATTCTACCTTTGCAGCCTTTCTTGGAAGGATTAGAAGGCATCCACAATCCATTTTAAATTTTTTAAATAAACTTTATTTTAGAATGGTCTTCTACCTAAAGGAAAGTTACAAAGAAAAAAAGTTAGCCAGGTATGGTGGCACGTGCCTGTAATCCTAACTACTTGGGAAGCTGAGGCAGGAGAATCGCTTGAACCCAGGAGGCGGAGGTTGCAGTGAGCGGAGATCATGCCATTGCACTCCAGCCTGGGCAACAGAGTGAGACTCTGTCCCCAAAAAAATAATAAAATAAAATAAAATAAAGAAAAGTTGTAAAGAGGGTACAGAAAGTTCCCATATCCCCCACATCCAATTTCCCCTCTTATTAACATATTATATTAGAATAGCAATTTTGTTAGAATTAATGAATGCATATTGATGCATTATTATTAGCCAAAGCTCATGCCTTATTCAGATTTCCTTAGTTTTACCTGATATCCTTTTTCTTTTCCAGAATTCCATCCAGTACACCACATTACATTTAGTTATTACATCTCTTTAAGCTTCTCTTGGTCATGACAGTCTCAGAGTTTCTGTGTCTTTTATTATGTATGAGGAGTACTGGTCAGGTATTTTATAGAATGTCCCTCAATTTGGGATTGCCTGATATTTTTCCCATGAGATTGGGGTTATGGGTTTTGGGGAGGAAGACCAAAAAGTAAAATGCCATTCTTATCACATCGTACCAAAGGCACACACTATTGACATCATGTTCACCTTGTTAACATGTGACGTTCCCCTTTATCACCTGGCTGAGGTAGTGTTTGTCAGGTTTCTTCAGTGTAAGGTTATTCTTTTCTCCCCTTTTCTATCCTTTACTCTTTTGAAGAAAGTCACAATATGCAGCTCATACTTAAGGAGAGGAGAGTTATTCTTCGCTCTTTGGGGGCCATCCGCATAAATTATTTGGAACTCTGCTGCACAGGAAATTTGTCTATTCTCATTGACTTATTTATTGATTCAATCACTTCTCTATAATAGTATGGACTTAAAGATATTTATTTTATATTTTGGATTGTAATACAACACTACTTTCTTTTTGTTGCTCAAATTGTTCCCATTTGGGCTATTGGGAGCTCCTTCAGTTCACTTGGCTCCTATGTCCTTTGGACATCCTCCCATCATTGAGTTTTCTTTCTTTACTTTTCTTTTTTTTTTTTTTTTTTTGAGATGATGTCTCACTCTGTTGCCCAGGCTGGAGTCCAATGGCATGATCTGGGCTCACTGCAACCTCTGCCTCCCGGGTTCAAGCAATTCTCCTGCCTCAGCCTCCTGAGTAGCTGAGACTACAGGCATCCACCATCAAGCCCGGCTAATTTTTTGTATTTTTAGTAGAGACGGGGTTTCACCGTGTTAGCCAGGATGGTCTCGATCTCCTGACCTTGTGATCCGCCCACCTCAGCCTCCCAAAGTGGGATTACAGGTGTGAGTCACCATGCCCGGCCGCTTTCTTTCTTTTCTTGAGCACTTTCTTAGTTTCCGATAGTTCAAGATCCTCTAGTCCCATCTTGTATACGATGCTTTCAGTTCTAGAATCAGCCATTTCTTCAAGAAGCACTGGTTTCTCTTGTTGGAGAATCTTATTAGAAATTAAGGTCTGGGTGCAAGGTGTGCCACTGGAGTGTTGTTGCTTCCAGGTTCTCTCAACTGAAAAAGCAAATAAACATATGTGTGTATGGACCTGCTTGTGTACACATATCTCTACATATTTCTGTACATCACCATCTATATCTATATTAAACTTAACAGAAGTTTGTACCGATGTCTTCGACTTCAGTCTTTCACTGCATGCATGGCCCATTCTATCTTCCGCCCCTTGCTTATCTGTAAATTCCCACTCCAACAGTGAAAAACCTGATTCCCATTACTCACTGTCTGTTTATTTAATTGTTCAATTCCAGCACACATATATAGTGGTATCAGAATTATTCTTACCCTCGGGGAAACAATTTTATTAACTAGAGTACCGTGCTTGTGTCCAGTTCCTTTTGCTGTTAGTCTTACAGACTCCGTTCATTTCCAAAACTGCTTAGGTCAGCACCTTTCCCCCACATCTCCTTCAGTGAAGTTGCTCCATGCATGTATAATACAGTTAGATTCTCAGGTCACAGTCTGCATTCCATCTTGAGATCCCTCGACCTCCTAAGTGATTTCTAATAATTGCACACATTAGGTTTCATTTTTTATGCCATAAAGTTTTATGTGTTTTGACAAATGCATAATACCATGTATCCAACGTTACTGTGTCATATGCAAGAGTTTTAGTACCCTAAAAAGTCCACTGTGCTTCACCTACACAACTGTTCTCCCCAACCCCACTCTTTTGGGACCTCTGGCAACCACTGATTTGTTTATTATGTCTGTAGTTTTGCCTTTTTCAAAATGCCATATAAATGGGATCATAGAAGTATGTGGCCTTTGAAGTTTTTAATTGAGGTAAAGTATACATAACATACAATTTACCACCTTATCCACTTTTAAGTGAACAGTTCAGTGGCATAAAATACACTCACGTTATGGTGCAACTATCACCACCATCTATCTCAGAGCTGTTCACCTTACAAAATTTAAACCGTGTACCCATCAAACATGAACTCCCTATTCCCCCGCCCATGGCAACCACCATTTGGCTTTTTGTCCCTGTGGACCTGACTACTCAGATACTTTGTATAACTGGAATCATATAGTATTTGTTTTTTTGTGACTGGCTTATTTAACTTAACAAAATGTCTATAAGTTTTTTCCATATTTCAGTATGTGTTAGGATTTCCTTCCTTTTTAAGGTTGAATAGTATTCCACTGATATATTGATGCTACAAACACAGATGTACAAATATCTATTCGAGTCTCTGCTTTCAATCCTTTTAGTTATATATCCAGAAGTGAAGTTGCTGGGTCATATGGTAATTCTATGTTTCATTTTTGAGGAACTGCCATACTGTTTTCTATAGTGACTGCATTATTTTACATTCCTACCAGCAGTACACAAGAGTTCCAATTTCTTCATATTCCTGCCAACACTTGCTATTTTCTGTTTGTTTTTTCTAACAGTTTTTCTAATAGGTACAAAGTGATATCTCATTATGGTTTTGATTTACATTTCTCTAAAGATTAGTGAGTAATGTTAAACATCTTTTCCTGTGTTTACTGGCCGTTTACTTGTCTTTGGAGAAATATCTATTCAAGTTAGATGCTTTGCCTCTTTTTAAATTGGGTTGTTTGGGTTTCCTTGTTGTTGAACTGTAGGAGTTCATACTGTAGGAGTTCATATATAATAAATATATTCTGGATATTAGCCACTTATCAGATACATGATTTGCAAATATTTTCTCCCATTCTGTAGTTTGCCTTTTTATTCTGTTCATAGTGTCTTTTGATACATATAAGTTTTTAATTCTACTATAGTTCAATTTATTTTTTTTCTTTTGTTGCCTGTGCTTTTGGGTCATATCCAAGAAATCATTGCCAAATCTAGTGCCATGTAGCTCTTCCCTTATGTTTTCTTCTATGGATTTTATAGTTTTGGCTCTTACATTTGGAACTTTAATCTGTTTTAAGTTAATTTTTGTATTAGTATGTAGCTTTTTAGACTGGCTTCTTTCACTTAGGAATATACATTTAAGATTCATCCATGTCTTTCGTGACATGGTAGCTCATCCATTTTTGTTACTAAATAGTATTCCATTGCATGGATATACCACAGTTTGTTTATCCATTCACCTATTGAAGGACATCTTAGTTGTTGCAAGATTTTAGAGATTATTAAATAAAGCTGCTATATTTATTTTAGATGTTGATACAAACAGAAGTTTTCAAATCCGTTAGGTAAATATCCAGGAGTACAATAAACTGCTGGGTCAAGCAGTAAGATTATATTTAGCTTTGTGAGAAACTTCCAAACTGTCTTCCAAATAAATTATACCATTGGCACATTCATCAGCAAAAAATGGGAGTTCTTATTGCTCCACATTCTTACTAGCAATTGGTATTGTCAGTTTTTTGGATTTTAGCTCTTTTAATAGGTATTTATTGATATTAATTTTAAAAAAGTTACTGCTTTATTTGGATAGTTTGTATACCATAAAATCTACTCTCTTCACATATACAATTCAGTTTTTTTTTAAACTGAATTGTATATTCACAGAGTGGTACAACCATCATAGCTATCTACTTTTAAAACATTTTCATCATTCCAAAAAGAAAACTCTTCCCCATGAGCAGTCACTCTCCACTTTCCTCTCCCCTACCCTCTGGCAATCATGAATCTACTTTCTGTCTCCATATATTTGCCTATGCTGGAAATTTCCTGTGAATGTAGTCATATAATATGTGGCCTTTGTGTTGGGCTTCTTTCATTTAACATAATATTTCAAAGTTTGATCCATGTTGTAGCATGTAGCAGTACTTTATTTATTTATTTATTTTGAGACATGGGCCCTTTCTATGCTGCCCAAGCTAGCCTCTAACTCCTAGGCTCAGGCGATCCTCCCGCCTCAGCTTACCAGGTAGCTGGGATTAGCATGCTTGGCTTAGAACTTCATTTTTTAGCTGGATAATATTCCATTACAGATATATCACATTTTGTTTATCCATTAATTAAGTGATGAACATTTGGGTTGTTTCTACCTTTAGGCTATTATACATAATGCTGCTATGAACATTTGGACATATGTTTTCAGTTCTCTTGGCCATATACCTAGGAGTGGGATTGCTGGATCATATGGCAACTCTATTACCTTTCTGTGGAACAGTCAAGCTGTATTCCAAGATGTTACATTATTTTACATCCCCCCCACCCAGCAATGTCTGAGTATTCCAATTTCTCCACATCCTTACCAACTCTTGTTATTGTTCACCTTTTTGATTATAACCATTATAGTGTATGTAAAGTGGTATCTCGTTGTGGCTTGATTTGCATTTTCCTAGTGATTTTGATCATCTTTTCATATGCTTGTTGTCCAGTTGTATGCCTTTGTTTTTAAGAAATGTAGATTCAAATGCTTTGCTCATTTTTATGGTAGATTATTCGTCTTTATATCATTGAGTTTCAAGAATGTATATACTTTAGATACAAGTTCCTTATCAGATATATGATTTGCAAATATTTTCTCTCATACTGGATTGTCTTTTCACTTTCTTGATGGTGTCTTTTGTAGCATAAAAGTTTTCAATTTTGATGAAGCTCAATTTATATATTTTAGTTTTGTGGATTGTGCTTTTGTTGTCATATCTAAGGAAAGTATTGCTTAATTCATGGTCATAAAATTTTACTTGTGTTTCCTTTTAAGTGTTTTCTATTTTTACATCTCTTACATTCGAATCTGTGACACATTATTAGTTATTTTTTATGTAAGGAGTGATGTATCATTGTTTTATTTGCATTCACCTTCTGATAAATTATGCTGAGCATCTTTTCATACACTTATTTGTCTTCTGTATATCTTCTTTGGTATGGTGTCTTCAGATATTTTGCACATTTTTAAATTGGGTTCTTTTTCTTACATTTGGTTTTAAAGGCTCTTTGTATATTTTGAATATAACTCCTTTATCAGGTATGTGGTTTGCAAATATTTTCTTCTAGACTGTGGCTTGCCTTCTTATTCTCTTAAGTGTCTTTCACAAGCAGAATTTTAGAAAAATTAAGTCCAACTTACCAATATTTTTCATTGATTATGCTCTTGATGTAATATCAAAAAACTCACCATCAAATCCAAGGTCATGTAGATTTTCTCCTGTTTTCTTCTAGAACCTTTGTAGTTTTTCATTTTACATTCACGTCTATGATGCATTTTTAGTTAATTTTTGTGAAAGATAAAAAGGTCAGTGTCTAGGTTCATTTTTTCATATATGGATGTCCAATTGTTCCAGCACCATATGTTGAGAGACTGCGCTTTTTCTATTGAATTGACTTTACATCTTTGTTGAAAATCAGTTGATTATATTTATGTGGTTTATTTATGGGCTCCCTATTCTGTTCCATTGATCTGCATGTCTATTTTTTCACCAATACCATACTGTCTTGATTCATATATCCATTTTTTCATTCATGTATTTATCCATCCATTTATTTAGCATATCCTTAGTAAATATTTATTATCTTCCTCATGCAAGATATTGTGCTAATACTTCAGACAACAAAGATGTTTTAGACATGGTAGCTGACCTCTAAGAGCTGTCATACAGTCTGGGAGGTGGGATGGAGATGGTTGCAACTCCCACACAAATTGTGTAAAACAAATCACAAGGTGAAAATGCTATAGGAGATGCATAGAGTAAAAGACACTTTTCAAAGAGGCTGATATCAATACTGACTTAGAATAAGGAGATTTGAGCAGGGACTTGAAGGATGGATAGGATTTAAATAAGATTGGAAAGTGGCTGTGTCAAGGTGAAAAGAACAGAACAAGCCAAGTGAGGGGGGAAGTGCAAAGTCTAACAGCTGTGTCCAATTGAAGTATAATCAAAGCCTTGTGTGCAATTTTAAATTTTCTAGTAGCTGTACTAAAAAAGAAATCCTTGAAATTAATTTTATATTTTATGTAACGCAATATATCCAAAACACCGTCATTTCAGTGTGTAATCAATCTTAAAATCCTATATGTAGATTACATTTATCAATTTGGAGCAGCCACATTTCAAGTGCTGAATGCCACGTGTGAATTGTGGCTACTATATTGGACAACACAGGTCTTGGAGGCCAGTTGTGAGAAGAAAGGTTGCAAAGTAGGTTGGGTCCAAGTTATGCAGAACCTTGAATACTGGGCTGAAGAATTTGAACTTGATTCTGTAACTTACGGATAAACACTGACACTTTTGAGCAAGTAGTGACTCCTAGGTGCTCCTCCCCTGGACTGGCAGTCCTGGATAGGTACTCAATACAGGTGTACTGAATGATTGTTGAATTATCAGAGCAATACTTTGTAGAGATTAACTGTGGATATATTTAATGACATGGAATTGAAAACTTTGAGGACTTATGCCTAGGTTATTTGAATTTAAACCACATGATATAGAAGTTCTTGGTTGCTGTTTTTTAATTTTTGCTTTCTGCATGAGGAAAATTACTGCCTAAAATATTATTTAGTGTATGTATGACAATCTTTTGTAGTGTTGTATCCTTTGTTGTATTGAAGTGTGACTAGGACAACCTTATGTTTTTGGTAGCCTTTGGGGATGGGTCTGCTTACACATTTCAATTGCTTAAAAAAAAAAGAAGTGGTTTTCTTAAAGGAAATGGGTAGAATGATAGGTTGAAGATATGACTGTTGTATACATTTTTGTTTTTTTGAGAATGCTCTCTTGACAGTAAAGAGCTGGGAGCCCTTTAAAATGAGGGTGGTAATAGTGTTAAAATCCCAGTCCTTGGCTGTGAAGAAAACCAACCAGGTACTTGGATTTGTTGTGATTGTGGGTGCCACTCTTCTTGCCAAATCTATTCTCACAAACTAGTAGGGGATCAGAGCTGAAAAGCTTTCTGTTTTTTACTTATTTCTTTTTCACTTGAGATCATTTCCAAAGACTGATAGTGAAATATCTATCAAGAGGCCATGCTAAAATAACAAATGTAATATTTGCCTGCAGGGGGTATGTGTGGGTGTTACATTTTGGGCCTGTCAAACTTGACAGTGTCCTTTTAAGCTTTTCAAGAGAAAACCTTATAGTATTAGAGCCACATTTTCCATCAGCTGTGACATATTTCTGCATGTTAATCCTCAGATTTCTTTCTCCTTTCTCCTTTGTAATTAAGCTAACTTGGTTTTCAGAGGCTTGTGGTTTTAATATCTTTTTTTGTGGAATTGAAACAGCATCAATTTGGATTTTAACTCTTTTATTAGATTAGTTTTTAATTAGTTTTAACTCTTTTATTAGAATTAGTTATAGACGTACAGGCATACCTGGTAGCATTTATTAACACCAGCCTCAGAGAGCTTTGCAGGCTTTTCACTGCTGCTTTTGTTTCTTAGCACAGTAAATGGCTGTGAGCTGGGTCTTTGTTGCCAGGTCATGGTTGGAAAATATCAATTATTACAGAACATGTGTGCATTTGAGGAATTGTCTCCATGTAAATAAGAAGGGCATTTCATTGGAGTTGCTGCCGTTTTAAGCCACGGTCTCAACACACAGGCAAAAATTTTACTTTGGTCCCCTAGAAAATGGAAGGTAGTGGTGAGGGATGGGGGTGCCTTTTTCCAAGCAAAATTCTTGAGTAAATGCAAAGTCTGACATGATTTTATGAGAGGTTTCTTCTTTAATGATGTAGTATAAGAAAATAACACTACTTTAGTGCTTAGCAGTAATTAAATATAAATTGCTCCAGTCAAGAAGTGGTTTCAGAAGTAATATACCTAGTGGCTTTGGAACCAGAAGTTAGGTTTAAGTTCTGGCTCCACCAACAATTGCTGTGTGGCCAAAATCTTTCTAAGACTCATTTTTTTGTCTGTAAAATAGGTTAATAATAGCAACCTCGTAAGATATTTGTGAGGTTTAACACGGTAACTATATTCGGTTCCTAGCACATGCCTGAATGGTAGTTATTGGTATGAAACAGTGCTAAATGCTGTGTTTGGTTTGCAGGCCAATAGCTCACTTGCTCTATTCTTTTTGATTGTCTCTCTGGAATGACATAGAGTAAGGCAGTTGTGGTGACCAACTCTGTCTCCTGAGGTGGGATCATAAGTGGTGGATGACCCCAGCCGCTCCCTTTCTGGATCCACCACTGTGACTACACACCTTCCACTGCCTGTTCCTGTCAACAGCTGAGTGTGGTGGGAATCCTAAAGCAGGTCCATTCCAGCAAAAAAAACTCCTGTCCCATGGGCAACCTTGGCTGGAGGACTCCACGGTGACTTGGCTGAACCTTTCTTAAAACTGCTCAGTTGCTACCTCTTTCATCCCAATCCTCCTTCCTTCCACAGGTGCTGGAACTGTACAACTGTCTGCAAGTGCCCCTGCCTGCTCCAGCCCCCTCCCCTATTTGCTCTTGCAGGGCTAATCCCATCTTGGTACCTCCTTCTTGGCTGGCCTGAACTAATGCCGCAGTCCATGCCTGGTTTCCAGGCATTTGTAACTTAGAGCTCAATTTAATTAAAAATAATACTGCTTCCAAGGAATGCTCCAGAATTAAACCAATTTAGGTCCTAGAATGAAAAAGAGGATAGAATTGAGAGGACAATGCATCCAGTCAAAAAAGAGATGGAAAGACCTAGAAAATAAGGTGAGAAGAGCATTTCCCCTTGCCTCAATTGTAGTGCCTTTCCCATTTCCGTGGTGCTGAGCCCATGCCAGGTGCAGATGCCCTCAGCACGATGCCCTTCCCTCTGGCCTCTGTCTCCTGCACCACTTGTCTTCTTGCCCCTCACTTAGCCCTGAGTATAGCCCACTATCTAGTATTTCAAGTGAAACAGGTCCTTAGTTTGATTTGTGTTCCTTCAAGGATGGAAATGTATTTTTGCTATTTTCCTATCCCTCTTAGCTCCTATCACAGAGGGCTCTTGGTTTTATTTGCTGTTGGCTAAAAAGAGAAAATCAAGAGACCCATTAATGCTCAGGATACAAGAATGCTGGGCAACTCCCAGTTCATGCTCTCTGTTGGGAGGGGCTTTCTGGGTAGCCCCCGGACAACCTTCACGAACGGGAGGTTATCAGAAGTGTTACCACTTAAAATATCTATTTTTTGCCTTAGTTCATTAGAGTGTTCAGCTATTGATCCCACTCTGATTATGATGAATCTATTTGGCTTTATGCTGAAATATTTCCCTGTAGCGATGAATGATGTCACTTTCCCTTCTCAAGTTCTAAGGGGTAAATCTGTTCAGTAAAAATAATCAAGAAGATAAAGAGTCACAATTTGGAGAACAAGAGTGAGTTGTAAGAACAATGTTGCCCCAATGTTGGGGGCAACATTGGACCCACAGAAAGGGGAGATTACATTTAGTAGGGCTCTAGGGCATCCTCATTGGGGAGCACCACAGGCTCTGACCCCAAGGAGGGGAAAGAGAACGCATAGAGGCCTCTGGAGATCAAAGATGCTTCCAGGGGTGGCCGTTAGATTCACCACATGTCTGTCATGGAATTAGACATGCCGGCTACCCCACACTTTTATTCCCTGGCCTCCCTGCTGGCTCTCTGAGTTCAAACCAAAAGTGCATGGGGAGGGGGGCCATGGGGGGATTGAGGAGGGCTGATGGGAAAAGGCAGCAGAGAGCAGATTTAGACAGTTCTGTTCACAAGGTGCTTTCACTAAATTCTCCAGCAGAAATGGAAAAAAAAAAAAAAAGGCCTGGTGTTTCACACAATCCCTTTAGGGGCAATTTTATCTCGCTTTGCTAAAAATTGGATATGTCTTCCTAAGTCTTCTAGAGCCATTGGCTCAGCAAGAGTTTGAAGTGTTGTGGCAGCGACTCTGACTTTTTCCCTTGCCTCATCCTCTCCCACTCACCCCCTGCCTCTATTTTTCTCTTTTATGTGGATCTATCTGTGTCTAATTTAGATGGCAAGTTCCTTAGTACTGTATGTTATAGTGTCTAGCATACTGTGAGCACTTATAAATGTTAAATGATAATAATGATAATAGGAGAGCCCTAAAGGTGCCAGCTGCTTCATTTCACTTGAGAGAAGAGGGTTTTCACTGCAGACTGTAGTTTAAAAAATAAGGGCAGTGGGGAGGGAAGGCATATCGGCTTTCTTAGGCAAGGAGGAGGACAGAGAGAGGCAGATAGGAATTTGCCATATAAAAGAAAATGAATTAATAAAAAAAAATGGTCAGCTAAAACCTCAGGATGGAAACAAGAATTCAGTACCTGGTATTCAGTCTCATAACCCTTTCAAAAATTGCTTGTCCAAAGTTTCAAAGAAATATGAAACATTGATAACCTAAAAAGGATGCTGCGTCCACTTTCAGCCATGCAAAAGGAGAGCTGTGGGTAGTGAAAGACCCCCGACTCAGGCCTCAGAACCCCTAGATACTAGCCCTAATTCTGCAGCTAACTGGCTCTAGAACATTTGTTGAAATACTTAACTTTTCTATTATCTGCTTTCCCATTCACGAGTGAGGGGTGAGGCCAATGCAGGGGACAATCTACTAAATAATCTCAATGAGTTCTTCAAGTTCTGAAATTCTGTGTGCCACTGGCTAATAGCTGCATGATATCTACCATTTTCTTGAACACTTACTATGTGTTAATCTATCAGTTTCATACGTATTACCTCATTCAACATTCCACTCTGCAAAAAAAAAAAAAAAATTGTCACTATCTGTAGTTTACAGATGAGGATACAGAGGCAGAGAAAGAATAAGGACTTGCTCAAAATGCCACAACTGGTGGTAGAAGGAGGAGTCAACACCATCCTTGTCTGAATCTGAAGCCAGTGTGCTGACCCACTTTGCTACGCTCTACAATGGCCTCTCTTGAGCCAGCCCCAGGTGGCCCCATGAGTTGAGCCTGGAATGCACAATAATGTTCCGGATGTGCACAATATAACACTGTTCAAACTGGAAGAGTCTCAGAAATAACTTAGGGTAGCAACTGTGTTTAGAATATTCAGTTCAGCCATACCTTGCTCACAGAGGCTGAGATTACTTAAGAAGACACTGATTAAGCACTAGCTATTCCTATATATACCAACTCATTTAATCCTTACAGCAACCCTATCATGCTATCCTGAATTTTACAGGTGAGAATTCAGTGGCATTGAGGTTCACTGTATCCAGGCTAGATGAGGGTGGAGGTGGGCTTCAGTCCCATCTCTGGCTCCCTAGGATGGTGCTGCTCCATCACACTCTACTGCCTGCCCAGCAGCTCTCGTGGTTACTCACTGGCCTAGTTCTGTTTTGCTGCGGGTTGCAGGGAGGTATGGATGCAATGGAGACAGAACTCAGTCTCCCCCACTTTTCACCTTTTCCTGACCCACGTGCACCTTCAGGACTAAGACGTGCTAGACTCTCCTCTCTTCTCCTTGTGATGATGATGCAGGAGGCAGGGAAATTAGAACAAGCTACACTTTCCGCTGGTAGTTCTTGTTTGGAATAAAGGAAAACATTGACAGAAATTCTCCTTTCATGACGGAGGGTGGGAGCGAAACAACTCACATTTCCTCCTCCTTCCTTAGCCAAGTGCTTGCCTGCTCCACTCGGAGCAAAGGTGAGGACTTGGGGTTGCGGGAGCAGCAACAGCAGCCCATCCACTGGCTTTGCTGGTGGCCTTGTCACTCAGTCAGTGGGGAGAAGAGGCCTCATCTCTCCTTCGGAAGGGTACTGGGTGACCCGTTAGACCTCATACGTCCTTAATACAGAAAACAGCTGAGGAAGCTGGGTTTGGCTACCTTAAATTTCGATTTTGCAGCAACAATCAAAACAAACCCACTGTCACTGCCCTTGTTGTCCGCACAAGAAAAATGATAGATGCAGATTCCCAGAGAAAGACGTTTTGACAAATAACAGCCATAAATAGCTGAGGATGCTTCTCATTTTATGTTGCATCCTTCCCTTCCTTCCTTCCTAGTCTTCGTCATTTGAAAACTGTCATTAAGACGTGTTCATTCTTATGTGGTATTTCTACATATATTGATATCAAAAGAACTTGAAGTTATATTTTGCTACAAGAAAAAACAAGATGAAGTATAGCATATATGCGCACTTTTATTTTTTGTTACTAAAATATATATATGATATACATATATCACGTATATATATTTTTAAACAACAATGAAAACAAGGCTCTTTCTAGATGGGTACAGGGGACAGGCCCAGGGTAATGCATGCAGCCAGTGTGTGTAAAGCTGTCTACATAAAAACCATAGTAAGGAGCAATATCCCTTAGTTGTTCCCCACTGCTCCAGTTGCTTGGCCCAAGGAAACGCTTGTAAATTTAGACACACACATAAGTTTTTTAAGTATAAATATGTACATACACAGACTATTTCTGGAAGAATAAACAAAAATTGCTACAAATAGTTGTTTCTAGGAAGGGACACTGAAATCAGGGTCCTTTTCATTATAAGCCCTTTTTTGATATTTTTAAACTTTTAAACTTTTTATTATTTTATTTGTGAAAAGATGATTGTAAAAGGAAAATAATCCAAATAAATCATATTTACAGCAGAGAAAAATATATCAAATTTTCACAGTGAGGGCTTGGTACTGGTGTCATGAACCTCTCCTTGCCCTCTAGAAGCATATTAATAGAACGAACAAACTATATGGGAAGAAGAGAAAAAATAATATTTCACAATAACAACCTCTGCCCCCATCCTGCCCCTGCTGCTTCTGTGTGCAGGAAGAGGGTCTGCCGCTGGGCTCTCAGAGAGCAGACATCTCCCTTCCCTCCCTGGTCACCATAGGTTACAGATGCAGAGACAGGCAGAAACCCCACAGATGGGGAAATGGGGCCAGGATGCTAATTAGGATGCACATTGCAGAAGTGAATAGAGAGCCTGAAGATGTTTCAGGATGGGTCTATCCTGGTAGCACTTGACCCTCAGCCATTGGAGCTTGCCTTACTCGGTATAATTGTCCGCTGTACCCGACAAAGAAAATATGTTCCTTACACCATTCCAGCAAGTCAGCTGAGAATCCACATCGGTGACTGGCAAAAAAGAGAACCACATTCTGAAGAGAACTTGCACCAACTTGCCTGGGATTCTGCCTTGGGGGTCCACTTGGGAGTTATGCCAACAAATAGCAAGCAGTTTGCCACTTTTTAACCAAGCTCTATTTTCCTCTTTACGACAGCCTTGAAAGGGAAGGAGCCTGTCTTCTGGAGGAGGTCAGTGTAATTTATAGCTGGGGAATGGCTGCATCGTGCTCACTCCTTGAGCAGAAGGCCTTTGTCATCATTTGATGTGCACTTGATGCGCAAAGCCAGGGTGTGCCTTGAGAGGAGGCTACGGGCTGCTGCACGTGTGTGCATTTGTGTTGCTGCAGACCTCCCCATTTCCGGGCAGTGGCCCTGACCTGAGCCTGCTCCTTCTCTTCTTTATCCTGATGGAAATCCCAGAAACAAACATGATGTTTGGTTCTGGATAAAGATGCTGGGGAAGGCCAGGAAAGATAGAGTAGTGGGAAGGGAAAAAGCCAAGGCAGAATGAGAACATATAATAAACGGGAGCGTGTGGAATGTGCACCACCTGACTTAGCCAGATGCCTCTAGAGGGAAAGCAAAGGAAACAGCTAAATGCCTTTATATCCCCTGGAGTCTTCAAAGGAAGCCTGCAAAGCGGGGCATCTGAGTAATCCTCACTCGTTTAATATCTGACGCGTTTGCATCTGTGATGTGCACGGTAAATTAGAATTCCTGGTACAAGAACAGAATTTTAACTGCTAAAGTTAACACAGAGGTCAGGCAGCCTTATCATCACCTTATCTTATCTCATATGGTGTCGGGATGAATATTTGGGGACAGGGGTGTTGTGGATCTTTTCCTTCAGGAACATTAGGAAAAGCCATAAAGAAAATGATTCCAAACTCAGCAGCCTTCTGTGAGGAAGGAAGGTTAATTCTGCCATCAGCCCGTTCCATGGACCATCCAGATTCCCACTATTAAGACAGTTTAGCTGTAGTCTCAGTGCAGGTGCATTGTTACTTTAATTATTTAGGATGTAATTTCTGGGCCTAAGGAAGATGGATAGCACATCTTAAAGAAAACAGACTTCCCCTCCAAACACACCACTACTAAATTCTTCAGCAAAACAATGACAATGGATTAAATGGTATGTTCTTTAGATATTGTTAACTTTATTTGCAGAGGAAACATGAACATTTTGGCTGCCTGGGCTTTGGGGATCCACTCGCCATGGAGACATGAAGTCTAGATTTAATAAAATCATGCAGTGTGAAGTCCACACAATATTATTTTTCTTACACTAGGCTGAATGCTTTGATTATTATTCACTGTCAAGTTACCTTGGGAAATGAAATCTGTAATATTACCATGTTTATGCTGCTGGCCAAGGTCTTCTGAAATATGTCAGAAATTATTACCCCATTTTATAGATTAATAAAATGAGGCAAAAGCAATACATTATTGATGGAAAGAGGAAGAATTTTATACATATGTACGCATGTGCACACCCGTAAGTCTTCATCCTTAAAGTTAGAAAACAAAATAAACGTTATCATCTTACAAAAATAGACTTTTCTCCCAGACAAGTGTGAATCCAGCCTAGTCTGAAATTAATTGGAGGTCATGTCATGATGTTGAGTTTCATTTGTATATTATCTTTCTAATTTTATCTTTTGGAAAGGAATGATAGTTTCTTGTTTAGAATAAGGGAGAAAGTCTTGAATAGACTTAGAATATGACCCAGTGAAGAAATTTTAAGTATGCTAACATTCCAAGTGGACTACAATGCCATGTGATTGGGATATTGACTTGAACCAACTCTAAAATATTACTATTTTTGACAAAGATTTTCTTGTTTCTCTAGACCTGAATAAAACTGTCTCCTACTTAGCCAATACTGCATTCTAACTTATACAATATGCATCTCTGAAAATTAGCCAGAGAGGGTTTCTGCCATTGATCTCAGGATTTCTTTGGTGGAAGTCATGAATACTTTTCCGGATTATTGACCTCTGCTTTGTTCTGGATTCTTCTGAGCCAATGCAATTCCTATGTCTCTCACTAGAATAACTCATAGAAAGAGGAGAATGTGTTCCAGAAGTTATGGAGAGATTTCCCTCCAATAACCCACTGCTAGAAAATGGATTCGTTCTGCCTGAAAGCTAAACCCACACTAATTTTTACGTTCCTGCGACATGATATTGGGTCCTGGCTGAATAAGAAACTACACCAAGTCCTATACACCCTGAGGATATTCAGGTCCAGAGGTGTAGCTCAGAGGGGCCAGGCATTTGCCTTTGGTTTGTAAAGACTAGTAAGGAACATCTGTAAGTTTTTGCCCTTGTTCTATAGCAATGAGATTTTGTTTACTTTCAACGTGAAGGCCTAGCCTGCTGGCAATAGCATGAGTCAGGCAGATAACTCAGTAAACCTCTCAACCCCATCTAGTTGAAGAGGAAGAGAAGTTTCTCTAGAGTCTGGAGAAAGGCAGAGGAAAAGTACATCTGGCTATCTCTTACTTGTTTGAAGGCATTGGCCACCCTTCCCTCTCCCTCCTGTTGAGACCTAACTTGACCATTTCACTATTCATTATCACCTCCCACAGGGGTGGGCAAAAACAGGGGGAAAAGATGAAACTCAAATTCACCTATTGGAGGTGCTAATTCTTGACTTTCACACCATGCTAAATTGCTTGGATGCTATATTGGACAATTTACAGTTGTTTTTCTAAACCCTTTGGTCTATCAATGAAATGTTTATTCTATACTTTATCAAGGAACTGAAGCCCTTTCACCCAATTTACCTAGCAGTTCATGAGAGATTTTTGAAAATTACAGGACTTGCATACCATATTCCTATAACATAGCTAAAACTAACTCAATTTGTCTGTGTTAATGGAGGAAAAGGGTAAGATTGGAAATTTACATTAAAAAAACAACAGAAAAAACTTATACTTCTTGACCTTCTTCTCTCATCACAGCTCACATCAGAGTCACTATGGTGGAATAATAGACACTGGAGACTCCGAAGGGTGGGAGGGTGGGAGCGGGGTAGAGGATGAGAGATTACTTAACAGATTACTTAACGGGTACAATGTACACTATTACACCAAAAGCCCAGATTTCACCACCACACAGTGTATCCATGTATCAGAAATGTACTTGTGCCCCCTAAATTTATACAAGTAAACAATTTAAAAGAAACAAAAGGAGTCACTATTATGGTGAGAAAGATTAATTTAAGTTTAATGTTATATATTGTCTGGTGGAGACACCAGTAAGCAACCAAATGACCTAAAGCTAGGGAACGGGAGGGATACAGGGAAAGGGAGGGAGACAGAGAAGGAGCAAAGGGCTTGTAAAACTCACATGTTGGATCATTAACCCTTGAATAACTGAGAGTCGGTTTGAGATAATTTGTGCTGTGTTTGTCTAAAAAAAAGTCATGAAAATTGTTACAGTCAATTGCACTGAACAAGCAGCAATACACTTGCTAACAGGCTATGTCAATACTGTAATGTAATACTTAGCTGAGATAATAGGGAATGTAGACAACATGGATAATTGAAACACAAAAATAATTCCAAAACCTGATATAAACTGATAGTTGCAACTGCTTTTTCACAAAGCTGCTGACAGGCACCAATACTCATTCAGTTTTATCTCTGTTCTCATGTCTCTCCCAACACCTAGAGGGAAAGAAGTAGAAATAAACCACAAAATGACAAAAAGGAGGATCACAGAAGTAAAAAAGAAAAATGAGAAATGCAAGTATAGTTCATGTTATTGAGTAGCAGCACTAGAGACTGGACTGAATTTGCATCAATTCATGATGTCTCTGTGTAATTTGCTTTGATGGAACAAAAAACCACAGTAAGCCTCCTAGGAGTAATATTTTCCATCTCTTTAAGGTTTATAGGTTTGAACTCTCAAGACCTGTGCCCCTGAGGCTGTTTATTGTCCTGAATACTTGGCCTACAATTATGGTAAACCCAATTCCAAGACCTGGACTAACACACACACATTCACTTGGTGACACTTTACCTAATTTCGACAGATGCAGGTAAGAGTGAGCATCTTGATGGAAATTATGCCAAATTTGAAATTCACAGATCGTGTTTCAAATCCCAGAGCCACTCCTTGGATGTGGACTATTGGGAAAGTCACTTAAAAGTTTTGAGACTTAATTTACTTGTTTTTGAATTAGGATAATAATATCCCATAGGATTACTGTGAGGATAAAATGAGATGATATACGTAAATGTGCTTCATAAAATAGAAGTGTTATATAAGTCTTAGTAGATATTATAAAGAGGAAAAAAATTGCGTGGCACATCAAATGAACTGCTCCGATGGTGCTCAGATTCTAATGCTAAGTGTACATTTGGGAGATTTGACTAAAATGCAGATTCAGGGGCCCAGCCCCAGGGATTGTGATTCAGGAGGTCTGGAGGCGGACCCAAGCATCTTCATTCTTAACAACCGCCCCAGGTGATTACGGAGGTGATCTGTGGAGCACCTTTCAGAAACACTGCTGTGAGCCACCAGTTGACACATTCTGGCAAGAGTGACAGAAATAGGAGATGGGAAACTTCCCAAAACCATATGGAGCCAATGCTGCTCTCCTCCCATGCTCATAAATGATGCCCTACTATCGCATTCACGGCTGCAATCCACAGCTTGTCTCAGTCATCTCTTCTGTCTCTAGGCAGGCATTAGGAATCTATTATCCTTCGTTCTGTGATTTCCCCTCACCACTCCCTAGGGTCCTTTTGCCTTGTGCCAAGAACACACATTCTAGGTTCCTAAGTCTCTCCAGTAGGTACTTCACTCAGAATCTGTCTTTACTCTTAAATTTCTCAGTCTTCCTCCTGCTTCACATTTTGAAGTGAATGGCTTATATGTGCCATTGAAAGGCTGCTGATTGGGTCAAACAAATGATCAATTTCAGATACTTCTCATCGTTTCAAAGAGATAAATGAGACATTTGAACTATACGCAGGAGATTATTGGTAACTCTATAAATTAAGTGTCTGCACATTATGTCAACTGATTCCCGCCTTCTTTGTGACACCAGTCTTGCTTCCTGGGGAGGAGTCATGGCTCAGCCACAAGAACATGCCCAGCATATCAGAAGACCAGGGCAGGGAACTTGGCTCACTATATCTTAAACACTCACAAATCCTGTTCGGTGCCTGGTGCCATGAGGTCATCAGTGGCTGGGACTGTGCTCTCTAAAGGGAATCAGCCTTCAGTTACACCGGTGTAAACATGCTAGTTATAAAGATTTATGTGAAGCCTCGTAGGGGTCCTTTTACTGCAAGTGGTCCATATCCCGGATTTCCTCACAAAACAAAAGTGAAGTTCAGACTAGGTGTGGGCTACATTCTTAGTGCTTTAAAAAAAATCTGTGTGTTCATTAAGTTTTCTTTTTCCCTCTCTCTTTAGAGCTAAAAAATGTAATACAAAGTATTCATTTTACCTTTATTTTTCAAAATAGAATATAAATATTTTGGAAAATCTAATCCACACATTTTAATAATAATTCTAGAGAATTGGCTGTGTCAGATCCAATTCACCTTTTAAGGTAATTATTAGAGATATATACTTCTGTCTATTTCATCTTAATTAAAGATATTACAAGGGACTTGTTGGTTTATTAAAATAATTTAAATTATTCATCCCTAAATTAAAACCCCAGGAATAAAACCGTAATGATTTGGAGAACCCTCCAAAAAGTTCTGATATGAAATTATGAAAAGAAATATTTCAAAACCAGTTTTAAAAGGTGAGAAAAATATGTGAGGATAAAACATAACATTATCTACTCGCCTCTTTGTAAATGTCATAGAAAATTATCAAAGCATTTTCAAATACTTGGACCTAATAGTCCCCACTCCTGAAAAGGCCAGTAGAAGATTTGGAGGACACAATAGCTAATTTAAATATTTTTAATGGCTAATATGGATTCTAAATGGTATCATCAAAGAATGATATACTCTCTAAGTATCATACACATTTGCACCACCATTAATGGGTTTATGGGCCTGGATTTGTAGGGTTAATGATAGCAAAAAATATGAAATCTTTGCTGAAATAACAGATTTACTCAGCCAGATTTGATTGGTCACCGTGGCACTTGTCTCACTGCCTTGTTTTTAGGAAAGGAGATCCAAAGCCAAATCAATGTGTCTAGCTTGTCATCAGAACTTAGAATTCATTCTGGCCAAAATTCTGTCTGCAAAAGTATGACTCAAGTGAATTAAAGTTCAGAGCTTCTTGAATTGAATGGGCTGTGATTGTGCAAATTTAATTTTAGATAATGTACCAGATTTAGACATGTGCTTTCAGGCTTTTATTACCCAGAGGGAGAGCAACTATAGTGTTGTGCCATAGAATAGCACTGCCCTGGGAAGGCAGAAACCTGCAAAGTGGCCCCTATCCTGCCATGATTAGCTCCGTCACCTTGGGCAATCCATGTGGCCTTGCTGGGCATCGTGTGAGAAATGAAACGGATACACTGGATGATCTCCAAGGTCTCTCCAGTTCTCAGTCCCTCAGTCTCTCAGGTGGTATGAACACCAAATTACTTTGGCAAATGGCTCATAAATCCATGGGAGCAATGGGAGGTGAATACCACTTGATTGACAAGTGTCAAAAGCACTCAAGGGGTTGTTTTTTTCTGCTTTTTTTTTTTTCTTTGCAGGATGGGGTGGGTGATGGCAGTGTATCTTGTTGAATTTACAGAAGAGCTAGGGCAATCCACCACGACAAATGGCAGATTAGAAGGTTAGAAACTGGGTGGGTGGTAGGCACTGACATTCATGAGATACTCACTGTGGAGCAGTCATGATATTCAGCGTTTTTTCAACAAGAAACTGTGTAAACCTCAAACAGCTGCGAGAGATGAGAGTGGTCATCACTAATTTTGTAATGAGAAAAGGAAGCCTCGGAAGCATCAATAACATGTCCAAATCATGCTAGGACTTCAACCTGGAGTTCTTGGGCTCCAGGGCCTCTGCCAGCAGGATCAGGGAACAAGATAGCCCCACAGAGCTCCTGAGAAAGGCTGAAAAGTCAGGGGTTAGCTCTGGACACAGAAAAGTGCTATGGTTTGAATGTTCCCTTCACAACTCATGTTGAAATGTAATTGCCATTGTAACTATATTGAGAGGTGGGACCTTTAAGCAGCTATTAGGTCATGGAGGTTCCCTCATGAATGAATTAATGTCATTATTTCCAGAGTGGGTTACTTATCATGAGGCTGGGTTGTTATAAAAGTGAGTTTGGCTCGATTTCCTCTCTCTGCTTCATGCCTGCTTGCTTGCCCTGCTGCCATGTTATCACACAGCAAGAAAGCCCTCACCAGATGCAGATGCAGATGCAGCTGCTTGATCTTGGACTTCCCAGCCTTGAGAACCATGAATTAAATAAACTTCTACTGTTTATACTTTAGCCAGTCTGTGATATGCTGTTATAGCAGCAGAAAATAAACTAAGGGAGGAAGTGAACACAAATACTTTCTGCAAAGGAGGTGAGAATAAGAATTGGGGTGCCCTGCCTGCCATTAGGAGTGCCTTCATTGGATTTACGCCTGGTTTCTGAAATAACAGTGTCATTATTTTAACCTAGAAAACATTTCTTCACCTTAAACTGCAGGTTTAATTCTACCACAGCTCATAACCTATTATAGGAATTTAACAAATTATATAACTGTGAATGGCAGATGCAACAACACTATTCTGTACTCTAACAAGAAGCTTTGGGTAATTTATTTAAATATTGATTTACTTGTGGTATTATTAGAAAGTTCTTTAGTGTTTTAGTACAAAAAATATACTTTTCCTTTGACCTAGGAATTCATTTATTGTAAAATTATGCCTCACCACAATTAAAAATGAAAAAGATATTCATTTTATATTTATATTTTTCTATGTTTATAATTTATAACCTGCTTCTTTCTAACAAAGGGGTTAAGGCAAGTTATAAAGCTACTGGGTCTGCAGGTGGGAGTAAAATAATTATAATTGTGAGGAGAGGAGGAATGTGGGAGCTGGGAACTGAGCAAGGCATTAGAGATATAAGCACTTAATCAATAAGAGGTGACAGTGGCAGCACCAGGGATGAGTCTCATTTGAGGTCAACAGGACAAGAGTCTTTCTGCTCTAGGGAAAGCAACAAGAAATAGTAAAGTGATGAAAAGGCAGAATGAGAACTTACTTTGACATAGAAAAAATAGTCTGCAATGTGTTTAACTGGATAATTTTAGGGAAATTCAAGTCAATTTAACCCAGCAAATGCATTTGAGCACCTACTATGGGCACTCTTATGAGAAGATCAAAAGTTGAGTAAGAAAAAATTTTAATCCTCAAGGAGTTTACACTCTAGTTATGAGTATAAGAGGAAGACAACAGTTAAGAACTGATGTTTATATTTGTGGAAACAAATGATGGGAAGGAATATTGAAGAACAAAATCCAGTTGTCAATAAGCTCATTTTTTAGCCAATAAATTATATGTAATCTACAGCAGTAGTTGGCAAAATTTTTCTGTAAAGGACCAGATAGTTCATATTTTAGGATTTGAGGACTAAGAGACAAAATTAGAAATGTTGGGTAGGCACTTATATATTAAGAAAGAAAACTCGCTCACGCCTGTAATTTCTAGCACTTTGGGAGGCCAAGGTGGGTGAATCACCTGAGGTCAAGAGTTCAAGTCTTCAAGTCCAGACTGGCCTTTATGGTGAAACCCCATCTCTACTAAAAACACAAAAAATTAGCCGGGTGTCGTAGTGGGCACCTTTAATCCCAGCTACTTGAGAGGCTGAGGCAGGAGAATTGCTTGAGCCCGGGAGGCAGAGGTTGCAGTGAGCCGAGATCGCACCACGGCACTCCAGCCTGGGCAACAAGAGCAAACTCTGTCTCCAAAAAAAAAAAGAAAAGAAAACAACTGCCCACTTCATCCCAAAGCAGACACACTCTGCAACCCAGTTGCCACCAACTGAAGAGATTCTAGGGATGAATCTCTGTGTGGGTAGGAATGAATTGCATACAGATCTCTGTGTGCAATTCTCTCTTCCCCCCAAGAGCCCGGTTGCCTCAACTGAGGCAGCTGGCTCAAGGGGAGGCAACTCACTAAACTACTGACTCTTGAACTGGGATTCTACGGCCCAGTGCTTGGCAGCTGACATCAGAAGAGTCTCCAATGTGTAGATGGCAACCTGCGCAGACACTGGGTTGGAGCACTGGATGCCAGTGGGAACAGGGGTGAGGGGAATGACCTGGCTAAGTCTCCAGTGCTCAGTGTGCTAGCAGGGTCATACAAAAACACAGTGGTCTGATTTACAAAGTAAGAATCCACCTTTCTCACTTCATTAACATGATCAAATGATTCAAAATCTGCAGTATTGGGAGAACTGGCTAACTATGTGGAAAAGGATAAAAATTAGATACATTTCTCACAGAATATTTCAGGATAAATTCTAAGTAGATTAGTGATTGAAATGCAAGTAGACAAATTACAAAGCACTAGAAGGCATGTAGACAGATATAGATAGATATGGACAGATAGGAAGGCAGGGGAAGAGAGAGAGAGACAAGGATGCCCTCTGCTATTTAATATTCTGTTGGAAGTATTAGCCAATGCAGTTAGGAATGGGAAAGCAAAAACAAAATCATAAGAATTGAAAAGAAAAAGGCAAAACTATGTTAGGTTGCAGATAATATTATATATTATAATACAAATTGAAAAGAATCCATGAAAAGCCACTACAAACAATAAGAGGACTTAGTAGTGCTCTAACATTGTAACTTTAGCAGGTTATAAAAGTAACATAAAAATCCTATATATGCAAACAAAAATTATATAATCAAAGAGAAGACCCACTAACAACAGCAAAAATGAAAACAAAATACCTAGTTGTAAAATTAGCAAGAAATGTCTAAAACCTATATGGAATTATATGACACTTCTGCAAGAGATAAAACCAACATGAACACTTGAAAAGACATACAATTTACTTGAATATGAAAACCCAACATTATAAAGTTGTCAGTTCTCCCTAAGTTAATTTATGAACTTAAAAAAATCCCCATAAGAATTCATCAGATTTTTGGAGATCTTTTTCTTCTAAACTTAGAAAACTTGCTTATAAAGTCCATTTGGAAGAACAAGCAAGAATAACCATAAATATCATGAAAAAGAAAAGTAACAAGGAAGGGCCTTGGTATATCAGATATTAAAATAGAAAATAAAGCCTTGGTAATTAAAAATATTTTGATATTAGCATATTAATAGAAAGGGCAATGAGATAGGATAGAAAATCTAGAAATAAACTCATGTATAAAATGTATATAGTAAGTAAATGTAGTAAATATATACAGTACACTCTGATAAAGGTAGCATTTCAAATCACAAGGGGAAAAAAGACTATATTTAAGAGGCAATATTGGGGTAACTGAATAGCCTTATGGAAACAGATGAAATTAGATCCATTCCTCACAGTGTATGCCAGGATACATTTGAAATGAATTCTAAATGAATTTAAATGCAAATAACCAAGTCACAGAGCACAAGACGAAAACACAGGTGGGCTCCTCTATAGCCTGGGAGCGAAGAAAACTTTTCAAAGACTCACAATCTGGAATTAATAAGGCAAAAAATGATATATTTGATTATATAAAATAAAATTTTTGTGCATAGACATATATGCACACAACATATTTGGGAAAAACAAATGACACTGGTAAAATATTTTGTAGTTAAAGATAAAACGTTAATATTTCTATCAGTCTCTCTAACTTACAAATATCTTCTAAAAACAGAGCACAAACAAAAAAAAAAACAGCAGCCCTAAAGAGGGACAGAGCAATGAAAAAACAGCATACAGAAAAAGAAATGCAAGTGGCTTAATTAATTAATTAATTTATTTATTTATTTATTTTTACTGTAAGTTCTGGGATTCATGTGCAGGATGCGCAGGTTTGTTACATAGGTATATGTGTGCCATGGTGGTTTGCTGCACCCATTGACCCGTCCTCTAAGTTCCCTCCCACAAGTGGCACTTAAACTAGGAACATATGTTCAGTTTTATTATAATAAATTGAACGCAGATTAAAACAACACCAAATGCTGTTTCTCCCGCATCAGATTAGCAAAAACTCAACAGTTAGACAACCCATTCCTCTGACAAGGCTGGGGGAAAATAGACAGGCTTATATATTGCAGGAAGGAACACAAAATGGTACAGCCCTTAGGGAAGAGAATTTAAAAATGTCTAGTAAAATTATACATATATTTACTCTTCGACCTAATAATCCTACTATACAAATCTATCATAGAGATGCATTGGCAAAAACATTGAGATATATGCACAAAGCTAGTAACTGTAGTGTTATTAGTAAGAACAAAAACTGGTGCCAGTTGGTGACATAAGCCACACAGAGAAATATCCAGGTGATTTTAAAACATAGTTATCTGATGGTACATCTCTACAGGGCTATACTCTAATGACAAAAGAACTGCCAAGAAAAGAAAAACTGTATTGGTGGCAGGGCTGGTTTTGTTATTCTGACACTGTTTGGATTAAGCAAGTCAGTGACTATGTTGATCCATTGAAAATTGTGATTTTTCAGGTTAAAAACCTTAGAGCTCTAATTTTGAACTGTAGTATTATAATTTTAATATGAATTCATGATGTATTTTCATATACAAATTTTTGTATCTAAGTGTACAGAATTTGCACATATATGTGTGTTTGTACATATGTGTGTAAGTTAATTTTTGGAGCTGGGAGAGGTTATTCTCTCTGCTTGTATATTTTGTATTTTCTATATTTTCTATTATAAAAAGTACATATATATATATATCCTAGTAAAAATGGAATAGAAAAAATATTCTAGCTCTGTTCACTGAAAGAATAGAAAATATAAAGATGAACCTAGGAGCCAAGAGCATACCTAATACTTAAAATTGCAATTTCTAAAAACCTTTTAACCAACAAAAGCAACCAGAACTCTTTAGAGAAATGGGGATTCCAAGTCTGGGCAAGAAATGTCCAATATGATGTTGGAGCTATCAATGACATCCAGGAATATATCAAAAGGACTCAGGACCCAATTTGAAGAAACTACCAATGGCAAAAGACGGGAAAATTTGATTGGCGGTAAGAGGAAAAAGGAAATGTACAGAAACGTATCAGGCATGTTTAAACACATGATTTCATAGTGATAATTAGAAAAAACCTCATTGGTCAGCTTTGGAACATGCTAGGGAATGAGCTCCTTATTTTGAAAATTGGTAAATAAAAGGAAAGAATCAAGCATGAATCCTGCCTCTCATATATGAACTGTACTTCAATAAAACCCAATAGTAGATGAGCAGAAGCTTCTCTTTATAGGCATTTTCCAGCAACTAAATGAAGAAGGAATAACAGAGTTCAAATAGCATCATTTTGCAACCTGTAATGAATTAGAGTCTAATGGATCTAGGTAGTTGTCACTGGTTGCTGCTAACATCACAAACAGTGTCAACCAGATATTATGCCCCGCTAAACGAAGGTGTGCAACACCGCCTACACAGTAGTGTTGCCAAAATGTCACACTCGGATCTGATCAAGTCTCAGATGTAATTGCCAGTTTATAGGACATATATTAAATGGCACCAGCAAAATCCAGACTGTGGGTGATATGGTTTGGCTGTACCCCACCCAAATCTCATCTTGAATTGTAGTTCCCATAATCCCCACACATCAGGGGAGGGACCTGGTGGGAGGTAACTGACTCATGGGGACAGTTGCCCCCATGCTGCTGTTCTCGTGATAGTGAGTGAGTTCACATGAGATCTGGTGGTTTTATAAGGGGCTTTTCCCCCTTTTGCTCGGCACTTCTCCTTGCTGCTGCCAGGTGAAGAAGGTTGTGTTTGCTTCCCCTTCCACCATGCTTGTAAGTTTCCTGAGGCCTCCCAGCCATGATGAACTGTGAGTCAATTAAACCTTTTATTTTATAAATTACCCAGTCTCAGGTATGTCTTTATTAGCAGTGCGAGAATGGTCTAATACAGTGGGGAACTCCATAGGCAAAACCCAATCTCTTCTTCAACAAAACAACAAAAACTTAAGAAGAAAAAGACAGCAAGGGAGCAAGAACCTATAGATTAAGAGAGGCAAATCAAACAATCGCAATATGTGGCCCTTATTTGGATCGTAATTCAAATGAACTAAATTGTAAAAAAAAAAAAAAAATGTACCAGATATGTGGGGAAATACGAACACTGACTGGAAATGAGATAATATTTAAAAATTATTGTTAATGTTTACAAGTGTTACTGTGATTTCATGGGTGTTTTTTAAGATGAGTCCCTTTTTTCAGAGGTACATATTGAAATGTTTTCAGATGAAATGATATGACTTCTAGGATTTGCTTCAAAAATGTGGTGGAAAAGGGTAGTGATGAGATATAGATAAACCAGGACTGAGTTTGTGTTGATAAATGTGGCAGTTGGGGGAGGAGTACCTGGGACATTCATTATATTATTCTCTCTACTTGGGTATTTTAAAATTTTCTATAATGAAAAACTATTTTTAAAACTACATTTTTTCCCTGAGTCTTAATAAAATGATTTCATTTTACATTTTAAAAAAATGTGGCCTGTAAACATTTTATTTTTCCTGATAAGATCATCTTTCCAAAATATGTATGGCATGTTCTGCTGAACATGTCTTAGTGACATGCTGCTTAGCAGTGCTGAAGACTGGGGTGCACACCACTGTCCTCCCCAGCATTTGGACTCTGCTGTCAGCGTGAAAAAGAGCAGTGAAATAAACAGAAGAGCTTCTGCACGTGGCCTGATCCCCCAGCTCAGCCTCTGCTCACCACAAGTTCAACAGCATGCGATGGGGTAAGTGGCTGAAATCACTGAACTATCCATTAATTCAATAAAGTATAAAATTCATTCAGATTGATAGTTTGGTGAAATAGACTGGTCAGTTTTTTAGCTACTGTACAAAAAAGATATATCCATAGTCACTTAGGCACTTAGAAATATTTCCAGCTTACTGATACATCGTTCTCTGATGCAATTTCTTTTTAAAGCCAATATTGTCATTGTCAGTAAATTAAATGACTAGTTTCCAAGGCGGGAAAAAGCACTACATCCTAAACGTGTTACATTTACGGAAAGCTGATGACAAAGCATGCCATTTTAGTAAACTTCCATATTTAATGTTGTATCTATTCCCATATTCAAAGTCTTTTATTCATCACAGCTCTTCTTCACGCAAACTTAACAACAAAAACAGCCTATCCCAAGTCTAACTCTAATATTGACATTGAAGAAAAGAGTTAACAGGGAAAGCTTTCTTCCTCATTTGTCATCATTAATATTGCTTTCAAAATTGCTGGACCTAACAGGAACCCCACCAAAGTGAAAAGTGTTCTTATGCCAATGCTGTTATCAGCGTTAGATACATTATTGACTGTGATTCAGAGGCACACTAAATTAGAAACTTGGGAAGGGAGAAGTTCATTTGATAACTAAAATTACAACTTGCTCTTTTTTGGGCCCCTATTTCAAAGAGTGGTGAGGTCTCTTTGTTCTTCAAAGCTCTGTTGGAAAAGACAGCACAGATTACAGGATGAAATGACTAACCCTCCGTTTTACTTATAATTTCTCATAAGGGCAAACATACAGTTTTAGAGATTCAGGTGTGCTCATGGACTGTTAAATGTCTGGCACATGCCTGCATTCTCTCTGATCCTACGTGGGGCCCATCAGGCCCAGTGTTGGGTCTCAGGTAGTGTGAGGGAACACACATGTGCTCAGGGTGCCTGGAACTGGGTGGGTCTTCATAGCTAGTGCAGCCCTGCCTGCCACTGTCCTTACAGAAACATCAACAATGATTCATGAAGTCTTTATTCTGAGTTATCAACAAAACCTAAATTGTGAATCATTGTCAGTTGGCCAATCAGTCAAACCACCACAGAAGCTGTGAAAGCTGAACAATTACAGCAGAAAGGAGTTCTGTAATCTTTAATATTTTTAAACATTAACTAAGGGGCTTAGGAAATGCCTCAAATTCAAAGCAGTGGAAGCCAATGCCATCTAATCACAGACCCACACAACGGCCAGGCAAAACGCTCCTCAACTCTTCCCCGAATGCTACCAGTTCAGATGAGAGGGACCACCAGGAAGGGGGAACATTTCTGTCTTCATGCCCATTCAATTCTTGGCCTTGTTGCTGAGCCTTCCAACAAGCATATCAATTAGTAGCTCCAATAGTGAGGGTTTTATTGTGTGTGGGTTTTTCTTTTGGTAATTCAAACACCTGTCCACTAGAAACTGGACTGAGGCCACTGAACAGTTGTCAGATGGTAACTGCAGTGTTTATAGATTCAATTCATAGATCTGCCTCTTGGTTGCACAAAGTGCCAAAAAGTTATATAGCCAGACATCTGGCAACTGGAAGGGTATCTGCCTCTTTAGCACTCTGATTGGCCCTCAAAGTTCTATTTGTGCATGCTATGCGGATCCTGGGAAGGCAAGCATTATTTTAAAATTGTTATCTCCCTCATTGCCATCCACAGAGTTGTAGCCACAACTTCTGGTTCCTTACTCCCTGCCAGTACTACAGTCACACCAAGATATAAAAAGAAAGCTTCTAGACTTTGGCTTTCCATATCAATTTCTGCTAAGCTCTCCCAACTACTTAATCTGGCCAAACACAATCAAACAAGCACTCTAATTCTCCCCAGTGTCTAAGTTATTTTCATAAAGTAATCTGAGTATTTGGAGAAGCATTCAAATTCATTTAAACTTTTGGGGACCAAATAGTGCTTTATAGGAAATGTACTATTAAAGAGTCCTGACAGACCCACAGAAGTTAATGTACTTTGCCACCTTCTGTATTTTTTCTAGGAAGGGGCTTAGACAAAGAAAGGATAGAGTAGGTGCACAAGGTACATGTGTTTTCAATGATCAGTGGTCGCCTGGAATATAGCAGAGTGGTGGTGCGTCCATATGAAAGTGGAACATATGTTAATCACTGATGTAATTCTATAGCTTTGCACAAAAGGCACCTCTATTTTTTATTTCTGAAGTTCATTCATTCAGCAGGCATTTGTAGGCTGTGCCCTTCCTTTGTATATGTGTTCGTGAAAATGTGTACTAAAGTTGTACCTGTGAATATTCAACAATAGATATATTTTATAAAAGAGACTCTGGTTTTTGAAAGTTTAGAGGAAAAAAACCCCTAATTAGATTTCACCTTTCCCACATTTCTAGAACTTCTTCTACAGTTTTTAATTCCATGGTTTTTCCTTCACAGCAGAGGACATAGTCAAAGTAGTTCTATCACTAGAGTCTCCACTCTTCGAAAGCCTAATTATTTCTTTTACATTTCTTTCCAGTTTTTTCGCATCTCTGCTCTTCCTCACTTTACCCCTTCAGGAAGCATATATGGCATACAAAGGCCATTGACCAAACCTGCGAGGGGCATTAAGGGTTAATGGTATTTTTATTACAGATGAAGATAGAAGGATCTGCAGAGAATCCCCTCAGGTAACATGGAAGGGGAGAGGCCTGATGTTTTGGATATTTGCCATTAAAGCTCATTAAAATGACTCCATAGCTATGTCTAATTCTAATGAATAATTAATGCTAAAACGTTAAGGGCTTGAGATTCTTAATAGTGACGATGACGAAAGGCGTGGGGACCAGACTCCATGGCTGTCCATTCATTCCTCTTCTTGGCCCTCTTTAGCGTCTTATCCTCAACAACGAAGTTTAAACTCACCCCCTTGTGTGACAACACATAATACTCTCTTAAATGTGATTTCAGGTATTTCTAAA
The DNA here is from genome assembly GCF_000001405.40 of Homo sapiens. Classification (NCBI taxonomy): domain Eukaryota; kingdom Metazoa; phylum Chordata; class Mammalia; order Primates; family Hominidae; genus Homo; species Homo sapiens. The sequence continues at coordinate 25,436,862 of NC_000018.10, forward strand.
ATATCTCTGTGAGAGGGAAGGAGCAGTATTCTAGGTTCATTTTTGTAAGTACAATACTTTAGTTTCCAAAGTGACTCCATAAGTAGAAATTCAACTGAAATCTTTTGGTATTGACCAACAGATACTTAAGTGAGTCAACAGGATCAAAATTGAAATAAATTATTGGCCTGTCACTTACATTAATTGGGGAAGAGCCTTGGTTTTTCTATCTCCAAATCAGTAGTCTAGCTCCCAAATCAGTAATTATGATAGCAATGAAGTGTTTTTCTGCATGCTTATAACTCAGAGAGGCACTGGCACACATGAAACTCAACTTCTACAACTATACAGTTGGTGGGAGTGACGTTGCCTTCTATGCATAGCAGTGTTGCAAAGTTTAGCTCCCACTACAATACAGGTATGCATAAGAAATACCGTATTTTGATTTTGTCTGTAACTAACTTACCTTTCTCCTATGAGTGATCTCCTCCCTCCACGCTTCTATTCCACTTAAACTCCTACATACCTCTGGCTAGAGAGAAAGATATTAACAAATGTCCAATCTGGTTTAAGGCTTGATCCAATAATCTAAACTGAAGTAAATGACTTATTGGATGAAAATGCTCAGTCTTTTGGATGTATTCCCTCCCTATGACTTCTCTCCCAAGATGCTGCTAGATGTATGAGAAAAGGGATGTGGTCTCCCAGGGCAGTGGGGAAAAGTCCAGGTTGTAAAGTGAATCTTGGATGCCTGCCCTGGTCTCTCAAATGATTTTCCTTATCCATTGTGTACCACTTGAGCTCATGGCATTTGTGTTTAAAATATGCAGCTGGGCTATCTTAAGGTTTATTGGTCTGGCCTGGCTTTCTCAGAACCTAGTGACTCCCCCTGGCTGACTTGACCCCTAAATCAGCTAGTATTCAGGATCCTGCTGTGCATGCTGGGACTCTATTGGGCTCCCTGCAGGCTACTGTCCATTCTCCAGCCCTGGATACAGAGCCACCCTGTCATAGTGATCACAGCCATTTGTAGATCCAGACGCTCAACAATTTCTGGGCCCTACTTCATGCCATGTTGGAATCAAGGGTGGCTTAAAATTCTAAGTGCAAAGGTCCCACTGCACCTGGGCATCCACATTGATGAAGTTGTGCCCCGTTCTCTCCTCCCTCTCCCCTATCGTTGCTCTCCACCACCTCCCCTCCTCTCTCCCTTACTCTTCCCACCATGCCCCAAGCAAGAAAAAAGGTAGGCTGTTACTTTGACTTCCCCTATGTTATATTTTTTACTAATGTGGAGTAGGCTCACCTGACACCGGGAGACAAGGGAATTTAGAAAATCTGCTCTGGAGACAACAGCCTGACTTGTAAGGCTTTAGTCTGACTTACTTTGAATTTCAAAAGCAAGCTGAATATTACCTAGACTTTTTACCCTTACACTCCTTCAGTACACTTTATAATCTACCTCCAGGAAGATGGTTGTCCGATTGATTGAGAAAAATCCTGTATTTGGGAAGGAAAAGAAGAAAGCAAGAATATTTAAGAGCCAATTAACCTTCTTCCCCACATATTGATATAGGACGACTCACATGCCCCTCAGTTTAAAAATGTACAATGTAATATTCATGCTGAGGTGCACTGAAAAATGATCATTATTTTTCTCATCTGTTTTAGAGAGATTTTTGATGACCTATATCTGGAATTTTGTATAAGAAGTAGAAAGGTCATGGGACATTATTAAGAATCAAGGAAATAATACAAGAAAAGAATACAGAGGCATTTTCCAGTTTTACAGAGATATGGAAACTAGTTTGTTATTTTTGAGCAACGCATGCAGATGGGCACGCATACACACCCACTGGCCTGTGAAACTGATGGATATTAGAAAGATAATATTAGTTACTAACAATTGTTGCATGCTCATAAGTCCCAGTGACTGCTGAGCGAGTAGCTCCGAAGTGGAGTCTGCACATCCCAGGGATAAGCAAAACAGTCCACTGAGATGTGGGGAGAAAAGATTGAAATTCTACTTAAGTAATTTCTTACATGACATAGAGAAAAATGAGCATCACTGATATTTAGTGTATGGGGTTATGCTAGCATCCTCACTCAATTCCTAGGCTAGATTAGGGGGTCCTGAGGAAGCGCAGAAATTCCATTTGGGCAGTGGCCCCTCCTTTATTCATTCATTTTTAGTTTATCCTGACATATGTGGTTTACATGAACCAATATAAGGCTATATTCATACATATAGGTATGACTGTGAAAATGTTTGGTACCACACAGAGGTTCTCAGATTAACTCCTGGAAATGGTTCACACAAGTTTTTAAATGTAATAATGAATTACACATTTTATTGACAACAACAACAACAACAACAAAAAATGTCCCAAATTTGCTGAGGTTTTTTTCTTTTCTGTGATAAAATGTGACTGTCAGTAATATGCTATCTAGCTGTTGTTTTGGGAGAAAAAAATCAGCACACTTAATCCATACTTTGCAGATAAATGTGACTGAACAATAAAAGAGAAAATAGGTGTTCTGTAAAATAAATATCTAGTATGGAAAAAACATTTTTAAAAGAGGATGTTAGAAATGCTTTCATCATTATGACTTTTTTTGCTGAAAATGTTATCTATTACCTACCAAAATGTTTAAATCTAGAAAGAAGTCTAGAAACAAAATATTCTTACTCATTTATAAAGCTTCCAAATGAAGCGATTCAGAGTACTTTGAACCTGTTCAGTAAAATGTGATGATCTGTGATTATTTTCAAAAATAACTGCCTGAAACCAGAGAAGATGGACATTTAGTAACTTAATTTCAACAAAGGTCTTTCCGTAAGTGTTGTATAGTTTGAAGATTTTAAGAAGTATAGCCAGAAATTTATGCCTTTCATTTAGCTATTCGTAGCTTATGAAGTGTATTTTAAGCTGCAGTGGTCACTAAAAGAAAGTAGAAACAGACGTTCAAATGAATTACATCACAGTGTTAAAGCAAGATTCTAAAAAAAAAGAATCATTTAAATCACATTGTTTTCATAAAAATACTAGTTCAAAGTAGTAATATAAAATGTTATTTAAATATAGTAATAATTTCCCCAAGTGCAAAAATATGTTCTTTATTATTAATAGAACAAAATGAAAAATGTTTTAAGTATTATTTACTCCAATCATTTAAAATTTTTTTGTGTATGTTTTATAATGTGCATAATGTTTTAGTCCAGTAGTACACGATTTAATTTATAAACACAGAAGTATCTTAAACATATATTGAGATGTGCATGCTCAAATTTTTTTTTAATGATGAGAAGGAACATCAAAGAGGTTGGCCCTGATGTTGTAGCCCTTGGCATGTATTTTCCTAATTAATGATAATAAAACCTATTCCGTGATAATGACACCTATTCCCTAATAACCGTATGCCATAATAACCCTATGGAATGGATGTTATTATCATTCCCATTTTACAGATTAGGAAAGAGAAACAGAGACCTCATTCGCTCAGGAGCTGGCCCACAGTCACAGAGTTAGTAGATGGTTGATTGGAAATCTGTAAACCCTAGAATCTAAAGTCATAGCCCATGTTTCATCAACTGCCCCACAGTGACCTCTTAGATGACATGCTGAAGACCCTGGAAAGATTCAAGGTTAAATAGTGGGTACATAACAGTTACCTTGTTTAGGTGCCAAGTTTTACTTAGGTGCTCATTTCTTACATCTTAACTCTCAACGTGATTAATATTTATTGTAGGTTAAGTTTACGGGTTGAAAGATATGTTAATGATTTCTCCTATGGGAAAATCTACAGTTTGGAATCAACCAAAGTGCTACAGATCAGCTGCTGGTAACGTGACATAATTGCAAGCAAAGAACTTACGAGAAAATAGAGTCACTTCATTACTGTCCAAACAGACCCAAGCCCAAAACAGTGACAGCAGTAGGACATCTACAGATCTTAGAGCCATATCCATGGAGTTGATTAGGGGGAGCCTCTGATTCGATCTTTGCCCTATCAAAAATATTTCTGCAACCTTTTATACGTCAATTTACGTACGATATATAGGAACTTCTGAAACTTGAGTTACTCTGTGATGGCCAATGATGGCTGCCAGGGGGCCATTATTGCTCATCATGTCAACGAGTGCTCTTTAACAAGAAGATTACTGACAAGATGGAGCATAATGACAATGAGGAAAATGTTAAAATGTTACTATCTGTCATGTCAGCCCACTGTCCACGGCCTAGGTAAGGTCGGCTTGTTACAGAATCCTCATAGGCTAGCAAGCTGAGGCCACATATCTCAACGAAATAACCCCGTCATTTTTATTTTATTCGTATTTTCAACATACCCAAAGGCTGTGAGCACCCTGACGTGTCAAGTTCCAGGCAGCAGTGAATTTCCCTGGCAGTTATAAGCCTCCGAAACAGGGTCTTATAATGGAAAAACTGACAGACCCTTAACTATAGCTGCACTACCAGAAGTCACTATGATAAAAGCTAGCTTAATAAACCACAATTTGGCCCAATTACATGGGGCTGCTACTATCTCCGATAAGACTGATGTTCATCCTGACCTAATCTTTTGTGCACTTTAGATTGTTATGTATTGGCAATTTATAAATAGGTTCCTTCTACCCTGAATGTAGGCTGTGTGATGAATCCAGACTCCCAGTTTTGACAGCCAGGTCCTTATGCCTGGGAGAGTCAATCAGTGGGTGTGAGGCAAGACTTGTCAGTGAAGGAGGAAAGGATCAGTGGTGGATCTTGGGTGAAAATCAAGAGCTTTCCTGACCTTGCCCATGGAAAGCCATAATCAGCAGGCATGAAAAAAGGCAGTCGAATTGTGGCTGATAGGAAGGAATGGCAGTTAGAGCATGTAATCAACAAGTCTGCATCTACAAAGCCAGGAGGTCAGGTATGGTGCCAGGCCTTAGGGGAACAACATGATTACTTCCCTTAAGGAGCCTGTGGTTTACTAGGAGATGAAACTATGAAGAAATAAATACAAGTTTGCTTGGTTTGCTTCCCAGTGGGTCGAGATAGGTGGAAGTGAAGGAGATATTCTGATTTACCTATACCACTCACCACCATATCCTCTACCCATTCACTCATCTGCCCACCCATTCACCTGTCTACCCAGGCACCCATCTACGCATTTACTCATTTGACATTTACTGAATACCTCTTATGTACTGGGCCCTGTTTGCTTCCCAGCACTCAACACTTGCTCCTTTAAAGCAGTCTCTTCTCCCAGCTTTCCTGTTTCTGTTTGCTGTATCAGCATCCTTCCATTCATGCCTCTATCTCCACCACCCACACACGCAGCCTTGCTGAATCCTTCACAGTCTTTGTTGCTTCTATTTCCTCCTTCCCATTCCCATAGTCACCAACCCAGTCCAGGGCCTTAGGTGATGGGCAGAGTACCTTGTGCTATATGTGTTTAGTTGGTGTCTGGCTTCCAATTGAATTGTCTACCACACTGACCATTAGTGATCTGGCCTTCCTGATTCCTGTCTTTTTTTTTTTTTTTTTTTTTTTTTTTGGAGACAGGGTCTTGTTCTGTCACCCAGGCTGCAGTGCAGTGGCGCAATCATAGCTCTCTGTAACCTCAAACTTCTGGGCTCAAAGATCCTTCTGCCTCCACCTGCTGAGCAGCCCCTTGGCTACTCATGTGCCTCAAGGACTACAGGCACATGCCGCCATGCCTGACTGATTTTTATTATTTTATTTTTATTTTTTTGTGGAGTCTTGTTATGTTGCCTAGGCAGGACTCAAACTCCTGGCCTCAAGTGATTTGCTTGCCTCAGCATCCCAAGGAGCTGGGTTTACAGGCATGAGCCACCATGCTCGGCCCTCCTGTCGCTCTTTATCACATCACCTTTTTAAATTTTTTTCTACATGACCCCTTTTGATATTTTAATAATTAGTTCCATGTGTTTAGAAACCTTGTTCACTGCTAACAAATAAACTCAGTGCCTAGATGGATTGTAGTCTTTTTTATTCATGTCAGTCAATATTTACTGAATGGATGAATGACTGTTCCCTCAAAATTCAGCCTAGCCTCAGCTCCTCCTTGAAACTGTCTATGACCTCCTCTTCCCAATTCTAAATGATTATGTTCATTTCCTCTGTGTTTCAATAGTATCTAGAACATAATTCTATCAAAATGATTACAAAAGCACATTCTAATAATGATTTCATTATCAGTCTGCTTCACTTACTCTAACAACACAAGAGCAGGGATATCCCTTCCTGTTTTACCTTGTATCCTCATTGCTAGTACTTCTCACGGACTAGCACACACATTTGTTGAATAATTTGTTAAATGAGTGAGTAAATAAATGGGTTATAGAAATAACCATGACCTGTGATCATATGTATAAAGTTTAGCTACCAAGACAGTCAAAAGGATAAAAAATGGCATCACTTAAATGAAAAGTTTTTTTTAAAATCAATTTGGCTGTCACAACTCTAAAACCACTTTGAATGTAGACAAGATATTTTAAATAATAGAGACACAGATGTCTGCCTTGACGCCTATTTTGTCTCAGGCCAGGGATGGGGTTGAGATCTCAAATGTAATAAATGCTCCAGATCACTGCATACCTCGGCCTTTCAACCAGGTTTCTCTATGACCCATTCATAGACCCTCAGGCTCAAGGGTCCTCTTGGGATTCACTGGGAGGACCACTTGCACAAAGAAGGAAGGAGGGAGTTGTCATGAACCATCATGAAAATGTAGTTCTTTAAAACAATGTACACGTGAGTGGCTGTCCACAGCTTGCTAGAACCAGGGTTTCAGGCTTTTGTCTCCTACGTAGTTCACGGGATTGACCATTCATTTGATTAGACCAGACTTAGTAATTGGAGGCATGATCTTCCAAGACAGGATCTAAGTGTCTGCTTATAACTTCTACTTATTTGAAACTGCTCTTTTTTTATTTTGGAAAAATCTGCCCCTTCCTCCCTCCCAACCTCTCCTTCTTGTAATCTTCCACTTACTGAGCACTTAATATATTTTAGACTTAGAGCTTGGTCTTGTAGAAAAAAAAAGAGTGTAAGTGTTTGCCCATAAGAAATGTATGATCTAATTGGAGAGCTAACTAAGTACACTTACAGTTAGAATTCAAAGGAATGTAGGATATGTGCTGTGTGTGGTCTTAAGAGCCAGAGTGTGGGTCACAGATACTTTGTGAGCACTGAAGAAGGCATATGGTGTGCATTAGAAATATAATGATAAATAAGATATAATCCCTGACCATGGTATTAATTTCCAGGCTATTAAGGAAGACTGGCATGTAAATGTATCATTATAAAATTAACAGTAGTATTAAGAAAAATGCTACAGAAGGTCAGATGTGTAGGATTTCCCTCAATTAGGAATTCAGTGGTGGCTTTGTGAAGACTCTGAAGCTGAACCATTGTTGATTTAACTTAACTATAATGCAGCACTTAACATGTGCCAAACAAAGCTCTAGACACTGTCCATATATTAGCTCATTTAATCCTCATAACAATCCTATACGGCAACTACTATTATTACCTCCATATTACCAATAAGAAAACTGAGGCACGGAGAGGTTAAGTAACTTGTCCAAGACTACACAACTTGTAAGAGTTGGAGTTCAGATTTACGCTCAGGCAGTCTGGTTCCAGAGTGTAGTGGCTAGGCTGCATGGCTACTGGCATTCAAAAAACACCACAAATAGAATTGGAAGGCAAACCATAATCTGGCAAAATACTTTCAGCATGCATAACAGAGTTAGTTCCATGACATTTTTTTTCAGATTACTTTGCAAAAGTTAAATACACCAAAAGAAAAATGAGAAAAGAACACTAAAAGGCAATTCACAAAAGAAGAGAAGTAAATGATTACCAAATATATGGAAATGTTTAACTTCACTAATAAGAAACGCAAAATAAAACAAAATCTTGATTTCACCCACAAAATTGGAAGATATTTCATTTAGTTATTACTATGGCCTTTCTGAGAACAATTTGGCAATTTGCATCAAATCCTTAGAGAGTTGCATATCTTTTGATTCAGCAAAAACATCTTTAAGAATATATACAAAGGAAATTAAAATTCATGTTCAAACAATTTCATCAGTAAGGATATTCATCACAGTATTATTTGTAACTATGTAAAATTGGAAGTAGTATAAATATCCAACAATAGAGAAACAAATAGAGAACCAATTAAATAAGTCACGGCACTGCCACACAATAGACTTCTATGTACCCAATGCCGCGTAATAGTGAAGGATGATATTAAATGACACAGGAAATTATTCATAATTATGATTAAGTAAAAACGATTATGTTATAAAATAATAGGGCATATTTCCATTTTTATAAAAACTTTATGTAAGTATAGAAAAAAATGTCAGTACTGCTCATCTCTGGGTGGCAATATAATGGAAGATTGTTTATGTTCTTCATTTTGCTTATCTGAATCTTCTGTTTTCTTTAAACTTAAAATATTTTGCCTTTATAATAAGGGAAAATGAGTAAGCTTTTTTCTTGAGGTGAATTATTTATGTGAAAAAGGAGTGGGGCAGACATCTAGGCAGAAGATATAACGTGAACGGTATGGCTTGGGTGTGCTTTGTGGGGAACAAGTACGTGTTTTGAGAACAGGTGAGAGACAGAGAGCAATTGCTTTGTGTGCCATGCTAAGGAGCACAGGGTTGGTTCTGAAGATGAGCCACTGACGGGTGTGGAGCAGGAAGGCAGAGGGAGATGGCCAAAGGTCCATTCCAGAACCATCACGTTGCAGGCGAGTGGCCTGGGAAAGCCTGGCAAAGAGCCCTGGGGTAAGTCTTTGCCGTGGTGGAGAAAGAGATGGTGAATGTCTGATGCAGATCAACAGTAATAGGGGATGGCCTGGTACAGTGACTCAGGCCTGTAATCCCAGCACTTTGGGAGGCCAAGGTGGGTGGATTGCTTGAGGTCAGGAGTTCAAGACCAGCCTGGGCAATATGGTGAAACCCTGTCTCTACTAAAAATAAAAAAATTAGCTGGGCATGGTGGTGCACACCTATAATCCCAGCTACCGGGAGGCTGAGGCACCAGAATTGCTTGAACCTGGGAGGCTGAGATCCATGCCACTGCACTCCAGCTGGGCGACAAAGCAAGACTCCGTCTCAAAACAAACAAACAAACAAACCAAATGAAACAGTAATAGGGGAGTGGAGGTGATGAATTTAGAGAAACAAAACATTTAACAGGCAATATAGAAGGTGAGCCTTAGGAGGTGAACTCATCAAGACTCGGCAAATGATTACCAGGTGGCAGAAGAGAAGCCTCAATTAACACTTAGATTTCTGACTACGGTTTCAAGTGGATGGTGGTATCTTCGCTAAGACTTGTAACACAGAAGAAGGAATCAGATTGCTTGGGAAAGATCATATGTTCTGTTCCAGACAGATTGAACTTGAGTTTCCTCTGACACTGAAGATGATAAATTTGGCAGTTCAGAAGACACATTTCCAATATTGGTGACCATGTAAGGTTTAATCTGAGAGGTTAAGAAAGGGAGATAAGAAAGAAAATAAAAGATGAATAGAACTTCTACAAGGCTCCATGTTATATGCAAATGAAGACAGAGGCAAGAGACCTCCAAAAAAGTCCAGACTGGCTGAAATACAGTTTGTGAGGGAGAGCAGTTGAAGATAATTCTGGAAAATTTAGAGCTAGACTACAAAATTCTGTTTTGTTTTGTTTTTCTTTTTTTCTGAGGTGGTGTCTCCCACTGTCACCCAGGCTGGAGTGCAGTGGCACGATCTCAGCTCACTACAACCTCTGCCTCCTGGGTTCAAGCGATTCTCCTGCCTCAGCCTCCCAAGTAGCTGGGAATACAGGCACACACCACCACGCCTAACTAATTTTTGTATTTTTAGTAGAGATGGGGTTTCACCATGTTGGCCAGGATGGTCTCAATCTCTTGACCTTGTGATCTGCCCTCCTCGGCCTCCCAAGGAGCTGGGATTACAGGCGTGAGCCACTGCGCCTGGCTACAAAATTATTTTAATGTTTTCTGTTTTTTCGTTTTGTTTGCTTAGTGCTATAGGAAATAAAGCTCTTTTGAGGCATTTTGGACCACAGACATCACACAATGGAAGTCGTGCTAACAATATTGCCAATGGTGTGCAACAAAATGAAAATATTTGCAGCTACCATTTAAAAAACACCTACTGTTTAGACGTTTTAAACACTGAGAATCAAGCAATAGTCTCATTTACGACTCACAACAATTTTGTGAGGGAGGCATTATCACTCCCACTTTATAGATGAGGAAGTGAGCCTCTCTGTGGCTCATTTTCCTCAGGGTCACACAGCCTGTAGGTGGCAGAGGCTTTCAAACTCAGGTCAGTTAGAGACCAGTAGGCTGTACAGGAAATGGGGGAAGCCAGGGAAAGCAGGAGGAAGCTGAGACGTGACTAGAAGGATTTAAGGTACCTAACAAGGCCTCTTTGAGACATAAAATTTGAACTGAGATCTGATTGATAATGAGAAGCCATGATAATAATGTGAAGATCAGCAAGAAGAACCCAGGCCCTGGAAACAGCTTTTCCAAATACCAGACAGATAAGGCTGCGTGTGACCGAGGACTAGAAAGAACACCAGTGCATGGAAACAGAGAGGGCAAGGTGCCATTAGGGTGTGAAATGAGGTCTCACAGGAAGACAGGACATGCAGGCTGGATAATAGATTTGCGTTTACTCAGAGTGCATGGGGAATCCACTAGAAGGTCTTGGATTGTGTGACATAATTGTGTGACATGATCTCATCAAGAATTAGCTACATAAACAGGGGAGTAGGGTGAGAGTCAAGGAGGAAATTCTATGAATAGCAGGAGCTTATGGGATGGCACAATATTGAAAATAATTCTGTAGAGGTAGAAGAAAAGTTTCCTGTAGAAAACAGGTCCCCAACCCCTGGGTCATGGACAGGTACCAGTCCGTGGCCTGTTAGGAACTGGGCCGCACAGCAGGAGGTGAGCGGTGGGTGAGTCAGCATGACCACCTGAGCTCTGTCTCCCGTCAGATCAGCAGTAGCATTAGATTCTCATAGGAGCACGAACTCTATTGTGAACCACGCATGTGAGGGACCTAGGTTTCAAGCTCCTTGTGAGAATCTAATGCCTGATGATCTGAGGTGGAACGGTTTCATCCTAAAACCATATCATCCCCCATCCCCTCACCACACACCATTCCCACACCCTGCTCCATGGAAAAATTGTCTTCCTCAAAATTGGTCCCTGGTGCCAAAAATGTTGGGGACCGCTGCTGTAGAAGATGATGAGGCTGGCAGTCAGACACTTGGAAGATCTTGGCTAAGAATTTTGAACTTTGTTTGACAGAGAAAACCGAAGAATTTTCAGCAGAGCAGTGACATAATTAGATTTGCATTTTAGAGACCTCCCCACAGCAGCTCTGTGGATAACAGAGGGGCTGACATGGGAGTGAGAGGTTAGGGGAGTTGGATGAGTGCTAGGAGACCAGTAGGCTGTACAGGAAATGAGGGAAGCCAGAGATGGCAGGAGGAGGCTGAGAGGGAGAATATTTGAGAGGGATTAAGATGGGGCCGGGCATGGTGGCTCATGCCTGTAATCCCAGCACTTTGGGAGGCCAAGGCGGGCAGATCACTTGAGGTCAGGAGTTCGAGACCAGCATGGCCAATGTGGTGAAACCCCGTCTTTACTAACAATACAAAAAATAGTCGGGCGTGATGGCGCATGCCTGTAATCCTAGTTAGTCAAGAGGCTGAGGCAGGAGAATCGCTGGAACCTGGAAGGTGGAGGCTGCAGTGAGCTGAGATCACACCACTGCACTCCAGCCTGGGCGACTTTCAAGATATCAGCAGTGTATATAAAGAGGCATTCAGGGAAAGTTCTGTTTTTCTGGCATAACTGAGTGGATGATGTCAATTAGAATATAGAAAGCAGGTTTTCAAGAAAAAAATGGTGAGTCCACTTTGGATATAGTGACTGATATATTTGGAGGTCATCCAAGTGTAGGTGTTCTGGAGATAAGGTGGAAATAAGGGTCGGTTTAGCAGATTTCTGTATCAGAGATGAAGATGTGGGAATTATTAATCTGTAGGTGATAACCTGAAGCCTTGGGTATGGAGATAGTCACCAGGGGCAAGTGTCATAAGAATAGACCCAGGCAACTGAGGAATATATCCTTGGGAGCATGCTGACATTTTGGGGCTGAACAGAGGAAAAATGGACTGTGAAGTAGATTAAGAGGGACTACAGAAGGTTATAGAAAAAAGAGAGTGGTTAAGTGCTCTAGGATACATGGGTTTAGTCTTCTACAGTTGTAGGGCAAACTGCCTGATCATTGTGTCCAAAAATGACATCATCAGTGCCCCAGATCTTGGTTTCTAAATAATATTTCAGCCTTGGCTGATTCCAAAGCTGGGGCAGAGAAAGTACAAAGTGAACCTGGTATGTCTTATTGTGCCAGAAAGCAAAAAAGTGTTCAAAGATTAATGGGATCACATCAAAAGGACACAGGAAGCCACAAGAACTGGCTTGAAGGGATCTTTGTTGTCTGAATTGGAGACAGTTGAGCAACAAAAATGATAATAATAAGTAAATAAAACAGGGAGAGTCCTTGATCCATGATGATATGAGAAAGGGAGAGAGTGACAGAGAGACAGAGCTCACACAAAAGAAGGGGGCAGACATTCTTTACAATAAAATATGAGAGAAAGATAGAATTAGGAAATCTTGAGAGGCCGAGGCAGGTGGATCACCTGAGGTCAGGAGTTCAAGACCAGCCTGATCAATATGGTGAAACTCCGTCTCTACTAAAAATACAAAAAAAATTAGCCACGTGTGGTGGCAGGCGCCTGTCTGTAGTTCCAGCTACTTGGGAGGCTAAGACAGGAGAATTGCTTGAACCAGGGAGGCGGAGATTGCAGTGAGCCAAGATCGCATCACTGCACTCCAGCCAGGGCGACAGAGCAAGACTCTGTCTCAAAAAAATAAAAAAAAAGAAAATCACCATTTTGTAATGTAATAAGTGATTTTAAGCAAATATTGCCAATAGATGCTAAAACTATTAGGTTGTTAGGAAATAGATTATTCACACCTACACATAGTATCACCACAGATTATCTATTAGTTACAAAAGTAAAAACGTATTTTTATAATGGACAGATCTTGTGGATAGAAAGTATCAAATTTAGCATCACAAATAAAGGCAAAATGGTCAGTATGTTCCTCCTTATATGATGCAATGAGAAGCATATAGTATTACCTATGTCATATTTTTGCCATATGTATAACCTGGGTCTAACCCAGGTTATGAGAAAACAAATCTACAACACAACTTGCCTGAACTCTTTGAAAGTTTCAATGTCTTCAAAGATTAAAAAAAGAAAGAAAGAAAGAAAAAGAGTATGGGGAAGGTGAGTGTTTGAGATTAAAAGAAACTGGAGACATGACAACCAAATGCAAAACATGAAACTTTGTTGGATCCCAGATTTTTGAAGATGATAAAAGATCACTTTGGAATAACTGGAGAAATTTGCATGTGGACTGCATATAGACAATTTAAATCAATCTTAGGGACTTCCTGATTCCAGCCCAATTGCAGCCCCGTTCAAGCAACAGGTAAAAAGCTGAACAAACTGAAAAATAAACAACTCTTCTCAGATTCATCAGACAAGTGAGGTTATAGGGCAAATCACTGCCCCCTATAATTGAAAAGACAGACAAGAAACCCACAGACAGAGAAGCACAACTTACCATAACAGAAACCAAGGAGCAAAAACCTCCATGGGAACCAGTGCTGGACAGGAAAACCTAAACTATGATTGACAAGTTGCCGGAGGCTCAATCTGGAGAAGTCTGAGAGCCAAAAACTCCAGAGGGATCTGGTCATAGAGACATCCCCACACTTTTGTGAGTTTTACACCCAGGAGCTTCAGCAGGTTCTCACAGTGAATATGAGGGAAAAATCCCCTGGTACTTCCAGAACCGTTTTGAAATATACCAGAACATTCTATTCTTCTTAACAAGGTCTTTCCTCAGGAGAAACTATTTAACCAGAACCTAGCCTGCCAAGATTTTATCAGAGCCTAACTGAGCTGGAAAAATGGTAAGTTGACCCTAACTAACCTTCTACATGGGAAAAAGGGAGTGGCTAACTGTAGCCCACTGTAGTCACCCTGACCAACTAAGGGGGCATGGGGCCACGGGGTGTGAGAAGCATATGTGAAGTTTGCAGTACGGAGATACCAGCTCACTACGAACCTGAGACCTATTCACAGGGCAGCGAACTCTTCCCCTTCCTCCACACCTCAACACCGTACTATTAGAGGCCTATTTACAGCAGTTCCTTTTACCCATGACATCATGTACGGCTGTTACAAAAAAATACAAGGCATACTAAAAGACAAAAACACAGTTTGAAGAGACAGAGAAAGTATCAGAACCAGGTTCAGATATGACAGGGATGTTGGAACTATCCAACTTGGAATTTAAAACAACTATAATTAATGTGCTAAGGGCTCTAATGGATAACATAGACAGCATGCAAGAACAGATGGGAAATATAAGCAGGGAGATGGAAATATTAAGAAAGAATCAAATAGAAATGCTAGAAACCCAAAACACCAAAAGAAATGAAGAATGCTTAGTAGAGTGAACACAGCCAAGGAAAGAATTGCTTGAGACCATCACAGTAGAAACTTACAAAACTGAAAAGCAAAGAGAAAAAAAGGCTGAAAAAACCCACCCAAGAATAGAATATCTAAGAACTGTGGAACAACTATAATAGGTGTGACATTTGTGTAATGGGAATACTAGAAGGAAAAGAAGGAGAGAAAGGAACAGTGAAAATATTTGAAAGAATAATGCCTAAGAATTCACCCCAATTCATGTCATACACCAATTCACAGGTGCAGGGAGCTTAGAGGACACCAAACAGGATAAATACCAAAAACAAAACAAAACAAAACAAAACCTAGGCATATCATATACAAATTTCAGAAAATCAATGGGAATGAAAGAAATCTCAAAAGAAGCCAGAGGAAAAAACACCTTATCTGCAGAGAAGCAAAAATAAAAATTACATCCAACACCATGCAACAAGAAGAGAGCAGAGTGAAATAGTTAAAAGTGTTGTGAAGGAAAAAAAAATACCCAAGAACCTAAAATCAATCTTACCTTTTTTGAATGTGATAATGGTATAGTAGTTAGGAGAATATTTGGTTCTTAGGAGGCAGATGCTGAAATAGGGGGTAATCATAACATCTGCAACTTTGCTTTCAAATATATAGAGGAGTGTTTTCAATTGGGGAATTTAAAAAATATGTCTCTTAGGGTTATAATAACTAAAATAAAAAATTACTGAAATGATAAAAACAAAATAAAACATTGAATTGTTAAAATCTCATTTTCTGATCTGAGGACCATAGGAGACCATTTCCATTTCTCCAAAATCTGAAGAGCCTATCCCAAGAAGGAAATAGTTTACTGATGAAGATAACGTAGACTCTAATGCTAGGTAGATTTAATAGAATCACAGAAATGGTTTAGATCCAGCAATCCCACTTCTATGTATTTACCCTAACAAAATGAAAACCTGTATTCACACAAAAGTGTACATACAAATGTTTATGGCTCTATTTATAGTCATCCGATACTGGACACATCTCGAAAGTTTTCCAGTGGGTGAATGGATAAATGAATTGTTTACATTCATACAATGAAATTCATATCCAACAATAAAAATGAACAATTCATAGATGCAACAGGATGGATGAATTGCAAAAGCATTATACAAAGTTAAAGACGTTAGATTCAAAAGGTAACATGCTATCTGATTCTATTTATTATGACATTCTTGAAAAGACAAGACTACATGACAGAACAGATCAACAGTTGCCAGCAGTCAGCTACAAAGAGATAGCACAAGGGAGAATTCTGGGGTGATGACTGTTCTGTACCCTGATTCTGATTGTGGTGGTGATTCCATGAATCGATACATGTGTTAAAATTCTTAGAACAGTACACCAAAAAAGTGGTCAAAATTACTGTCCTTAATACAGTAAAAAGGAAAAGAAATAAAAACTCTGTGACACACACTCTAAAATTTTAATAACACATTCAGAGACAAAAATATTAACCCGTTCTAATAAATAGAGTATATTTAAATGATATTAAAATAGGACATTATTATAATCTGTAAAAATTCACCATGCTATACGCTTCTGATTTGCTTACCTTTTTTTTTTTTTTTTTTTTTGAGATGGAATTTCGCTCTTGTTGCCCAGGCTGGAGTGTAATGGTATGATATCAGCTCACTACAACCTCCGCCTCCCAAGTTCAAGCAGTTCTCCTGCCTCAGCCTCCCAGGTAGCTGGGATTACAGGCGTGTGCCACCAAGCCCAGCTAATTTTGTATTCTTAGTAGAGATGGGGTTTCACCATGTTGGTCAGGCTGGTCTTGAACTCCTGACCTCAAGTGATCCACCTGCCTCAGCCTCCCAAAGTGCTAGGATTACAGGCATAACCACTGCACCTGGCCTTGCTTGCTTGCTTTTTTGAATGTGTTATATTTCAATACAAAGTTTACAAATACAAACAAATTTGATTTATGTGTGCCAGTGGATGTGCTATTTTACAGGTGAAAACAATGCCTTAACTTATTGAACAACATGTTACAAATATCCTTGGCAGGTCTGAAGTTGGGGCATGATTTCAAACGACTGTAACGCTCTTTTTGTTACTCCAAACTTTCTTTTACTTCAGGGCATAGGGGCATAATCACCAGCTTCCTAAGTTTATGGCATGAAGATATGGATGATTCAAATAATACTCTGGTTTCAGCTGTTTATCATTTAAAATATCACATGACATCTGTGTCTCTGATGACATAGCAACCACCACTTCCCCTTGCCCTTTGAAAAATTCCATTATTTTGCACAGTAAAAATTGAACTGGAAGTGTTGGTCTGCCCAAGTAATGGTGCAATGCCTGATGGCCTTCAGATTCTAGAATTGAATAATAATGCAATGAGACTTGCATTTATATCATGTTTTATATTTTTATGGGGTGGACAGAAGGAAAAGGAAATTAATTGATCATATATTGAATGCCTGACATTCCAGACGGCACCCTTCCAGACGGCAGGGTGGACTCTGCTCTTAAGAAAATTACACAAGAGGGTGAGTTGCTGTTTATGGGTGGACAACTTTTTTTTT
The DNA here is from genome assembly GCF_000001405.40 of Homo sapiens. Taxonomy (NCBI): domain Eukaryota; kingdom Metazoa; phylum Chordata; class Mammalia; order Primates; family Hominidae; genus Homo; species Homo sapiens. Next base: position 25,454,065 of record NC_000018.10, read on the forward strand.
TTTTTTGCTGCGTGGTTTGGGCCACAGAGCTTCTGAGGCGTGTGCATATCCCAGGAATGTGAGATGTTTGGCTCCCAGGAAGCGATTACCTCAGTGGTTGGCAGATACCATTAGTCTAAATACCATAATACCTCAGCCTTAGGAACAGTGAGTTCCATAAAAATCTTATTGCTTGAAATATTCAGTCTAAATTCTACAAAGTGATGGAAATTTGTCCTCAAGTGACAACCTCCTTACCACAGGACGTATGGACTCATATACTTGGATTTCTTCCATGGACAATTTCCAGCTGTCCTACCTTTTGATGATTTATTTCAGATACCTTCCAGGCTTTACCTAGGAACTCCACCATGAAAAGACAGCAGGAATTCTAGGGAGTTGTCATGGCAACCCCTAGATATCATCTTCAGAATGCCCCATGGCTGTTGGGTCCAGATTTATCACAATTATATTTCTATATGGAAGAGGAGCTCCTGCATAAGCAACCAGACCCCAGTAAATGGATCTAATTTGTAATTTTATAGATCACTCTAACACTCCCGGTAGCAAGATGTTAAGGAACCGCCCTTGCATGTTGTCTTATTGGTGGCCGCTTGTCATATTTACAAGGGCCTGTATTTCAAATGCCACTGGGGGAGGAAATCTATCCAATCTTTGCCTTTTGTCAAAGAAAAACTTACAGTCAAGTTTTAGGAAGGCATTTGATGAGAAATTGGGATTAGCTGCGTTTTTCTCCCTAAAGTAAAGAGAGGAAGCTGAGTACTTATTTCAGAGACTCTCATTTTTATTTCTCTTTGTCTCATGCTCCTTGCTTGAAACAATGGCAGCACAAAGCCCAGTTACACAGTATCTGCTTCCAAGCGGGATGGCGCTGGGGCTGTCCAGCATCTTGTGCAGTGGGTGTTTGTCTAGCATTGTCATTGCAATTTTTATTGCATCTCATGATGTGCACAGATGTGCTTGGTAAGCATCCCAAGAGAAAAAGAGACTCTGCTCAATATCCCTGTTCCCAAATGACACTACCTTATAGAATCACTTTCTAGGCTACCTCCTTTGGGATCATGTAACCATTTAAAGTCTCTGGATTTTGGTGTTTTAACAAGGGTTTAATTACTAAGGTAAGTGTATGCACCTGCTAAGGCATTCCTAATTATTTGATAATGGTGCAATCTTTCTCAATACAGCCAGTTTTGTGGTGTAAGCTACACTAATGAAGCACACTGAGAGAACACAGTCCCCCAATGTTGGGGAAGCTTATTTAAATTAAATAAATTTGCAAAGGACTGAATTTTTACTACTGGCCTCAACAATTATGCATTGGTATTTCATGCTGGAAGCCAGTATGCACAGTGTCAGAATAAGGCACACTTCCTATTACTTTTGCTCTTCAAAGTGTTTTTAAGTGAGATCGTGTCACTTTTAAAATTGTATGTTTTTCAGATTGCTTCACATATGCCAACTTGTCCCACCCTGTCTAAAAGCCAAAAAACTAAAAACTAGCTTTTTTGTTGTCACTTGGCAAAAACTGATAAAAACACTATTTGACTATGCTGAAAGTGTTTTTCTCTTTTCCACCTGATTCTTACCATTGCCACATGTGGTCTGTAGTGGTTTGGTAATAAGATCTTTGCTATAACATCTGCAAATTAGCACCTTGCTTTGCACCCTCCCTGAAAACTTGCTGATGGTTTGCAATTGTAGTAAGTCAGAGTTGACACTATATCCAAGTGTTTCAAACTTTGTTGTTTTGCACTAATAAAAGAAGGTTCCAACAGGCAGATTTCCAAGTCACTGTGAGGAGCTAGTTAGCAAAATACTACGTCTCACTTCTCAAGCATGCACATGCGTTTTAATACATAAAGTTACTTTGGGAAGAAAGACTTGCTGGTCTAAACTGGTTCTGTCTATTCTTCTCTGTTCCTAGCCATCTGCTTTTTTGTTCAAATATTTTAGTGTATCAGGCTGGTTCACCAATTTGCAGAAGACTATCATGAATGCAATTTTCCAAGTAGAGATAAAAGAAAGTGCTTAATCATTTAATTTTCCCAAATGTGTCTGTAAACCAAATTGATTTTTAAAATTTTCCAATAAAATAAGAGCATTATTTTAAATACATCAATGACCTGCCATTAAGGTTTTAAACTATTTACATATGACAGCCAAGACAAATGAGCAATGGGTGAGAACATACACAAATTAAAAACCCTTGCAAATAAGGGTTGAGGGATTAATAGAGTGTTCAGGGGTGGTGAGGACCCAATGTCAAAGTCTGCTTAAGGACAGCTTTCAAGCGCGCCAGGGGTCAGATGCCTCCCACGCCGCCATAGCTAACACACAGGTCTAGATGACGCTGCCCCTGTTTTATCACACCATCAAACAGGGCTGGAGAATGCAACAACTGGGGACCAGTAAGAGCAAAGCAGAGGCACGGTGGGAGGGGCGCTGGGAGCAGAGAGCACAAGCTGCAGCGCCAGGCAAATCAAAAGGCGGAGGGGGCCTCCCAGCTGATTGCTCAGTGTCCTAGAGATTTCTGTTATTAATGTGGCTTGGGGCATGTACTGCTGATAATTACTGCTAGCTGGAATAATTAATAAGAATAATTGCTTGGCATGGAAAGGGAAAGGGAAGCTCTGGGAGGAGGAAGAAACAGGCTAGAGGAGCAAGAGGCTCCCCGAGCGCATTTATATAGACAGGAAGTTCAGCAGCAAGCATCCTGAGAATCGAAGAGTTGTCTGGATGCCAAGGGCAAAAGTTAAGAGATATCGAGTGAGGCCAAATTCGACAGTCTCATCTTGGAATGCAGTGGAGAAGAAGCCTGCCATGGCTTCGGTAAGGGGGGACTCCCTTTGGAAATAATAGGTGAAGGTTGTGAAAAAAAGATACATTGTGAAGGGAATTAAGAAGTGGCCTTAAATGAGCAGATAAGTCTGTGTATCTGGTATAAACCCAATCATTACAGGAGGAGAGCAGCAAGAAAGGAAGACAAGTAAAGAATGATGCCCCAGTGAGAGTTTGGGAGAGTTTATCCCAGCTTGAAGGAAGAAAATTGTCCATTAGAAGCTAAGCATGGGTGTTGACAGTGTGTAAAATAACCACAATTCTGATGTAATAGGGTAAATTTTCTCAACACTATGTAGAGAGTTGCCAACATAGTTCTTGCTATTGTAGCTTTCTATAAATTACACCTAAATATTCCCCCAAAGGCAGGACAAACATATGCTTAGCAAAACGTAAAGAGGCGAAGAGACTGGATGTGAAAACTTAAGTGTAAGCAGCAGATGGAATCTGGCGGCCAGAATTCTGATAATGACATGCAGAAGGAGCAGGGCCAAGCCAAGCGCTGGGTGTTCACCATGACCCTCTGCAGGAGACAGGGCACCATGTGTAATGTTGTGTTCTGAGATAAAAGGGGCCCATAAAGGCAGAGTGACTACTTAAGATTCCTTTGTCCTATAGGAATCATACCAGAGGGGCAATTAAAGCTGAAAAAGATAAATTTACCAAATTATCCCTATCCAATATTTGATGTTAAGCATTGCATTTCAAAGGATAATGCCCTTAACCCTCTTTCCATCTATGTAACATAAATGGATTATAATTGTAAAACAAAGGAAGAAATGCTACTAACTCAGCCAATGGCAAGTATTTGGTGGTCAGGGGGGCGGGGGCTTTCCAATGTCCTACTGCTGCTCAGAGTGGGAGTGATTCTCCTCCTCCGACTCCAAGCTCCTATCAGCTTGGAGCACTAGCCCCAGCTGAATAAGGAGCTTGTATGCCCTGAGGACAGCTGTTGCTCATCTTGGATTGAGTCACATTGTGTCTGTACAGCATTTAGGGAAATCCAAAGAGCAGAACACTAAATGATTGATGCCTTTTTAAAGGATGTCACAAGAGAACCAAGTATAAATCAGTCTCCCGGTTTTAGAAGCCTGATTTAGGAATTAGGAGCCTGGTTTTAGATAGTGCCACCATGGGAGGGAATGGCTGAAAGGTACTTGGGGGAAGCTTAAGACTGATCACTATGTTTTTAGGAAGCTTTGCACATACTAACTGACCATGATATTTCTTGGTAGATGAGAAGCTGAACTAGACCTTAAAGTTGGTAACTACCCTTAGATGACCTTTCACCCTTAGCCTTGCCACAAGTTCTCCAGCCAATGGCATTGAGGAGGGGGAGATGGGATTGGTTTTATTAATCAGCAGCTGTCACAGAATTAGCAGAATCCAGAGGAAACCCTGAGCATGCCTCAGAACCCAAGGAGACCCTGCAGGTTAAACATGCACTTGGTGCTTGTTTTTTTCACGGCTTCCAAAAATGATGGTTGAGAAGCGTAAGTGCTGGCGCAAACCGCTGAGCTGGAGCAGGTGGACCTGTGAGAGCTGGGAACTGGGGCAGTGCTATAAGGGGAGGGGGGAAGAAATCCTGGTTTGGAGAAGTCCTAATTCAATACTTAAGAAAAAAAGGAAGAATACACTCAGTGCCTTTGTTATCCTGTCCAGTTGTGAAGCAGCTGGAACACTCAGCTCAATATTCTACTTTATGCTGAAGAAACAAGAGAAACTCTGTTGGCTAGGTGCAGCAGACAGCTTAGGGGCTTTGAAGTCAAATACATGGGCCTGCATCCTAGTCCATGAAGGATTCACCACAGAGCAACCTTAGACAAGCTACTTGCCTCCCTATGATATGGATAATCATACCTGGTAAGATTGGTGTCAGAATTAAAATAATGTAATATGCCTAGATCATTGCATGGCACATAAATACTCAATTTCTGATAGCTTCCACTTTTTTCATCCTTCCAAGACATTCCTAAACCTGCTTCCCTACTCTTCCTATTACCCTCTTCCTTGCCCTTTCATAAGTGATTGGATAACATACTTAATTATGAGAGTTGAAGAGGATCCCTGGCTATCTTGGTTTACGAAATTTGAGCATCAAATAATTTCTTTTTCTTTGTTCTGGTATCAGCAATTTCTGTTCTTGTTCTAACAGGGTGGTGCCTGGTCCATTCAACAAATATTTATTGAGTGCCTCCCAGCGGTCAGGAAGTGTGCCTTCTTCCAGCATGACTGATAACTTCATCTTCTCCAGATACCAAGATCAAAGCTGTTCCAGGGAGCAAGAAATTGAGGCAAATCCCCTGACCCCACAATTCTGAAGGGAGGCCTCTATAGTGCCACAGAAGGACAGTGACCTGCAGAAACAGTGGCAGGAAGAGAAGATGACCATCAGCTGGTTCGAAAAATGATCTTATCCCTCAACACTAACAGTTCTGCTGTGCTTACTACATGCCCAGCTTTGGTTTAAGTGCTTTCTGTGCATTAACTCATTTAACCCTTGTAACAAGTCTATGAGACAGAGATAATTGTCACTTCACTTTAGAAATGATGAAACTGAAAGGTAGCGAGGCTAGGGACCATGTCTAGGTCACAAAGCTAGTTTGTGGTCAAGTTGTCTGGGTCTTCCCTCTTGGCCTCTACAACACGCAGCCGCACCTGCTGTCCACTGCCATACACTTGGTACCCATCTACAAAGTGAGGCGGGTGAACTGCATCACCCCCATCTGTATCTCAGCTTCTCTTCAGTGACTTCTCTTCCTTGGTAAGGCTCCTCTTAGTGTTTGTTTTCATTTAATTTAGACCCTACCAAAACATTAGCTTAGGATCAGAGGATGCTATAAATATACCATTTATAGTATCCTGGAGCTGGAATAATGTGTTACCTTTCTCTAGGTTTTGGTCTAGGTAGATGTCTCCTCTTATTTCTCAGAAAAAAAGGCCCAAGATGGCTGTATTAAATTTCTGAATTATCAAGAGACCAGATTCAGCCAAAAGAAAAACCTCTGTTAATTTTCAAAGACAGTCTTTTGTTTAGCAGATTTTGAGACTCAGATGGTCTCAACCAATGCTCTGGCAGTACCCAGTCCTTTGGGACCAGCAGAGGAGGGGAATGTGAGTTTCCTGGATGCCTTAGGACATACTTCCCCCATGAATGGGGTTGCAGGGCAATCTGAAGTCTCAAGGGAACCAGTTCCCAAATATAAATTTTAACTTGTTTACCTTTAACTTGGAGCCTCTTATAATAATTCCCTTGGGATTCTGCCATTGGCACTCAATCTATCCTCATCTTCTACAGTTAGGGGCACGTCTCTTCCCAGCTATGCTAAAGGCTGCTTTACTTCCCAAATGCTTCAAAACGGAGCTAAATTGTCCCTGTCCCAGAGGAGCAAACAAAACCCTGGCAGGGAAAGGCTGCTTTCAAATCTCCTCTACCCATGTTCCGTAGGGACAAAGCCACATCAGAGGGGACCAGCACTTTAGCCTTCTTGTCTCCCCACTCAGCTGGCTGGCTCAGACCGAATAGACTTTGCTCTATTTTCCCAGCTGTAGGTCCTTTCCTTCTTCATTTCTGTTTGCTGACTGTGAGATCCCTCTCCCTTTGCAAGATGAAGGTTCAACTTTGCAGAAGCAGAAAGAGAATGGTTATGTTTAGAATGTAGGCTCATGAGGCAAAGATAAAATCTGCTTTACTTACCATATTATTTCTAGGACCTAGCAAAGTAGATGCGCAATGAATAAATGGTATCAGAAGACAGAATAATATTCTTAAAAAGTGGGGAAATAAACATTTCTGTTTACCCAATTAGAGAGATAGTGAATGGCTTAGTTAACTAAAAATATCTTCTTCTATTGCCTTATCTTGTCTTTTTTGGGGCAAAGTTGGTAGGTCTCCATCAGTACTTATGGAAATTTTTCTTAGAGGCCAGGAAAACTAGCAGCCATCCACTCCAGGGATAAACATAGGACAATGTGGTGAAAAATAGTCTGAATGTGAAGTTAGAGCATTCTGCTCATAGCTCCATATCCATGTGCCAAGGATAAATCCCTTCACTCCCCCTGGGATCTCAGTTCCCTTGTTTTTAAAATGGAAGGTTTGGTGGGGTGCAGTCACTTATGCCTGTAATCCCAGCACTTTAGGAGGCTGAGGTGGGTGAATCACTTGAACCAAGGAGTTCAAGACCACCCTAGGTAACATAGCAATACCTCATCTCTACAAAAATTACAAAAATTATCCAAGCATGGTGGTGCATGCCTGTAGTCCTAGCTAATCTGTAGGCTGAGGTGGGAGGATGGATTGAGCCTAGGGAGGTCGAGGCTATAGTGAGCCATGATTGTGCCACTGCACTCCAGCCTGGTCAACAGAGTGAGACTTTGTCTCAAACAAAAACAAAAACCACAAAACAAAACAAAACAAAAATTAGAGGGTTTGGGTCAGATGACCTGTGGCCCAGTATATCAGATAGGATGCTAACAGATGCCCATGCCAGACAAATGAACTAGAAGTGGCTTCAACAAATAATGACAAGTCCAGAGGCAGGATGGTTTCAGGGCTGGTTGGTTCAACTACAGCTTGAAGGACTAAGGTTCTCTCCTTCTTCTACTTTGCCCTCTTCTCCACAGTATGCTTTCTTCCTAGGCTGGTTCCCCTTCTGGGCCCAAAATGATGGCCACAGGTATTATAGGCAGGCAGCAACATTCAGATGAAAGAATAGAAACTTCTCTGTCTTGTATCCTTTCTCAAGAAAACCCAACAGACCTCCCTCAGGTCTAATTGGAGAGAATTGCATCACCATCACTTGGTTTAGATCCACAAGGACTTAGATACTTTGAGATACACCCCCTTGGGACGGGGAGGTCTCAGCCTTCTGTGAAGGCCAGGCCAGCTCCAAGGAGGTCTGGTAAGAAGGAAAGTAGAGAACTGTGGTTGCCTGGGAGGCCAATGGTGTCTGCTACAAATACGTAATTCAGAGAAAATAAGAAAAATGATAAGAAAGTTTAATAGAAGAAAAGAGGGCCAGGAGACAATGGAAAGGCCAGGCCTCTGTGTGAGAAGTCTTCGAAAGACAGGACTGTCACATGCCACAAATGTTTATTTAAAGCAGGCCTAGGGAACCTGCACTGCCTGCCCCTGTGTTTAACTTTCCAGCTATTGGAGCAGCAGGCTCCTTTGGGTCTCCAACTGAAGAGAGCTTATACCAATTTGTTAGGATAAGGAAGGACTTGCTCTAACAGTTCAAAGGACTCCACAGGGATCCCAAGCAGGGATTAAATCAGCTGTGCTGCCTTCTTCTACACTAGGGCAGGGAAGACGGTCCCATACCCCCTTGGTAGACCAGACCTGTACCCTGAGAATCTCAGTGTTACCTTCCATGTTCTTTTCTCCCCTTCTGGGCATTTGCAGGTGCCATTCCATCTGCCTGAAACTCCTTTCCTCCAACTTCTGGCTTATGCTTTTCAACCTTTGTCAGCCTAAGTTTCTCCTTCTTTGGGAAGCTGTCTCAGGCCTTACAGATTCTGGGTCACTCTGGTCTCATTTGCTCCACTGAATACTAACTGCACCTTATTATAATTGCCTGTTCCCTTGTCTGTCCTCCTCACTAGGTAACATATTTTTTTTTATTTTACTTTAAGTTCTGGAATGCATGTGCAGAACATGCAGATTTGTTACATAGGTATACATCTGCCATGGTGGTTTGCTGAACCTATCAGCCCGTCATCTAGGTTTTAAGCCCATCATGCATTAGGTATTTGTCGTAATGCTCTCCCCCACCTTGCCCCACAACTCCCCGACAGGCCCCAGTGTGTGATGTTCCCCTCCTTGTGTCCATGTGTTCTCATTGCTCAACTCCCACTTATGAGTGAGAACATGCAGTGTTTGGTTTTCTGTTCCTGTGTTAGTTTGCTGAGAATGATGGTTTCCAGCTCAACATACTTCTCAAGAGTAAAAACTGTGTAGTGCACATGACTATTCCTAGCACACATCTTGCATTCAATGAGAGCTCAAAAGGTGTTTGTTAAAATAAGAAATAAATATTAATAGTAGAAAGAGATGTAGAAATAAGTTAGAATTGATGGTAGAAGCTTTGAAACCACCAGTAACTTTGAACTTATTAGTGAAAACATTAAATAGTTTAGTTCTTCTCCCTCTAGGAAACTGTAGCCTGAGATGGCAGCTTTCTGTGTCTAAACTGGAATCTAAAGCATAAGAACGTGGTCTCCTATAGGTATTGGTGTGTGTGTATGTGTGTGGTAGACAGGACTGTATTGCTTTAATTTTGCTCAAGTCATATTGAATGCAATCCTTTCTATCTTCTTTTCTTAAATCTAAAATAAATCTACCCCGATGATATAAGCACTTTTCTAAGGTCAGAGGTAGAGTAGGGAACAAGAAATACTTCCTGCACTGATACTTTAAATAGGCAACTGCATGGAGCAGGGGGTGGGAAGAACACAGAAAAGAGGAGGGGATTCCCACCCTGCAGGAGGGATCCATAGGCTCTTCTCTGGCTTTTCTCCCCACTGCTCACACTTCTCCCAAGAGCGGAACAAACTGAGCAGCCGGGAGAAGGAACTGAACATGCCCATTGAAGCCTCTTCACTCCCCCTCCTTCCTCTCTCTGGCCCTGTCTCATTGAGGACTCACATTCTTCTCTCCCTGCCCCTCAAGTCCCAAAGATTCCAAGTGTGATGTTTCTGGGATACACTGGAACACGGGAGTGTGTAAAAACCAAAGAGAACAAACTTATTTTCGGGAATCAAAGAAAAATTTCTTGAGGAAGCAACACTTATGCTGAGACCAGAAAATGAAAAATGAAAAGGAGAAAATAAGGTGAAAAAGAAGGGTTTTGTGAGAGCCAGTGTGGTTGGGAAGAGAGTCGTGAGCTTGGAGAACACGTAGTTGTGAAGGGTGGAGGTAGAAAAAGAAAGGCTTGCTGAAATTACAGTTTTCTTCCTGGCCTCTAACCTGGTGTTAGAGAGGGTCATATCTTAGTTTGGAATAAAACTCATTCATTTGTTCGTTCATTCATTCATTCATTTGTTCATTCATTCCTTCCTTCATTCATTCATTCATTCTTCATTTAACCTATAGCCACTCTCCTACGTGAAGGTAATATAATTCTGAGTTAGATATGGGCTCTAACCCAAGGCAGCTATCATCTACTAGTAATGCAGATGTGTTAATAATTTTGTTTATTAAACCATACTGGTGTTCTGCTAGAGGACAAGGACACAAGAGTTATGGGTGGTGGAGAGAGGGATGTCACAAGAGGCAGAGAAGAGGTAACACTTGAGCTGAAAAATGAGTGTGTTTTTACCAAGTCAAAAAGAAATCTTACTGTCCATCTTTGGTGTCTCCCTTTCTGGACCTTTCTGCCTTACAGAGCTGATGATTACTTGATGTAGCATTCTTCTACCATAAACAATCTTCCATATTCTAGCCAGAGTGATGTCACTATGAGACTATGCCTGGTGTAAACAGGATAAAATTCCAAGGCAGATCAGAAATGAAACTAGATCTCTGTAAGAATGAATTAGCCTCAACATAATAAAATAGTTACAACTTTGTGGGAGATATGTAAAATGGTTTACATCACTGAATGGTCCCAGATGGTAAACATAAGGAAAGATTGTGTCTTAAAATGCATGTACAGTGGATGTACTGTACATACATAGTGCAGAAAAAACTTTTAAGAGCCTAGCATTTTCTAGGCTCCTGGACAATGCATGTTTATGATAATGTGCACCACAAATATACCCACAATTTTCAATGTATTAATCATAGATAGTGTCCAAAACGAGTGAGATGGCAAAGAAAATACGGTCATTGGAAAAGAAGAGATGTATTACTGAATGTGCTAGAAAGTAAAGAACACTAGACTCAACACAATGTGTAAGACAACACAAATGATGGAATGCTTGGAAGAAGGTAATAAATGTAACTTCTAGGAGAGAGACGAGTGGAAGGCTTCTCAATTGCCCTAAAAGAATGGCCTGGCTGGAGTCGCTCAGGGAGGAGGTGAGCGCACAGGCTGGTGTGGGAAATGAAACAAGGACACCAGGGAGACTGATTTGCTCTCGTCCTGTCACTCCCCTGTGAACTTTGGGTCATAGATGGTTAAGTGTGGGAAGGGAAAAGCAGGAAGTATTCTAATGAGAATTCAATTAATTCAAGGAATCACAGAAACCAGGTGTAAACTCTGCCGGATATTAAAAGATCCCTGAGAGGAGACTTAGGATTTTGTAACACGTCAGATCAATTTTCGAGGAGCTGGCAAATTGGCAGCTTCCCGTTTATAGCCCAGGCCTTCCCTAACAGGTCCAAACAATTCACGTCCTTCGACTCTGAGCAAGTGTGACTTGAGACCCCTAACAAGGCCACTGCTGTGAGGGACCCACTCTGCTCCATCTGGGTACCCATGGGGGTCTTCAGGATGCAACGGCCATCCCAGGACACTGGAGAAAGCCCTGCCACCCTCTGAAGGACTTCCAGCCGGTTGCAGGACTCGGCATGAGGGCATGGTTTCCTGTAGGTGTTGGACTGGCCATGATAAAATGACGCATGACAGTCTGATGCTGGGGCTAAAAGCAGCGGGAGCTTAATACCGCGGGGCAAAGGATGAAAACACAGCTGAAAAACAATGTCTAGCTGAAGAGAAGTGTTGAGTGGGGCCCCCGCAGGGGCCACTCCGAGGGCCTTTAAGGACTTTATGTCCGCATGATTAGCCAAGATGAAGGGACCAGCTGCAAACTTTAATTTCCTGATGACACAAAGGAACCATGAACAATATATAGATAGGATTTGAATTTGTAATAAGCAGTGGCCTAATCCACAGCAAAGGATAGTCAGTGTAGACCAAAAAAAAAAAAAAAAGCCTCCTGAAATTTCTTAGGGTCCCCATTCAGACATACTCTTTACTGAGAGTTTTACTTCAAGCAATTTATCTTGGAGGAACTACCAGGGTTGGCTGTGGGAAAGAAGCAATGCACTTTTGCTCTAGGACCCTGAATTCCTGACAAATCCCTCTGTTCTCCTAGCAAGAAGACAAACCAGAGTTTGTATAATAATGTTGCCTGCACCTGGCTGGAAGAATACTCTGGATAAAGGAATGACCACATTAGTCCACTGAGAATATTTTGCCAGACACTAACCTCTTTTATTATACTCTTAATCTCAAGCTAGAGAGGGGAATTTTTAAAAATAATGCTTTCTTCATTCTTAGCAGATGAAAACATAACATTTGAGCTTCTTTCTTTCTTTCTTTCAAGTGCTGTTGGAATCAAATTAGCTGCTGGAAAAGAAAGGCTCAACCTTCATTTTTTGTTCTTACCCTTTCAGCTCTAATCATCTTGAAGTGTTAAGGTGCATAATAAAAAAAATGTTTAGGTCCACAGGAAGTGGCTCGTGATGAGGACTGGCTTTAATAGCACAGGGAAAGCTGAGGACAAAAGGGGCCAGATGTTTTGACAGGGCACCGAGGAGCAAAGAATCTGGGAAAGGGAAAGAAACCTTTCAACAATTCTCAGAACAGGGGGCTTTTTGTCTCCAGCTCTTGAAGAGGTCCTGTGGCATGAGCTTCCCCCTAAGAGGCAAAAGATGAGAACTTCAAACATGCATCAGCATTGTGAACACAACATGTTAATCTTATTAATTATGAAAACCCCCACTGAGGGAGCATTTACATGTGCTAGCAAATTTACCTGCATTATCTCATTTAGTCTTTGCAAAACAAGCCTGCGCAGTTGGCTTTATCATTCCCATTTTACTGGTGAGTCAGTTTAGGCTAAGGAAATGTAAACTTTACTTGTCCATAGACATGCTCACTGTTAAATGTTATAGCTAAAATTAGAGCCCAGGACTTTTTGACTCCAAGACATACTGCAGCTTCCTTGCAATGACAAAAATTACAAGAAACACACTTGGAGCTCCATGATGCTTGTTGCATATTACTGGGATCTGACTCTCTCAGACATCACTTCCGTTGCTAAACGCAAAAACTTATAGCCCTCTTGGAGGTATTTACTCGGTGCCTCCTACTTACCACTAGCTTCCCCTTTCCTCCAAATAATAATAATAATGAGCTGAAAGATTTATACAATCTGAAGAGAAACCAGAGTATTAATAGTAATAATAGGTTACAAAAATATTTCCATGTAACCATTTTCAATATGGATGGCTTTACAATGTTGACACAATCCCTTAGTGTGGCTGCAGAAAAGGGAAGAAATAGGCACACTTCCAGTCCCAGGAGGAACTCAGGGCTGGTTTTTCTCTATTTCTTCTTCCAACAGAAAAGGAATGGGGACATATGTGTTTGTTGGATAGTAAGAAAGTCCTTTGTGTGATACGTGTGTTCTTGTGACTCAGTTTTTGGAAGTCATGGTCAAGTTCTAGTGCTCAGAAATTTGATCCTTGCATTCCTCTCTTTGGCATTGAAAGGTACCTCAAGGCCAGAGCTGGCTGAACAGAGGCTTGTCAGCTGCCAGGGCCTGCCTCTGATGGCCTTCTGGGCACAGCTGTCAGGGAGATTGGGCTGTGTCCCAAGGGGGATGTGTCATCACCCAAATGCCTGGGCAGCGACGGGGGATGTGTGAGGTTTAGAGCTAAGAGGAGTGCTCTCCTTTCACTAAATATTCTTAAGTCTCTGTCCAGGAGCTCTGCCCATGCTGGCCTTCTCTGTACCTCTTTGTCCTCAAAAGTCTATGTCACAGCAGGCTGCTGGGTTATCCTATGGGGACAATTTTGCTCTGTGTAGGCGACCAGCCTCAGAGTGTTTCTGATCCCTAATAGTCCTCAGAACGATGCTGGGAAATGTCTCTGAGAGTCCAAGTTTGCCACAGCCTGGGCTGCTGGAGCCCTGTGCCTTCCCTCCATCCTTCCTGTCTAGGACAATTGAGCTAATTAATGTGACCAGGGAACATTTGAGTTGCTAATAGGAGCCAAGAAAGTGTTGGGGTGTCCAAGACAAATGGCACTTGGCTCATGTTGCTCAACAGCTTAAGTTTCAGTTTTGAAAATTAGTTCAGTTTTACTTAAATCATCTTCTGTGCCAGGCAGCCAATTTTGAGAACTGACGCATGACAAAGCCTCCGTATCTGCAGTGAATAGTCTCTCCATTTTATTTGACCCTTAGGAACTGGGGGAGAAGGTGGTCTGTGCACAGCCTGTCCAAGGCATCCTGGAAGAAGGAGAGAGAGGGGGAACTCTGTGTGTCTGGTTTTGCCCAGTTAAGAAAGAACAAAGTAATCAAGTTAAAACTGTATTTCAATTTCCTCCTCTGAAGAATGTGTTATTAAGTGAATTAACGTGTTGTTTCTTTTATCTGAAGATCTGTGGTAACTCATATCTTCTGAGATGGGTCTGACACGCTTAGTTTCAACAGAAGTAGATGACTTGGCTTTACTGTAAAATAGCAAAGGAATTTTATAAGACATTAGAATAATAACTTACATCTATTTATGTGTTTTTCTAGTCATTGTAGTCACGCTGTTTATCATGTGCAAAGACTGTGAAGTCAGACACACTGAGGCTTGACTCCCATGCTGCCCTTGGCTGGCTGTTTCACTCAAGAATGTTCCTTAATCCCTCTGAGACGCAGTTTCTGAACTTGCCAAATGAAGATAATAATAGTACCTACCTCTGGCCAGGTGCGGTGGCTCACACCTGTAATCCCAGCACTTTGGGAGGCCGAGGTGGGTGGATCACGAGGTCAGGAGATCGAGACCATCCTGGCCAACACGGTGAAACCCCGCCTCTACTAAAAATGCAAAAAATTAGCCAGGTGTGCTGGCAGGCGCCTATAGTCCCAGCTACTCGGGAGGCTGAGGCAGGAGAATGGTGTGAACCCAGGTGGCGGAGCTTGCAGTGAGCCGAGATTGCGCCACTGCACTCCAGCTGGGGCAACAGAGCAAGACTCCATCTCAAAAATAATAATAATAATAATAATAATAGTACCTACCTCTCTGAATTGTTATGAGGAGCCAATGAAATATAAATGTACTAAGTATGTGGCCCGGGGGTTATTTTACAGTAAGTGTTCAGTAAACAAGTCCTAGTTCAGATAATATCTACCTCAGATAAATGTAAAATTAAATTACATCTAACATATGTGGAGAAATTTTCTCACAGTAGGTACCATCAATACCGGTACCCTTACTGTCCCTGCGTATCATAATGGCTAGGTTTGTTGAAATATTAGACGTAAAACTATACTTACATTTACTTTCTCTACCTCAGGTATTTTACTTGAATTCTCTTGTGAATTTTAGTATTCTGTCTACCTACCACTTTCAAACCAATGGGTCTCCAGAAGGGACTGAATTCTGATTCACACACCACAAACAAGCAAATTCAACCACCAAAAATTCTGCACCAAGCCACCACATTGAAGACCATAGGTGGGGATCATGCTGGGCCACCAAGCCATCTTGTCAACCTCATACATGTCCGTCTGGTTCAGGCCTGTAAACCAGGACTCCTCGGCCTGCCCCTCAGGCCTCAGAAATCTCTTCTAGCAAAAAGTATACCTGCAGGCCTGGCTATGTGATTTATAATAGTCTTTATGTATTCCAAGTCATGGGGATAGGAAGAAGGCACTAAATGCCAAGGTTTTAAAGACAGTGCCTCACAGAAATGACCATAAATAGCAGCTCAGGAGGCCACTTACATGAAGTTAGACCCGTTTAGGACTAGGGGCTATTACAGTATGAGCTTATCATAACTTGATTCAAGTGCAATAAGCGAGGAGTGGAGAAGATGACCAGTCAGTGTTAGAAAGCCAAGTGTGGATCAGATAACCACATTAAAAAGATTAAAATGTCCAGCCTGCTATAAATGCCTGCTAAAATCCTAAAAAGGAGCCTGGAGAGACCCATAAAATCATAACTAAGAAAGTAAGGGAGCCCTGAAGCTTTAACCAGATGTTCCTGTGATATGAATGACTATGTTAGTAAATTTTCATCCTAGCAATACAGCTTTGTATTGATCTTTTGCTTTTATTAGTCAGTGCTGCTATGAGATTAAACATTGTCTGGAAGGAAATAGAGGCTTCCCTCTCTAGAAGGCTCTTCTCAGGAACCCAGCATTTGTTATCACAAAGCGCACAAGGGAGTTTATAATGAATTGCACAACAGAGCAGAGGCTTGAGTCTATAAAAAGAGTTATATAAGGGGTAGCCTTATAGAGAATAACCTCATTTGGGAAGCAAACATTGTGTACCGTACCGAGTAGGAAACCTACGGAGAGCTGTCTAAAACAGAAATAGACATGAGTATTTATGACCAGGAGCACCAATCGCAATACACAGTGCTAAACACTTAATCTACGTTTAGATTTTACTCCAGATCCAAGCTGAAGTCAGCAGAATTAAATTTTCAAATGTATTTCAGCAGCCTTAAATCCTTCTGATACTGTTAGCAGTGGCAGGGTTCCAAAATGCATTCTGTTAATAAGACAGTAAAGTATAAAATCGAGTTATCTCTTTCAAGGAGAAAAACACAGAGTAAAGGAAACGAGTCTTGTAAAATTACATTCCAGTATTCAGGCCTTTTCTACCTGAGTTCCTTTCAATTTATTCTTTTACTACCAGACCATTCTCCTGGAAAATAGCAGGGAAAAAAAAAGAAATTACCCCCCAACATTTTTTTTGAACTATGAAAGAAATGGTACTCCTGCAAAAAGCCTTAGGATTTTTTGCTTCTTATTTTTACAGGTCAGAGGAGGTTAAGATTTTGCCAATCAGCTTGTAACATGCAGTATCAAGTCTCCTTGGGCTAGCAAAAAGAATTCAGCAGCTGTTACCTTTTCTTTCTCACTTAACATAACTTTTGGTTTACCTGCAGCTAAAAGAAATTTATGCAGCACATACAGGGCTGTTGTTCAAGTCCCCAAAGCAATTTCATTAGTTCTCCCAGGAGCAGCATCAAATGCTTGTTAAGGAGGAAGAGAGATAGACAGACAGACAGAAAAAAAGACAGAAAGGAAGAAAGGAAAGAAAAGAAAAGAAAGAAAGGAAAGAAAGAAAAAGAAAGAAAGAGAAAAGAAAAGAAAGGAAAGGAAAAGAAAAGAAAGAGACACATCCACTACCAACGCTCTTTGTTTTTTTTTTTTCAATTTTTTAAAATTATGCTTTAAGTTCTGGGATACGTGTGCAGAACATGCAGGTTTGTTACATAGGTATACATGTGCCATGGTGGTTTACTGCACCCATCAACCCGTCATCTACATTAGGTATTTCTCCTAATGCTATCCCTCCCCTACCGTGACAGGCCCTGGTGTGTGATGTTCCCCTCCCTGTGTCCATGTGTTCTCATTGTTCACCTCCCACCTATGAGTGAGAACATGCGGTGTTTGGTTTTCTGTTCCTGTGTTAGTTTGCTGAGAATGATGGTTTCCAGCTTCATCCACGTCCCTGCAAAGGACCTGAACTCATCCTTTTTTATGGCTGCATAGTATTCCATGGTGTATATGTGCCACATTTTCTTTATCCGGTCTATTATTGATGAGCATTTGGGTTGGCTCCAAGTCTTTGCTATTGTGAATAGTGCCCTTTGAACACATAACACTGAGATGAAGTGCCAGACTTGCTCAAATGAACAAAGTCAAAATGAAGCCTAAAATGCCATCTAGACATCGGCTTTCACATCACAGTTTCTGCACATATGGGATGAGAGACCACCCACTGCTCTGAGATCCCTGCAGGGCACCACTGAGCGAGTTAAGTAATGAATTTTAATCTTAACTCTGAATTTCTTTGTCTTTAGGCAATTTTTTTTTTTTGGCCTGTCTAGGAGTTAGAAAAAGATAGAAACTCCCTTGTCTTGTAGAACTAATGTGATATAAGAAATTGAGCTGTAGCAATCCACTGGGAAGAAACAAAAAATATACGAAAGTAAAGATTTATACTGTATACTCAAATAGTTCTGGAAAACATATACATCTGGAATATACTAGAAAATATCTGGAATATCTATAGGTAATACCTGTATATAATACCTCTCTATATTTGATATCCTGTACCTTTATAACTTTGAACAAATATATATATATATAATTTTACCACATTGAATTATGACATTGAGAGAAACAAGAACATAAACTTAATTTCTAATTATTATTATTATTTTTTTATTTTTTTTAATTTCTAATTAAACCTATCATTAGAAGAGATTTTGGAGTTCTTAAGAATTATTTTTGTTGAGTTCAACAAGTTATGTAAATGATTTTAGAGACTTTTCTTGAATAACTGCCTAAAATGAAACCTGAAAAAATTTCATTCCCTTTTTCCAGCTTTGCCAGAGTCTGGGCAGATGCCTACAGTTATTTTATGACATCAGAGTTAACATTTATAAGACCATAATTTACTCCCATTATCCTTTAGTCAACTTAATGAGATTAGGAGGATACCATGATTTTTTAAAGTTGATTTGAGAGGCATTTCTGATCTAGATATAATTTAAGAGATGCCCTGTTTTACAACCACAGGTCATAGGTAACTTCTGTAAAGGGTGAATCTCTGTGATTGTTGCTGCTTCAGTGTCGGAGGGTATCATTTTGTGACCATGTCTGGGTGCCCCCCAGTGATTGCCTAGGGTTTCCAGGGCCTGGCTATTACCATATGCTATGGACAACTCCAGTTGTGTTCTTTGCACGTAGCTTTTAAGGTTCAACTCTAAAAATTCTTTCCAAATTCCGCTAGTTGAAATCAATCAGGGTTTGCATCTACCCCAATTAAAGTTATTTCTGTGACTTCATACCAAATTACGAGCAGCTAGATTAGGTTCTTTTCAACTTTTAGATCCCCTTCAGTGTCTAGAAGAGTGCCTTGCATAATATATGTCCCTTGAATGGAACTGTATTTTCTAAAAACTGGGAATTAAATCCACCCGTGGGGAAGGGTATGAAGATGAATGAGCAATGGACAGAAGCATCCTCTAATGATGGCAAAGATGAAGCAAACACACACCTGGGCCCAGACCCTTGCTAGGGCATTTATGTAAAACCAAATTAACTTCAAGAGAATTCAATGAGTAAAGTGAACGTTTTTCACCCTCCAGGTGGTCCCTGGAGAGGATGTTAGCATGATGAGAAGAAACAGGGAGAGGAAAAATGCTGCTGCTGACCCCTGTATGATAAAGATAGGTTTTCCCATCTCCACTCCTCCATTCTGCGTATTTCAAAATGACAACAAGGGAAACAATTTACAGTTGACTCCAGGTGCCCCTGGCTGTGAAACTCTTTCTGTCATGGCAGAGAGATGAAAAAGAGGCCCCCTTTCCCATGAACGACTCTGAGCCACATAAATATTGTTTCATTTCCACTTGTAGCAGTTTATGTTGCTTGTCTGTGTTCAATCTCCCTAGATCCTGGCAGTTCAGTCACTCCTCTCTTTCTAGACACTAGATCACAGCACCTGAAACTAGGAAAGGAAAAGAGGCCTGGAAAGAGGCCCAGCAGTGGCACCTTGATGCTATCTTGAGATGTCTCCATTATAACTTGCAACATCCTGCAGTGGTAAAATGTGGGTTTACCTTGAGATAATCTAGATCCTTCCGCAGCATCACTTTATTGCCTAATGCTACTGTTTCCTTCTCATCATTTGCCCAAAAAGAGGGGTCTCAGGAGATGCTCTTTGGGGAACTTGTTAAAATCCTGAATTCTGGGCTGACTTCTGAGACTTCTGATTCAATAATTCTGGATGATACCTAGGGATCTGCATTTTAATATACAGTGCATCCCAGATGATTCTTATTTCAGGTGGTTGATAAACACTGTCTTATGGCTAAGAGGAGGGAAGATTAGCTGGCTTATTTTCTACTCATGGGGTTTTTGTTGTTTGTTTGTTTGTTTGTTGGAGTAGGTGAGGAAAATTGGAGAAATAGCTCCCCTGCATATTACATTTGAAGAAAGTAAAGTTAAGGACATAATGATATAATTAAGTTTAATGTAACATATAAACAGATTTGTTCATCAAACGCACTGAGCTAGTTACTGGACATTCAAACTGTGAATGAAACTTGGATCTCTGTGCTCAAATAGCAAATAGTTAGGGAACAAAATGAATTACCATCCAGGCTCAACAATGGATTATCCAGTTGGTTCAATTCTCTACCTCGGTAGAGGTTACAGTTTGTCCCTAATGTCAACCTTCCCATGAATATCCCGTGTTTCCTATCTAAAAGCCTAGGGACCTATTCATGGAGGTACTCCTGATAACAGGTCATGAAGTCACATCAAAGATTACCTGGGCCTGTCTCCCCTCATCACAGATAAGGGAACTGAAGTTACAAGAGGTTAAGGGACTTGTGGAAGGTAGCTAGATAGTTTGTATGACAGTTCACACCCAAATCAGGCCTTCTGAGGCATTGCTTTTCCCACTTTAGCATATTGCTTGGAGCAAGATTGTCCATTGGTTTGTTCATTAATTCATTCATTCTACAGATACTTAGTAAGCACCTACCATTTTCCATGGTAGTAAGCACCTACCATTTTCCTGGGCCATGTGTTGAGGATGAAAAGTTGAGTAAGACTCTCTTTCTGTCTTTACAACCTTATAATTTAGGGAGATAGAGATCAGAAAACAGGTTACATAAAGCCAACCTTCTTTGATTTTTTTTTTCCATAATACAGATCTTATGCTTTACTGTCTCCTGGAATGATTTTCAGACTTAGGTTATATCCTTTCTGACCTCTTGATTCACCATCTGACCAATCTGGATCATTTTAGTCAGGCCTTCCATAGAGCACATCTATCTATCAGGTGCATGTCCTTACTTATCCTAGAGACCTCTCCACCACTGTTTCTTTCTAGAGAGAAGGCAGCGAGTTGCACAGAGTATTTCAGAGATGAATAGATAGGGTAAAGTCCAGCTTTTGGTTTTCATTTTTTCAGGTTCCTTTAGGATGATGTCCTCTGGTCCTGCAGCAGATCTTTGGAACCATGACTCTCAGACCCTCTTGCAGTTCTCAATCCAACAAACAGATGACTATCCCAGATAGAATTTAGCTTTCTTTTTCCCAAAATGGCCCACCTTTCATTGTCATGCATAAAAGCACATATTCTCTGTCCCTTCACACAGCCTTTCAAGATAGTTCTAGAGTTTATTTCTCTTTATTTGGCATTTTACAAACAAAAGATATTACAGGCTGGGTGTGCTGGCTCATGCCTGTAATCCCAGCACTTTGGGAGGTCAAGGCAGGTGGATCACTGAGTCAGGAGTTCGTGACCAGCCTGGCCAACATGGCAAAACCCCATCTCTACTAAAAATACAAAAAGTAGCCAGACGTGGTGGCAGGCGCCTGTAATCCCAGCTACTCAGGAGGCTGAGACAGGAGAATCTCTTGAACCCAGGAGGCAGAGGTTGCGGTAAGTTGAGATGGTGCCATTGCACTCCAGCCTGGACGACAGAGTGAGACTCTGTCTCTAAATAAATAAATAAATAAATAAATAAAAGATGTTACAGTGGTAAGTTTGAAAATTTCACTGACGACTTTTCTTCTTCGCCAACAAATAAACCCCTTCCTTTCAATTAGACAACTTCAATTACAAGAAAGAAGGGACATTTTCACTGTGACCCTTTTGAAACTCATGCTCCCAGGACCAGCCACTCCCCTTAGCCTCTGACTTTATTAATGAGCTCATCCTCTGGCTTAATCCTTAGCCAAGGCAAATTTGAGGTAGCAAATTGCATTTTACAGCAATAAACCTAAAGCTGTATGTCACAAGAGCCACAGTACCCTAAATGAGCTCACATTTGTCTCAAGTGACATGTCAGTGGCTTGGAAAAACTAGTATCCACAATGCACATCTTCTTGCCACCTTCAAGGGTATTCCAGTAATATTGCCCATATGCACATGTCACTTACTGACTTCAAAAATGTACATAATTGGGTTACCCAATTAGAGAATAATTTTTTTTTTAAAGACAGGGACTGCATTTCTTATTTTCTCTCAAAGAAACTAATATATATTCTTTGGACACAGAGGATCTACAATAAATACAAGTAAGTTAATGATCCATTTTATCCTTAAATCCCAGCCGGATGCAGTGGCTCACGCCTATAATCCCAGCACTTTGGGAGGCCAAGGTGGGCAGATCATGAGGTCAGGAGATCGAGACCATCCTGGCTAGACCATTCTGGCTAACACGGTGAAACCCTGTCTCTATTAAAAATATAAAAAATTAGCTGGGCGTGGTGGCATGTGCCTGTAGTCCCAGCTACTTGGGAGGCTGAGGCAGGAGAATCGCTTGAACTCAGGAGGCAGAAGTTGTGATGAGCTGAGATCACACCACTGTACTCCAGCCTGGGCAACAGAGCAAGACTCTGTCTCAAAAAAAAAAAAAAAAAAAATCCCTATAGCCTCAGTTATTCGGTTACCTGTTGAGTGGCTCTCCTGTGCCTAACCTTGAGCTATATGTTATGAAGGAGAAATGAGATGTATTTGACATAGGCCCTGTACTCAAGGATTTTGCAACCTTACTGAAGAAGAATGAAATAATTGGAATAGTAGATCTGGAAGGACTTTAAGGTCTATCTAATTCTGTTTTCTTGCAGTAGGTGTATCGGCTATGCGTCAATATTTCTGGTTGCCCTCTCTTTCTGAGTACCTGAAAAAATTGCATTTTTCAACCCCTTGGGCTTTAGATAGATTATATGACTTGCTTTGGCCAGAAAATGTGAATGAGAGGGATGTGTGTGATACATGGATGGAAGCATTTAAGAGCCAGAGCATGATCTTTACTTCCCTTCTTTTCCTGGTGTTGCAATTATGAAGGTGGTTTCATGGTGAAAAAGCAGAAAGCCTGAATAAAAAACTATGGAGAATGGAGGACTGTCCTAGGCATCTCTAGGAGCTTTTGCATGAGCAAGAAAAACAATTTTATTGTGCCAGGCCACTGAGATTTTAGGATTGTTTGTTACCACAGCATAACTTAACCTATTCTGACTAAATCCATCATTTTATAGATGGGGCAATTTAAGTGTGAATTTGTGTGACATGGAACTTCAATGTATTAAGAGCTCAATATATCTTTGGACTGGACTGGTTGAAGGCATCTTCACAAAAGATGTCTAACTTGAGCTTCACTTCATAGGTTGTGCAGGATTAATCCTGGAGAAGTGGTTGTGGCATTGGTGGGGGTGTTAATGGTGGCAGTGATAAGAAAGTCCAGATCATAAGAAGACAGGGAAAAAATGGATACCGAATTTTAACAACACTACCCATAGCTTAATATACATAACTATTGGTGCTAAGTATTTTATTTGCTTTATTTCGTTTCATTCTCACAGTCATGCCTATAGAAATAATAATCATAACTATCTCATTCCTCCCTATGAGATAGTAATAATTACTGTTCACATTTCTTTAAAAAGTAAACTGAAGCTTAGAAAGCTTTACTCAAAATATCTGGAACTACATCACTGGTCGATTTCTTCCCATCTTCTTCCATGACTGTGGGTAAGAAGTGTTCTTTTTGTACTCATCAAGACTCTTGTTGTCATTCATGCAACGAATCCCATCCCTCCCTTTTCTCTGGGATGTTTCCATGGCTGTCTCTTTTTTTGTTGTTTGTTTTCATTATTTTTAACTGCTCTATTTCTGCTAGTTCCATTCCTTCACCTTATACACTCGGCAAATGTCTTCCATTTTAAAAGAAAAACTATTTGAAAACATGTAAAACCAAAATAACTATACCCTGATTTGCCTTCAAGTTATCATGCTCTCTCACCATTTCTTCAGAACAACCTTATTTAAAAAACCATCTACACATTCTGTCTTCACCTCCCTAACCCATCACAGAAACTTCCCAGATGAGTTACTACTGACTTCCTGGCTGCCAATCTCAATGGATGAAATGAACCCTGATGTTACTGATCAGGACTAACCTTGGCTTCTAAGGACCCACTGTCTTCTAAATTCTTCCTATTGCTTTACTACTCTCTCAATCCACTTTGAAGATTCCTCTTTTTCCACTGGTCCCTTAAATGGTACTTCCATATTTGTGTTCTCAGCCCTTATTCTTCTCATGCTTCATGAACTATGAGAACAACCTCATCCAGTCCTATGGTTTAATTACATGTCACTATGTTAAATCCCACCAAATCCATAGCTTGGGTCCAGATCTTTCTCACAGACTTCATAAATAAGTATTTTGCCTCTTCATTCATATGTCATCTTGAAATAAATGGTAAAAAACCAAACTCATTCCTTGGCACCGTAAACCTCCTCCTTCCCCTGAACTCTTTTTATCTTCATAAATAAGGTCACCAACTACCTACTCCCTATAAGCCTACAAGCCCAGTTTGCTCAACTTTCATTATAATTAGACTCCACAGCTTGAATCAACTCTCTAAATAGCTCTCAATTTGTACCCCTCCTTTTTTTTTGATCATCCCTGCTATTGGTTTAATTTAAGGCTTTGCCATCCCTCATCTCATTAATAATGAGGGATTATCTTCTTAATCCCATTAAGACTCCCTCCAAACCATTTTTCACACTTCAGCCAGAATAATCTTTCTAGCATTTCAGTATGTTCACGTCATTCCTCTACCTTGTTCTAAGGTGCTTTCTCACATTCTGGATACACTCAGAACATCTTAGCAGGTACACATTGTCCTTCATGGCCTGATTCATGCCTGGGTCTCCAGCTTTCTCTGCTGCTACTCCCTTCTCCATGATTACCCCTGAGCCAAGCCAAAGATGTTCTGGCCCTAGAAAATCTATGATTTCTCTTGCCTTCGTGAGCAGCCTCCTTTGCCAGCAATAGCCAGTGGTTTCCTTTGGTCTTTTTCACCTGCTTAAGACCAGCTTAAGGACCCTTCTGTTGTGAAGGCTTGGTGCTCCCACCTCAGTACCCCTAGGGTACCTTGAACATGCCTCTATGCTGCTTCTGTCGTATTGCACTGTGATCATGTACGTGTCCCACTCCAAGCTGAAAGTGCAAGATCCCTCAGGGGAGAGTCTAGTCTATGTTATAGTCCTCTTCATATTCCTGTGCCTAGAACAGTGATGAAAAACAGTAGAGTCTCTGTAAATATTGTTAAACATGTGAATTAATGATAGCTTTCAGGAAATATAGGTTATATGAAAAATTACTTGAGGTTTTGGTTTGCATTTCCTTCTACAAATTAAGGGGATTTCTTTTTTTAAAATGATCATTTCATAGCTTGCTTTTAGTTCTCTTTGCAAATGTATTTTAAAGACTGCCAGCCTACCTACATTTCACAATATAGGATTAGGTCTTTAAAATAATGCACAACAGTAAAACAGCACATTGTCATCAAGATTTACAGAATTCCCACTCCCGGTTCTGAGCCATGTAGTTAGGAGAGAAACACTTGGCGAACACATAGACTTTTTCTTGTTGCCTTGTATTTTCACTTTGTTTGTCTCATTTATGGCTTAGAAGTTGCTTCTGAACCACAGGTGGGTATAAAGACAGCTTGAGCTTTGAGAATTACTGATGTGTCTAACAAGTCGGCTCTTTCACTCAACCTGTTTTCTGGATGAGTGGAGGACACCAAACCATTCAGTACCTTGATGAAAGGAAGTGGGCTAGATGCACTTCTGTTTTATAGGGATACATCAGACTGAAGCCCATATTTTGATTTTTTTGTGTGTGTGATAGTACTGTAAATTCTCCTTTTTCATTTTCTCAATCTCATTAACTTCATTCTCGGTTGCTTCATTATTTTCAGAACTATCTTCTTGTAGCTGCATTTTTTTTTCTAAGTCACTAATCTGTCAGCTGTTACAGTATTTTTAATTATATTTTTCCAATATTTCTTTTCTTGTCATCATTTTTAATTTACATGCATATATTATTTTTATGATGAAGCATAGGGGTGGCTGTATGTTATATGCTATATAGTTACAAACTTTATAGAGATTTTGCCTCTTGAATTTCACAATGCAATAGCAATTCTTCTACGCTGCCCAGATTTATGTAGAGAAGAGGCCATTAGGAAGAACTTGGACCCATGTTGGTAGGCTCTGAAGGTTGTATCTCAATCAATCATTGCCACAGAAAATCTAGTTCTGATTTTGAGCCTTTGTATTTTACACTGCTATCCTGGGCAGCAGAATACTTCCACAAAGCATTTAGAATGTGGGTCTTTGGTAGCAAACTGTCTTCAAGGTCATAACTACAACAAACCAAATTTCTGGCATCAAGTGCCATGGGACATGATGAATACCCTGGGTTGAGGGGAGGTGGGATGGAGAATGGGGCAGGGGTTTAGAAGTTGAGCTGTGGCCCGGGCAAGTGTTCCACAGAGTAACTCAGTTGGCTGCACTAGGACTCAGGCTGAGCTCCATGATCAGGTGCTCATGTTATTTGTGATTCTTAGCATGCTCAGTACTTGGACTCTAGCTCAAAGAATGGATGTTTTTAAAGAAAGATAAAAGCAACCAGGTGCAGTGGCTCATGACTATAACTCCAGCTACTAGGGAGGCCAAGGCGGGAAGATTGCTTGAGCCCAGGAATTCAAGACCAGCGTGAGCAACAAAGCAAGATCTTGTCTCTACTAAAAATAAAAAAAGAAATAAAATAAAATTTGTCAGGTGTGGTGGTGTGCACCTGTGATCTCAGCTACCCAGGAGGTTGAGGTGGGAAGATTGCTTGAACCTGGAAGGTTGAGGCTGCAGAGAGCCATGATCATGCTACTGCACTGCAGCCTGGAGAGCAAGAGCACGACCCTCTCTCAAAACAAAAAAACAAAAGCAGGTAGCAATTGTTGAGTGTTTACTATGTGCCAAGAACCGTGCTGAATATTTTAAATATATTATATCATTTAACCTCACAACAAACCTACAAAATAGGTACTTCATTATTTCCATTTTGAAAATGAGAAAACCGAGGAATAAGGATGAAACAACTTGACCAAACTCATAGAGCAATTATTAGGTTATGGAGTTAGGAGTTGAACTTTGGCTTCTTATTCCAAAGCCCCTGATCTTAGGTACTACACTGATAAAAATATTGGGAAAAAATGTGAGTAAGGGGAATATTGGAAGAACAATTCCTCTCTTCTCTTCACGTCCTTAAAATAGGAGTGCCCCAGTCTTTGGTCCTCTTTCCTTTCTTCCTGACATCTCTATGATGTCAACCAGCCCTATGGCCTATATCCTGACAAACTCCCCAATTTATAGCCTCAGTCCAGGCCTCTTTAATGAATTACAAATGCATATACTTAATTACCTCCTTGGTATCGCCAATTAGATGGCAAGAAGATATCTCAAATTTAACACCCCCAAACTAAGTGACTTCCTACCCACAGTCCTGGTCCTCCCACAGCCTTCTATCTCTCAGCTGATGGTAACTCCATCCTCCCAGTTGTTCGGCCAAAAACCTGTGAGTCTTTCTTGACTCCCTCTCCCACACTGCAATCCAATCTATTGGCAAGTCCTGTTAGCTCCATCTTCAAAATGTATTCAGAATCTGATCCCTTATCATACCTCCCTATAAAACCAGCCTAGTCCTGGCCAGGTGCGGTGGCTCACGCCTGTAATCCCAGCACTTTGGGAGGCTGAGGTGGGCGGATCACCTGAGGTCAGGAGTTCGAGACCAGCCTGGCCAACATGGTGAAACCCCATCTCTACTAAAAATACAAAAATTAGCTGGCCGTGGTGGCACATGCCTGTAATCCCAGCTACTCAGGAGGCTGAGACAGGAGAATCACTTGAACCCGGGAGGCGGAGGTTTCAGTGAGCCGAGATCGCACCACTGCACTCCAGCGTGGGCAACAAAGAGTGAAACTCCATCTCCAAAAAAAAAGAAAGAAAGAAAAAAATAAAATAAAACCAGCCTAGTCCTAACCATCATTCTGCTTCACCAGAATCACTGCAATAATTTTATAGTTGGTTTCTCGGCTTCCAAACCTCATCCATTTACGGTTTACCTTATACAGAACAGTCAGAGTGATCTTTTTAAAATGTAAGTCAGATCATGGCAATCCTCTGTTTAAACCATTTAATGGCTCCCAATTTCACCTAGAGAACTGGCATGTTTTACAGTGGCCTATAAGACACTATGTGATCTGCCTACACCCCAAAAGTGTCTTGGGAGAGGATGATATTTCTCTTTCCTCCTCCTTCTCTTCTTCTTCCTCTTCCTCTTGTTGTTGTTCTCCTCCTCCTTCTTTTCCTTCTCCTCTCTTCCTCCTCCTTTTTCAGTTCATCTTCACCCTCATCTTCATCCTCCTTTATTGTTAATTTACTCTATTACACAATTTCTGGAACAAAATGGAGTTCAGTGCTTAGTATTGTCTATCGAATGAAGCCTAGATGTTCTCTTTTGCCAAACAATTTTCCACTCAGTCTTTTAACATTTATTTATTTATTTTTGGGATAGGATCTGGCTCTGTCACCCAGGCTGGAGTGCAGTGGTGTGATCTCGGCTCACGGCAACCTCCACCTCCTGGGCTCAAGCCATGCTCCCCCCTCAGCCTCCCAAGTAGCTGGGATTACAGGTGCACGCCACTACACCTGGCTAATGTTTGTATTTTCTGTAGAGTTGGGGTTTTGCCATGTTGCCCAGGCTGGTCTTGAACTCCTGGACTCAAGTGATCCACCCACCTTAACTTCCCAAAGTGTTAGGATTACAGGTGTGAGCCACGGCTCCTGGCTTCTACTCCGCCTTGAAAGCAAGAGATGTGGAACTCATCCTTGACTACTTGCTCTCCATCATTCACCATACTAACTTAGTCCCAAGACAGAGACATGGCTCTCAAGTCATTTCTTCCTGTCTGTCTCCACTGCTGCCACCTGAGTGCAACCCTTTTCATCTCCCACCTCCATCACTGCAACAATCCCCTAGGGTGTTCCCCTGTCATTGGCCTTTTCCTTTATTTATTCTCCACCCTACAGCCCAGGTTATAGCTCCAAAAGGTAATAAGATATTATTTCTTGGCTTAAAGATCTCTATTGTCTACCCTTTTTAAAATAACTTTTAAAAAACCTTTCTTTGGAATGAAGATTCCTTGGAATTTTGACAATATATATGAACTTCTCAGAAAAGTACACATAAGTACCAACATTTATACTAAATTTGGGTGGATTCACAGATGCCCTGAAACTGTCCAGGGAAGTATTCAGTGTCCCCGAACACCGAATACTTGGGCCATAGGAGAGTCCACCAATGTTCCTCAATATCTGGCCCATGCATGTCCATCGGCAGCCTCATATCCCACGATTACCTTTACCTTTCCAGATCTAGCTCAAGGGGAGTACTTCCCAATCTCCTCCGAAAATAATCTTTCCTCTTCTGTGCCTCCAAAACACACATAGCAATTATCATGTTCAGCTACAAGGATTTCTAAATGTTTTCTCTCCTTAAAGTTCTCAATTCTTTAAGGAGAGGAATCACATCTAATTTTCAGTTTATGTACTAGTCCTACCAAAGACTCTAGGGCAGAGTTGGTAGTCAGTAAATATTTACAGAGTGCCTATATCAAAGGTGAATAAAAAGTAGGGATGGTATTTCTCTGTTAAAGATTTCCTCATCCTTCCTTCTTCCGTCCTTTCTAATATCATCCAGAAAACACAGATAGCTCAGGCCCAACAAATTGCAAGGTGATGGTAATTACAAACAATCCAGGTCAGTTTCCCCTCAATTCTGAGCTTTGCTATTACAGTTGTTCTAGCTGGTCTTTCCCATTTCTTACCTCCAAGACGGGGATGAGATTTGCTTCTGGTACTTCTTTTAATCTCCGGAGACACAAAGTTTGGTTCAGTTTTTCCCTCTCTTTGTCCAAATATATTGCCAGGAGAGCAAGTTCCATGGCCAGTTAATCTGCTCATGGAGTCTTTAACTCTGGGTTTGCACAGTCTCTTCTCTTGGGTCCATAGCTTGGAGCACTGTTTCTCATAGACTGGTCTATGGACTGCTTGCCTCAGAATCACCTGGGATACTTGTAAAAGATATAGATTCTGGGACCCACCTCGAATTTCCAAATGGTGCTGTGGGTGTCAGTAAGATATTCTGGAATCAGCATTTTAAAACTTTCCCAGAAGAATGTTCTTGACACTAAAAATTGGGAATCACTGACCTAGAACCTATTCCCATTCTCCATCTATCTCAAGCATGCTGAATCCAGGCTTCTTCCTTTTCTTCTTGACTCTCTTTCATCAAGACCATACCATAAATTCACCATGACTGGTGAATCCCCCTTTTTTGTTTCATAAGCAGGAATAAAACTAAGAAGTGGAGGTTGGAGCCAGAAAAGTCTGAGCTTAAGTGTCCTTTCTGCCATTTACTTCCCCTGTGAGCTTATTTAAACCCTCTAAGCCTTATTTTTTAACTACCAAAAAGGCAAATAATACCTACCTCATAGATTGTTGTGAGAATCTAATGGTATAAATTATTTATTTAGCATAGTTCACAACCCAATCAAAGTACTCAGTTATTAGTAATTGTAGTAATAAACAGCCCTGAAATGTATCATTTTCCCATCAAGATATAAGTATGTGTCTTATGGTATATGCGTGTTTGCATGTAGATATGTATATTTTTATATATTTATATAACAGGTTTCTTATTAAGATCATTTGTCTCTATTCACCTACCCAATTTGTCCTGTTTTCCAGCTTCTGTCTGTCCGTCTAGCATTTTGAATATCAAACTTAGCTCTGCACTGAAGATAGTTGAAAATCAAACCCTATTCTGCACTTAGAAAATTGCTTTACTCTATCAGGAAATTTTAAAAGTGCTCAGATGAATCACTGTGAAGACTAATTTTGAAAACCGTGTTTGATCAGTGATACAGTTTTGGTTGATAGCTCTGTTATTCCCAGAGGAAACTTAACAAAATATTTTCAAACAGGAACACTTTGAAGGAAGAAATGAGTATCTAGGGGCGGGGGAGGGGGCAAACTTGGGAAATAAACATGCGTAATAAGAATTGTTCAGAAGGTTTCTCATTCATTAAATACGTTTATGAACTGTAAATCATGTCGGTAGAGCCTCTTTATCGAGTACAACCAAACTGAGATTATGGAAAGATCTCTTCAGTAACACGAAGAAAATGGCTCAAGGAGATTCTCAAGGATTTTTCTATAGAAAAAAAAATGAAGCAGTATAAATTTAAGTCAGACTCCTCTCTCTTGAACTAAAATTTGTCATGATCACAGCCACCTTGATGTCATCTAGAATTTCTCCATCGTTAGAAATCTCTAAGTGGGCTTCATCCCTGGGATGCAAGGCTGGTTCAATATACGCAAATCAATAAATGTAATCCAGCATATAAACAGAGCCAAAGACAAAAACCACATGATTATCTCAATAGATGCAGAAAAAGCCTTTGACAAAATTCAACAACCCTTCATGCTAAAAACTCTCAATAAATTAGGTATTGATGGGACGTATTTCAAAATAATAAGAGCTATCTATGACAAACCCACAGCCAATATCATACTGAATGGGCAAAAACTGGAAGCATTCCCTTTGAAAACTGGCACAAGACAGGGATGCCCTCTCTCACCGCTCCTATTCAACATAGTGTTGGAAGTTCTGGCCAGGGCAATCAGGCAGGAGAAGGAAATAAAGGGTATTCAATTAGGAAAAGAGGAAGTCAAATTGTCCCTGTTTGCAGACGACATGATTGTTTATCTAGAAAACCCCATCGTCTCAGCCCAAAATCTCCTTAAGCTGATAAGCAACTTCAGCAAAGTCTCAGGATACAAAATCAATGTACAAAAATCACAAGCATTCTTATACACCAACAACAGACAAACAGAGAGCCAAATCATGGGTGAACTCCCATTCACAATTGCTTCAAAGAGAATAAAATACCTAGGAATCCAACTTACAAGGGATGTGAAGGACCTCTTCAAGGAGAACTACAAACCACTGCTCAAGGAAATAAAAGAGGAGACAAACAAATGGAAGAACATTCCATGCTCATGGGTAGGAAGAATCAATATCGTGAAAATGGCCATACTGCCCAAGGTAATTTACAGATTCAATGCCATCCCCATCAAGCTACCAATGACTTTCTTCACAGAATTGGAAAAAACTACTTTAAAGTTCATATGGAACCAAAAAAGAGCCCGCATTGCCAAGTCAATCCTAAGCCAAAAGAACAAAGCTGGAGGCATCACACTACCTGACTTCAAACTATACTACAAGGCTACAGTAACCAAAACAGCATGGTACTGGTACCAAAACAGAGATATAGATCAATGGAACAGAACAGAGCCCTCAGAAATAATGCCGCATATCTACAACTATCTGATCTTTGACAAACCTGAGAAAAACAAGCAATGGGGAAAGGATTCCCTATTTAATAAATGGTGCTGGGAAAACTGGCTAGCCATATGTAGAAAGCTGAAACTGGATCCCTTCCTTACACCTTATACAAAAATCAATTCAAGATGGATTAAAGATTTAAACGTTAAACCTAAAACCATAAAAACCCTAGAAGAAAACCTAGGCATTACCATTCAGGACATAGGCGTGGGCAAGGACTTCATGTCCAAAACACCAAAAGCAATGGCAACAAAAGACAAAATTGACAAATGGGATCTAATTAAACTAAAGAGCTTCTGCACAGCAAAAGAAACTACCATCAGAGTGAACAGGCAACCTACAACATGGGAGAAAATTTTCGCAACCTACTCATCTGACAAAGGGCTAATATCCAGAATCTACAATGAACTCAAACAAATTTACAAGAAAAAAACAAACAACCCCATCAAAAAGTGGGCGAAGGACATGAACAGACACTTCTCAAAAGAAGACATTTATGCAGCCAAAAAACACATGAGGAAATGCTCATCATCACTGGCCATCAGAGAAATGCAAATCAAAACCACTATGAGATATCATCTCACACCAGTTAGAATGGCAATCATTAA
Source organism: Homo sapiens (assembly GCF_000001405.40). NCBI lineage: Eukaryota > Metazoa > Chordata > Mammalia > Primates > Hominidae > Homo > Homo sapiens. The sequence goes on from NC_000018.10 coordinate 25,486,758, forward strand.
AAAGTCAGGAAACAACAGGTGCTGGAGAGGATGCGGAGAAATAGGAACACTTTTACACTGTTGGTGGGACTGTAAACTAGTTCAACCATTGTGGAAGTCAGTGTGGCGATTCCTCAGGGATCTAGAACTAGAAATACCATTTGACCCAGCCATCCCATTACTGGGTATATACCCAAATGAGTATAAATCATGCTGCTATAAAGACACATGCACACGTATGTTTATTGCGGCACTATTCACAATAGCAAAGACTTGGAACCAACCCAAATGTCCAACAATGATAGACTGGATTAAGAAAATGTGGCACATATACACCATGGAATACTATGCAGCCATAAAAAATGATGAGTTCATATCCTTTGTAGGGACATGGATGAAATTGGAAACCATCATTCTCAGTAAACTATCGCAAGAACAAAAAACCAAACACCGCATATTCTCACTCATAGGTGGGAATTGAACAATGAGATCACATGGACACAGGAAGGGGAATATCACACTCTGGGGACTGTGGTGGGGTCGGGGGAGGGGGGAGGGATAGCATTGGGAGATATACCTAATGCTAGATGACACATTAGTGGGTGCAGCGCACCAGCATGGCACATGTATAGATATGTAACTAACCTGCACAATGTGCACATGTACCCTAAAACTTAGAGTATAATAAAAATAAAAATAAAAAAAAAAAAAAAATAAAGGCCAAAACCTGAAAAAAAAAAAAAAAAAAAAGAAATCTCTAAGTGAGAGTGAAACTGTAACATGAGTTCCCATTTTTTAGTTTGATGGTTTCAGCAGGGATTCCATCAGAGCCTGAACTGTTGCTGTATCTACCTGATGACTTTCTGGGGACTGAATAGAAAGGCACAACAAACTCTGGTATTTGGAAAGCTTAAAGTGAGAGTCGGAAATGCAACTTCCAATATGCATTTGCCCTCTTTACAGTCACCTCCGTCTTTAATTCTTAATATGCAGGATTGTAAAAGTCTTTACTATAATGTGGGTGGGGAGGAGAATAGGATATTGAATGAGGAGTTTGAAGAGACGGGGCATTTGTTAGCTGTGAGGCAAGGTTTCCAGAGAGCACCCCAAACAGGAAGGAGCAGTGGGAGATTGAATCTGAAGAGACGTGCTGACCACTATGGGGATGAGAGCACAGAACAGAATAGCTGACTGGATGGGCCACAGCAAGACACAAGAATGACAAATAATTGTGAATCTTCTTAGAAGTCTTCATCAGAACCTCTTGTCAGCTTTTTCTTTACTGATGAGCCTCCACATACTGTCACTTCTTTCACATCTGTCATGTATCAATACTTCAGCTACTCTTTTCCTGGTATCTTCAACCTCTCCATCCATTATAATTTTATAGCAATCTGTCTGGCTAAATGCTAGGAAATTCTCCTTGTTCTTCCCTGTGCATACCTTGGCCTCCCAAGTAGCTGGGATTACAGGTGTGTGCCACCACGTCCAGCTAATTTTTGTATTTTTTAGTAGAGATAGGGTTTCACCATGTTGGCCTGGCTGGTCTCAAACTCCTGATCTCAAGTTATCCACCCGCCTTGGCCTCCCAAAGTGCTGGGATTACAGGCGTGAGCCACCATGCCCCACCTATATTGGCTATTCTTAAATTTTAATTCTTTCAGATGAACTATGGAATCATTTTGTCAAATGATAAGGAATAATTTACCATTGATATTTTGACTATAATTTTGTTAAGTTTGTAAATTAATTTAGGAAAATATGGACAACTGTAGACTTTCAAGCTTCTTCTTGCAGATGTCATGTCTCTCTTTTTTGATTCCCAGAAAAGGAGTAAATTGTTGTACCTTCAGGCCTTATATTTCTTGTTAATTTAATTACTAGGTCATTCATCTTTTCTCTTTTGCTTATTATAGTGATGGGAATTTCTATTTTTCATTATATTCTTATATAGAGGCTTTATATATTTATCTTGATTCCAGGTACTTTATAAATCCTCTTAGTAGTTTTAATAATTTGGCAGTTTATTCTGTATGGTTTTCAAAAAGGGTGTTTTAGTATATAATTTGCAAAAAAAAAGTGATAATCTCTTTTCAATCAATGTACATTCTTAATTTTGCTTTACATCTTACTGCAATGCCAAGAAATGTCAGAAAAATATTAAAAGGAATGAATATTTTTATTGTACTTAAAACTGTATGATTTTATTAGGCATGATGTTGGATGTTTAATAAACAGGCTCTATATGTACGTATTTATTTGTGTGCACCTATAATATCTCTGGAAGGGTAACCAGAAACCAGTAAGAGTGGCTGTATCTGGGAAGGGGTTTGATTGATAAGGCAGAAATGTGGGAGTATACTCAGCAAATAAGCCTTTGTACCTTTTGAATTTTGTACCGTTTACATATACAACTCATTCAAAACAGAAATAATTAACAAATCAAAACAATATTTGTTATCCTTTTCAAAAAGTATTTATTTAGTCCTAGTTTCTAAGGCATTTTTTTAAATCAGCAACTGATGGTGAATTAAACATGTGTTTCTTTCTATAGTCATTGGTGCAAGGATTCTTCCATTTGATTATTTGATATATCTAAAGTGTGTCTCACTTACAACCATTTTCATTAATAGTGGTATTTTAATCTTTATTTTCTGATGAGGTAAAACTAATATTTTATTTAGGATTTTTGTATCTGTTGTCATAAATGAGATAACTTTGTGGGGTGGTGTGGTTGTGATTTTTTGCGGGGAGAGGAGGTTTTAATGTTAGTATTATAAACCAGATTTGAGAAGTCCTCCATGTTTTTCTTGTCCAGTGTTTGAAAAATTAAAAGAACTCATCCATAAAACTATCTGGATGTAAAGCTCCTTTTGGAAGAAATATTTTGATAAAATCTTCTTTTTATTATCACTATGATTTTATTAAGGTTTTCAATTAAGCAAATATGCCTTAACAATTTTTGTGAATTATTGACTAAAAAAGATACCTTCTAAGTGTGGCATTTTATATCAAGTCTAGACCACATCGTGGTCACAAATTATGAAAATTATTAAAAAGTGAATTTATTAACATAAAAAATTTACTTCCTGATTATAAAAATATAATTTTTCTTTCATAAGTTATTAGATCTTAGTTTTATCCAAATGATAATATATATTTATATCTGGTAAAATCATCTGAATTTTTCAATTAACTCACATGGTCATATGTGTTCATTGATAATATAAGCCAACTCTTGAAAATATTTGATTTTCTGCTCAGAGTCCATAATGGTAGCAGCTGAAATGACAAGTTTATCTTACTCCAGAGAACAAATCTGTGTAACTCAACCATATCTCTGCTACTCATGAATCATCAAGTCTCGGCTTTACTTGTGGGATAAATATATCTGTTATGTATACCTTCTTGTCCTTTTTGCATAACTATATATTTCTTTCTTTGCATCTATTTTTATTTATATGCATCCTACCTCTGATACTGACAGTGGAGACTTAACTTGGAGCAAATCAATTAAATCCCCCAGTATTCTTTTTGCTGTATAATGCTGCTGAATCAAAACGCAAATTTGCCAGGGTCTTTACTGTATTTTCCTCAAAGTAGAGGCATGAGCTGGAAAAGGGAGTGAGGTGAACATTTGATCAGGATGACAAGCACCAGTGGATTCCTGCTGTTAGCTGGAACACAAGCCCGATGACATGTATTTGGTGTCATTCCGATGTAGATTCTGACAGATGCCAATTTATGGTCCAATTTATGTCTTGACTCTCATACGAAGGCCAAGCAAGCCATAAAATGTAATAAGAATTTCTTCAATCAATGTCCAGAGGAAAAACAAATCACTCAGTTACTGACACAATATTGCATCAACACTCCGGTAAAGTTCTCACAAGTGTGTGACATGCCCCCAAGCTACAGAGAGCATGGAGAGTAAAAAACCCCAGCACAGCAACACCACATCCTAATAGAGGAGCTCCTGAACTTCACAGCTCTTAATAGGTCATCTGCTTTCTTTTTCTTTCATTCTAACAGAATTCCCGTTTTGCAGGGAGGGGTGGGAGAAGAGAATTAAGTAAATGAATTCCTCCTCTCTATTTCCTTCCAACATTCCCGTTTCAGACTTATTTCTGACCTCTTTGCTGTGAACTCCTCCATTTCTTTTCTCTCTTCCTCTTTCCGTTCCTACCAGCCTCCTCTTTACAGAGAGGGTTATTTATTCGTCCCCTGCCACATCATTTCAACTCAGGCTTCTAGTGAGGTAACACAGATTAGTCCCTGATCACAGTTTCAATCCAGCCAGTTGCGGGCTCGTGTATTTTTCCTTTCCCTTCCTTTAGAGGTTTTTCCAACCAGATACATGCCGTTAAGCACGGTTACAAGTTGGTGCCTGGAAGGGTTTCAGAGAAGAAAGATGGGAGAATCAGCTATCCATAAGACCCATTTTAATTGTTTCTGATTTGTTTTTTCCAAATCCAGTTTTAAGATTGTCGCTGCACACGTGCACGCACACACACAGAGTGAAAGGCTGTAGGATCACCATCATGCTCTATCTCAATTGTGTCCTCTTCTATTTGTGCACTTAGCACTGAGGGTCAAAGTCATTTTGTTTATTGGTACAGGACAAAATGGTTAACCTGGGACACTTTATATTTGAAAAAGTTTGCCTTTAGAACACTGGGAAAGTTACAAAGCAGGCCAGGAAAAACAGAGCACACTTTTGAGAGAGATACTCTTTTCCTTCTTTAGAAAAGAATAGGGGAAGAGTACAAAGGATATGAACATATTGGAATGAGGATTGGAGGCAATGCTGGTTCACATCTCAGCTCTAACACTCCTTGGCTGTATAACAGGTTGGGAAAGTGCTCCTGCCTCAGCAGTGCTTCTTTAAATATAAATGCTACAGATATGAGAAAGAGTCCATGCAGTAATTATCATTAGTATTTAGTAATATATTTAATATATTCCTAAAAAGGAAGAAAGCTCTATCCAGTCAGGGCAAATTTTTTTTCCATGCAAACTAAGAAATGATGGTCTCACACACGGGCTTCACCCCGGAAACCTTCCAGACCACAGTAGCTCAAAATTACCACTCCCTCTTGTGTTCTAAAAGCAAGTCAACTGTGAGACTCTATTGTTAGGGAAAATCCAGGTGTTGCGGGGTCCGGAGCCATGTGATACCCGGTTGCAAACTGACTTCTCCTACCCACCTAGAACCTCTGCAAACACCAGCAGCTCCCAGGACTCACAGGTCTGATTCAGGTGAGCAATTCTTAAGGCTTAAGCCTCTGTCTTTTACATTGCTGCCTCTCAACAATGTGCCTGTCTTTCTAGATTGCAAGGTAGAACCCATGTGTGATCTCATCTGCCTACTGCAGACCTGAGTACAGTACTATGAATAGTATAGGTACTCAATAAACGCACGTGGGATTGCTTCTAAACTCATTTCGCTGTTGATTTTTGTTGAGTAATTTTTCTGACTATAAAGCACCATGGGTTCATGACCAAAGCTTTAAAAAACCCAGAAAATAATTTTTAAAAGAGAAATAAAATATCAGTAATGCCACGGACAATAATATATTTCCCCATCATCTTTTTTACATGTATATCTGTATGTTATGTTACATAATTTTATTTAAAATATCCAGCTTTTCTTTTCTATTATTTTTCTAATTTATTATCCTAGGAAAAATATTTGGAAAGCATGATTTCAATGGTAAATAACCTCCTGTTGTATGTTAGATGTACCATATTTTTGTAAACATTCCCCTAACCTACCCAGTGCATTGTCCTATAGAGGGCATATTTCCAATAAACAAACACAATGCCTTGTAGAGTTCTTCTAACATCTTTAGTAGTCTCACTTTATATGTTGGCCTCTGAGGTGGAGATAATACAGAAAGCTGAGGGTTGGGTGTCAGGGGAGTGAAGGAAGGGGTAGAGGGTGAATAAAATTTATAACTAAATTTAGATTCCCACAAAAGAAAGTTCCTTATACCAAATACAGGCATACCTCATTTTATTGTGTGAATACTTTGCATTATTATGCTTCACAGTTTTTACAAATCGAAGGTTTGTGGCAACACTGTGTCAAGTAAGTCCATTGGCATCATTTCTCTAATGGCATGTTCTCACTTTATGTCTCTATGTCATATTTTTCTAATTCTTGCAATATTTCAAATTATTTTCATTATTATTATGTATTTTATGGTGATCTGTGATTAGTGATCTTTGATGTTATTACTGTAATAGTTTTGGGCAAACTTATGATGGCAAACTTAATAAACGTTGTGCGTGTTCCAACTACTTTGCCTACTAGCCATTCCCCTGTGTATCTTCCTCTCCCTTGTACCTCCTGAGACACTACAATATTGAAATTAATCCAATTCATAACCTTACAATGGCCTCGAAGTGTTCAAGTGAAAGGAAGAGTTGCATGGCTCTCACTTTAAGTCAAAAGCTACAAATGATTAAGCTTAGGGAGGAAGAAATGGAGAAAGCCAAGATAGGCTGAAAGCTAGGCCTCTTGAGCCAAAAGTTAGCCAAGTTGTAATGCAAAGGAAAGGTTCCTGAAGGAAATTAAAAGTGAATACACAAATGAAAAGAAAGTGCTACTCCAATGAACACATGAATGATAAGAAAAAGAAACAACTTTATTGCTGATATGGAGAAAGTTTGAGGGGGTAGAAGATCAAACCAGCTATAGCTTTTTCATAAGTCAAGGCCTAAGCCAGAGCAAAGTCCTAACTCTCTTCAAGTCTATGAAGGCTGATAGTGGTGAGGAAGCTGCAAAAGAAAAGTCTGAAGCTGACAAAGGCTGGTTCATGAGGTTTAAAAAAAGAATCCATCTTTATAACATAGAAGTACAAGGTGAGTCAGCAAATATTGATGTAGAAGCTGCAGTAGATTCTCCAGAAAGCCTAGCTAAGGTAATTGGTGAAGTTGGCTATACTAAACAACAGATTTTCAATGTAGACAAAAATAGCCTTCTATTGGAAAAATATGTCATCTAGGACTTTTATAACTAGAGAGGAGAAGAAAGTGCCTGGCTTCAAAGCTTCAAAGGATAGACTGACTCCTTTGTTAAAGCTTAATGCAGCCGGTTACTTTTACTTCAATTTGAAGCCATTTACCATTCCAAAAATTCCAGGGCTCTTAAGAATTATCTAAATCTACTATGCCTCTTCTCTAGAAAAAGGAACAACAAAGCCTGAATGGCAGCACATTTGTTTATAGTATGGTTTACTGAATATTTTAAGCCCTACTGTTGAGACCTACTGTTCAGAAAAAAAGATTCCTTTCAAAATATATTGCTCACTGACAATGCACCTAGTTACTCAGGAGCTCTGTGGAAATGTACAAGGAACTTATTGTTGTTTTCATGCCTGCTAACACAACATCCATTCTGTAGCCCGTGGATCAAGGAGTAATTTCAACTTTCAAGTCCTATTATTTAAGAAATACATTTGATAAGACTATAGCTGCCATAGTTAGTAATTTCTCTGATGGATCTTGGCAAAGTACATTGAAAACCTCCTGGAAAGGATTTGCCATTCTAGATGTCATTAAGAGCCTAAACGTGAGAGGCATCAAAATATCAACATTAATAAGAGTTTGGAAGAAGTTGAATCCAATCCTGAGGGATGAATTTGAGGGGTTCAAGACATCACTGGAAGAAGGAACTCCAGATCTGGTGGAAATAGCAAGAGAACTAGAACTAAAAGTAGAGCCAGTAGATGTGACTGAATCACTGCACTTTCATAATAAAACTTCAACAGAAGAGAAGTTGCTTCTTACAGATGAGCAAAGAAGGTAGTTTCTTGAGATGGAATCTACTCCTGATGAAGATGCTGTGAACATTGTTGAAATGACAATAAACAATTCAGAATATTACATAAACTTAGCTGATAAAGCAGCAGGTGGTAGGATTCAAGAGGATTGACTCCAATTTTGAAGGAAGTCCTACTGTGGGTAAAATGCTGTCAAACACAATCACATGCTATAGATAAATCTTTCACGAAAGGAAAAGTGAAGCAATGTGGCAAACTTCTTTGCTGCCTTATTTTAAGAAATTGCTACAGCTACCCTAACTTTCAGCACCGACCGCCCTGATCAGTCAACAACCATCAACATTGAGGCGAGACCCTCCACCAGCAAAAGAATTATGACTCACTGAAGGCTGAGATGATTCTGAGAATTTTTTAGAATAAAGTATCTTTAAATTAAAGTATTTACGTTGTTTTTTAGACATACTGCTATTGCATACTTAATGGATTACTCTATAGTGTAAACATAACTTTTATATTCACTGGGAAACAAAAAAAATCATGTGACTCACTTTATTGCAATATTAGTTTTATTGCAGTGGTCTGGAACCAAACCCACAATATCTCTGAGGTATGCATGTAGTCTATTAAACCTACTTAAGAAAAATTAAGTAATAGTATTTCTCCCCATTCTTACAACCCTCCCAAAATGTTAAGAACCTATTTTGGAGATATATAGGCAAATAAAAGCTGTAGATGAAAAGGACAATAGATTCCATTAAAATAGCACCCAGAGAAATGGTTTACTCACTTAATTGAAATGATGGACAAGGGAGAAATTTAGAGTAGAGCATTTCAATGACTCTAAACAAATGAATAAATGGCTTGTAATTCATTTCAGTGTCTGGTCTGGTGGTACCCAAAAGTCTTTTCAAAAGAATGTCCCATTGTATTGCCCCAGGGATTGCTTCTTTCTGCCCTGCTCTGAATATATATAGGTGTTTAAAATTCATGTCTGATATAAAAGTCATCTATACAGTTCATGTTAAATGTCTAGGGCTCTACTTTGGAGCCTCAGAATTCTGACCACCACCACCAAAAGAACATGATCTGACTTTTAAAGAAGTCAGCTTTGAGTTTACAGGAAGAGTTCTAAAAAATGTTTCAGTGTAAACCATTCATTTGTGACTAAGCTATACTTAAAATGGAAGAGACTCAGACTTGGCTTGCAAGAACATTTATGAAGCATGTACATTGTGCCAGAAATTGAACAGTGTGTTTCACATTCTTTATTTCATTAAATTCTCAAGAGAACCCTCCCTCTGAGGAAGGATTCTTGAGGTCATTTACGTGGGTAAAAACAGTGGGACTCAAAGACATTTTGCAATGAGCCCATGAACTGTCATCTATGTACTCCTTTATTCATTCAGAAAACTTTTGAGGTCCACTGTGTGCCAGGTCTTTAGCATACAATCTTACATAAGTCATAATCCCTTCCTTCAATCAGCTTATAGTCTTGTGTAGCAGACAGTGTGGAAACAGGCTGAGTGGGCAAACAGTGTGAAAAATGCCACAGTCGTTATAAATCAGGGTGTGTCATAAGATCACAGGGGAGCAATAGACAGCCTAGACTTGGGATAGTGGATTCAGGGAAAGCTTTATAAAGGAAGACATAATTAAGCTAGGGGAAAGGTGTCTCAGTAAAGTCTGGGAGAATGTGGAGAAGGAGGGCTTACAGTATTTTAGGCAGGGGGTAGAGCAGATACAGGAATCTGAAGGTAAAGACAAGGACTGTGAGTGTGAAGATCTGGACAGATTTCAACTGGTGGGTGCAGAGGGTGCAAAATTATGGAGATGTGAGAAGTAAAGCTGAAAAAGCAAACATGAAGGCTTTATAAGCCAAATTAAGGCATTTAGAGTAAATATTAAATCCAAAGGAAAGCCTTTGAGTGTGTTAAGCAAGGATAGACCTAGCCAGGTGTGTGGTTTAGAAGGAGCACTCTCTCACTGCCATTGGAGAATGTGTTATAGGCTGTAACAGTGCTAATGTGGACATGAGTTAGGAGGCTACTAGGAAACACTGGCCAGAAAGACAATGGCAGCCTTACCCAGACAGGGGAAATGTTAATGGGGAGAATGGATCTGAAAGTTGTTTGTGAAGAAGAATTAATTAGAAATAAATTTTTATTGGAGGACAGAAAGGAGAAGGAGAAAAGCTATGACTTGGCTGGGAAAGTGATGATGTCATTCACTGAGATAGTGAATTTGAGAGAGAAGGAGGGGTCTGACTCCCAAAGTTCACGTAGAGTTTGAGGTGCCTATGGATGTCAACTTGGAGAGATTATATAGATAGTTGGATTTATAAGCCTTAAGCCTAGAGCCATGGATTTAAAGTCTGAACATCACGAAAAGGACACATGGAGATTAATGAAAAAATAATGAGCACAGGGAAAGGAGTTCATTAAGGAATGATTGGAGAGATACAACAAGAACCCAAAGAATGTGTTGTTTCAGAAAACAGAAAGGAATAAAGAACTTTAAAAAGAAGGAAATAGTTTACAATCTCATGTATGGTCCAGTGAGATAAGGGCTGAAAAGTGCCCATTAGCTTTTGCAAGCAGGAGGTCACTGGTAACTTTATCTAGGTCACTTTCATGGAGGTAATGGTAGAAACCAGAGTGCTCTGGGTTTAGGAATATTTGGGAGATGAAGTTGAAGTAGAGAGAGAGAGAGCTAGCTCACTCTTGAGAAGTCTAATAGAGGAAAAGGGAAAAACTGAATGGTAGCTACAGGAGGGATGCAGTTTCAAGGGAGGGTTTTGTAAAATGTAGCTGTTTCTTGGTGTGTATGCGCATGTGTGTGCATATGTGCAAGCATAGTATTTTCTTTCTTCTTCTGTGTTTGCATGTGCTTTTGCTCTGCAGGGCTACTTTGAAACCATATCTTCTGATTTCTATTCCAAGATCTTGTAGTTATACCACAACTACAGAAACTGTGCTATAAAACTGTTATAAAATAATTCTATAAAGCTGTTCCCAGGGCCAAATAAGCCATTGCCCTAAACCTAAGCAAAGTGGTTATTATTTACCCTACCAAAGTTATAAACAGTGAATACTTGCAATAAACCACAAGGAGCACATATTCTTGCTGAGTTAAAGTAATGGGCAGGACTAGCAGGAAGCAGAATTTTCACTAAATAAAATTCCGGGAGCAGTTCTTTTGGAGAGAGAGACTTAAAGAGGCAACAACATAGGTGACCTTGGGCCTTGGATTTCTTCCCATCAATTCTGAATCTTTCAAGCAAATTCTAAGGAAGAAAGCAGCTTGTCTCAGTGGTTAATAATCTTTGCACTGCAGTGAGAACATTTTCGTAATATGCTTTGGGGAAAAGGTGTCATTCTTTTTTCTCTACCACAAGGCCTTTAGGGTAATGACTTAGGATGCTTGCAGAACACGTTGTTGTTTATTACCACTTCTACCTTAAAAAGGGCAGGGAAATGGAAAAGATTATGAAATTTAAACCTGCCACTTTCATTAATAGTTTTAAGTACTGGGGGGAAAAATCTACAGAAGAGAAAGGTATAAATGATTACACTAAGGAATAATTCCATTCCCTCGTTATTTGCATCTATGATACTACAGAAAACTGACAGTTGGGGGTGGTGAAGCAGAAAGTCTGTCTCATTAGAATGAGACATCTAAATGAACAATCTGAAAATGAAATTAAGAAAACAATTTCATGTACAATATCATCAAAAATAAGAACTTAGGAGTAAATTTGACAAAAGAAGGGAAAGACTAATACACTGAAAATTACAAAATACCAGTGAAAAAAATTAGAAGCCGGGTGCAGTGGCTTGCACCTGCAATCCCAGCTACTTGGAAGGCTGAGGTGTGAGGATAGCTAGAAGTTCAAGACTAGTCTGAGCAACATAGTGAGACCTTGTCTCTAAAAAGGTAATTTAAAAAATTAGCCCACTGTGGTGGTGCAAATGTTTAGTCCCAGCTACTCAGGAGGCTGAAGTTGAAGGATCACTTGAGCCTGGGAGTTCGAGGCTGCAGTGAACTATGATCACGCCATTGCACTCCAGCCTGGGTGACAGAGCAAGACTCCATCCCTCTAAAAATGAACAAATAAACAAACAAACAAAATTAAAGAAGACCTAAATAAATGGAAGGACATCCCATGTTCATTGACTGGAAGACTTGTTGTTAAGATGGCAATACTTCCCAAATTAATCTAGCGATTGGTTGCAATCACTTTCAAAATTTCAGCTGCCTTTAAAAAAATTTGATCAGCTTGTCCTAAAATTCATATGGAAATGTAAGGGACCCTAAATAGCCAAAACAACCTTGAGAAGGAAGAACAAAGCTAAAGAACTCATACTTTCCTATTTCAAAAATTACTATACACTTACACCAATAAAGATAGTATGATACTGTCACAATGATATAAATCATGGATCAGAATAGAAAATTCAGAAATAGGCTCTTACATTAATGGTCAATAGATTTTCAATAAACGTGCCAAGTCAATTCAATGGGGGATAGTATATAGTCTTTTCAACAACTGGTCCTGGGACAACTAGATATCCATATACAAAAGAATAAATTTGGAGCCCTACCTCACATCACATATGAAAACTAAAATAGTTCAAAAGCCTAGATATAAGAGCTAAAACTATAAAATTCTTAGAAAAAAACATGGGCATAGTTCTTTGTAACCTTGGATTAGGCAAGGGTTTCTTAGACATGACACCAAAAGTATAAGTCACAAAAAATATATAATTACATTGGATTTCATCAAAATTTAAAACTATCATATTTTAAAAGACATCAATTAGAAAGTAAAAAGACAATCCACAGAATAGCAGAATATATTTGCAAATCATCTATCTGAAAAAGGACTAGTATGCAGAATACATAAAGAACTTTAACAATTCAGCACAAAAAACAACAAATAAGCCAAGTAAATTATGATATTTGAATAGACATTTCTTCAAAGAAGATATATAAATGCCCAATTAAGCCCATGAAAAAATGCTCAACATCATTAGCCATTAAGGAAATACAAATCAAAACCACAATTCACACTCACTACATGGCTATAATAAAAAAGACAGACAATGCTGAGTGTTGGCTAGGATGTGGAGAAATTGTAGCCCTAATACATTGCTGGTGGGAATGTAAAATGATGCAGCTGCTTTGGAAAACATTTTGACAGCTCTTCAAAATTTTAAACTGTATGTTTCTCATGTATGTTTATCAATGCAGCAATTCCACTCCTAGGTATAAACCCAAGAGAAATGAAAACATGTCTATACAAAAACTTCCATATGAACACTTATAGTGGCATGATTCATATCAGTCAAAAAAGGAAACAATTCAGATGTCCACCACTTAAGTAGGGGATAAACAAAATGCAGTATGTCCATAGAAGGGAATATTATTCAGCCATAAACAGGAATGAAGTACGGATACATCCTACAACATAGATGAACCTTGAAAACATTATATTAAGTGACAGAGGCCAATGACAAAAGACCACATACTATATGATTCCATTCACATGTAAGTCCAGAACAGAAAAATCTATAAAACAGAAAGTACCTTAGTGGTTGCCTAGAGTGGAGGGGTGGGATGGAGGGGGTGGGGACCAGAGGAGGTAACAGATAATGGGATAATAGCTACATAGTGTGGGCTTTCTTTTGTAGGTGATGGAAAATATTCTAAAATTGACTATGGTGATGTGTCTGTGAACACACTAAAAGCCATTAAATTGTACACTTTAAACTAATAAATTAAATGGTATGAAATTATATCTTAATAAACCTGTTTAAAAAATAGCAGATAGAGAGAAGACAGATAGATAGACTAATGAAGTATTGATAAATGTTACAACAGGATGAGTATTAAAAATGTCATGCTAAGACCGGCACAGTGGCTCACGTCTGTAATTCCAGCACTTTGGGAGGCCGAGGCGGGTGATCACCTGAGGTCAGGAGTTCGAGACCAGCCTGACCAACATGGAGAAACCCTGCCTCTACTAAAAATACAAAATTAGCCTGGCATGGTGGTGCATGCCTGTAATCCCAGCTACTCGGGAGGCTGAGGCAAGAGAATCGCTTGAACCCAGGAGGCAGAGGTTGCCGTGAGCCAAGATCGCTCCATTGCACTCCAGCCTGGGCAACAAGAGCAAAACTCTGTCTCAAAAAAAAAAAAAAAAAAAATCGTTCTCTGTAAAGAATACAGTTACAATGGCCACACATTATACAACTTCATTTATATAGAACATCTAGAATTGGCAAATCTGTAGACAGAAAGTAGACTGGTGTTGCCAGGGTCTTGGGAGAGAGTGGAATAAGAATGACTACAAATGGACATAGGGTTTATTTTGCGGGTAATGAAGATGTTCTGGAACAAGGAAGTGGAGATGGTTACACACCTCTGTGAACATACTAAAAAACACTGAAGTGGACACTTTTTTAAAAAGGTGAATTTTATGTTATGTGAATTATATCTCAATTTAAAAAAAAGACAAAAAAGAGACATCAATAAATGGTTATGTAAGAGAGATACATGGTTATACATGAGAGACCTTGACTATCAGTTCTGACAGTACAGAGATTGCTCAATTCTGTCAAATCCCATTCCTCAGGGAGGTCAGAACAGACTATTTGATTTTTTTCCTCTTTAAATATTAAGATGAAGGATACATTTTCTACATATATATGTATAGATTTTTACTAAATGCTGCAAAGTGTCTTAAAATAAAAATGAACATTAAAAATTATTTTCTGGAATATACCTCAGGAACATAGGCCTCAGCTGGGCACCTGCCACAGGGAAAGCCCAGGCCCAGGCGTGCTGAGTATCAGTGGAACCTGCGAGGCCAGGCTGTGGAGCCCGAGAGAGAGAAAATAGTGCTGGTGTGGCCCCTGCTGTAGCTGCTTTGCTAGTCAGTTCAATTACCCATCCTCGAGTTTCCTAAACAGCAAAAGAGACCTAGCCTAGTATGGGTGTCTCCCATTCATTCTAACTCTGTCATTCAGTCTCCAAGTTTACTAAAGAAACTCTGAGTTTAGGTATAGAGTGAGTAATGATGAGGCTGGCTGGTGGAGCATCATCTTCAAAAAATAAAACCAACAAATACAAACAGAACAACAAATCCCACTATAAGAACTAGAGACTGGACCTAATTTTAATCCCCCTTGATTAAAACCTATCTTTTCTTATTCCTTCAAAGGCCTGGGAACATTCCTGAATGAATGAGCAGAGCCACCTCCAGAGTGAGACTTCTCAGGACAGTTGCCCCCAGTCAGGTGTGAGGACTCAATGCTCAGTGCCCAAGGGCCCAAGCCTAGGTGGAACCATGGAAGATGCAGTATTTCAGGAAGGCTACACCAGAGATATGGAGAGAATAAGAAAATGAACTCCCCAGCGGAAACCATCCTGAGGCTTATGTAATGTACATGCATTCACACAATCAGCCAGTGGCCCTGCCCACATGTTGCAGCCACAGGCTGGCTCCTGCCCGCTTTTCTACTTTTCCTCTCATGGCCATTCCTTTCTTGGCGATTGAACCAAAGAGAGGGATGGGGATAGGGAGGAAAGATACACGATGGGTTTGCCACAATCTCCACTCCTCCTGGAATGTGTGAGGCAATGAAAACTCCCTGGAAAGAGATGGGCTACGAAGCCAGGCTGCTCACACTGGGACCCTGGCTCCGTCCCTTCTGGTTGTGTGACTTGGGGTCAATGTTTAAACCCTGTAATTTTCAGATTCCCCATCTGTAAAGTGGTATGTAAATTCCTACTTCAAGGAATTGTTGTGAGAATTAAATAACATATGCTTATTAAATGGTAGTTTTTTTAAACAATGATAAAATAAAATCTGTACTTGTAACCCCTCTATATTAATCCTGATATTTCCCCAATAGTTTTTAAATGTAGCTACACGAGTCCATCCAACTAAGTTATTTATACCAACATGACTTAATGAATAGTTATGATGGTCTGCATTAAAAACCTAGGCATCAGACAGAACCTCTTTCTCATTTTTGACTCAAGCACATGCCAGTTGTGTGAGGTAAGGAGGGTGCTTTAATCTTTCCAAATATCAGTTTTCTTATATATAGAATGGGAATTTTAATAAGATAGCATATTTAAAGTACTTAGAAGACTACCTGGGCAGCAACTAGTATAAATAAATGATAGTAGTAGCTCCTTTACTCCTCCTCTTTATATATGCTAACTTGCTTGTATTCATGTTTTTTAGATAATTCAAATCAATTTAATCATTCCAAGCAGCTCAACAACCAACAATCTGATGGATAACTGATTTATCTATGGTAAATTGCCCGGATAGTGAAAGTGGTTGAAATGTACAACTGGACGTTGCTACAGTCTGATGAGTCTTCTAAATAGAGAAAATGTTTTAGAATTTTAAAAGTAATACATTAAGAGAAATAAACCATATCACATGTTCTCTCTTACATGTAGGAGATTTAAAAAAAAGTTGATCTCATGGAAGTAGCAAGTAGAATGGTGGCTACTGAGGCTGGGAAGGGTGGGAGGTGGGCATGAAAAGAGGTTGGTTAATGGGTACAAACATAGTTAGAGAGATTAAATAAGTTCGTGTTCGATAGCACAGTAGGATGACTACAGTTATCAACAATTTATTGTACATTTCAAAATAGCTAGAAAAGATTTGTAATGTTCTCAACAAAAAGGAATAATAAATGTTTGAGGTGATGGATATTCTGGTTGCCCAGATTTGATCATTTATACATTGTATGCCGGTATCAGAATATCACACGGACCCCATAAATATGTATAATTATTATGTATCAATTTAAACATCGGGATCGAATCTTATACAATTACGGACACTGATAAGGGAGTTCTGTTTGTCTGTTTCTTAGGAGGGATGCTGAACCTGAAGTCACAAGACAGCTGGTCAGGATCCGAAGATGGGCAGGAAGTCGGGGAGAGCAGGGAAAACTGAAACTCATAAGGACCCCACGGGAGTGTGCATCTGTCTGTCCCTGAAAGCCACATTGGCCCCTTTCCATCCCATCTCTAAGCCTCCACCCTTGTGGCCGAGGCTGCTCTGAAGAGAGGCTGGTGTTCTTGCTGCAGAGCCCCGCTCACTCCTGGACCAGGCTTTGTAAAGCTGAAGGAAGCAATTCCAGGGACCGGAGCTTTGGACCCAGTCAGTATAGTGAGCGAGCAGATCTGTGAAAATATGTGTGAGCCGCAACAGAGTCCAGCCTCCACGGCCCTTTCAAGGATAAACACGGCTCCGCTCCACTTCCACCTTCCAGATCTTGCACAAGTTGTTCCTATGCCCATCCTAACCAGGAACATGCAGGGAACGGAATTCTGGGAAATGTAGTTCAGCTTAGCCGAGTCAACACATTACAAAGCCACCGCATGGGAAAATAAAAGTTTATTGCTATAAGCCACTTACAAAAAAATTTATATGCTACAGAAAATGGTCTCTGGAATTTACCAAGTCTCTCTCTCTCTCTCTGTCTCTTTCTCTCTCTTTCTCTCTCTCTCTCTCTCCTGGCTCCAACTTAGCACTTCCTTCAGAAGTACTCAGTTTTGCCTTTCATTTTTTTCATGTAAATGCAGAAATAAATTTCTCCAGTTTACTGAAAAGTATCTCCCAGAGGGACCAAGGCAGGCAGGAAATTAAACTATGGTGCTGGAATCATTTTACCATACCAGCTTTACCCCACGAATGTAAATTTAGGGAATTCCACTTGTCAAAGTCCTCTTTGAAGCTTTGAATAATTGGATCCCAATTATTCTTAACCACGTTATACAGGCCTGTGCTCCTCTTAATATCTAAATAGATCTCATTTTTTGCCACCTACTAAAATTCTCCAAAGTGAATATTGCCACATTATGCTCTCCAGTTAAGAGTGAAATTTCTGACTAAAAATGTTTTTTACTCATATCCAGAGATGGCTGCAAATTTCTCCATGATAACTAAAGCTGTGAGAATTGGCATCACATTTGAATTGGTATTAACTCGTAGTAAAAATATGCTCAGCAAGAAGAAATCATTGTACTTTCTACCAATCATTTTAATACCTGAGACATCTTCTTTCTTACTAATAGCTATTCATAATGGTTATAAAGTCAAAACAGATAGCACAGAATATAAAGGAAAATCATAGTATCTGGAAAGCATCCCTTTGAACAGGCTGGATACAATATCAATTACACGTTCTTACTACACTTTCAAAAGAAGGAGTTAATGTTTAAAACCATGCCATGCACATTCTCTTGTTATATAATTTTCTTTTGGTTTTCTGTTTCTTACAGAGCACTGTTATCAAACAGCTACACTATATTTTTGTGAACTCTGAATATCAATTCTTCCTTTCAACTTTGCAAGAGAAAGTGAAAGAGTTGTATGAAAACCTTCTTTAAATTGATAAGAAAATAGGCATGTCTCCATACAGTATTGAGAATCAAGAAGGCATTAGAATTATCTTTAGCAAATGTACATATCATCACTAAAAGTATTTGTTAAGCACTTAGGCACCATGCTAGATGCTTTCTGTCTTCCACAAGTTTATAATCTAAATCTACCATTACTGTCTTAGATGAATGCATACAGAATGGGGGAAGGGAAATTCAAATTGTTGAGTTTCTATGATGAGCCACACACAGAGTTTGCTATTCACTTTTTATACCTGATCTCATTTAATTTTCACAGAAACTAATGGTTAAAGAGGATCAGTAATCTACTCAAGTTTCTGCAACAAGCATGTGAGAGAATTCTTACTCATACTCTGGTATCACAGGCCTGTTTGTTCCATTACATCAGTGGTTCTCAGCTGTGGCAGTTTTGCTCCCCCCTCCCAAGGAGACATTGGTCAATAACTGGAGATATTTTTTATAATCCCCACTGCTGGAGTGCCACTGGCATCAAGAAAGTGGAGGCCAGGATATCTCTAATTATCCAACAATGTGATCACCCTGCCACACACAGGATTATCTTGTCCAACACACCAAAAGTGTTCAGTTGAGAACCCCTGCATCACACCACTCACAGATGAAGATGTTGATAAACCGTAATAAAACGTCATACCAGACATGAGTGCACAGATGGGTTTACATTTTGTGATTACTTGAGACAAAATTACCACATGGATTTATTGATTGTAATTCAGGATCACAATCAGTTGTGAAAGGCAGTGGCTGAGAAGTATGTTGGATGATAGAAACAAATCACTTTGGTATGAAGTTTTGTTTTTTCATTTCTTACCCTGGGATTGTTTGTCAAGTGATCAATCTACTTGTGGTAAGAAGTAATTATTTTTTAGAGCCTCTTTAACTTTTACCTTCCCCCCAGCCCTGATTTTAAATTCTAGAATTTTCAGAATGGACAGGGCAAGTAGGCAATATTGAGTCAATGAATTCAAAGTTCAGAGTTTTTACATCCATAAGGTATTTTAAGTACCATAACAAGTTGATCTCAGTAATAGTTTTATACATCGTATACTATAGTCATATATGGTCTGCTATTTATATGTAAGCAAAGAGGCAAATATAGGTAAAAATAATTCCTAATCCACTTGGTGGCCATCGGACCCAGGTAAGGTTCTCCACGAATTTGTTTAATGCTCTCTCATTCCTCTTTACCTCTCTGGATATAACAGCAGCTTCATTCTCCCTCCTTCCCCTCTTTCCTTCCTTATCTTCTTTCCTTTCTTCCTGTATTTCTTCTCTGCTTCCTTCCTTCATTCTTTCATACAAAGTTGACAAGGAGAAAAGTAGCAGGAATGAGATTTATGCAAGATTGGTTAGAAACTATTTCAAACATCAACTCCAGTCCACACATGAGCTCTGTAAGTCTGTTATTCCAGGTCTGTGTAGATGGGCCATTTGCTGTGATTGGTTTTCATGATCACCGCTTCATGCAGGGTCACTTGTTTTGCAGGAGTCACTTAGATGGCAGATTGACATTTCACATCTTGGAAGAACTACTAAACAGGTGAATGATGGGTGATTACTGAGGAGAAAGCCTATGTGACCCTCCAGGATGCTGCAATGGCACCACTTGAAGCAAATCTTCCTTCTAATTAACCTCTCAGCTTCCTCCCCTTCCCATAGGCAGGATATTGGGCATGACCATGGGACTGCAACAGTGCTAAAGTTTTTGTATTCACACAGCACACATAGGCAGAAAAAAAAATAGCAAAAGGAAAAAAAACACATTGGATTTACATTTCTGAACAAGATGAGTAACCAAGATTTATTCTACCCTGAAACAACCCAAACAGAGACAAAATACACTAAATGTTAGTTTGTAAAACACTTTACATCAGTCAAAAAAGACAGTATCTTTGAGAGATGGCAAACAATGAGCCCTGAGATAGCCTCAGCTTATTGTCTTGAGAGAGTTTCAGGGCCACAGCAGAGGGAAGAATTGTGGTAGAGTTCTGCAGATTCCCTAAATTGAAAAGAGGCAGCTGAGAGACCAGGAAGACCAATAAATCTAAGTTCCCAGGATAGAGTAACAAACAGGAGAAAGCTGAGCAGAGAGAGGCCTGGAGATCTGTAGAGGGTCCGCCTTGAGTATCCAGCTGAGTACCGATCATTACAAACACATAAGGAGTCTGCTGGTAGCTGGGGAAATGAACTTGAAAGGATTAGAGGTAACAGTGCCCAGAGCTCACAAGGGCTGGAAGTAGTGCCCCGGATCCTGCAGCCAGGCTGGAAAACCTCCAGATTCACAAGACAATGGGTAGAGTACTCAGAAAAGTCTTGCCTGGGTGGTGAGGACTGGTTAGTCCTAGATTGAGTACAACTCTCTCCTTAGCTAACAAATCTGAAAATCAAGATCTGAGAGGATTAACTTTTTCTAAGCAACTTAACCACATCCTAGAACAAATATCAATAATATTTTTAGGAATTTAAATAATCTCTTATTCAAAGAGATAAAATTCACAATATCTGGCATCCAATAGAAAATTACCAGTCATGCAGAGATGCAGGAAAATATGAATCATTATTAAGGGCTAGATTAATCAATTGAGAGAGACTCTGAACTGACAGAAATGTTGGAATTTGCAGATGACGACAATTAAAGCAGTTTTAAAGACCGTATTCCATATATTTAAAAGGTTAAGGAGAGACAATGGAGAGATAAAATAATAACCAAATCAACCTATTAGAGATGAAAAGTACAATATGTGGGAATAAAAATACATCAAATGAGATTAACTTCAGATTAGACAGTGAAGAAGAAAAGATTAGTGAATCTGAGAAACATTTAAAAAATCAAAAAAAGAAAAGATAATTTCAAAAAATGAACAGAGTACCAATGATTTGTTCAAGAACTACTGGCAGCCTAATATATGTATAATTAAAGTTTTTGAAGACAGGGGGGTACAAAAATATTTGACCACCGTTTTTACCTTAAGAAATAGAAAAATGTGACTAAATTATACTCAAAGTAAGTAGAAGAAAGAAAATCATAAAGCTCACTGTGGACAGCAGTGCATAAGGAAATAGAAAATCAATAGAGAAAATATGAAGCCAAAAGTTTGTCTTTAAGATCAATAAAATTGATAACCCTCCAGCTAGATTGATTTTCAAAATAGAGAGAACACACAAATTATCAATATAAAGATTGAAAGAGGTGGCACTACTAGACAGTCTACAAATATGAAGGAAACATTATATATAAGTTTATGCCAATAAATTTGATAACTTTAAAGAAAATAGCCACATTTACTTGAAAGACACAAAATACCAAACATCATTCAAGAAGAAATAGGTAACTTAAAAATCTGTCTATACACTAACAAAATTGTATTTGTATTTTTAAAAACATCCACAAAGAAAACTTCAGATCCAGGTGACTTCACTACTGACTTCTACCAAACATTCAAAACAGAAATAATATTATTTTTTCTTCCAGAATATTAAAAAGCAGAGAATATTGCCCATTTCATTTAATGAGACTGACTTTATTCTGATAACAAAACCAAAGATATCATAAGAAAAGAAACTGTACACTGATATACTTCATGAATATACATGCAAAAATTCTAAACAAAATTTTAGCCAATTTAATCAAACAATATGTAAAAAAGACAGTACATATGACCAAACAGGCTTATCTAAGGAATGAAGGATGGGTTTAACATTTGAAAATCACTCTATCTAAGTCACTCTATTAACAAAGTAAAAAAGAAAAAGAACATCCAGGATTATTCATCCCTGATAAACAATACTCAGCAAAACAAGAATAAAAGTGAATTTCTCAACCTGATTAAGGATATTTATCTCATGCTTAATAGGGAAAGACTGAATGTCTCCCCCTAAACTCACAAAGTTCATAATGTCTTCTCCAACCCAGTCTATTTAACATTCTGGAGGTTCTAGATAGTTCAAAGCAAGCAATAGAAAGGAATAAAAGGCATCCAGATTAGAAAGGAAAAATCAAACTGTCTTTCTTCTTAGAGGACGTGATGGGCTCTGCAGGAAATCTAATAGGATGTGCAATAAAGCTACTAGATCTAATAAGTAAGCTTAGCAAGGTTAAAGGATTAAACATGAATATACAAAAATAAATTGCGTTTCTATATACTAGAAAGAACCTATTGGAAACTGAAGCTTTAAAATTACAACTTACAACAACATCAAGAATTATTACGTTCTTACAATTTATAATTACAGGTCTGATGTTTAAATTTATAATTAAAGGACTGGTCTGACAAAAGATGTAAAGACCTGTACACCCATACAGAAGAATGCAGAAAAAAATGTAAAGAAGATCTAACTCAATGGAGAGATCTATTTTGTTCTGCATCAGAAAGCACAATATTTTAAGATGTCACTTTACCCCAAGTTGATCGATATGTTAATCTCAACCTACTATATGATTCCAATTATGTAAAATTCTAGAAAATGCAAACAAATTGATAGTGACAGAAGGCCAATTGATGAGTTGTCTGGGGACTGGGGCGGACGGGTGTTGTAGTCAAGAATGAGTGGAAAGAAGAGATTACAAAGGGACACGAAGAACTTTTAGGGGCGATGGATATGTCCCTCATCTTGACTACAGTGATGGGTTCACAGTTATTTGCATATGTCAAAACTTATGAAATTGTATACTTTAAATATGTGCAGTTTTTTACATGTCAACTATACCTCAACAAAGCTACTAAAGTGGTTTTTAAAAGAGAATGAAAGCGATGAATAGGCATATTGCTTCTTTCTTTTAAAAAATTCAAATTGTGAATCAATGCTTTTCCTCTATTTTTCAAAATAACTTGAAGTTGTTGTGCCAGTTCTTGCTTCTCTCCATGTAAACCAATCCCAGATAAAAACTTGAACAAACAAAACACATTTTTTATATTTAAGTTATCTACGCTGATTAATTGGTGATTCTATTTCTCTTGTATTTTAAACAAGGGGCAAGTCCATGGATGGCTCAGTTTCTCTCTGCACCTGTCATGGCCTTAGAGCTTGTTTTACAGATCTGCCATTGGCTGCCGTGGGAAGGTAGCAGGTAAGAAAATTGGAGTACCCCAAATGTCCAAAGGTGGACAATGACTCCCACTTTCCACAGGTGAGCACTTAGTGGTAGGAAAGATGCCCTTTGCTCAGGATGAGATAGTTTGGATGGACCTGAGATTGCTGAAGAAGGCCATTTATTTATAATACAGGGAGTGGAAAATTAGGCCATTGTGTTTCTGCACAGGGGAAGAATTCATAAAAAGTCACACAGAATTATTTTTATATAACTGACAATGACATCGTTGTAAGGTGGAAACAGAGCTTTATTTGTCTTACTTAAAATGATATATAGAGCACTTGTCTGTTTATTCCACTGCAAACAGCTTCTGCAAAAACAGCCGTAAATCCCTGGGGGTTTCTACTGATAGTTATAAGTTACTTGAGCAAAATCTCTCAAGCAAGTTGCTGCCTTGCAGGTATCCATTATTCTAAATTCAAAGGCCTTTTTCTTATTGTTTGTTTGTTTGTGTTGAAAGTGTATTTTCCCCAAAAATTATGTTACATGCAATATTACTTTAAAAATATAAAATGTGTCAGAACAGAGCTACTTTTCAAATAGGTAAGTCTGTGTACCTAAATCAAAACACACACAGCCAAAGGGGGAAACACTCGATAAATAGGCTTTATAATCAAATCTGGCTCAGGTTAAAGTGAAGTTAGTTTGATGGATTCAGCTGAGGCCCTAGTAAATAACAGCCTCTGTAATTAAGCTACCATTGCTTAGCCTCCCTGGGAGCTTACGGGCAGCTCAAAGATGTAAGAGTGACAACCAGGAGGCAAACTTCAGAAATGAGCAGACAGCATGCCCACCCACGTGCTAGTCCCTTCTCAGCCCTCAGCACATTACACCAAGAGATGAGCCAGGGATAGCTGCTGCTATCCACAGGCAAAGCCAAATGTCAATGACATTGACTGGCAAAGCCCATGTTTGGGAAGGTGAAAGTAACAAGCCCACCTCAACAAATGCTAAAGACACCTGCCCCCTTTTCTGTCACCTGTCTGGAGCCTGTCATTTTCTGTTCTTCTTCTATATATCTGTATCTATAGACATACATACACAATTTTATCTGTCTATAGACATCCAGACACCATTATTCATGTGTACTCATAAGTGCATATACATGCATACATATTCATACATATACCCCTAAAAGAAAATACCAGAGCAGAGAGAGAAGCAGCGGCTTTGTAGCATAAAATTCTGGGTCCAAATCTTAGCATAGTCACTTTTTTACCATGTGCCAGACATATTAGGCATTGGGGAGACAGTTGCTACCACAAGGAGCTCCCTAACTAGTGGGATGGAAAAGCACACAAATAACTTTAATATAACATGCCAAAAGCTAAACTAGAAATAAGTAGGGTGTTATGTGATCATAGAGAGATAGAGGATTCAGATTTAACCTATTGAAGAAGAAAACTAAACTAAATTTTATAGGACGAGGTAGTAACTTCATGTTCCTTGGCCTTATTTTCTCCATCTACAGAATGTACATGTATAGCATGTATTAATACATCTACAGTATTGATATGAGAAATAAACAAAAGTATGATGTGAAGTCCCTAGTAAGAAATATTAGTTCCTGTCCTGATGACCCTGTCTCCTTCTCCTATTCCTCAAATTAGATGAATGAATATAAACAATCTTTTGTCAAGGGTATAAAATTGTAAGTACCTATCCCACATAGAAAGTTAGGGAGGAGAGAGCATTGTGGATTGAAGTAAGGATTTCTGACTTCTATTTATTATGACAAATTAATTTACAACACAGAGAAAAAGCAAAACTCTTGTTTATTCATTTAAAAACTACATCTAAAAATTTTTCTCCATTTCTTTCTTTATTAAGTTTATGCAAAAGCAAACAAATTTCTTCTATCTTGATGGGTGTTCCAATTTTTCCTATCATTCTGTGCGTGTATGATACAGCCAGGCCATCCCTGGTGTGGCTGACAGAGCTGCTCAGACAACCCTTCAAGGCAGGACTCGCTACCCAGTTTCAAGAAGCATGATGGGCAGACAGTCTCCGGCTGTAGACTGTTTGAGGTTTGGAGTGCGTCACAATATTCTCCAGGTGGCAAACTTCAGAAATGAGCAGACAGCTTACCCACCTCCGTGCTAGTCCCTTCTCAGCCCTCAACCCATTACACCAATAGAGTTACAGGAGTGGGCCCATAACAATGGGAGCCACAAGTGGTGCCATCACTGTGCTACTCAGAAGCTACTGGCCAGATAGCTGTTGTCATGGTGGGCCGAAGGTGCAAGTGAAATGCCATCATGGTGGTAATAACTCGTGAGAATGAGGCCCCATCCTCCAGAGCATGGTATATGAACTAAATGAGAAACTTTAAATGGCCCAGTCTCCCCACTAGGAAGAATACGAGGGCCTGGAAGAATACACGGGTCTGAAATCCAGGAATTAAAGCAGGAGTGGCCCCACCTAGCATCAATTCCAATGACCCATGGGATGAACTTGTCCTTTCTGCCCTGCAACCAGAGGCTCTGTTGAGTTGGAGACTCTTATTTCCAAAGAAGTCTGCTCTTACCAGGGAACAAAACAAAAGTCCATGATTGTTGCCTGGGCACTTTGGCTTCCTTGTGTCCAGGGGTCAGTAGGCAAGAAGAGGAGTCACCATTCTGTGAGGGATAACTGACTCCAATCAGTAGGAAAAGTGGGACTAGTGTTACACAATGGGATTGGATGGATGTGTGTGTGAAACTCAGGTGGCCCGCCTGGGTGCTTCTTGGTACTTCCTTGTTCAATTGCAACTATAACTGAATAAGTGCAGTTACCTTGGCCTGAAGATGGCATGATTACAGGAGGCTCAGACCACTTAGGTATGAGGGTTTGGTCAAACCACCATGTAAGCCACATGGAATCAGCAGGGATAGTAGCTGAAGGTGAAGGGAATTTTATAAGGGAGAGAGGACTTATCTGCAAGTGAGGGATGCCATGAGTATAGTCATGGCCTTGAGGCAGACTGCAGCAGTGGGTGCATCCCATAAACCTCCCTCCCTTAAGTTTCCCATTAGGAATAGGGGCCCACCAGAACCCTGGAGGTTCTACTCCTTGAAAGAGTATCCATGTGGTGCAAGGAGAGGACTGTGGCAGACATGCTACTCAGATGCACCTTCTAGAAAGACTTGCATTATTAATGAGTGTGGTTAGCTGACAGCTTCAAAATGGTAGCACCTTGAGGATCTACCTCAGCTTTTGAAGAGGCCTCCAGCTAATGACTGAGTGAAGCCTCACTGCAAGGGCCTGGTCACTTCAGCCCAATGTGGAACTCTTCTAATGGTCAATCTTTTTGCTCTGGAGCTCCCCTGTGGGTTGGCAGAGAATTGTTGTCCACGAACCAATGGGTCCTCCTGCCCAATCCTGCTCCCTCCCCTTTGCCTTTCTTGGGTATTATTCCACAATAAACCATTCACACTTCTAACTCTATCCCAGCACCTGCTTCTTGGAGAATCCAAACTATGATATGGAGGGGCAGGGCCAAACAAATCCAATGGGAACCAGGGAGCTGTTCTCCTGGAGGATTTGTCTGATACAAAACTTTCCTGAGAACCTTTGTCTCCAGCTCCTGCCCCACAGAAAGAAACATGCAAGGAGCTCCAACTTCTCCCTGAAGTTGCAGATTCAGACAACTCTGATGATGGGACCCCAAGGCTTCTGAACAGATGCTGCCTAAGCTCCAAACCTCATTTTCTAGTCTCTGCTTACCTATATTTCTAAGCTTTTATTTATCCCTCTTTCTTCTATTCCTGATTTCCTGGTTCCTAAAACCCTTGGCTTTGGGATCATGATCTCCATTGTCCAATGACCTTCTCTGTGTGCTTCTTCCCCACATCTCAGGGCTGGTCTATTTGCCTGGTCCAATCTCACTACTACTGGTTTCCCCTGCCTGAACTACCTCCAAGATCCTTCCAGTCTTACTCTTTAGAATGAAGTGCCCGGTTCCTACTTCTACCTATGACCCCTTGCTGTTCAGTCCCTGTGAGCCTTTCTGAAATCAGTTTTTTGTTTTTTGTTTTTGAGACAGAGTCTCGCTCTGTTGCCCAGGCTGGAGTGTAAAGGCAGGATATCAGCTCACTGCAACCTCCACCTCCCAGGTTCAAGCAATTCTCCTGCCTCAGCCTCCTAAGTAGCTGGGATTACAGGTGCCCACCACTACGCCCAGCTAATTTTTGTAATTTTAGTGGAGTCGGGGTATCACCATGTTGGTCAGGCTGGTCTCGAACTCCTGATCTCAGGTGATTCACCCACTTTGGCCTCCCAAAGTGCTGGGATCACACTGAAATCAATTTTAACCAAACTCCTAGTCAGGCCTTTCCTGGCCTAACTGATCCTATAACATTGGAAATTCTAATTTTTACACTGACTGCCAGACCCGGAGAAGAAAAGGAACAATGTCTTTGCCTTTCTTCTCCATGCAACACCTCACATAATTGCATGTACTCCCTATAGACTTGCAACAAATCCTTTCAGAAGCATTACGTGGCATTTCTAAGCATCAAATGTGATTTGTATTGACTTAAGTCATGCTTCATGTATTGACATGAAGTCCATGCTTCAAAAACCAATTATTTATTAATCATTAACTCAGTCCTTACTATAAGCCAGCCCTTAGTCACTTCCAAACAAGAAGACTCCCAAAGTGGTACATATGTAGAGTTGGGTTGTTTAGTTGTTTGTTTGCTTTGCCACTCCCTGAATTTCTTTATGATACTTTATGTAGACCTTTTAATGTTCTCTGCTATTCATTTTTAAGTTGGTGGTTCAATTAGTACTACTTCCTTGTGGAAAAAGTCATAATATTATTTAAATTGACATAATCAAGGACATTTTTAGGACAATGACCCCAAACGTGGCCCATTTTATTGTTCTTTTCTCCTCATTGTTCCTATTTTCTATCTCACATTTATATTCTGTCATCTTGTTTTCTTCTAGAAAATCTAAGTTTAGAGAAAGAAAGTATCTTCTTTTGACTATCATTATGATGTTTGCTTTTTTTTTTTTTCTTTTAAGGAGCTAAGCCTCTATAGTTTGGTGAAACCAAAATTTTAAAGTTAGAAAAAAAAGAAGAAAAATCAACTCTAAGTGCAATCTTCCAAATATATAGAGAGAGCTTAAACCATCTGATATCACAAGCTCACTGTCTAAATTAACCTGACTTTACTATTCCTGGAAATTCTTGCCTAGGAAGACAAAGTTGTCAGTAATTTTACTGTTTCTTTCAAGTATTTCTCCAAAATCCTTTTTTTCCCCCAGATGATAGACTACTAGCCTCCTCAATTAGCCCTTATTAGAGTAAGTACCTCATTCTCAGGGTTCATCAAACAAATATTTACTCAATATTGTCCTAGAAATTCTTACCGTCTATGTAATCCTAAATGATTACATCCCCAAGCCTGCCCAACTGCAATTAGATCACCCTCCCCAGCCAATCCCCTCCATGTCAATACACCCACATAACTCCCCTGACCCCCAAAACCTCATATGCTTCTCACTTTTGTCCTTCCTGCTCAGAGATGCTACTAAGACTCAGCTTTGCTTGATCATGGGTTATTTTGGTATTTTTTCAGGGAATCACCAGTCAACAGCCACCAATATTTAATGGGTACCTAGCACTGACCTACATTTTGTAGGCACATAATAAATAGTCTAGTGGGTAAGAAGGATACATAAAAATCCATAATTTTAGGCAGAATCAAGTAAATGCTTTCATAAATGCGTGAACAGCCCATCCTGATGGAACTCACCAAAGGATCTGCTAGCACTTTTTAGAGGAAGTGATCATGGAATTTAGGGTGTTGTAAAGGCTAACTTGCAACCTTCTGGAGGCTTACACCTTGTAGTGACTTTCTTTTAATTCTCAGATAACTTCTGGAGATTCCTATGGCCACTTTAATTAGAAACAACATGAAATAAGTCCAAAATTTCATCAGTTGCTCTAATCCTTGATACTGTGGTGATGAATTTTTGGGGGCTCCCTCAAAGAAGAAAATAGGATTCAAGCACACTCACACACACGCAGACACACATGCACACACAAACATATATATATACACACACACACATATATATACACACACACATATATATATACACACACACATATATATACACACACATACACACATACGTATACATATATATACATATCTCAAGGAGGCAGAACCTACCTATCTGCCAGGGCCATCCTGCTCTTTCTACAGCCTGTGGACCTGCAGACCATCTTCCCAGCCATCTGGTGGAATCTTAGTCCTAAGACAAGGCACGATGTTTCGTGGTCAGTCACCCATGCTTCCTGCAACCTACTCCGACAGTGAAAAAACACACCAAAGCACTTGTTTAAACAAAGCTTACTGAAACAGAACTCTGATGGTCCTCTAATATATTTTTTCATGGGGTTTGGTTGGGGGATGGTGGAGCTGGTGGTATAACCAATACGTTTTGGTAAACATGAAGCAAATTAAACAAAATGAGGCTTTTGTTCCCATGGTAATTGTATAATTTTCTCTTAAGGAAAGTATGGATTTTGTTTGTGCAGCTGACAATTACTGTTGAAAGTACAGTGTGGCCTGCTATTAGTTTTCTGAAGATGGTCCCAATCCAAGAATGTTTTGAGAATATTCTATTAGCCTAAACAGAAGCTATTCCCATTAGAAATAAATATTCTGGCCACATCCTAATTACACTTTTAAAATTAAAAAAAAAAGGCATTCGTGTGTTCATAGTAACTGTATTTCTACATTGTCCACAAAAAAATATCAACCTGATTTCCAATGAGTTAATAAAGTTTCAGTGTCTTGCAGTGATTCAGCTTAACTTTGTTGAGAAGTAGTCCAAGTATGTGGAGAAACAGCAGGTGCTGGAAACAAAAGCCTCTTTCTACCCTTTGTCAAGATAACAAGATTCAAAGAGTCTCATACAATGACCAAAAGTTGATCAGGGCCATAGTCATCCTATCAGGAGAGCATAGGAGCCACCTTCTACCTCATTAGCACTGTTTATCTCATATCGTGTTAGCATTCATTTTCAGTAATATGATATAAGAATGTAATGATGTATAAGTGTTTTTTAATGTTGTGTAAGTGAAAACAGGTGGGTAATTTACCATGGGCTCCATGCAGATTGGAGCTGGCATTTCACAAAGAGAACACTGAGCTATTTTTTTTTTTTTGGTAAGTATTTTTTTTTTAGCCTGGGTCAGATTTCAACAACCATGGTTTTTAAAGTCACTTAGTCATGTCTATACGAGGCATGACACCACAGATCTGTGAACCCAAAGCAAAAATCAAGAGAGTTATTTACCAGGGCTGAATGCCTCAACCAACAACAAGCATGCTTATATCGTTAACTTTCGTTCAGTATGGAAGCGAAGAGGGGACAGCAGTTTAAACAAGGTATCACGGGTATTCAAAGAAGCCCATAATTAGAGTACAAGCTGCTGATTAGAGCACTGGCCCTGCCTAGATACCTGGCCGCTGAGCTAATGGACAATTCTTTATGCAGAAGTCAGGAGTGTTACTTTATAAGAGTTATGATGAACATCGGGTGGCATTGATTAGTCCCTGCTTTTCCCAGGAAGTTAGAAAGAATTTGTATACCTCTACATCTTTTTATAAAATACTCAGGTGACATTCCTGTTGCCAAGATATCAATAATCTGAATTAATTTCATCATCATCAATACTAGCTGAGCTAATAAAGCTGGAGAAGCCAGGTGTCTTCATGCCTTTTTCTAGGACAAGTGTTACTCAGAGTCTCCCATGACTATTTGCTGATGAAAGGTTATAATAGATTTAATAACGTCTGAGAAAGTAAAGAGCTAATTTTGTAAGTGAAAGTGAGATGCTTCTTTCTACCCCAAACGTTTGTAGAGACAGCACTTTTTATTTTCCAGATTTTCTACTTTCCCATTTTAATATTGAAATAGAAGAAAAATGTTCCCCACCAAGTGCATTTCTGCAGCCTTGTTCTGTGTCTCACGTTGCCTGTCAGTCTGTGATACTACATTCCACAATGCCCTGCGGGAGAAAGAAATTGTGTCCAGACGCAGCCATGGGAATGGAATTTCCCATACCTTGAGAGTGACCTCCAATTTGACCTTAAAATTAAAAACTTGTTTGTGAACTCCTGAGAGGGAAAAAGAAGTATATAACAGTAGCTGCTGTTTAAAAATATAATTGGCAAGCATAGTATAGAAACAACACATGAGTCAATCATGGGCTCCCTTAGATCCCAACAACTCACAGCCCAGATTTCCTGTGTTTTCCTGCCCATGAATGGGGTGAACCACCCGTGTAAACATCCAGGAGGGAAAAGAACGATTCCTTTCTAATCCCCATTTGCACTGGTAACTTTTCCCCAGTGTTTGTTTAAGAACTGGCATCTCTCACTCATTCAGTCACAGTCTGAGAATTTGTCATCAGGCTCATTTGTGCTTAAGAGCACAGATTGGAGCTTTGGCACCAGAAAAGGCTTGAGTCTCAACTCTACCACTTGCCAGCTGTGTGACCTCAGTTTCCTGATCTGTAAAATGGTGATAAACAGTGATACAGTAGTCCCCCTTATCAGTAGGGTATATGTCCCAAGATCCCCAGTGGATACCTGAAACCACAGATAGTACCAAGCCCTATACTATGCATACATACCTAAGATAAAGTTTAATTTATAAATTAGGCAAAGTAAAAGGTTGACAACACTCACTAATAATAAAGTAGAACAATTATAACAATATACTGTAATAAAAGTTACATGAATGTGGTCTCTGTCTCTCTCTAAATACTGTAATATTTTCAGACCATGGTTGACGTTAGGTAACTGAAACCATGGAAAGTGAAACTGCAGAAAAAGGGGAACTACTGTATGTACCTAAGACGGTTGTTTTGAGAAGAAAAGTTTATATACTGGTACCTCATTTCACTAATAGTCTATGTCATGAATTTTTCTTCTTATGGAAATTGCCGAATGACTATTATTCCTTATGATCAAGAGAGTTTTAGATGCTGTATCCATTTCTGCCCTATGAGAAAATGATGAACAAAAAGGTATGTTACTAATGTCGTCAACAATATATCACATTTCACAGTTTATGGATGTATTCACATCACATTATTTAATCCTTGCAATAATCCTGTTATTAATCTTTGGATGGCTATTATTGCCTGTATTGTCCAGATGACATATTACTACCTCTATTTATGTATTGAGAGGTAAAGTCCAAACATTGTAAGGGACTTATTCAAGTTCAGATATTGTCTGTACAACTAGACTATGGATTTGAGAACAGCCCTGCCTTAGGAAGTCCTTTGCCATTTCAGTTACAGCAGGTGGACAAAATAAAAGTATTTGCTGTGAATTCTATTTTTTATTTTTATTCTTTATTTATTATGACTATTATTTTGAGATGGAGTCTCACTTTGTTGCACAAGCTGGGGTGCAGTGGTGGGACCTTGGCTCACTGCAACCTCCACCTCCTGGGTTCAAGCAATTCTCCTACCTCAGCCTCTTGAGGAGATGGGACTACAGACACACATCACCATGTCTGGCTAATTTTTTGTTTGTTTGTTTGTTTTTTGAGACAGAGTCTCGCTCTGTTGCCCAGGCTGGAGTGCAGTGGCGCAATCTCGGCTCACTGCAAGCTCCGCCTCCCGGGTTCATGCCATTCTCCTGCCTCAGCCTCCTGAGCAGCTGGGACTACAGGCACCCGCCACCACGCCCAGCTAATTTTTTTGTATTTTTAATAGAGACGGGGTTTCACCGTGTTAGCCAGGATGGTCTCGATCTCCTGACCTCGTAATCCACCCACCTCGGCCTCCTAAAGTGCTGGTGGGATTACAGGTGTGAGCCACCGTGCCCGGCCACATCTGGCTAATTTTTATTTTGTATTTTTAGTAGAGACAGGGTTTCATCATGTTGGCCAGGCTGGTCTAGAACTCCTGGCATCAACTGATTTGCCCGCCTTGTCCTGGATTTGCCTCCAGGATGCTGCAATTGATAGGGAACATAGGGGTATGTGATTGCTTGACTTGTTTCTTGCTCTACTGAAATTTCCATCTTGTTGAAAGTAAAGAAATATTAATACAGTCTAGCCCGAAGAGAGTAGATTTTCCTAATTTTCCAGACTCCAAAACAACAGTTTCTTTAATCCCAGCTAGACAGCCAGCCACAGCTGATGGGCGAGGTTCGTTACCAACACAGGTGCAGCCAATCCATTGCATGGCCAATCACAGTGACTTTTTCAAGAACTTAAACTAGTAACACAGGCATTAAGGAAGTTGGATGCTGAGTCAGGCTACCATAAGAATAATAAATAAAATGCAAGGACTCCGTTGATGAGATCCAAAAATATGTCCTGCTTCTTATCTGTCCTTATGATAAACCTCTTTTACTTAAACTAGCTGATTTGCAACAAAACCATCTTTGAATCAGAACTCATCTGCTGAAGGAATCAGCTGGGAGGGAATATTGTGGGCTTGAGGAATCAGTTGAGGGTTCATTAAAGAGGGAGGCAAAGCCAGTGTGGGTTACAGGAGTAACCCACTGCACCCTGCCTTTGCTGGGAATTCTAAGCTAATTATCTACCACTGACAATCAAATCGAAGACCTGGGTCATGCACGGTCTATCATGCTAGTGACTAGTAAACATTTCCATGTCAGCCAAGGAAGCATTATTATTATTATTATTTTTGTTTGTTTCTTTGATGTTCTTGTATGTTGCAATATTTTGAGATGGTTTGCTAAAAGTCGGATTTATTTGTTGTTGTTTTTGTTTGTTTTCTTCTTTTGCCTCAATGAAGAACTGCTGGTGGACTCAACTCTTCACTAGATGACATAGGCCTGCATAGCAAAAGGCCAGGTTGTCTTGGGTTATCTAAGTTATGAAAAAAAAAATTGTTTTTTGCATACAAAGTGATAGACATTAAAGTTTTCAAAAGGTTGAAAGAGTTGTTTTTACCTGTATTTCATGCTGCTTAATAACTGCTTTAACCTGTTGATACAGAACTGAATTATCCTAATCTCCTATTTAATTGAAGACTAGCTATGTGTCCAGAACTCTGCAAGAAACCATGAAGCATATTTTTTCTTTAAATGACACAACATGGTTTCTGCCACAAGGTGCTGAAAATCTAGCAGACATAAAATTCTTCTTGAAGTCTTCCAGACACTTTCAAGAACAATACAACACAAAATATAATTAAATGTGATACTGTGTTTTATAAATGGCAAACATTACGGGAGTTAGAGAAGCCAACAGTGGACTGCAGCAGCCAGGGAGGGAGACAGGAAACCTGTCCTACTTTCACCTGCTCCATTCATCTCCTAGTCCAGAAAGGGTACTCCAAGTACTAAAGACCACTATATTTTGCTATAATACATCTAGTCAAATATATCACATTTTATAAAAGTGGGATTGTGATGTATATATGATTTTAACCTTTTTTCACTTAATTTTACTTAAACATATACTGAATTGTTATATAGTATTTCATATTTCTTAGTTTCCCTCCTGTTGGACACTTAGGCTATTTCCAGTTTTACCAATAGAGGAAACCTACAATAACCATCCTTGTAACACTACAGAAGTATTTGTGTATACCTCTGATTATTTTTTCCATAAAATAACCTACTAGAAGAAAATACATTTCTCATCAGACCAAAGGTAAGCTTTAAGGCAGTTCTAAATATTAAGCAAAGGAAGAAAATATAATAAAATTTATCAATAAGTTTGGGCTTATAAAAATGAGACTCTTTGTTTCCATTTTTGTGTGTACTTGAGGACATGCCCTGCTATCTAGCTACAAATCTGATAAGTGGGTAGACTAATTGGCCACTATTATATTTGTTGTGCAGAAGCAAGGAGTTGGGGAATTTATGTTAGTCTTCACAGTCTAAAGGTACCATCAGATATGGAAGGCAAGTATATAAATGTGTCCATCTGAAACTAGAAGATCCATGAGGCCTTATTCTCAGAGGTCTCCTTGGCTTTCTGATCTTTCCTCATGTAACTAATATGCTCAGCTCCAACTCACTTGCAGAATCAGGCTTCAAGAGATTGAGACAGAATGAAGAGATGGTCCAATATGCCTTTAAAAATCCCCTAATCTTTTCATTTTATTTAGATAAGAACTTTTTAAAGGATGAATGCCATTTAAGCTTATTAAGACGCTTATTTGTTCTAACATAACACACAAAAACACATTGGTGAATTATCAAGCTGACAATGCACTTAGTAATGAGTAAGGATTAATGTCTTTGCAGAAATGTGATTCATGAATAAAAACTGGTGCAAAATTAAACTCTAGACATACACAGTCATTTGTAACCTTTAAAAAGACTGTGCTGAGTTGTGAATTATTTTTGCATAGGACTGAGGTAAGAGTTATGAAAATATGAGGTGAGAAGAGGTGTTAGGGGGTGATCTTTTTTACCTTTAGGCCCATACTTAAAGCCTCACAACCAGTTGGGTTGCCACAGCTTGCTGCTGTCTGTCCTGCCTCTAGCTTAAAGGCTAGACCAATACAACTACCTAGAGGTCAGCAGCAAACGTTTGTATTGTTTGTGCCTAGACCTTCCCTCTTCATTCCCAGTCCATTTTCCCAGCACTATTTCCACCAAATTTAAAACTCCTAGTAATTGCTATGGTTTGAATTGTCTCCCCCAAAAGGTTGTTGAAGCTCTAGCCCCCAGAACCTGTGAATGTGACCTTATTTGGAAATAGGGTCTTTGAAGATGATCAAGTGACAATGAGGTTGTTAAGGTGGGCCTTAATATCCAATAGACTGTCTCCTTATAAAAAGGGGCAGTTTGGACACAGACACAGACACACACACACACACACACACACACACACACACACACACACACACGGAGAATGCCATGTGAACATGAAGGCAGAGGTTGAAGTGATCCCATGAGCCAAGGAACACCAAAGATTGCCAGCAACCCACCAGAAGCTACAAGAGGCATAGAATAGATTCTTCTTCGCTGCCCTTAGAAGAAACCAACCTGGTCAACACCTTGATTCTGGAGATCTACTAGCCTCCAAAACTATGAGATGATTAAGTTTCTGTTGTTTAAGCCACTTGTTTTGCTGTGCCTTATTATGCCAGCGCTAGCAAACTAATACAGTATGCTTAGTGACCCTGAACCTGACTTTGTCCTATGTACTCAATCTCCCCAGGGTTTAACCCCTACTTCTCCTAAAGGACTCTGATTTTCAATCTACCACCCTTCTATCCTAGTCCTGGCTCCCAGGAACCCATTCTTGGCCTGGCCACGAGGCCCTTATACTCTTGCCCAGCCATGTCTTGCCTTGTTATACAGGAGAAATTTAACATTGACACTGTAAGATATACAGCCTATACTCAAAGTTTCCTCACTGATCCCAAAATATCCTTTATAGCTGAGATTCTGTTTTTTGGATTCAAGATCTAATCAGAGATCATGTATTACATTTGGTCAGTATGTGCTTTAGTCTATTCTTCTTCATCTTTTATGATAACGACATTTTTGAAGATCTCAGGAAAGTTATGTAGAATGTCTTGTAATCTAGATTTGCTCCATTGTTTTCTCATGATTAGACTCAGATTTAATATTTTTGACAAAATTATTACATAGATGATGCTCTATATTAGAGGACTCATAACAACAGTTTGTTTAATAATCGGTCATGCCAAGTTTTCATCAGGTTGTTAAAGTGATGCCCACCAGACTTTTCAATTGTAAAGATACTTCTTTTCCTTTCTGATTAATAAATAATATATTGGGTGGTACTTTGAGATTTTGAGAATTTTTCTCAATCAGATTTTACATATTTTTTAAACTCTTAATTTAAAAATAATTATAGATACACAAAAGGTTACAAAAGATATATACAGCAAGGTCCTGTGCACCCTTGACCTTGCATTCCCCAAAGTTAACACCTTGCATAGTGATAGTTCACTACCAAAACCAGGAACTTTTTTTTTGTTATACTTTAAGTTCTAGGGTACATGTGCACAACGTGCAGGTTTGTTACATATGTATACATGTGCCATGTTGGTGTGGTGCACCCGTTTACTCGTCATTTACATTAGGTATATCTCCTAATGCTATCGCTCCTCCCTCCCCCCACCCCACAACAGGCCCCAGTGTGTGATGTTCCTCACCCTGTGTCCAAGTGTTCCCATTGTTCAATTCCCACCTATGAGTGAGAACATGTGGTGTTTGGTTTTCTGTCCTTGTGATAGTTTGCTCAGAATGATGATTTCCAGCTTCATCCATGTCCCTACAAAGGACATGAACTCATCCTTTTTTATGGCTGCCTAGTATTCCACGGTGTATATGTGCCACATTTTCTTAATCCAGTCTATCATTGACGGACATTTGGGTTGGTTCCAAGTCTTTGCTATTGTGAATAGTGCTGCAATAAACATACGTGTGCATGTGTCTTTATAGCAGTATGATTTATAATCCTTTGGGTATAAGCCCAGCAATAGGATGGCTGGATCAAATGGTATTTCTAGTTCTAGATCCTTGAGGAATTGCCACACTGTCTTCCACAATGGTTGAACTAGTTTACAGTCCCACCAACAGTGTAAAAGCGTTTCTGTTTCTCCACATTCTCTCCAGCACCTGTTGTTTCCTGACTTTTTAATGATCACCATTCTAACTGGTGTGAGATGGTATCTCATTGTGGTTTCGATTTGCATTTCTCTGATGGCCAGTGATGATGAGCATTTTTTCATGTGTCTTTTGGCTGCATAAATGTCTTCTTTTGAGAAGCGTCTGTTCATATCCTTTGCCCACTTTTTGATGGGTTGTTTGATTTTTTTTTTCTTGTAAATTTGTTTAAGTTCTTTGTAGATTCTGGATATTAGCCCTTTGTCAGATGGGTAGATTGCAAAAATTTTCTCCCATTCTGTAGGTTGCCTGTTCACTCTGATGATAGTTTCTTTTGCTGTGCAGAAGCTCTTTAGTTTAATTAGATCCCATTTGTCTATTTTGGCTTTTGTTGCCATTGCTTTTGGTGTTTTAGTCATGAAGTCCTCACCCATGCCTATGGCCTGAATGGTATTGCCTAGGTTTTCTTCTAGGGTTTTTTATGGTTTTAGGTCTAACATTTAAGTCTTTAATCCATCTTGAATTAAGTTTTGTATAAGGTGTAAGGAAGGGATCCAGTTTCAGCTTTCTACATATGGCTAGCCAGTTTTCCCAGCACATTTATTAGATAGGGAATCCTTTCCCCATTTCTTGTTTTTGTCAGGTTTGTCAAAGATCAGATGGTTGAAGATGTGTGGTATTATTTCCGAGGGCTCTATTCTGTTCCATTGGTCTATATCTCTGTTTTGGTACCAGTAGCATGCTGTTTTGGTTACCGTAGCCTTGTAGTATAGTTTGAAGTCAGGTAGCATGATGTCTCCAGCTTTGTTCCTTTAGCTTAGGATTGTCTTGGCAATGCAGGCTCTTTTTTGGTTGCATATGAACTTTAAAGTAGTTTTTTTCCAATTCTGTGAAGAAAGTCTTTGGTAGCTTGATGGGGATGGCATTGAATCTATAAATTACCTTAGGCAGTATGGCCATTTTCATGATATTGAGTCTTCCCATCCGTGAGCATGGAATGTTCTTCCATTTGTTTGTGTCATCTTTTCTTTCATTGAGCAGTGGTTTGTAGTTCTCATTGAAGAGGTCCTTCACATCCCTTGTAAGTTGGATTCCTCGTTATTTTATTCTATTTGAAGCAATTGTGAATGGGAGCTCACTCATGATTTGGCTCTCTGTCTGTTATTGGTGTATAGGAATGCTTGTGATTTTTGCACATTGATTTTGTATCCTGAGACTTTGCTGAAGTTGCTTATCAGCTTAAGGAGATTTTGGGTTGAGACGATGGGGTTTTCTAAATATACAATCATGTCATCTGCAAACAGGGACAATTTCACTTCCTCTTTTTCTAGTTGAATACCCTTTATTTCTTTCTCCTGCCTGATTGCCCTGGCCAGAACTTCCAACACTATGTTGAATAGGAGTGGTGAAAGAGGGCATCCCTGTCTTGTGCCAGTTTTCAAAGAGAAAGCTTCCAGTTTTTGCCCATTCAGTATGATATTGGCTGTGGGTTTGTCATAAATAGCTCTTATTATTTTGAGATACCTGCCATCAATACCTAGTTTATTGAGAGTTTTTAGCATGAAGGGCTGTTGAATTTTGTCGAAGGCCTTTTCTGCATCTATTGAGATAATCATGTGGTTTTTATCTTTGGTTCTGTTTATATGATGGATTACATCTATTGATTTGCATATGTTGAACCAGACTTGCATCCCAGGGATGAAGCCAACTTGATCGTGGTGTATAAGGTTTATGATGTGCTGCTGGATTCGGTTTGCCAGTATTTTATTGAGGATTTTTGCATCGATGTTCATCAGGGATATTGGTCTAAAATTCTGTTTTTTTGTTGTGTCTCTGCCAGGCTTTGGTATCAGGATGATGTTGACCTCATAA
The DNA here is from genome assembly GCF_000001405.40 of Homo sapiens. Lineage (NCBI taxonomy): Eukaryota > Metazoa > Chordata > Mammalia > Primates > Hominidae > Homo > Homo sapiens. The sequence goes on from NC_000018.10 coordinate 25,526,534, forward strand.
AATGAATTAGGGAGGATTCTCTCTTGTTCTATTGATTGGAATAGTTTCAGAAGGAATGGTACCAGCTCCTCTTTGTACCTCTGGTAGAATTCGGGTGTGAATCCATCTGTCCTGGACTTTTTTTGGTTGGTAGGCTATTAATTATTGCCTCCATTTCAGAACTTCTTATTGCAAAACCAGGAACTTTACATTGGTACCATCCACACACTTTATTCAGATTTCATTAGTTTTATAAGCACTTATTTGTATGTATGTTTGTGTGTTGTTCTATGCAATTTTATCAAGTGTGTAGCTTCATGTATCTTTCACCACAATCAAAATCTAAAACTGTTTTATTACCAGAGGACTCCCTCCTGCTACCCCTTTGTAACCACAGCCACCACCACCACCACCCATCCCTAACCCATGGTGACCAAAACGTTCTCCATCTCTGTAATTTTGTCATTTCAGGAATGTTATATAAATGGAATTACACAGTATGTAAACCTCTGGGATTAGTTTTTTCACTCAGCATAATTCTCTTGAGATCCATCCAAGTTGTTGTGCCCATCAATAGTTTACCACTTTTTTGTTGCTGAGTGGTATTCTATGGTAAAAATGTACCATCACAAAATGATTTCTCACATGCAGGGATAATCCCTGCTGGAGTCAGTTGTTACTTTTGGGGGTTGCAAAATTAAGATTTATTTAATACAAGTATCACCTCACTATAAACATTTCCATATTAAAAATGTGAGCCTCAAGAATGTGAAGCCATAAAAGAATGAATTGAAGATTCAGTCCCAGAGTATCCAACTACAGATCTTGTATTTTGCCTAGTCTGCCATATTTACTTGTGCCAGTTTTCACAGTTTTCACTTACTAAGCACCTATTATGTACCTCTCCATTCTAGGTACAAGAGGTAGAAAAGTGAAAAGACATCAGCTGTCCTGATAACCAAAGCTGACAACTATTCAAATATAGCAGCTGCGTGAACAAGATTTTCTAAATGTGGTGAAAAGTAGAAAGTCACAAACCTAAGAAGCTCAATGAAACCACTGAAAGGTAGAGAAAACATAAGAAAAATTATACCCACCTAGACATAATCCAATTGCTGAAAGCCAATGGTAAAAAAAAAAAAATTCTTAAAAGTAGGCAGAGAAAGATACAGAGTGGAATGAAAGAATGATAGTAGATTTTTCTCAGAAACCATTCAAGTTAGGAAAAGAGCAGTAACATCTTGACAGAACTGAAAGAAGAAGAATAAAAAACTATCAACTCAGACTTCTAGTCTCCCCCCAAAAATGTTACAAAAATGAAAATGAGAAACTTCTGTTTCAGAGCAATATGGAATAATGAGAATCAGATTTACCATCCTACCTAAAGCACCTACACATAAATTTTAGAACTACACATATTATGAGACATAAAGACGAACAAAACATAATAATAAAGGTGTCAATTCATCAAGTAGAAATAGCAAAATTAAATGTTCATTTATTTAGTAACACAGCTTCAAAATACATGAAACAAAAATTGATGAACTGAAAAGAGAAATAGAGAAATCCATAATTTATTGTTGAAGAGTAGTCTTCTTGCAGTAATTGGTAGAATAAGTACACAGAAATCAGTAAGAATATAGATGAACTAAAAACACTATCGAATAACTTGACCTGATGTATATTTAGAGAACATTTCTCCACTAATAACAGCAGAATATAAACCTTTCTTTTCAAGTGCACACAACAAACCATATTATGGTCTCAATATCTCAATTAATTTTAAAAACATTGGAAACATACAAAATATGTTCTCTGAACAAGCAAATTCAGTTAGATATCAATTAAATAAATATATCTGAATATTTTCCAAACATTTTTAAGCTAAATAAAACATTTGTAAATAACTCATTGATCAAAGAAGAAATTTTAAAAAAATAGAAATATTTTGACCTGAACAAAAATTAAAACTTGGCATGAAATTTATAGAATATGGCTATGACTATCTTCGGGCAGAATTTATAGCAATAAATTCTCAGAAAAGGAGAAACACCATAAATAAAAGATCTGAGTTTTACCCATAAAAAGTGAGAAAAAGAAGTACAAATTAATCATCTCTGTAGTATAATGAAGGTAATAAAAAGGATAAGAGCAGAAGTCGATGAAATAGAAAACAGAACAATAGAGAAAATCAATAAAACCAAACGCTGTTCATTTTAGGAGATAATGAAATTGACACACCTCTAGATTGATAAGAAAAAGAAAGATAAAAATGATCAATATCAGAAATCACTGCATAATTAGGGATTTGAAAGCATTATCAGGGAACATTATGGACAACATTATGCCAATACATTCAACAATGATATGAAACTCCTTGAAGACCCAAAAATACATAAAGCACACTTATAACTCAATACTAATAAGAAAACAACCTAAAAGAAAAAAATAGGCAAAAGATATGATTAGCACTTTGATAAAAAAGATATATCCTGGTAAACAAGCACATGAAAAAATGTTTAACATAATTAGTCAATAGTCAGTGAAATGCAAATTTCAACCACAAAGAGATATTAGCACACACTCCTACTAGGATACTGAAAATTGAAAAGTTCCACAACGTCAAGTACTGATTGGGGTTTAGAGAAACTGGAGCTCTCACACAATGCTTATGGGCGTGCAAAATGGCAAACAGACTATCACTGACTTATAATGGTTCTTTTTAGGATTTTTCAACTTTACGATGGTGTAAAAGCAATATGCATTTAGCAGAAATCATACTTTGAAGTTTGAATTTTGATCTTTTCCCAGGCTAGCAATGTTTGGTGTGATACTCCCTAGTAATTTTGGGCAGCAGCAGTGAACCACAGCTCCCAGTCAGCCACATGATCAAAGAGTTAACAACTGATACTCTGCATTTTTTTACGTATTTTCAACTTAAGATGGGTTTACTGGGGTGTAACCCCATCATAAGTTGAAGATCTCCGGTATTTATTTACTTGAGAGAGAAAATATGTCCAGACATGTATACAAAGTTCATAACAACTTCATCTATAATAACAAAAAACTGGAAGCAATTCAAATGTCCATTAACCGGGCAATCAATAAACTAATTGTGTTATATTCATATAAAGGAGTATTACTTATCCATAAAATACAGTGAATTTAATTGTGGTAATGTTTGCACACCACCACCACATATTTGCATATATGTTAAAAGTCATCAAATATTACACTCCAAATTGATGATTTTTTGGTATGTGATTTATACCTCAATAAAGCTAATATATAGAGGTATAGATATATAAAAAATATTAATGCATAAGCATATGTAAATACAAGTATTTTGGAACTGAGGAATGAATTCAAAACTAAAAGTGTAGATTTGTGAGTCCAAAGCAAGGACAAAATTTAAGCCATAAGTTTTGCAGGAATCATGAAAGGAAAGCTTGGTTTATAATATTATCACCTATTACAGATAAGGAAACAGGCTCACTTTTTCCGTTTTTTTTTTTTTTTTTTTTTTTTTTAGCCAAGGTCTCACTCTGTCACCCAGGATGGAGTGCAGAGGCGCAGTCTCAGCTCACTGCAACCTCCACTTCCTGAGTTCAAGTAATTCTCCTACCTCAGCCCCCTGAGTAGCTGGGACTACTGGCATGTGCCACCATGCCTGGCTAATTTTTGTATTTTTTGGTAGAAATGGGGTTTCACCATGTTGGCCAGGCTTGGCCTCGAACCCCTGACCTCATGTGATCTGCCCACCTTGGCCTCCCAAAATGCTGGGATTACAGGCATGAGCTACTATGCCCAGCCAGGCTCGCATTTATTATGTGATTTGTCTGCTGTTATACAGCTATTTTTAAAAGCCACAACAAGGATTCCATTATTCTAATGATATATGTATATGTATGTATAATCTATATATACAATGCAATTGTAAAGGATTTGCCAAGTTCCATCTATTAAAAAGTTAGATCGGCAGTTACTTACCTTTTGTAACCCACTCAACTCTTTTCAAAAAGCATAGGCAGGAAGTAGTGACCAAAGACCATTTCTGTCCCTCAATATTCATTTTCAATGAATATTCTTCTTACCCACGTAGAAATATACAAGCATAGAAACAATACCCATACACTCCTCAAAGGGCGAAGTAATTAGATAGATGAGTATTGATTGGTGGTTGGGGACAGGAGAGATCAGGGTATATAAATGAGAGAATAATGAAAGAGGCACATGAAAGATTGAGGATGGGCGTTGTGACCAAGAAAACTTAGAATCTCCATGATCCTTAATTGTCCTTTATTTTGTCATTTGATAGTTAAATTTGCAGTCTCAAAGTCTTTTGAATGATGAACTTTGGGGGCTACATTTGCATGTGCAGACAATAAATTCCTTATTCTAATTAACTCAAAAATTAACACAGATTAAAAAATAAACATTAACTTTCTATGACCAAAACAATTATCAGGGATCAGGAAAAGAAACTACATAAAAGCGTTAGCTTAGCAGACACAAGCGTGTCTGCTGTTACAGATTTGCAAACACCATTCAGCATGGATTAAATCGCAGGCAAAATGAACACACATGAAGAATGTGATAAATTTTTATGCAAGTATAATTTTATTCCAGATAGGCCACAATTCTTTTTAAAAATGAAATGACTTTAAAAATCTAGCAAAGGAGCTGGTAATGAGTACACAGCTCCTCATATTTCTTTTGAGAAATTAAATTAAACCATTTTTCATTTTGATGGGCAAAAAAAAAAAAAAAAAAAAAAAAAAAGTCAAATGCCCTGAAAACAATAGCATTTTTGGTTTTTGAAACAGTAAGCAAGGTCCTTCTCATTTTCCACAAAGATTCACTCCCTGAGTGTGGCTCTGTCATCATGGAATATACGTGTGTTTTTATGGCTGTTATAAACCCATGAATTCTAGGGCTTATGACAGAGAGACTAAACTACCTTTAACGATGGTGGCATGAACAGTAACTCGAGATAGTATATGCCATACTGCACAAAATAGATCATAATATCATCAAATTGGATATTAGAATGGAAACCTCTATATCTGTAAATATTAATGAAAACAGTAGGCTTCAGAACAACCATAGTGGTTGCTGAGAAAAAAATCAACCTAGAAACAGTCTTATGATTTGAAGAACAGATCATCACAATGCAACTGAACTGCTTCAAATCCCCATGGTATTTGAGGTGGGGATGGGGCAGGGGGAGAAAAGAGAGCCTGGGATAAGAAATGTTGTGTTCACATAACTGGCTTTATAGACGTTCAGCAGTAGCACCTTGCCATTCCTGTGGCTCCAGCCTGTTTTATATTGTCCTACAGAAGGAATTCTGGCAGTCAGCTTGTGTGGGGTGTAAAGAAACATTTATGAAATCCTAATTAAGCATACAGTGATTCTTCTAGGGAAATTTTTTTTTTAAGTTATAACCCGGAGGAATGCGGGGTATGGGAAAAGGAGGGACAAAATGGAGGATTGGGGGAGAGATGGCAGGGGAAAAATTTCAAGATTTCCTACTTCATGCTGCGGCTGTCTTGCTCCATTACTTCCTATGATGAGCAAGAGTGTTTTAGGGGCTGTTTTTTCTGCAGCAGGTCAATGTTCTCTGTAAAGAGAAGCAACAGGAAGAGGGCAATGGTTTTGCACTGTGAAGGAAAAATACAGAAACCCGTTAAAGGGAAAGACACTGAGAATAATATTCCTTAGGATCTCTTCCCTCCTGTAGCTTTTTTGTACTTGCCAAACATTATTTCAAGGACAAATAGTTGTCCTTTCATGGCATGCAACTAAAGGAGCTTGGTATTTGGAGTGGATAGATGGAGGGAGAGATTTAATTTATTTTACTTTTGTAGATATAAAAAGTGTACATCGCTGTATACGCAATTACACATTGTTTATCATTTTTATATGGGACACCAACCATTCGTAATGTTTTTACTCACAAGGGCTTAGAGACAAGGCTACTGAAGAACATACAGTGAGTAGTTGCTGGAATAGGCATATGAGAAAGCAAAATAGAAGTTCAATTTCAGACAAGATTCAATACCAATGAAATAAACTCAGGTAATAAACAGAAGGAAGGAGGAAACAATAACATTAAAAAGAGGAAAGAGTTGATTTAAGTATTGCTCTAAGGGGACTCCACTAAGGTAGATTCTTGAAGAACTAAATGTTACTAACAGGCTTCAACTTGGGAGAAATCAGTTAAGATAGCAATAACATTTGTCTTCATCTTGCAATTTTCCTCTAAGGATCTCCAAGCACCTCACATATATACTGGAAGCTAAGAAGTTCCTGACAATGGTAGCTGCTAAACATTTAAACCAGTTGACAAGGGAGCTTGAAGCCATATATAGAGTAGCTCCTTATTTATCCAGAATTGTTATAGGCCATTGGTTTCCAAGGTTTAGCTTGCATCAGAATCACCTGGAGGACTTGCTAAAACATGGATTTCTGGGTCCACTCCCAGAGTTTCTGATTCAGTTGGTCTGGACAGTGGGATGGCCTGGAGAGTTTGCATTTTTGACAAGTTTGGAGTGAGGCTGATGGTGTGGATCCAGGGAACGCACATTGAGAAGCACTGGTTTAGGCACAGCTCTGTCTAATAACGACAATAACCACCACCTGTTGAGCTCTAACGATACACAGGCCACGTGTACTCTATTAGGTGGATACCACTTTCGCCCACATTGTACTGAGAGAGGAAAAAGGAAGAAACTGGTCAGGCAGGTAGTTAGGGTAGATCCTCGGTTGAATTCTTTCAAACAAAAGAACTGCAGGCACAGATAAGGGAACTTGCATGAGGGGCTTGCCTAAGACATGCCCACAGCTGCACAGATAAGAAAGACTACACAGATTACTTGCCCAGACATGCCCACAATGGAAAATTCCATCCCCTGACACATGCGCATTGAGGAGAACAAAGCGATATGGAGTAACTCAAGCTAAGGGCCCACATGTGCACTAGAAGCATGGGGTGGAGCTACCAGAAATTCGTGACTTATGCAAATCATATGCCCAGCCCTCATTGGTTTTTTATAATAGCCTTTGCATTCAACTGTAAAAAGAGCAACCCTCTTCCAGGGCCCCTCTCTGCAGCAGAGAACTTTTTTCTTTCACTTTTGCTCCAACCTCACACATGGTGTCTGCTCTCCTTAACTTTCTTGGTCTTGAGACAAAGGACGCTGGGTACTAACTCAGGCAACAAGAGACTGCTATATTGTGGTGCATTGGCAAGACTGCAACAGTACCAAGGGTGAACGTAAAGATGAGAGACAATAAACCATCACTCAAATCACTCAGCAAGTAGGGGCAGCACTGGTGTCTAGACATGAGTTGGCCTGAATTCGAGTCCTTCACTATGAACTACTACATTGTGCTGAGTAGTGATGGGGATATGAATAGTCTCTAGAAAACTGACTGTAAATTTCAGGCTATATACCACACAAGATGCAGGAAAAAAGTCCACGCACAAAATGTAAAGAAAGTAAATGTTGTTTTTAAGGTGTCATAATTTTTCGAACTCACTTCGATATGCAAGATCCCATCTTTACTATAGGAATTAGTTATGAAGTGTACTGCTGTTACCCAAATATGAGCTGTCCCTTTGTTCTTGTTTGCAAGCTTCTCCCCACTCTTGGCACCACCAAAAATGAAAATCCACTGATACAAATTCATGTTAGAGTGATGTAGATTATTCAGAGAATGGAGGGAAAAGTTCACCATGTCCCTGACCATCTTCCATTGAGTCTTCAGCCCTATTGCTCCTGTCTCCTGGATTCTTTCTTTCTCCTTCCCATATGCAGAGTCCTTTTGCCTCCTTTTAATACACAGAGTCTCTTTCCTTCCTGAAAACTGGGCACCACTCAGGTACCCCCAGATCCTGGAGGCTGCTTTTATTCCATATTAGGCTCTTCCAAAATGCTCTCCCTACAAAGAAATTTTCATATCAGCTTATTGACATAAAATGTTCTCCATGTAATTACACAGAAAACCTTTAAGAAAGTTTCCAGTAATTTCAAGTGGAGAGTTTAAACACCAGAGATCTGTACTATCTACATGTAGCTATTGAGTACTTGGAAAGCATTCAAATGGCACTGTGCTGGATTTTTAAAACACACACTGCATTTCAAAGACTTCGTATAAAAAAAGAATATAAAATATCTCATTAACAAGTGTTTACATTGATTACATATTGAAAGGATAACATTTTAGATATCCTGAATTAAATAGGATATATTATTGAAATAAATTTTACCTCTTTTTATGTTTGTTATTGTGACCAGTAGTACATTTTAAATTGCATATGGCCACATGTGCTGGCTCATGCCTGTAATCCCAGCATTTTGGAGGCCGAGGCAAGTGGATCACAAGGTCAGGAGTTCAAGACAAGCCTGACAAGACGGTGAAACCCGCCTCTACTAAAAATACAAAAATTAGCCATTGTGGTGGGCACCTGTAATCCCAGCTACTCGGGAGGCTGAGGCAGGGAATTTCTTGAACCTGGGAGGCGGAGGTTGCAATGAGCCCAGGTGGCACCACTGCACTCCAGCGTGGGCGACAGAACGAGACTCCGTCTCAAAAAAAAAAAAAAAAAAAAAAAAAAAAAAAAAAATTGCATATGTGGCTAGCATTATATTTCTATCAGCACTGTTGCAGATTCTAAAGAAAATGAAACAAACTGACATCTGGAGAATATGTAAGGCTGATTTTTTTCTGAAAGAAAGTGGACTGAAAAGTCATTCTTTACCTGCAGAATAACAAGAGAAGATCTACTATCTACTTATTTTCACACAACAAATGTCACGACTCTGGTCTTTAAGAGCTTCAGCTATTGCTGACCTGAACACTTGACACTGGAGTCAGCGGACAAGACTGTAACCTGAGGATAATTCTCAGTACATCTGATATTGCACTTATGTTATGCTTTACAATGCACAGCATTGTATAGTATCTGATGAATGAACCAATGAATATAAAATATCTTCCTTATTTAGACCATAAGCATTTTTTGGTGGCAAAATTTATGCTTTTTATTCATTTTTCTTCATTGCACAGTGCCTTATGCACAGCAGGGGCTCAGCAAATATTTGTTGATGGAGTGACAGCATGAGAATACTGCTGAGAAAAAGAGTGGGTGAGGAGGTGAGGACCCAAGCCACCTGGGACTATTTGGTCTGGCTAACCACAAACACAGTTCAAATCAACAAACCCACTAAAGAGGGCTCAGTCTCATCATTCTTAAAGCCACAGTTTGGTGCTTTGGTTGTACCTTAATTAGTTATGAATTGTTTGATTCGGCATGCCATTTAATGTTTGCAAAACTTTCTCCAGGTTGCAATTTCCATAGTAGGAAATGAGTCCAGGGTGTATTTTTTCATGAAAAATTTCTGCAACCGAAGAAGGGGCTTGAAATCTAAAATATCTGTGATTCCCTTGGTGCTAACTGTGAAGAAAGGACACTCAGGCTTTTAGAGATTCAAGGATCATCAACCAGTTAGCTATGGACAATCTGGTCCAAGCTACATGGAGGATTTTCACAGATATTTACAATTCTCCTCCCTTTCCCCCTTTGCCTTTTCTCTTCATTCTATCCAAATTTAAAGAATAAATTTGCACAAAAATAGTAAAAACACTGTATTTAAAAAAATAAGTTTTTTATTTAGCAAAAGTAAGAACACAAACAATTTACAAGAATAGGAAATACAGAAAAAAATAGTTCTAGATTATACAGCAAGCTGGCCAAATGTGTGCTTCAGGTATCAGCAAATGTAGAGTAAGAGAAAGATTTTGTTTTGTTTTGTTTTTTAAGGGTGTGCTGTTTCAGATATTTTCAAAGGAACATTCAGGTAGTCATCATCAATAAAAAACCGATCGGACTTACTTATTATTATTATTCTGTGGTTTATTGTTGTTTGTATTTTGAATTAAATATGAGGATGAACACCATAATATTTTTGTTTGTTTGTTTCATTTTGTTTTGAGAAAGGGTCTCTCTCTCTGTCACCCAGGCTGGAGTGCAGTGGTGTGATCTCAGCTCACTGCAACCTCTACCTCCTGGGCTCGAGCAATCCTCCAGCCTCAGCCTCCTGAGTAGCTGGGGACACCATAGTTTTAGCAGCATATAGATCTTAATCTGGACCTCGGAGAGTCAAATTATAAAATGATACATTAGCCACACTTGGAAATATTGTGGGTTAATTCAGGGTCTCCACTCTGTAACTTTTTGCATTGAAGTTAAATGCACACAGTTATCATGACTACAACCCTCTTAAAGGTGTTCTTCTGTGCATGTTAGATTGACCCCCAGAGAATACATGGTTAATAAGATTGTTAGATAGCATATATTGTTACCATTAACTTTTAATTTTTTTCTTGCATATAACTCAGGAAAACTGGGATTATGAGCAAGATCCTGAGACCACAAAAGTATCTGTATCAGGGAGACTTTTAGGGTAGTCAAAGTATTCTGTTTGACACAATATCATGGTGAATACATATCATTATACATTTGTCGAAACCCATAGAACACACAAGAGTGAACTTTAATATCAACTATGGACTTTGGTTGATAATGGTGGGTATATGTTCATTCATTGGTTGTAACAAAGGTACCGCACTGATGTGGGATACTAATGGTGGGGGAGGCTGTGTGTGTGTGGCACAGAGGGGTTAAGTGGGAACTCTGTACTTCATACTCAATTTTGCTGTGACCCCAAAACTACTCTAAAATATAAAGCCTACTAATTAATTAAATATGTAATCCATCATGCATTGCTTAACCACAAAGATATGTACTGAGAATATGTCCTTAGATGGATTCGTCATTGTGCAAACACCATAGCGTGTACTTACACAAACCTGAATGGTGTAGCCCACTACACACCTAGACTACAGGGTATGGCCTGTTATTCTTAGGCTACAAACCTGTACAGCATGTTATTGTACTGAATACTGCAGGCAACTGTAACACAGTGGTATTTGTGTATATAAACAGAAAATTTTAAATGGTATAAAAAATTTAAAAATACCTGTATAGGGCACTTACTATGAATGGAGCTTGCAGGACTAAAAGTTTCTCCAGGTAAGTTAGTGAGTGGGTGGTGAGTGAATGTGAAGGCCCGGGATGTTACTGTCCACTACTGTAGACTTTATAGACACTGTACACTTAGACTACACTAAGTTTATTTTTAAAACTCTTTTATTTCGTTAACAATAAATTAGAGAAAGCTTACTTTGACTTTTTTACTTCTTAAACTTTTTATTTTTCAAAACTTTTTGACTCTTTTATAATAACACTTAGCTTAAAACATAAGCACATTGTACAACTATGCAAAAATACTTTTTTATATCCTTATTCTATAAGCTGTTTCTTATTTTTATTTTTGTTTACTTTTTAAACTTTTTTGTTAAAAACAAAGACACAAACACACACATTAGCCTATGCCTACATAGGATCGGGATCATCAGTATCACTGTCTTCCATCTCTGCATCTTGTCCCACAGGAAGGTTTTCAGGGACAATAACACACAAAGAGCTGTCATCTCCTATAATAATAGTGCCTTCTTCTGGAATATCTACTGAAAAAGCTGCCCGAGGCTGCTTTACAGTTAACTTTGTTTTAATAAGTAGAAGATGTATACTCCAAAATAATGATAAAAAGTATTGTATAGTAAATAGGTAAACCAGCAACATAGTCATGTATTATCAAGTAGTGTGTACAGTACATAACTGTATGTGCTATAAATTTATACAACTGACTGGCAATGTAGTAGGTATGTTTACACTAGCATCACTATAAACACGTGAGTAATGCATTGTGACAGGACATTATGATGGGGCTATGACGTCACTAGGCCAGTTTCATTATCATCGTATGGGGCCACTGTCATATATGCGGTTTCTCGTTGTGTGGCGCATGACTGTATACACACACACACACACACACACACACACCAGCTCAAAACACACTTCCTACTTAGTGGGAGCTTTCTGTACTTAAAAATGATGATGGAAAATGGATAATACAGTATTGAGTATCAATCAACCCAACAAGAGAAGAAAGACACCTTATCTCACCTTAAAGAAGTAAAGAAGGAAAGAGAGAGAGAGAGTATGGGAGTGGGAGTGAAGAAAGAAGGGAAGAAACAGAGTCCTATTGAAATAATTACCCTGGAATATGGTGGCCCTGAGGTTTTGCCATGCTGGCAGTGGGCGTATATGGCCTTGCAGTCTAGTTGTGGGAGGTGATGATTGCTATCCATTGTAAGGTCCAGGATGGCAGTATTAGCCATGTCACAACCACTCAAAGAATAGCCTTAGACTAGTTGAGATTAATAGAATAGACAAGGCATTAAAAAACCAGGCAGAAAAAAGAGCATTTAGAACTCTGCTTACCCATAGGAAAAAACAGACTGAAAATACAAAATAACAAAATAATAGTAATAGTAGTAACAAGAATTGGGATCCCAGACACTAGCAACAAAAATCTATACAAATCCATTATTAAGAATAAATGCACTGAAATAGAGGGGTTTGTACCACTGTAGGGGATAATTTTTAAAACCAGCTGTGAGTGGATTTTGTTTTTTGTTATGTGTGTGTGTGGTTTTTTTTTTTTTTTTTCATAATGAGATGATCTCAGGTAAGGGAAATTTTAGGCTGAATGTCAAGAAAAAAATTCCTGACTGTAAGAACTATTGGATTACAAAGTGGTCTCTCAAGGGAAGGAGCAGAAACACCATCTGCACTGCTCTGGGAATAGGTTTGTTAGTTAAATTGTACTCCTTTTCTTAGTTGACTGCTTGACATTTCAGCAACAGAGCCAAATAATTCATGGGTCAACTAAGAAGAGTGCTTATTATAATCATCTTTTAAAATCTCCACCAACAGCAGTGAATTAGAAAAAAAATATAGTTGCTATTTTATTCTACATGATAAAGGCTGTCAGGTTTTTACAGTATGAAATCTCTTCTTCAATACCCTTGGATTGCTTTTTAAATGATCGCTGATATCCATAAAAAAGAATGCCCTGGCAGTGCTAAGAAAATAGCATTTGAGAATTGACTAGAAATAATGAAGAGGAATTGTGTCCACTATTTGTACAAAACTGCTGGTAGGATCGTAGCCATCCCTTGGACTTCAAATAATAACCTTGCTAATAATAAACTATATTAAAGCCAACAACAAACCAAATGACTTTTAATTCTCATGGAAGCAGAAAAGAAAAGACAACAGTTAAAGTAAAAGAAGGCTTGCAGAGAATCAATAAATTAAGGACTGCAGATTGTGACATTATTATCCTGTAAATACTCCTTAGTGATTCTTCCAGGATCTCTTCAAACAAAGAAATAGAAAATTAACACCATCCCATCCAATATTAGCACAGAATGAATTCAATAAAGGTGAGATACTAGTGCTCTTAGGGCCTGGGGCAAATTACTGTGTGCTCTCATCCTCTAACACCTTGAATAGAGTTAGACATGGTCATCAAGGACAGCCTTGAAAGGCAAAAGAAGGCAAGGAGAATTCCAAAATGGACAGCACGCAATTTGGGCATTGTACAAGGCAGACGGCCCTAACTCCCCATATATATAACTCTTAGGTAGTTTGGGGCACTTATGTCACCTCCTTTGCCCTACCTGCCACCTGTCTGTAGCTCCAGCCAGTGGAATCTCTGAATATCAGTGATTTTCCAAGCATCAAAAGGAAGAGAAGGAGGATAATATATTTATCTAAACATGTATAGGTTAACCATCAGAACCAATTGTCATGTTAGGGCAATGTTCCTCAATCACTGAAACTACTATAGGAAGAAGAGCAGAAAGGATGTACAATCCTCATGAATGTGTCAAAAATTACATTAATTGCTGTTAAAGTATCTTGCCTCTTTCTATTGAAAAAGCCAAATAAAGATGAGAGTCAATAACACAAAAGGTATATACATAAGAAACCATAATGAAATAATTATTCAGATACTTCATCGGCATAGGGTTAAAAACATAGCAAGGTTATATTAGACCACATAACATATATACAGGTATATAAAAGCACTTATAATACTAGGTCTGAAATAGATATCATCTAGTTCAGCTTCTTTACAGATAACCAATATTGACTAAGTAAAGCTGAGAGGTGACTGAGACCAGACCAGAAATGTCCAATTACAATATATTGTGATGCCCTTTCTCTTCATAATATAGAGAAATATATTTAAAGCCTTTTAGTTAGTTAACTCTACACCCAGACACTATTTTAGGCACAGAGAATGCAATGACAAGCAAGAAAGACACAGTTGTCCTTACAGAGTTTATGGTTTGGCTGGGAAGACAAATAAGTAAATAAAAATAATAAAATGTGATAAGCATTATGAAGGCGAAGTCTAACATATAGTAGAAACCTAAACTCATTTACAGATCAGGGAAAAGCCCTCAAGGAAATATTTTTAAGTTGAAGCCGAAAGTATGAGGTAGATAAATGTGAGAAAGTAGGGACAAAGAGGTGTCCTGGACAGTAGCAGAGGCCTGTGGGCGAGGGAGAGGGGATGTTAAGTTGGAGACAGAAACAGAAGGGTGAAGAGTGAGGAAAGAGAAGGCCAGGCAGAGGATGGTGAGAGATGACTCTGAAGAGGTGAGTAGGAAGGCCCGGAAGTCCAGGTGAGAGTTTAGCATGGGGAGTGGGAAGCCACTGAAAAGGCTTAGTAGGGGAATTGAAATTATTATATTTGTGTTTTGGTGTGATCAGTCTGGCTGCATTGTGAAGAGATGACGGAAAGGGAAAAGAGTAGAGACAATCGTCTCGTTGGGAGGAATGGGATGAGATAATGGTAGTAAAGGCAAAATGATATGGGTAGGTTTACCAGGTGAAATGGGGGAGCTTTGTTGACTGACTGGATATGGGAGCAGTGAGGGGATGGAGAAAGTCAAGACTTTTTCTTAGGTTCAACACATGGGGAAATGCAGAGAGAAGAGGAGATTGCCAAGAGCTATATAGAAATTGTGTGTGTGTGTGTGTGTGTGTGTGTGTGTGTGTGTGTGTGTGTGTGTGTTTAACTTATGATGCTAGAAGAGAAATGATAATCCTATCCCCAAAGCTGCCAGGAATTTCCAATGCATAACCCATTATACACCACTAACATCACATGGGACAGATAATAAAGCATGGAGACTGAAAACATTTTACGAGACTTTTGGAAGAAATGCAAATTTCCTAGAAAGATATTTGCAATCAGAAGCAAATCCTTGGGCAGATGGAGCTAGGAGAGTTAGAAGAGCATTCCCTGAGCAAAACTCCTGTGGTAGGAAACACTCGGGGTGAGTGACAAATGCACTGGGACGTTGTGAAAGATGTGTTTGCAGTTGGGCTCAGAGAACACAGAGAGTCGTATGTGGAATTAGGCACACCTGTGCGTAGCACAAAATGCTTCAAAACAAAACAGTGGCTTCTCTCTCACCAGAGGGGAAACAAATGACAAATGGAAGCTTCAAAATTGCCCCAGGGCCATCACATACAAAGTCTGATATGCTGCCCAGCACAAATGACTTTTCCCTTTCTCCTTCCAGCTTCTGGCCAGCACAGCTTCTATTTCTGAGTCCCTCTAACTTTGGGAAGAAGCAGGTACAGCCTCTTTGACCAGCTTTGCAGATCAGGTTTCTGCTTCCGACTCCATTTCACCACTGTTTCTTTAGAAGGAGAACTTAAACTTTCCAGATGTTCAACCCCTCTGCTCTAGCAAACCTTTTAAAAAATAAATCTTTCATGAAATTCTCCAATACCAGCTTGTCAGCACTTGCTCTTAATTGGTGCCTTAGGGTGCCTCCAAACTCAGACCCTCAGACAAGGAGAAGCCAGAAAGCTGTGTGCTGGGAAGATAAAGGGACACTTGGGGGGGTAAGAAAGTGAGGGGACAAAGGACAGAGAGTCAGTAAAAAGGTGTGTTATCAAGCCAGCTGCCACTATAGGTCACTGGAAATTAATCAGAGTTACCCCACACAACAGATTGGGAGTT
Organism: Homo sapiens; assembly: GCF_000001405.40. NCBI lineage: Eukaryota > Metazoa > Chordata > Mammalia > Primates > Hominidae > Homo > Homo sapiens. The sequence continues at coordinate 25,542,538 of NC_000018.10, forward strand.
TGGGTATTTCTACACCAAATCCCATCAGTCACAGGTTGAGGGCTTTGGGGGTGTGTATGGGTAGATGAGGGCTGTAGATTCTCATAGGAGTAGCAAAGTGTTGGGGGAAAGCCCTCAAGCAAAAAATAAAAAATAAAAAAGCATATTCTGGCAGTGGGAGGTCAGCAGGTGTGCACTGATGTGGTAAGGGTGAAGAAATATGGGTGAGACACTGAGAGTGTGTCCTAAAGTTAGCAACAGAGTAGATTCCCCTATATGGGGCAGGGGTAGGGGTAGACTAAATGGTAATTGACAACAGATACGCATGCATCCACACAACAGAAGAGATGTGTGACTTCACATTTGATGGCTTCTTGAAAAACAGGAGAAAGCATACAGAAGCCATTTTATCATGGTACTGGGATGAGAGATCAGACAAGAGAAAATACAAAACAAATATTTCCTCTGAGAAGGTTAGGAATAACATTGTCAGTGTCTAGGTCAGAACAGTGGCTAGCCACTCTTGCTTTGCTCTTTTGAGGACATTGGATTACTAGCAAATGCTATTTGACAGGTACAAGTTTGGGCCATCAGATTTCCCTAGTTCCTTCCAAGCTCTAAACATAATAGTTCTACAAACCAACTTAACGGTTATGTGTGAGCGTACACACACACACACACACCACAGTAGCTTAATTTAATTTCCTAAATTAAATCCTCCAGAGCAGACCCCAGATCTTGAGCTTTACTTCAACTCATCCTCCTGCCCAGTACATCGATCTGCATATTGTCAATGCAGATGATAGACAATGTGAAGCAAGAGGAAGAACCACATACGTTTAATGCTTCTCACCTGGACTCACAGGGAATTCATAGTACTGCAGATGTGGCACTAGCCCTAGCACTGAGCTTCCTTGTAGGCTAGACACAGCATTTTCTAAAAACTAAACATGAACTTGAAATTCAGTTGAACTTCCAAGAACTGTGGTTTGAAGTAGTAGGTAAATCACTGCAGGACAGCTCTTCAGGCCAACAGAGTCATCTGATGGAGAGGCAGCTCTATCTGAGGTGCTAGCAAGGACTTGAGGGGGAACAACAGAAAGAGATGTTGGTCTACCTTGCTCAGCACAGGTGTTATCTCTCCATTTTGATATCTCAACTACTTACCTTGACACTCTGTGTACACCAAAAGCAATAAAGATAAAATTGTACTGTCCAAATATAGTAAAAGGTTGTCAGTGAAGGACAAACAAGGCCACATATTTAAATGTTAGCATCAATCTCTCTACAAGAGGCTCAGATCTGTGGGGATTAATGACCCAAATTAGTACGCTAAAGCAGCTTTTCAGTTTCTTAAAAGAAAATTAAGGTGGGGCCCTTTAAGAAGAAGAAAAATATGTATTCATATGAGTCTGACTCTGAGGTTCAGAAGTCATGGAGAGCAATTTTTAAAAACTAGACCCCAGGTTATGGGATTCTGAGAGTCATACCTAGGAAGAAGCCTACCACTTTGTAGGTAGCTAGATAGGATCTCATAAAAAGAAAGAGGAATATTGACCAGCCCATGAGTTCCTTCCCTTTCCCCATGTCTCCCTTTTCACAAAGCCTGGCAGATGTGTCAAGGTGACTAAGCCTGTACCAAATATCTTACTTTTGCATATCTTTGGTTTGACTTAAGAACTTCTTTAAAAAGGCTTAGATATGTAAGTCTTCAGTATTAATTTTAAACATAGTCCAACAAGGCTAGAATGATAATATTATAGGATGTCTTGGAGCACAAGTCCTTGAGTCAGAGGTATATAAGTTCAAATCTTAACTCTTTCCCACACTGAGCACATGACCTGCACCTACATACTTTCCTCTTTAAGGATTTACTTTCTTATCTAAAAGTGCAAATGACAATAGCATCTACTTGTAAGGCTTAATGTGATGAGTAAAGGAGCTAATGAATAAAGCATAGTACTTGGCAAGTAGTAAATACTCAATACCTTTTAACTAGTGGTGGTAGTGAGGGTGGTAATAATTGTGTTGATGGTTGAAATAGAAGAAAAGTTCAACTTTCATCAGGATGCTAGGAATTAGTGCTGTGTACCTGAGAGTCTCAGCTGTCCTCTTTCCAGGCACATGGTAGGACTGCACTGCCTATCCACTCCAGAGTTAGATATGACCTTGTGAAACATTGACCACATGAAATATGAATGCAAGAGATCCATGTCGCTTCTGGGGAAGTTTCAAGAGCCACTGAGTCATCTACCTTTCACTCTTTTTCTCTCTGCTGTGACAATCAGTAATGTTCCTGTTAGTGCTATTATTACTAGCTCTGTCATCACAGAGATAAGTCAACATGGAGCAGTGCCCCTAACTAATCCATGATGGGCATGTAGCAGTAGTAGAAATGAACTTTGTTGCCTTTGCTACTGTGATTTGGGGGCTGTTGTCCTGCTTCCATTCTGAAATGCTGATTCTGATATATAGGAAATATTAATTTGATGTCATATTGTGGCTTCCACTTCCCCATTTTCAATGGAACCATTACTTCTACAAGGAAGTTGTTGCATAAGCTACTTGGGTACTCTCCTCATGAACAGTTACTAAATGCTTACTTTGAGTAAAGAATGAAAGCATAATGATTTGCCTTTTCTTGCCTGCCTTTAGAGCAATATAGTTCTTTCCGGGAACATGGCCACAGAGAATAGGCAGAGTAAGATAGCCAAATGGAAGCCTCTACCAATGGTCTTCCCCCACAGAAACACCAAATTGAACAACTATCTGTGCAAAAAACACCTCATACGAACCAAAAATTAGGTGAGTAATCACAGTACCTGGTTTTACTTACATCTTAAGCAGAAAGACTAAAAGATGAACCAATTAAAAATAATACCTATGACAATGTTTCAAGACATAGATGGTACAATCAGATATGAATAGAAACAACCAGAAGTTTAAAAGTGAGGGGACACATTTAAAATGTAAAGTTTTTATTAGTTTTCTTTTGCCTGTTTGTTTCTTTATGCAATCAGTGTTAAGTTGTCATCAGCTTAAAATAATGGGTTATAAAATATTTTCAAGCAACATGGTCACCTCAAATTAAAAGACATGCAATAGATACACAAAAAATAAAAAGCAAGAAATTAAGACATACCACCAGAGAAAATCACCTTCACTAAAAGGAAGACAGGAAGAAAGAAAAGTAGGAAGAGACAACCATAAAACCAGCAGAAAATCAATAACAAAATGGCAGGAGTAACTCCTTACTTATCAATAATTACATGGAATGTACATGGACTAAACTCTTCAATCAAAGTACATAGAATGGCCAAAGAGATTTAAAAAACAAGTCCCAATGATCTGTTGCCTACAAGAAACACCTTCACCTATAAAGACACACAGACTGAAAATAAGGGAATGGAAAAAGATATTCCATTCAAATTGAAACCAAAAATAGCAGGAATATCAGTCAAAATAGATTTAAAAACAAAAACTACTAATAAATACAAAGAAGGACATTATATAATGAAAAAGGGTCAATTCAGCAAGAGGATATAAATATTTTAAATATATATGCACCCAATACTGGCGCACCCAGATATATAAAGCACATATTATTAGAGCTAAAGAAAGAGATAGAGCTGGGCACAGTGGCTCACGCCTATAATCCCAGCACTATTGGAGGCTGAGGCAGGTGGATCACGAAGTCAGGAGTTCGAGACCAGCCTGGCCAGCATGGTGAAAACCTGTCTCTACTAAAAATACAAAAAATTAGCTGGGCATGGTGGCGTGCACCTGTAATCCCAGATACTTGGGAGGCTGAGGCAAGAGAATAGCTTGAGACCGGGAGGCAGAGGTTGCAGTGAGCCGAGATCGCGCCATTGTACTCCAGCCTGGGTGACAGGGAAAGACTCTGTCTCAAAAAAAAAAAAAAAAAAAAAAAGGAAAGAAAGAGATAGACAGACCCCAGTACTATAATAGCTGGAGGCTTCAAAATCTCACTTTCAGCATCAGACAGATCATCCAGATAGAAAATCAGCAAAGAAACATTGGACTTAATCTGCACTGTAGAACAAATGGAACTAATAGATATTTTCAGAACATTTCATCCAACAGCTGTAGAATACACATTCTTCTCCTCAACACATGGATAGTTCTCAAGGATAGACCATATGTTAGGTCACAAAAAAACTCTTTTTTTTTTTTTTTTGAGACGGAGTTTCGCTCTTGTTGCCCAGGCTGGAGTGCAATGGTGCAATCTCAGCTCATCACAACCTCCGCCTCTCGGGTTCAAGTGATTCTCCTGCCTCAGCCTCCTGAGTAGCTGGGACTACAGGCATGTGCCACCATGCCCGGTTAATTTTGTATTATTTTTTAGTAGAGATGGGGTTTCTCCATGTTGGTCAGGCTGGTCTTGAACTCCCAACCTCAGGTGATCTGCCTGCCTCAGCCTCCCAAAGTGCTGGGATTACAGGTGTGAGCCACAGCGCCCAGCCAGCAACTCTTAAAACATTCAAAAAATTAAAATTATATCGAGTATCTTCTTTGACCATATGGAATAAAACTAGAAATAAATAACAAGAGGAATTTTGGAAACTATGCAGACAAATGAGGATTAAACAATATACTTCTTAGTGACTAGTGGGTCAATGAAGAAATAAGAAAGAAATTTAAAAATATCTTTCTTTTTTTTTTTTTTTTTGAGACGGAGTCTCGCTCTGTCGCCCAGGCCGGACTGCGGACTGCAGTGGCGCAATCTCGGCTCACTGCAAGCTCCGCTTCCCGGGTTCATGCCATTCTCCTGCCTCAGCCTCCCGAGTAGCTGGGACTACAGGCGCCCGCCACCGCGCCCGGCTAATTTTTTGTATTTTTAGTAGAGACGGGGTTTCACCTTGTTAGCCAGGATGGTCTCGATTTCCTGACCTCATGATCCACCTGCCTCGGCCTCCCAAAGTGCTGGGATTACAGGCGTGAGCCACCGCGCCCAGCCAGAAATTTAAAAATATCTTAAAACTAATGATAATGGAAACACAACATACCACAACCAATGCAATACAGTGAAAGCAATACTAACAGGGAAGTTCATTCATAGCTATAAGTGTCTACGTCAAAAAACAGAAAAATTTCAAATAAACAGTCGAATGTTACATCTTAAGAACTAGAAAAGCAAGAGCAAATCAAACCCAAATTTAGTAGAATAAAAGAAATATTATAATAAAGATCAGGGCAGAAATAAATGAAATTGAAATGAAGAAAACAATATAAAAGATCAATGAAACAAAAAGTTGGCATTTTGAAAAAATACACAAAACCAACAAACTTTTAGCCAGACTAAGAAACAAGAGGGAAGACCCAAATAAATAAAATCAGAGATGAAAATGGAGATGTTAAAACTGATACTGCCAATGGACGAATGGGATCATATCAAGTTAAAATGCTTCTGCACAGCAAAGGAAACAATCAACAAAGTGAAGAGACAACCCACAGAAAGAGAGAATATAGTTGTAAATGCTCCACCTGACAAGGGATTAATAACCAGAATATATAAGGAGCTCAAACAACTCAATAGGAAAAAATCTAATAATCTGATTTAAAAATGGGCAAAAGATCTGAACAGACATTTCTCAAAAGAAGACATACAAATGGGAAACAGTGCTCAACATCATTGATCATCAGAGAAATGCAAATCGGAACCACAATGAGATATCATCTCACCCCAGTTAAAGTGGCTTTTAACTGAAAGACAAACAATAACAAATGCTGGTAAGGATGTGGTGAAAAAAGGACCCTCATACACTGTTGGTGGGGATGTAAATTAGTACAATCACTAGGGAGAACAGTTTGGAGGTTCCTCAAAAAATTGAAAGTAGAACTTCCATATGATCCATCAATCCCACTGCTAAGTATATACCCAAAAGAATGGAAATTATTATATCGAAGAGATATCTGTACTCCCATGTTTATTGCAGCACTATTCACAATAGCAAATATTTGGAATTAACCTAAGTCCATCAACAGACAAATGGATAAGCGGAATGTGGTGTATATATACACAGTGGAGTACTATAAAGCCATAAAAAAGAAGAATATCCTATCATTTGCTACAACATGGTTGGAACTGGAGGTCATTATGTTAAGTGAAATAAGCTAGGCACAGAAAGACAAACTTCACTTGTTCTCACTTATTTGTGGGAACTTAAAATGAAAATAATTGAACTCATGGAGATAGAGAGTAGAAGAATGGTTACCACAGGCTGGAAAGGGTAATGGGAAGTGGCAGGAGTGGGTATAGTTAATGGGTACAAAAATATAATTAGATGGCCAGGCGCAGTGGCTCACGTCTGTAATCCCAGCACTTTGGGAGGCCGAGGCAGGCAGATCACGAGGTCAGGAGATCGAGACCATCCTGGCTAACACGGTGAAACCCCGTCTTTACTAAAATACAAAAAATTAGCTGGGCGTGGTGGCGGGCACCTGTAGTCCTAGCTACTCAGGAGGCTGAGGCAGGAGAATGGCGTGAACCCAGGAGGCGGAGATTGCAGTGAGTCGAGATGGCGCCACTGCACTCCAGCCTGGGGGACAGAGCGAGACTCCATCTCAAAAAAAAAAAAATACATATAATTAGATAAAATGATTAAGATCTAGTATGTCATAGCACAATAGGGTAACTACAGTCAACAATAATTTATTGTATATTTAAATATAATTAAAAGATTATAATTGGATTGTTTGTAACACAAAGAAATGATGAATGCTTGAGGTTATGGATAATCCATTTACCCTGATGTGATTTTTATTATACCTGTATCAAAATATCTCATCTACCCCAAAAATATGTACTCTATTATGTACCATAATAATTAAAAATAAAATTTTTAAAGTTTATTTAAAAATATTGTAAGGAGAGATGGAAGTACTGGAGGTCTAAATTCTATACAGCTCCTTAAAAAAAAACAGAAACATGGCTACAGCTTCTTTGTTGTTAAATTGGTTGATAGTCCAGAAATTTACAGAGAACAGATGGTAGATGTTTTCTCTATGACACATCTAGTGTTATCCTGTTCAGTTTCCATGGCTAAGGTGATGAGATGAATTCACTTCAGTTAAAGGACATAAAACCAGGTCTTAACCTACAATACGAGAACACTGCATTTTGACAAAACACCCAATTAGGATTCCTGTAAAATGTCTGCTGTTAAATTGGCAGAAACTCCAGTCCCATCACTTGGACATCATATCCCATATCTGGATACAACAAGCATGTGATGAAAGCCAAACGAAAAATACTGTTAAGCTATATACAGAAAGAATCATGTGTGTTACCAGTTCTAGTTCAGACTTGGCAATAATTTCAGTTCCTCAAGGGGTGGAAAAGAAGGAAAGAGAAGGGAGTTAAAATATGGTGAGCAGCTATAGATCTTCCGAAAAACTCCTGGCACTGAGGATACAATAGTAAACAAGACAGACATGGTTCCTGCACTCATAAGCAAGGATTATAATGATAGAGATAGGAAATGTCTAAATAAATAAAACACTTTCAAGTTTCTATAAGTGCGAATGAAAGACACAAATAAGGTGTTTGGAAAATATACAAGGGAAATTGAAGCCATCAAAGACAGTAAAGTGATCCAATTCAGGTTTGTATAACCTGTGTAACTACCACTCATAAAAACATGCAGAGCAGGGGTGTCCAATCTTTTGGCTTCTTTGGGCCACATTGGAAGAATTGTCTTTGGCCACACATAAAATACACTAACAATAGCTGATGAGCTAAAAAAAAAAAATTGCAAAAAAAAATCTCATAATGTTTTAAGAAAGTTTATGAATTTGTGTTGGGCTGCATTCAAAGTAATCCAATGTGGCCCATGAGCCATGCTTGGACAAGCTTGATGTAGACATTTCCCTCAGCCCCAGGCTCCTTGACAGTCACCAACCATCAACAAGCCATTTTCACTCTCTTCACATTGATCAGATTTCTATCATCATGCCTATTCTTGGACTTTATATAAATGTGTCCAATTTATTTTAATCAACATATTTCTGAGATTCATTTATGTTACCATGTGTATCAATCATCCACTCCTTTTTATTGGTGAAGAGTATTCTATTTTACGCATTTGTCCCTATTGAACTATCCATTCACTTACTGATGGACATTGATATTGGTACCAGTCTCTAACTATTATGAATAAACTTGTTCTCAACATTCTCACTTACTTGCTGGGCCATAGGAAAGGTAGATGTATAATTTTATGAGGAACTTCTAGTTTCCCAAAATATTTTTACCATTTTACATTTCTACTAACCAAGTACAAGATGTTTATTTGCTCCACGTCATCTTTAACGTTTAGCAATATCAGTCTTTTTGATTTCAGCCATTGTAGTGGAAGGAAAATTGTATCTTATAGTGCTTTTAATTTGCACTTTCATGATGACCAGTGATGTTGAATATCTTTTCTTGCACATTTTGGACATTTGTACATCCTTTTTGGTCTGTTCAAGTCTTTTGCCCATGTTTGTATTAGGTTGACAAATGTAGTAGTTGTTTATGTATATGGATATGAGTCCTTTGTCAGGCATGGTTTGCAAATGTTTTCCCAGTCTTCGATTGCCTATTCATTTTCTTAGTGGTGTCCTTTTAATTTTCATGAAGTTTATTATTTTTTCTTTTATATGTTTTTTCATTGTTCTAGCTTTTGCAGTTAGACATATGACTTCTCTCAAATTAATTTTTAAATTACATATATCTGTGTATATATATATGCATACATAAATTTTATGTATGTATAGAGGTTGAGTTTCTTTTTTTCTTCATATGGTATCCATTTGTTTCAACAATATTTGTTAAGACTTTCCTCATTGAATTGACTTAAGGCTTTGTAAAAATCAATCAACCATACTTTATGGGTCTATTTCTAGACTTCCTATTCTGCCCTACTGATCTGTCTATCCTTATGCCAATGCCACACTATCTTGATGATAGTAGCTTTATTCTAAGTCGTGAAGCAGGTATTGTAAATCTCCAAATTTTTCTTTTTCAAAGTTGTTATAGATATTCTAGATTCTTTTAATCTTCCATAGATTGATAGAATAGTAAATAAAATAAGATTCTTTGAACATTCATAAAAATTTTAAATCAGCCTGCTGGGATTATGCTTGGGATTATGTTGAATGTCAAAATCCATTTGGGGAGACCTGATTGATGTCCTTATAATATTGAGTCTTCCAATCCAAGAACATAGTATCTCTCTATTTTTAATAATGTCTTTAGTTTCTCTTAACAAAGTTTTGTAGTTTTCAGTGCAGAGATCTTGCACATCTTTTGTTAGATTTATTCCTGTTTATTTTGTTAGATTTATTTGATGTTTTGCTGCTATTATAAATTTTTTAATTTAATTCAATTTTTAAAATTTCATGCTAGTTATATATAACCTTGTATTCTGCAACCATACTAATTTACTTATTGGTTTTAGTTGTTTTTTTTTTTTTTTTTGAACTCCCATAAGATTTCCTATGTACATAATCGTGTCACTTGCAAACAATAGAAATTTTACTTCTTCCTTTCCAATATATATGCCATTTATTTATTTTGTCTTATTTCACTGGCCAAGACTTCCAGTACAATGTTTAATAAAAGTGGTATACCCATCATCTTTCAGTACGTATCATTATAACCTAAAACTTAGTGGCTTAGTACAATAATAATCTTGTTGCTCATTAATCCATGGGTTAAGAATTCAGTCAGAGCTCAATAGGGGTGGCTTTTTTATACACTGCCTTGCATGTAGGGAGTGAGCCATGTGTCTTGGGAAGGATGATTCTCTAAAGCTCTCTTGCCCTGTCCCCAACTATCAGGATATTACTCCTCAGCACTCAACAGAGGCTTATGGCAAAGAGTTGGCAAGTTGGTGCAGACTTGCTCTGTGGCTTGGGCTCTTCTGAATTGCAATCTGTCATATCAGCCCACATATGTTAAAAATTTTTTTAAGTTTGCTATTAAATAGCAAATTACTTAAAACAAAATAAGCAGATTTTTTTTTTTTAAGAGTTGAGGTCTTGTTCACTTGACCAGGCTGGAGTACAGTGGCACGATCGTGGCTCAATGCATCTCGAACTCCTGAGCTCAAGTGAGCCTCCCACTTCAACCTCCCAAGTAGTTGGGACTACAGGTGCCTGCTGCCACACTGGGTTATTATTTTGTTTTTGAATTTTCAAGAGATGGGGTCTCATTATGTTGCCTAGCTGGTCTTGAACTCCCAGACTCAAGCGATCCTGCTGTCTCAGGCTCCCAAATCACTGGGATTACAAGGCTTGAGCCACCACTCTGGGCTCAGAAGTTTGTTAAGTTTGCTTTAAAATAGCAAATAATTGGGTTAAATAGACCCAATTATACACAGAAATCTAGTATATGATAAATGTGGTATCCCAAGAAATTCAGATAAAGACTGTCTTCTTTATTCTTAATAAATCATGTTAAGACAGTGGGATATCTCTTTAGAAAAAGTAAAATTAGGGCCAGGCGTGCTGGCTCATGCCCATAATCTCAGCACTTTGGGAGGCTGAGGCGGGTGGATCACGAGGTCAGGAGATTGAGACTATCCTGGCCAACATGGTGAAACCCTGTCTCTTCTAAAATACAAAAAAAAAAAAAAATTTTGCCAGGCGTGGTGGCGCATGCCTGTAGCCCCAGCTACTCAGGAAGCTGAGGCAGGAGAATCGCTTGAACTTGGGAGATGGAGGTTGCAGTGAAATGAGATGGTGCCACTGCACTCCAGCCTGGTGACAGAGTGAGACTCCATCTCAAAAGCAAAAGAAAAGGTGAAATTAGATCCATTCCTCATACAATACACAAACTCCAAATGGATCAGAGATCTAATGTTAAAAATGAAACTATGAAAGTACTAGAAGAAAACATGGGTGAATTTGCATGTAATGTGAGTGTAGGGAAAGGCTTCCCAACTAAGACTCAAAATCCATACACAATATTAAAAAATTGATAAATTTGACTATGAAAAAATAAGCAATCTTTAAGACAAAAAGCACACTGGGAGAAAATATTTGCAAAATATTTCACAGAAAAAGGATAAATATTATTCATATACCAGTAATATTTAAATATTGAAGAATAAAAGACCAAAAATCCTGTAGAAAAATAGACAAAAGATATGAACAAAAAAAGACATAAAATGACCTTTAAACATGAAAATTTGTACAATTTTACACATAAGAGAAATGCAAATTAAACCACACTCATTTGCCATTTCTCACCCATCAGATTGGCAAAAATTCAAAAGTTGTGCAATGTACTCTGTTGGGACACTGTGGGGGAACAGACACTCCCATGCAGTGCTGATTGGAATGCAAAATGGTGCCAGTCCTATGGAGGTAAAAGTGGTAATATCTTACAAAACTATAATTGCAGGTATTCTTTGACTCAGCAAGCCAACTTCTAGGAATTTACACTGAAATACACTTCCAGTAGTACGAAAATGCATATGTGCAAATTCATCCATTGAGCATATGTGTAATTGCAAAATAATGGAATCTCCCTGAATGTCCAAGCATTGATGGGATAAACTACAATGCATTCACCCAGTGGTTTTGAACACACTATGCAGTTGAGGAAGAGCTCTATGAACTGACATGGTGTGATTTCCAGGAGACATTATAAAGTAGAAAAAAGCAAAGTACAAAAGAGTATATATCTTATGCTGCCTTTTGTGTAGGAAATAAGAGCAAATAGGAAACCACAGATACATCTTCCTACCTTTACATAAGGAACACAGGAAAAATACATCAGAAACAAAAAGTTTGTAACCCATAAGACTAGGGAGCAGAGGAAAGAAACAAAGCAAAACGATACAGGGGAAGTGACCCTTCTCAGAATATTCCTTTCTGTACCATTTCTGCCTTTGGAATCGTGTTGATGTTCTAAATATTCAAAAAATGAAATTAACCCAATAAAGATGGAAAGGGGGATCAAAATGGAAAGCAAAGTGAAACAAATGAACCAGATGTTATTTCGAAGAATACCATAATCACATTATGGTAGAGAGAAAAAAAGAAAAATCAGGTAACTGACAAGCACAGAATTTGACTATTAGGCCCTATGTGTAGGGCAGGGTGGAATGCAGGGAGAGAATTACAAGCAAATTCTAAATTCCTTTCAGTTAGGTTTAATTTTGAAGAGGTATGGGTGAAACAATTCTGAAAAAAATTAAAATGTATTAAAAGATTGAACAAACAAGTAAATTTATTGATACTGTTGTGGGCTTGGGGTCTCATTGTGGAAGAAAGAAAACACAAATGTGAGGTGGAAATAAGTCAATCCTGCAGGGATAGATTGGAATAAGAGGTAACAATATGAATTCATAATTTTAAAAATATGAATATAAGTATGCTTGTATCTGTGCACACATACACATAAATATTTGTGTCAGTATATTTGTATGTGTATGTATTTACATACATATGTTTCCTAGCTCTGCCTTCTCAAAGGGCCAAGAAGCAATGAGATCTTAGGAGTAATGAGCCCTCCTAGCACCCAGATCTTGGTCTCTAACACTATTTCTCAATAAAAGGAACCAGGGATCCTCAAAGAAGAAACTGATTCTAGACCTAGGATAAGACAAAGACAGCCTGGAAAATCTTATTATGTCAACAAATAAGGAACTGCTTTAAAAAAAAAAAGTGATAGGGGCATGCCACAAAGATGTAGAAGTCATTTGAAGAGGCTGCCACTGGTCAGATCTGGGATAATTTGAGTACCAAAATAACTAACTACAGTAATAAATTGCAAGCCACTGAACAATAGAAATTCACGACTTTCTACATTTTAACCTGAACTGAAAGTCCCAATTTAGATTTAAAAGTACTTTTTACTGAGTGGAGATTGAAATGGAGGGTTGAAATCAGTTGTGAATCTAGAAAGGGAGCTGTTGCAGTTTTCCAGGAGATGAATGATAACTGTCAGAAGTCTAGTTGGACGCAACGAAGACAAAAAATTAATAAAGAAAGGAAGTGGTTTGGAGATGTATTTTCAGGATGAGACCAACTGACTTGCTGATGAATTACAAAATAAAAGAAGGTCATTGCATGCCATTTATTGAGAGAGAAATGTTGGAGGCAAAAATTTGTAGCAAGGATCTTGGTGGGATGGAGCAGGCAAGGATAAAGCATTTGGGCATGTGTGGTTTGTATTCTGTTAGCTATCCTGGTGAAGATAGCAAGGAGACTGTTGGATGTATAAGTTTGGAGCCAGAGAAAAGACCTGGGCTGGAAATTCTAACCTTGTAAACCAGGCATTTTTAACCTCATGTAATGATGAGGATCTAAAATGTGACTTAATTTGTTCAAGGTTACCAACCTGGTAAGGTGACAAACTAAGATTCAAACCCAGACTTATTGAACTTTAAGCCATCTCGCCACACTGTCTTGGAGGACTCGAACTCCATCTCAGACATCTCCTATGTCCCAGAGCACTAAGCAAAATACTGAGTGCACAGCAGAGGCTCAGTAAGTATTTGTTGATTGATTAATATGCCTTGGGATATTAGGAAACTCACCAAACTCCAAACCTCATATTCTATTTACACAGCTACATTTGAAGAATAGACTTGATTAATTGCTTTCTGGCAGTCAGTAGCGTACCAACTTGGGCAGAAAGTGAGCAGAAGCACAGGGAAGAAATCCAGCTTCTGGGAGTCCCAGTCAATCCTGATCCCGAATGATTGGGCCTGGCCATTTGAAGTCTCTGTTTAACCAAATAAAGGCAAGACATTGTTTTCACTTGTAGGTGCCTTGATCTGCTTTCATCTGCCCATAAGTAATAAAACAGTCCTGGCTGCCATATTAAGACCATCAAGGCCTACTTAGTCCTTTTGCATCATTGCATGGCCTGGGAAAGCTGCATCTGTGATCCAGTTTCTACCAAGAAAAGAATAGCATGCTAAGCTTGAGCAGTACAACAAATCATCTGAGGAATCTTTTCCTGCCAGTTTTTCTCCACTTTTTTCTCTACATTTCTCTCTTATTTAGCTTTTTGTTATATATTTAGCATCCATGATGCACCTATCAGCCAGGGCACAAGAGGCTATTTCTCTCCATTGATGTAGGGCAAAAGCAAAAGTTTATCTGAACATTTTAAGGTTAGCAGTTCACGGTGTTTGGGAAGAGCTATATTTTCCACCAAACATGATTAACCACAGAAAGAGTTGTATTAAACTGCTGATATGTCGCAAGTCCCTCACTTCAGAACAGTATTAGGATTAGCAACCCTGAGGTTGTCATGCGGTAATTAAGGGACTGTGAAATGTTATATAAAGACTCACAGCTGGCTATTCAAGACAGCAAAATTGAAAGGCAGATTGCTATCACCAGGGGAGATCAACTCTTCTAGGTCTGTAATATTAAGTCCCAGTGCTTGCTGGAAGAGCTGCAAGTATGTCAAGAGTTAATTTCTGGCCATTATATGACCCTCCTGGTTTTCCTGTGGTGGGGCAGAGTCCTGAAAGAATCCCATTATCACATTGGACTGGGATGGTGTGCGAGTTTCTGCCAAGATATGAAATAAATTTGTATCGCCGGCTCAAGTTCTTTTGTACTGACACCCTTCTCAATCACTGGCTCTTAAGGGGGAAATAAGACAATATTCAGAAGACGAAAGTTCTCTGTCCACCAGTCCTCTGGCTTGCCTCATCCCTCAGAGAAACGGGAAGTTACATAGCTGCTTAGGAAGCTATTACCATGCTACTTGGAGTTTCCTGCTGTTCTCATTGTCGCTGAATCCCTGATAGTGTTATTTAGAAATAAGGGATAATCGCTATTGGTTTATTGTGTATGAGACAGAAAACTGTTTCTGAGATAGACTAATAGCCAAAGCAAAATGAAATCATTTAATCCATCTCCAAAGCTGTTTGTTGAGAGTATACTACAAAGCCATAAAGATCATTACTATTATAGAGCACACCATAACATTAAATGAGAAGTTTCTTTCCCTGGAGAGGGCAAGGAGTTATTCCATTATGCTAATTCCATCTAGCACCTTCTGGGTATACCACGACAGGCATAAGAATAAAAAGATGAATGCCCGGTTAGCTTAGGAGTGAACATGATCATTTTCACTGTGTAACACTTCCCTCCAGACTATAGGTAGCTTCCAGGAAACCTCTAAAGTGTAGAATTTTCCTGAGTTTTGATCATCGGTTTTCCCAGCAGCTGAGCACTAACCTGACACTTTATCTGAAATAGTGGAGGTAGAGGGTGCAATTGGGCAGTAAAATGGTTGTATAGATCCTGGGTTGATTGGAAGCCTTTGCTTCTAAGCACAACAGTTTGGCCACCATAAATGTGATCATTGAATATAACACTGCTGTTTGAATTCTTGACACATGAATTTTAAAATAACAACACCTTAAAAAGTAACATCTTGAGTTATAAAGACATTGTTTTATAACCCTGGCAGCTCCTGTAGACATGTGAGTAAAATTATTTATGCCTATGAACTTTAAACTATTTCTGAATAATCTATGCAATGCTTAGCTTAGAACCATATGCAATTAGGCACTCAATAAATGCTTTTTTTAAGAAAGAGAAGAAAAATCAATTTTGATTTTAACCTCCTCAAGAGTATCAGGAACTATCTTAAAATTATTGTATATAAACCAATAGTTTCAGTTCAAATATCTTTTTTTTTTTTTTTTTGAGATGGAGTTTCACTCTTGTTGCCCAGGCTGGAGCGCAATGGCACAATCTCGGCTCACTGCAACCTCCACCTCCCGGGTTCAGGTGATTCTCCTGCCTCAACCTCCAAGTAGCTGGGATTACAGGCATGCACCACCACGCCTGGCTAATTTTTATGTTTTTAGTAGAGATGGGGTTTCTCCATGTTGGTCAGACTGGTCTCAAACTTCCGACCTCAGGTGATCCACCCACCCCGGCCTCCCAAAGTGCTGGGATTACAGGCGTGAGCCACTGCGCCTGGCCCAAATACCTTTTTAAGATTTCAGAAAATGTAATGCTTAAAGCCTTTTTACAGTTTATCTAAAAATATGGGACTACTTATGAACTGTTCAACCTATTTTTCCTTCAAATTAAAAAAAAATCCATTTCATACTGTCTTTAATGTTGGGAGGAAGAGTAAGTTAGAAAATAATAGCATAGAAGAGAAGTGGCAAATAGGCTTTATCTCATATGCCAGAACTGTTTAATTAATAATGCCTACCTGCAGGGTTGGGTTAAGAAATAGCCAGAGTGTCTTGATTATTTAATGAAGCCTACCATTGGTGTAAAAAGGAGGGATGGGATCTTTATATGAGGTTGCACAGAAGGCATTTAGTTTTGGGAATGTTTGCCAAAATGTAAGGAGATTAGGATATCATTTGCTGCAGACTCAAGCTATCATTCTGAAACCTGTTTATTTTTCTTTAGTGATCATAAGAATCAATATAGAAGCACTAAAGGGTAAGTTTGACTCTGAGTCAAGATCAGAGATTGTCATGTAATAAAATACCCAGATTCTCCTTATAAGCACTAGCTAGGCAGTTGGCTGGATGAGCTAAATTTACACACACACACACACACACACACACACACACACATCTTTAATCAACTAGGGTAATAGTTAAGGGTGGCTGCAAATCTGCATATCCTTGGACACTCCTCTGATCGAGGGTTAGGGACTATGTGTACTACCCTTAAACCTGAGTGTGTCCTTGAAATACAAAAAAGAGATATATACAACTGAGTAGCATGACAGTTAAGAGTTCAGACTGGGTCCCAGTCTCTGATCTGACACTGTTTGACTTTAAACAAGTTTTTAAATATCTTTGTGTTTCTGTTTTTCTTACCTGTAAAATAAATATAGTGATAGTACCTGTCTGATAAGTTATTGGGAGCTTTAAATGAGATACTATGTGTATAGTGCTTAGAATAGGATCTGGCACTTAGTAAATGCTCAATAAATGGGCCATTATTTTTATTACAATGAGATTAAGTACAGATGCTTTGGGAGCAAACAAAGGAATGATATCCAAGTGGTGGTGATAGGAGTTCAGAAAAGACTTCATAGGAGAAGTAACTTTTAACCCTAAACCAGCAAGGTAAGGAGTAGTGTCTTAAGAAGCAGGAGACTGTCGGGGGGAGAAGCGTGAATGGGAGGGCAGGGACTTCCAAGCCAAGGAAGCAGTGTACGTGGAATCTCTGGAGGCAAGAGAGAGCATGGCATCATGCTGAACTTCATTGCAACTTCTGACTCCAAACCCTATGGTGTCATTTAGTCATTATTCAACTCCTCATGCATCAAGATGTCATTGACTTTCTACATTCGAGTTCCTACTTCCTAGGCTTTCAATCATTTTCATCATTTACTCTAACTCTTCTCTAAATGTCAACTACTCTTCTCCTAGACAAAGAGACTAAGCAGTTCTTGGCATCCTAATCCAAGTTCAGCAAGCCTCCTACTCTGGCCTTGTGGTCTGTTTTGGACTCCAGATCTTCAGGACCTGGCTGACTATTCTGATAGGCTTTTGCACTGGTGTTGTGAGGCCAATTAACCTTGCTAGTCTGGTAAGGGTCAGTCCTCGGCAAGTGATGACCTTATCTGGACACCATGCAAACATCTGTGAAAGGAAACAGAATAGCTCATTTAATAGCTTGAAAGTCCTGTGGAGGCCTGAATAGTTGAAAACAGTTAAACACAAGGTAATGTTCAGCCTGAGTGGCTGGATCACTTACTCAAATCAAAATAAATGCTCTTTACAAAATACCTATCAGTCAGATTATCTGATACCTCTTGTAAGAGGGCAAAAGATGAGGAGGAGAGGATTACAAGTGAAAAGACATCCCATAAGAGCAAAAGCCATGCAGTTGAACTCAAATCACACAACGTATCTTTACAAAAATAAGTCTCTAGTGTGCAAAAGGAGGTAAAAAGACTTTGCAATTGATGTGACTATAAACATCTGATCCTCTTACCACACCCAACTGTACAAAAGGACAAGTTCTGGGCTGAAGTCCCAAAGACTTTCCTGGGCATTTGCAATAGAACACATGCATGCAGGAACTCCACAGCAAAGCCAAGCGGGCAGAGCCAGTCTGCCTTCTGGAATGCCCTGCGTAGAGAAACAAGCTTTGCAAGACAGAATTAAATGCAGATTACCAAGGGCGTTGGGAGCTGTGCAGACTTGAGTGAATCACAATCAGAAACAAGGATTAAGTTGTTTAATTTTGAAGAGTTCTCTCCTAATTTTCTCAAATAAATGTCATTTCCAGTGATCCCTGCTCTGAACATTAATATAATAAGCACTCTAATAGAATTCATAGTAGTAATGGAGTATTTTGGTGGCAAATGTATCTAAATATCCATTTCATAAAATAACATTTGTTAAAATGTAAAAATGAGTGAAAAGAACAAAAGAAAAATACTGCTTTTCCTCTTGTGTTTGATGGGTTTTTCATTAAGCCTACTACTTATAATGATAAAATGGTCCTTGGGAATTAACAGCCACAGAATTTGTAAAGCATGCTTCCAGAGTCTTACAGCTTTCACCTCTCTGGTGTGTTTAAGGAAGGAGGATAAAGGCAAGGCCATTTACAAGGGGAATGACACTCAAATATTCAGAAGTAGACAGCTTCCACAGGTGCCTGGACGTCGTGGAATATAGGGGCTGTGTCCACTTTCCTGCTTGTGATAATATTGATTCTATTTAGTAATTCTAGGCAAATGAATATTGCTGACTGTTTCTCAGTTGGGAAGTGGTAGAGAAGACACATGAAATGAAACTAACATTGCATGTTAAGCCTGTATCATTTACAAAAGGAAAGAGCATCACAATGGAGTTTCTTTTAAAAAAAATTATTCTGAAGACCAGTAATAGAAAGGAGCCAAGAAATCGTGAAGAAAATACGACTCATTGACATAATAAATGATCAGAGATTAATAGATGAAATAGTGCCCGTTCCATGCCAGCTCCTATGCAGGTTTGGAGAAGGTAAAAATTACTAAGACAGTGACCTGCTCCATTTTATTAAGTGCACAGGCTTAGTTTACATGCCAGTGGTGGAGGGTGGCAAGGGTTGAGATGAGTGACCAACTGCTCCAGGTTGCCCAGAACTGGGAGGGATTCCCAGGTGCTAAAACCAGGAACGTCTCAGGCAAACCAGCATGCGTTGGTAAACCTCAGAAAGGAGGCTAAAGCAATAAACAGGCTAGGGTTAGTTGAAGAAAGTGTTTTTGTATGCCATGCAATGGGGTTTGGCTTTGACCTTGTGGGAAATGCTGGGCCTTTGTTTCGACACACAGAGTTGTGATGAGGTTAACTGTGTCCTGGAGGCCAATCAGATGTCATTTCTGCCCATCAATTCTGTTTCTGTCTCATTGCCCAGAAGGGAGACCTTTATAGTAAAAGTTGGCAAGAGAGGAGTGTGCGCTGCAGGATTCTACCTCCTCCTGTCCAACATGTCTCCCCACGTGGGGGTGATCAGGACATCAGGTAACGTTGCCCGATTCCATGACTCCGTTTTCCCCTACAATCCACTAGGGCAGAAAGAACAGACTTTCTTCCTAGTTCCTCTTTCTTTCTGTCTGAGATAGCCACCTGCTAGTCCCTCTTTCCTGAGGTAGCATTCATACTTTGTTGTCCCCTGGATCTGTGAACCGAGAGTGGCCACTAGGGGTCATGGTTCACAGAGGAAGGGAATTTAAAAAAAAAAAAAAATATATATATATATATATAATATATATATTTATATACACACACAAACATATATACACACATATGTGTATATGTGTGTATATATGTAACTATGTTATGTAGATATGTGTATATGCATATATATGTTGTATATATGTATATATGTGTACATATATACAGATACACATACACATATATATATACACATACAGTTATTTAGTAGTGTCACAATAGTATCTCTTTTTCTTCTTTTGAGACGAAGTCTCACCCTGTCAACCAGGCTGGAGTTCAATGGTGCAATCTCGGTTCACCGCAACCTCCACCTCCAGGGTTCAAGCAATTCTCCTGCCTCAGCCTCCCAAGTAGCTGGGGTTACAGGCACCCGCCACCACACCCAGTTACTTTTTGTATTTTTAGTAGAGATGGGGTTTCACCATGTTGGCCAGGCTGATCTCAAACTCCTGACCTTGTGATCCGCCTGCCTCGGCCTCCCGATTGTGCTGGGATTGCAGGCGTGAGCCACCGCCTCCAGCCAATAGTATCTCTTACAAGCAAAATTAAACTAGGATAATAAAAATCAGAACAGAGATTGTTTCCAGGGCATATGTTGACTGGGGAGGGGTATTAATGAATGTTCTGGGGTGATAAAAATCTTCCATATCTTGAAGGCATGTGGATTACATGGGTGTGTGCATCTGTGAAAACTCACTGAACTGTACCTTGAGGATGTGAGCATTTCACTGCAAATAAATTACACCTCAATAAGAAAGATTTTTTAAAAGGGAAAAAATTAACTCTGTTGCCCTTCTAAATGTTCTTCTAATTAAGTCTTTGGATTCTCTCATGTTTATCACCTTAGGGCAAATTGCTAAAGTGGAATTTGGGAGCCAAAAAAAGATATGTACACTTTTAGGGGTTTTGTTAAATTTTGAAAATTATCTCCCAGAAAGGTTCTTTCCTGTTTATACTTCATTAAAATTGATTGAAAATGGACATCAGGATTTACCTGTTGTGGTTTGATTTGCTATTTATACAAATACAAATGGAGTAAGTTACCCAGAAATGCATAAAGATAACAAGTAAATTATTTGAGAATTACTAATTTATATATATATATATATTTTTTTTTTTTTTTTTTTTTGAGATGGAGTCTAGCTCTGTTGCCCAGGCTCCTGATCTCAAGTGATCTGCCCACCTCAGCCTCTCAAAGTGCTGGGATTACAGGCAGAAGCCACTGCACCCGGCTGAATCTCAGAACCTTAATTCCCCCAGTTCAGAAACCTGTACACAGAGCTGCCGAACTGCTACACCCCAGCACAGGTGGCAGATTTGAGCATGAGCTCCTCTGCTGTCCCTTCCACAGTGTCTGGTGGAAGTGCTAATGACAGGGAAAGGGACAGCAGCAGGAGGGACAGGGAAGGCAAGAAAAAGCCAAGGGATAGTGCAAAAGGCAATAATTAGCTCTCCGATAATCACAATTTGAAATAACTTGAATCCAAGTACTTTTAAAGGCAGCTTTCTTGAGGGATACATTTTCTGAACAGGAAGTAGGGAGAGAACACCAACCAGGGCTAAAAGCAAAAGACTGTGAAGACTTCTGCAGCCCAGACTCCTACATCTGTCGGCATCACAGAGTTCATCCTTCTTCCCTCTCCCACCGCCACTGTGGACATGAGCATTAATGGTGCAGACGATCATGCAGTCACATAATTACTGGAAATTATCTCCAAAAAGCCGGGGAGAAACCAGTGTCATCTCGTACCGCTGGTCTGCTTTAGGAGAAGCTGGCATGAAGCAGCATCCCCCAGTAGGCAGCAGCCTTCATCTTGGCATAAACCTGCGGAATCAAATGCTTCTGCTTCTTCCTGGCTGGTTCATACCCTCTCCTCTCCTTCCAGAAGGAATTAGCCCAGCTCTGACTAGGTGCTATGCTGTTCCATATGGACCACCTCACAAAGAAGACAAAAAATGTCACGCTCAGCATTAAAGCAGGGGCTCACACTGCTATCTTGCGACCTTTGCAACCTCAATCTGAAACGAAGCTTCCTTATTCTGCATACAGCACTGTCAGTGGATTGCAAAAGCGGGTAGATCAGATTGTCCCCCCTCTATCCATCGCTTTTCAGTTTCAAAACCCTTCCTAAATAGAATTGAGTTAAAAGAAAATGCTGGTTTGCTCTTTTTCTTGGGGAGGGGAGAGAGAGGATGAAGGTCTTTGGAAACCAGTTCAGACAAGTTTGAATACAATTAAACAAGGGGCTCCTCTCTGCCTGCCATCCACAATTTTCCGATTCCTTTCTAAGCTTAGTGTTGCTTAGTGCCCACCGATGTGAATAGACTGGAATAGAGAAGAAAAGCCAAGAAGATCTGTTACTTTCTGGTAATGCCCAGGAAATTCTTAGAAAAGCCACTAGGTATCATAGTACTCTCGATGAATATGTATTGACCTTGAAAATCATTTTAAAAATCGATACTTACCAGCAATAATATTGATGCCTTTATCTATTTTTTTAAAAAGTTATCTGGCCTGCTATAAAAAAACTATGTGAGTTTAAATTCCTTCTCAGTCTTTACAAGGTCAGACTCACAAGGTACAGGGAAGAGAAAGATGTCTGACTCTAAAGCTCACCGACCCATGAAGGGATTAGCTTCCTGAACGTCCCCCGATACTGTTGCTTCTCTGAATAGAATAAGAGAATTAAGGCACCTGCCTTGGCCAATATGACTAGGGCCTACCAATGGGTAGATTTTAAAAACTCGATTGTACACCCCTTGTGTTCAAGCCACTAGGCCATCCACTTCATCAGTGTAGACTGATTCTTTGTGTTTAAAGGTAGCATTTCCAGTTATTATTTATTCCTATCACGTGACAAGCAATGCTAACATGATGACCAGTTGTTAAAAACACAATAAAAAGAATGAAGGACTCTGAAACAGGCCTGGGTTTGAGCCCCAGTCCAATTTCTTTATCAACTCTATGGCCCTCAGTCTGAATCTTAGTTCCCTTGCTTGTGACTCCAGGATAAAAATCCCAAATCTGTTTTACAGAGTTGTTGGAGTCATAAAAATGACCACAAAAATGGTCAGAAATCATTGTTCACTGGCTTTTCTCTCCACCCCAGAACTCTAGCACACTCAAATTTCTCCAAAAATAGTTCAGAAGCCCCCGAGAGAAGGGACCCACATGTGGTTCTCGGCCTCTTGGATTCTCCGTGAGATCCACTGTCTGCTGCCTCTTCTGTTGCTGCCAGCATCAAAGGCATGATCATGCTACCAATCCCTGCTGAAAGCATCAACATGGCTTATGATACTCACATGTTAGGCACAGTGCACCTACTTTGTGCCTAGAGTTGTACTCAGCACTGGGGCAACAGGAGCAAGCAAGTTAGGCAGGGTCTAGCTCACCTGGATCCCTGTGTGGCTGATATTTGCATATGCAAATGCACTGCACACACACGTGCACATACCTCATATGCACTCACACATACATGAACACACGCTGCTGCTCACCATGATGGCACCATGTGGCTTGATGTTAAGGGTTCTGATACTGGGCCATGGGCAAAGCTTCTGCCATTGTCAAAATTTCTGGAGGCAATGCTGCTGATCTCTTGCCTTGGAGCTCCATTTCTGTTTCCTCCTTTTACTGGCTGATCAGGAAAGTGACTGAAGAACAGGAGCTGCATCCAGGGTTACTTCTCCACTGTGTTGATCCTCAGCCTGGGGCCTCCATGCTCTACTCCCATGAGACAAGATTTAGAGAGGAGACTCCTTCCTATGGACTCACTCAGCCACATGGGGCTCCAGGTGAGCTGGACACTGCCTAACTTGTTTGCTCCTGTTTCCCCAGTGCCAAGTACAACTCCAGGCACAAAGTAGATGCACTGTGAATATCTGCAGAAGAAATGACTGGAGTTGGTCACCTCCTTTCCTCGATGTATCACAAAGTACAAGGATATGAACGGAATCATGAGGTGTTACAAGACTCGCTCCATCTTGCCGTGTTCAAATAAACGACCAGGGCATACTTGGATTTTAGTAAAGCTGATCATGTCTTACTTTGTTCATGGTGTTAAAAGGCAGTAGAAATGGCTGGGTTTTAGTTTGTTGGATGGCTGGCTTTTTGCACTCCTTTGCTGCCCTTTGGACCCTTACTTTGCCTTGGATACATTGTTGCTCTTGGATCTGAACTGCTTACTAACACTTTTTATCTCCTGACAAACCACAGCAGTGGGCCAGGGCCTTACCCAACCTTGTTGTCTGTGCTTTTGTCCCATCTGTCTAGAATGACTTTGCCCCATTTTTATGTCAAGTGAAATCTTACTCATTTTTTGAAAGCCAACCTCCAAGGAGCTTTCTCTAACACTCTTCACCTCCCACTCCCTTTAGGACAATAAATGGTCCCTCTGTGTTCCCACAGTTGTGTGTTCACTTGGCCAGTGGAATGCTAGTTATCTGTTAATTATTGATGTGTTTGTTTCACTTGCCAGATTGTAAGTTCCCCAAGGGCAGGAAGCACATTTTATAAACCAGTATAGCCAGGGCCTAGCACATGAGAGATGCTCTGTAACGGTGCATCACAAGAATATCTTTGAAAATTGTAAATTAAAAAGCCATATAAACATATCTGACTCCTCCTCTCTACCTCCACTGTGCACTTCACACACACACACACAAACACAGTCTGCTCACACACACACATGCTAACCAGCTTGCTTTTAAAAGCCCGTAATGTTTTTGGTTTTACCATGGCCATTGCATGTGCCCAGAATATTACGGTTTCAGTGGGTACATCCCTTCTTCTACTCTCAGGTGAGCATTTTACATTCTCCTTACTGTGGCTTGGCTCTGCTTTTATCTCTGCTTTTACAATTAGAACAGCTGCATCTTTACATCTCAAAATCCCATTTCTCCTTTTTCAAATTTGTTGTAGAAGAAATAGACAAAGAGTAGTGCAAATTAAGGGAATGCATTTGCCACCTGCTGAAGACTGAATGTTTGTGTTCCCCAAAAATTCATATGCTGAAATCCTAATCCCCAGTGTGATGGTAATAGGAGGTGAGGCCTTTGGCAGAGCCCTCATGAATGGGATTGTGCTGTCATAGAAGAGACCTGTGACAGTTCCTTCACCCCTTCTGCCATGTGAGAGACACAGCAAGAAGACGATTGTCTATGACCCGGGAATGGCCCTTAGCAGACACCAAATCTGCTGGCACCATGATTTGGACTTTCCAGCCTCCAGAACTGTCATAAATAAATTTCTGTTGTTTATAAGCCACCTAGTCTAAGATATCCTGTTGTAGTCACAAAAATGGACTAAGACAGCATTAGATCGGAAATCAAAAGAATTCAGAAGTTTGGACAAACCAATGTTCAACTATTAGATTAGATCAACCTTGTCCAATCCATGGCCCATGGGCTGCATGTGTCCCAGGATGGTTTTGAATGTGACCCAACACAAATTCATAAACTTTCTTAAAACATTATGAAATTTTTTATGTGATTTTTTTTCTTAGCTCATCAGCTATTGTTAATGGTAGTGTATTTTATGTGTTGCCCGAGACAGTTCTTCTTCCAATGTGGCCCAAGAAAGCCAAAAGGTTGGACACCCCTGGACTAGATCACTCTAGGTAATCTAGAGGTAAGAAATGAGAAATTTGGGAGCTACTGACTTTTCAGAGAAGATAAGCTTCAAATTCTCTTGCACAGGTTTTTCTGTATCAAAGACATCTTAAAGTGCATATTTAACAAGCTTAAATACCCATTCCTATCACCATGCAGTGGGAGCATTCACCATGCAGTGGGTTTTAATACAAATCTAAACGGTATATTAGCAGTAATAAAATTATTTTTATTGTGACTTTTTTGCTGTTATGACACACAAGTCATTATCATATAGGTAAATTACCTACTTTTATTAATCATGGTTGACAAATTATATTCATTCAGAAACAATAAACTTTTTCTATGAGTCCTAATGTACCTCTAAGAGTATGTTATCTATTCAAGGCTCATCTGATTACACTCAATTCTAGCTCAAGAAGAGGGAAGTTTTAAAAATATTAAAAATGGGAAACCTGACAGACATTTATATACAAGAACCAAAGTGTAACTCTGCTTCATAGGAACAAAAACAAAGAACTCTAGAAGAAGGAACCAGGTCTTCTCTCTCTTTTCAGACACCATGCGGTCTTGCTCATTGCATGATTCCTATCTGGGCTCCACTTGGGCTTTTTTTTTTCTCTCTGTCTTCCAGCTGTCTCAGTAGATTCAGTTTGCATAGACCTTAAGCCTGCGATTGCTTTTGGGTCCTAGCTGCAGCCTCTGTGACTACTTTAAACAGTTTGCTGATTTCCCAACACAAAATTCTCCAAAAAGAATTTCTACAACATAAGTTGTAGAAAACAAGCCAGTTTAAGAATAGTCAGTCATAGGGCTGGACACAGTGGCTCATGCCTGTCATCCCAACAATTTAGGAGCATGAGGCGGGCAGATTGCTTGAGCCCAGGAGTTTGAGACCAGCCTGGCCACATGGCAAAACCTCATCACTACTAAAAATACAAAAAATTTAGCCAGGCACGTGCCTGTAGTCCCAGTTACTCAGGAGGCTGAGGTGGGAGGATTGCTTGAGCCTGGAAGGTGGAGGTTGCAGTGAGCTAAAATCTCACTCCGGTCTCGCAGCCTGGGTGACAGAGTGAGACCCTGTCTCCAAAAAAAACAAAAACAGAATGGTCAGTGGTAGAGTCAAGTTCCCTTCTTTAGTCCAGTCAGTCATGACCTGGGAAAGGGGATGAACTTGGGCAACCCCACTCAGGAGGGGCTGTGAGAGAGAACAGATTCCTTAAATGAAGTAGAAGCAGGGCTGAGCAGGCAGCCCAAGGCATGTCGAGAGCAGTGGTTGCAAACCCCTTCTATTAACGGCCAGACAGCAAATATTTGAGGTAATTTTTGGCCACATGGTCTCCGTACAACCACTAAATTCTGCCATGTATGGTGCAAAAGCAACTGCAAACAATACGACAACAAATAAGCATGTCTGCGTTCCAATAAAACTTCACTGAAACAGCTGGCAAGCTGGACCTGGCCCATAGATTGTAGTTTGCTAATCTCTGCTCTAAATTATTATAGGGAGTTTCATAGTGTTATTTAGCAGTAACACAATAACAGTCAAGAGCATCAAAAACTTTTCTCTCAATAAAAAACTTTTTATTACAAAATATCACATGTTCCACATAGAAAATTCACATATGTTGAACATATGTATTTATATATAATAAGTATTACATATTAACATATATTTTATAATTCTATATTATATAAAGTAATATTTTATTATATATATTATATATAATAATATTGTATTATATTAAAAATATATATATTTTTTGGAGACAGGGTATGGCTTTGCCACCCAAGCTGAAGTGCAGTGGTATGATCTCGGCTCACTGCAACCTCCACCTCCTGGGCTCAAACAATCCCCCTGCCTCAGCCTCCCAAGTAGCTGGGACTATAAATGTGCACCACCATGCCTGGCTAATTTTTTTTTTGTGGAGGTAGGTTTTCACCATGCTTCCCAGGCTGGTCTTGAACTCCATAGCTCAAGTGATCCGCCCACCTTGGTCTCCCAAAATGTTAGGACTACAGGCAAGAGCCACCACACCTGGCTGAAAATAAGTATATTTAATCTAACCACTCAGAAAATAAAACATGGCTCATATTCCAGTCTTTTTCCTATGTTTTTTAAGTAACTGGATTTATACATATTGTTTTAGATGCTATCATCCTCACATAAAATATAGTAAACATTTTCTCTTGTCATTTAGTATTATACAAATATCATTACTAATAGATGTAAGGCAGTAATATGCTGGTAGATATTTATGAACTAGCTCTCCAAGGGATAAAACCAGCCTGAATTTGTAGCATTTTCTGATTTCCATGGTGTAAATATTCCCACCATGGTTGATTTCAAGCTACTAACAGTTCAACAACTGCCTTGTAAAATTCCTGAAGTTTTAGCAGTTGACACTTGCAAGCTAGTATGAGCCAGCTCCAGCAAATTGCTGAAAGTGTTCCACATATAGACAATAAATTATTCAACCAATGTCCCATTGTAAGGTATATAGGCTATTTTCACATTTTGCTATTAGTGACGGTAATGCAACGAACATAGGGAAATCTTGCCCCAGATTGTCGATTTCCTCCGGAAAGCTTCCTAAAACTGAAGTTTCTGAGTCAAAACTATGCAGTATTTAAGGCTTTTAAAATGTTTTTTCAAATGTCCATGTAAAAACTTGTTTTCACGTTTGTCCTCTGTAGTAATAAATGAGAATGTTGTTTCACTTAAATCTTTGCTGTATTAGTCTGTTTTCACACTGCTAATGAAGATACCTGAGACTGGGTAATTTATAAAGAAAAGAGGTTTAATTGACTCACAGTTCCACATTGTTGGGGAGGCCTCAGGAAACTTACAACCATGGCAGAAGGCACATCTTCACAGGGTGGCAGGAGAGAGAATGAGTATCCAGCAAAGGGGGAAGCCCCTTATAAAACCATCAGCTCTCTTGAGAGCTAACTCACTACCAGAGAAAAGGATGATTCAATTATCTTCATCTGGTCCTTCCCATGACATGTGGGGATTATGGGAACTAAAATTCAAGGTGAGATTTAGGTGGGGACACAACCAAAACATATCATTCCACCCCCAGCCCCTCCTAAATCTCATGTCCTCACAATTCAAAACACAATCATGCCCTTTCGACAGTCCCCCAAAGTCTTAATTCATTCCAATATTAACTCAAAAGTCCAAATCCAACTTGCTTTTGATTTTAAAGGCTCATAGGTGGAAAGGACAAGGCAAGTGCCTTCCACCTATGAGCCTTTAAAA
Source organism: Homo sapiens (assembly GCF_000001405.40). Taxonomy (NCBI): domain Eukaryota; kingdom Metazoa; phylum Chordata; class Mammalia; order Primates; family Hominidae; genus Homo; species Homo sapiens. The sequence goes on from NC_000018.10 coordinate 25,571,083, forward strand.
TCAAAAGCAAGTTAGTTACTTCCTAGATACAATGGGGGTATAGGCATAGGGTAAATACACCCATTTCAAATGGGAGAAATTGGCCAAAACAAAGGGGCTACCCCTTTGTTTTTGGAATTGCCCCATGCAATTCCAAAATCTAATAGGGTAGTCATTAAACCTTGAAGTTCCAAAATGATCTCCTTTGACTCCATGTCTCACACCCGGATCATGCTGATGAAAAGGTAGGCCCCCATGGCTTTAGGCAGCTCTGCCCCTGTGGCTTTGCAGGGTACTGCCTCACTCCTGGCTGCTTTCACAGGCCAGCATTGAATGTCTGTGGCTTTTACAGACGTACAGTGCAAGCTGTTGGTGGATCTACCATTCTGGGGTCTGGAGGATGGTGGCCCTCTTCTCACAGCTCCACTAGGCAGTGTCCCAGTGGGGACTCTGTGTGGGAGCTCCCACCCCACATTTCTCTTCTGCACTGCCCTAGCAAACGTTCTCCATGAGTACTCTGCCCCTGCAGCAAACTTCTGCCTGGACATCCAGGCATTTCCATATATCCTCTGAAATCTAGGTGGAGGTCCCCAAACCTCAATTCTTGACTTCTGTGCACCCACAGACTAACATCACATGGAAGCTGCCAAGGATTGGAACTTGCATCCTCTGAAGCAATGGCCTGAGCTGTACATTGGCCCCTTTTAGCCATGGATGGCACGGCTGGGACAGAGGACACCAAATCCCAAGGCTGCACATGGCAGAGGGGCTCTGGGCCTGGCCCAGGAAACCATTTTTCCCTCCTAAGCCTGTGATGGGAAGGGCTGCTGTAAAGATCTCTGACGTGCCCTGGAGACATTTTCCCCATTGTTTTGGTGATTAACATTCGGCACCTCATTCCTTATGCAAATTTCTGCAGCGGGCTTGAATTTCTCCCCAGAAAATGGGTTTTTCCCTGGAGGTGGAGGTTGCAGTGAGCTGAGATCACGCCACTTCACTCCAGCCTGGACAACAGAGCAAGACTCCGTCTCAAAAAAAAAAAAAAGAAAGAAAGAAAATGGTTTTTTCTTTTCTATTGCATCATCTGACTGAAAATTTTCCAAACTTTCATTGTCTGCTTCCTCTTGAATGCCTTGCCACTTAGAAATTTCTTCCACCAGATACTTTAAATCATCTCTGTCAAGTTCAAAGTTCCACAGATCTCTAGGGCAGGGGCAAAATGCTGCCAGTCTCTTTGGTAAAGTATAGCAACAGTCACCTTTGCTCAAGTTCCCAACAAGTTCCTCCTCTCCATCTGAGACCACCTCAGCATAGACTTCATTGTCCATATCACTATAAGCATTTTGATCAAAGCCATTTAACAAGCCTCTAAGAAGTTTCAAACTTTCCCACATTGTTCTATCTTCTGAGGCCCATGTCTCTGGGAAGTTCCAAACTTTCCCATATTTTCATGTCTTCCACTGAGCCCTCCAAACTGTTTTAACTTCTGCCTGTTACCCAGGGCCAAAGTTGCTTCCACATTTTCGGGTATCCTTATAGCAGAGCCCCACTCTCCCAGTACCAATTTGCTATATTAGTCCATCCTCATGCTGCAAATAAAGACATACCTGAAACTGGGTAATTTATAAAGGAAAGAGTTCCACATGGCTGGGGAGGCCTTGGGAAACTTACAGTCATGGTGAAGGCTCCTCTTTACAGGGTGGTAGGAGAGAGAATGAGTGCCCAGTGAGTGGGGAAGTCCCTTATAAAAGCATCAGATCTCATGAGAACTAACTCACTAGCACAAGAACAGGATGGGGGAAACTGCCCCCATGATTCAGCTATCTCCACCTGGTCCCTCCCACGACACGTGGGGATTATGGGAACTTTAATTCAAGATGAGATTTGGGTGGGGACACAGCCAAACCATATCACTTGCCACACCTGGATATTTATAATTATTATTCACCAATGTGATAAAGTCCAAAGGGATCTTAAATTTAAACTTTAAATTTTTTTATTTTTAAATTTCTATGTATTTAGTGTAAGACAATTTTTTCATATATTGATTAGCTGGTTATATTCTTTTATGTAACTTTTACTTAAGTTTTTTGCCATTTTTTTCTAGTAGGTTGTTTATGTCTATACTGTTTGGAATGTTAACATTTGGGATATCAACACTTTTTCTGCCCTATATGTTGCAGGTGTTTTTTTCTCTGCTAGGCATTTTTCTTTTAATTTAGTTTATAAAGATTTTGATTTATGGAAGTTTTACATTTATATGTAGTTGACACTATCATTTTTTTCCTTTTCATTTCTGCTTTTGATGTCATAGTCATACTTAGAAAGGCCTCCCTCATTCTCAAGAGACTAATAATTTCCTAGTACATTTTTCTTTCTTCATTATAGTTGAATATTCAATTCTTTTGGAACTTACTTGACATGTGGGGTTCTGATCTGAATTTTTTCTCCCAAGCTGGTCTAAAAACCAATTACTGAACAATTACTTTTTTATAGAATATTTAGGAATATAGTCTTTATTATATATTAATTTCTTACATACTTGAAAAATAAATTTTATTGTGCATATTTGAGGTATACCATATGATGTTATAAAATAGATATAGAGAGACAGTGAAATGGTTACAATCATGAAGCAAATTAATAAATTAATATACTTCTCATCTCACATAGTTACTTTTTCTTTTTAGCAAAAGTAGCTAAAATCTACTTATTTAACAAAAAATCCTAATCTAATATAATTTAATTAACTGTAGTCCTCATTTTGTACATGAGATGTCTAGACTTCTTTATTCTACATATCTCCCACTTTGCATCCTTTGACCTATGTCTCCCCTTTTCCACACTTCTCCCCACCTTCACCCCAGCTCTTGGCAACCACTGTTTCATTCTCTATTTCTGTATATTTGACATCTTTTCTGTTTTTTTAGATTCCATATATAAGTGAGATCATGCAATATTTTTCTTTCTGTGTGTGGATCATTCCACTTAGCATAATATCCTCCTGGTTCACTCATATTGTGGAAATTGGTAGGACCTCATTCTATTTAAGGCTGAATAATATTCTATTGCATATATACATTTTCTTTATCCATTCATCAATGGACAGACACTTTATGTTATTTCTGTATCTTAGCTATTGTGAATAACGCTGCACTAAACAGGGGAGTGCAGATATTTTTATGAGGCAGTGATTTTATTTTCTTTGGGTATATGCTCAGAAGAGGGTTTGCTGGGTCATATGGTAGTTCTATCTTTAATTTCTTTAGAAACCTCCATACCGTTTTTCCATAATAACCATACCCATCTACATTCCCACTGACAGGGTGCTAGGTTCTTTTTCTCCATACCCTCCCCAACACTTGTTATCTCTTGTGTTTTTTATAATAGCCATCTTAACAGGTGTGAAGTGATAGCACATAGTGGTTTTAATTTGCATTTCCCTGATGATTAGTGATGATGAGAACGTTTTCATATACCTGTTGACCATTTTTATGTCTTCTTTAGAGAAATGTCTATTCAGGTCCTTTGCCCATTTTTGAATTGGGTTATTTACTTTTCCACTTTGAGTTATAAGCATTCTTTACAGATTTTGGGTATACACACATTATCAGATATGTGGTTTGCAAATATTTTTTCTCAGTGTACAGGTTGCCTTTTTATTTTTTTTGGTTGTTTCCTTTGATGGCCAGAAGCTTTTTAGTTCGATATAGTCGCATTTATTTGCTTTTGCTATTGTAGCCTGAGCTTTTGGTGTGATATCTAAAAAATCATTGCCAAGGCCAGTATCAAGGAGCTTTTCCCCTATGTTCTCTTCTAAAAGTTTTATGGTTTTCATATATTACACTTAGGTCTTTTATCCATTTTGATTTTATTTTTCTGTCTGGGGTAAGATAAGGGTCCAGTTTTATTCTTTTTTATGTGGAAATCCAGTTTTCCAAGGACTATTTATTGAAGAGACTATCCTTTTCCCATTGTGTCCTTTTGGTGAACTTGTCAAAAATTTGTTCACTGTTTATGTTTGGACTTATTTCTGGGTGCTTTATTCTGTTCTTTTGGTGTATGTTTCTGTCTTTATGCCAGTATTGTACTGTTTTAATTACTATAGCTTTGTAGTATAATTTTAAATTGTGATATATATTTTCAACTTTGCCTTTTCAGTATTGCTTTGGGTATTCACGGCTTTTTGTGATTATACATTAATTTTAAGATATTTTTCTATTTCTGTGAAAAATAACAGGATTTTGATGGTGATTGCATTTTATCTGTATATTACTTGGGTTGTATGGACATTTTAACAATATTAATTTTTCCAATCCATGAACACAAGGTATCTTTCCATTTATTTTTGTCTTCTTCAATTTCTTTCATCAGTATTCAGTGTACAAAGATTTCCCTTCCTTGGTTAAATTTTTTGGATGTTATCATAATGGGATTTTGAAAAAAGATTCTTTTTCAGCTAGGTCATTATTTGTGTGTGTATAGAAATACTACTATTTTTATATTGATTTTTTTATCCTGCAGCCTTACTGAATTCATTAGTTCTATTAGTTTTTTTGTGGCATCTTTGGGGTTTCCTTCATGTAGGATCATGTCATCTGCAAATAGAGATAATTTTACTCTTTCATTTCTAATTTTAATGATTTTTCTCTCTTTCTTGTCTCATTATTCTTGCTAGTACTTCCAGTACTATGTTGAACAGAAGTGAAGAGAGTGGGCATCCTTGGCTTATACTGGATCTTAATGGAAAAATTATCAGTTGTTCCCTGTTGATTACAATGTTAGGGGTGTTTGTGTGTGTGTGTGTGTGTGCGTGTGTGTGTGTGTTTTAATAAATGGCCTTTACTTTAAGAAAGAAAAATTTTCCTTCTATACCTAAACTGTTAAGAGTTTTTACCAAGAAAGAATTTTAAACTTTGTAAAAATGCTTTTTATATGTCATTTGAGATAATCATGTCATTTTAATCTTTCATTCTATTAATGTGGTATATCACATTGACTGATTTGCATATACTTAACTAACCTCCATGCCATGGATAAATCCCACTTGGTCATAATGTATAACCCTTTCGATGTGTTGTTGAATTCAGTTTGCTAATATTTTATTGAAGATTTTTGCATCATATTTCATCAGAGATCCTGATTTGTAGTTTTCTTTCTTTGCAGTGTCTTTGTCTGGCTTGGGTGTCAAGATGATACTTGTCTTGCAAAATATGTTCGGAAGTATTCCCTCTAGCTCTGTTTTTCTTTTTTTTGAAGAGTTTATAAAATATTGATAATAATTCTTCTTTGAATATTTGGTAGAATTCAGCCATTAAGCCATCTGGTCCGGGTCTTTTCTTGTTGGAAGGTTTTTAAGTACCTGGACTTTATTTGTTATTGGTCTGTTGAAGTTTTCTATTTGCTTCTGATTCAATCTTGGTAAGTAACATTTCTCTAGAAATTTATTTATTTGCTTTGGGTAATCCACTCAGTTGGCATATAATTGTTCATAATAGTCCCTTAAGATTATTTTAATTTCTGAGATGTCTGTTGTAAAATCAGGTGTCTGGTTTCATGTATTTGAGTATTCTCTCTTTATTTCATATTAGTATCACTAGAGGTTTGTCAATTTTGTTTTTTGAAATATTCAACTTTTGGTTTTATTAATTTTTCTGGATTTTTTAATTCTCTATTTGATATTTCTGTTCTGATATTTATGATTTCCTTCCTTTTGCTAGCTTTAGGTATAGTTTGTTCTTTTCCTAGCTCCTTCAGGCATAATATTAGGTTATGTATTTTAGATACTTTTCCATTTTTAATGTAGGCATTTATTGCTATAAACTTTCCTCTTAGAATGATTTTTCCACATCCCATAGGTTTTAGTTTGTTGTGTTTCCATTGTCACTTGTCTCAAAATATTTTTTAAATTCCTGTTCTGATTTCTTTTTTGACCCATTGGTTGTTCAGGGGCATATTATTTAATTTATACATATTTGTGAATTTTCTAAGATTCCTTCTTTACTGATACTAAATATTGACCACAATTCATACCGTTGTTGTCAATAACAATACTAGATGCTTTTTCAATCTTCTTGAATTCTTTAAGACTAGCTTTGTGGTCTAACATATAGTCTATCTGGAGAATGTTACATGTGCACTAGATAGGAATACATATCCTGCTGCTGTTGGATGGAAAGTTCTAAATTTGTCAGTAAGGTCCATTTGATCTTAAGTGCAGTTCAAGCCCAGTACTTACCTGTTAATTTTTAGTCTAGTTGATCTATCCACTATTGAAAGTGGGGTACTATTACTAATACAACAATACTATTATTGTATTGCTATCTATCTCTATCCTTATGCCTATTTACATATACATATGTTTGCCAATGTTGGATAAATATAAATTTTCAATTGCTATATCTTCTTGAATAATTGACTCCTTTATTATTAAATAATAATTTATTATAATTAAATGATTTATTATAAATAAATATTAAACAGTAAAACCTTTTTTGTCTCTTGTGACATTTTTTGACTTAAAGTCTATTTTATCTGATATCAGTACAGCAATTCCTACTCTCTTCTGGGTACTGTTTACATGACCCAGATGTTAAATTTCTTCTTCCATCCCTTCACTTATAGTCTGAGTGTCTTTTAAGCTGAAATGGATCTCCTGTATGCTGCATATAATTGAATCTTCCTTTTTAATCCGTTAAGCTACTCTAGGTCTTTTGATTAGAAGGTTAATCCATTTACTTAAAGACTTAAATGTTAGACATAAAACCATAAAAACCCTAGAAGAAAACCTAGGCAATATCATTCAGGACATAGGCATGGGCAAGAACTTCATGACTAAAACACCAAAAGCAATGGCAACAAAAGCCAAAATAGACAAATGGGATCTAATTAAACTCAAGAGCTTCTGCACAGCAAAAGAAATTACCATCAGGGTGAACAGGCAACCTACAGAATGGGAGAAAATTTTTGCAATCTACTCACCTGACAAAGGGCTAATATCCAGAATCTACAAAGAACTTAAACAAATTTACAAGAAAAAAAATCACACAACCCCATCAAAAAGTGGGCAAAGGATATGAACAGACACTTCTCAAAAGAAGACATTTATGCAGCCAAAAAACACATGAAAAAATGCTCATCATCACTGGCCATCAGAGAAATGCAAATCAAAGCCACAATGAGATACCATCTCACACCAGTTAGAATGGCGATCATTAAAAAGTCAGGAAACAACAGGTGCTGGATAGGATGTGGAGAAATAGGAACACTTTTTCACTGTTGGTGGGTCTGTAAACTAGTTCAACCATTGTGGAAGACAGTGTGGCAATTCCTCAAGGATCTAGAACTAGAAACACCATTTGACCCAGCCAACCCATTACTGGGTATATACCCAAAGGATTATAAATCATTCTGCTATAAAGACACATGCACACGTATGTTTATTGTGGCACTATTTGCAATAGCAAAGACCTGGAACCAACCCAAATGTCCATCAATGATAGACTGGATTAAGAAAATGTGGCACATATACACCATGGAATACTATGCAGCCATAAAAAAGAATGAGTTCATGTCCTTTGTAGGGACATGGATGAAGCTGGAAACCATCATTCTCAGCAAACTATCACAAGGACAGAAAATCAAACAACACATGTTCTCACTCATAGGTGGGAACTGAACAATGAGAACATTTGGACACAGGGTGGGGAACATCGCACACTGGGGCTTGTCATGGGGTGGGGGGAGGGGGGAGGGATGCATTAGGAGAAATACCTAATGTAAATGACGAGTTAATGGGTGCAGCACACCAACATGGCACATGTATACATATGTAACAAACCTGCACGTTGTGCACATGTACCCTAGAATTTATAATAAAAAAAATTACTTTAAAAAAAGAAAGTTAATCCATTTACATTCAATATTATTTTTGATAGACAAATACTTTCTCCTGACATTTTATTATTGTTTTCTTGTTGTTTTGTATATCCTCTCTTCATTTTTTCCTCTCTTGTTGTCTATCTTTGTAGTTTGGTGTTTTTCTGTAGTGCTAAACTTTAATTCTTTTCTCTTTCTCATTTGTGTACCTGCTATAGCTTTTTGTTTTGCAGTTGTTATAAGGCTTACCTGAAACGTCTTATAGTTTTAATACACTATTTTTAGCTACTAACAACAAAACTTTGGTTGCATACAGATACTCTAGACTTTTACCCTCCTCTTACCACTTACACCACTGTATATTGTATATTCTTTAATAACTTATTATATATATATAGCTATATTTTTGGCTATTTTGACTTTCAGCATTCATACTAGAGATCTGAAAGATTTGGGCATGTTCCTGTGGTCCAAGCTACTGTGGAGGCTGAGTTGGGAGGATTGCTTGAGCCCAGAAGGCAAAGGTTGCAGTGAGCTGAGATCATACCACTCAATTCCAGCCTAGGTGACAGAGCAAGATCTCATCTCAGAGAAAGAAAGAAAAAAGGTTTACACACCACCATTACAGTGATAGAGTATTCTGATTTTGACTATGTATTTACCTCTACCAATGTTTCATACTTTTATATGTTTTCTTGGTACTGATTATCATCTTTTTATTTCTGGTTGAAGATTTCCTTTAAGCATTTCTTGCAAGGCAGGTCTACTGATGATACATTTCTTCAGCTTTTGTTTGTCTGAGAAAGAGTATTTTTCCTTTATTTCTGATGAAAAGTTTTGCTGGATATAGTATTCTTGGCTATGCGGTTTTGAGGGTTTTTTCCTCTTTTTTTTTTTTCTTCAGAACTTTAAATATATCATCCCATTCTCTCCTGGCCTGCAAGGTTTTCTGCTGAGACATCCATGGATAGTCTAATGGAGGTTTCCGTGTATGTCACTTGATGCTTTTCTTTGCTGCTTTTAAAATTATTTCTTTGTCTTTGACTTTTGACACTTTTATTTATAATATGCCTCTGTGAGAACTTCTTTAGGTTGATCCTGTTTGAGGCTTTTGAGATTCATGGATTTGTATATCTATGTCTCTCCCAAGACCTGTGAGCTTTCAGGAATTAGTTTGTTAAATAAGCTTTCTGTGACTTTCTCCATTGCTTCTCGTTATGGAACCCTCATAATGTGAGCATTCATTTGCTTTATAGTGTCCCATAAGTACCATAGGCTTTCTTCACTCTTTTTTTTAAACTTTGTCCTCTGACTGAACTATTTCAAAAGACCTGTCTTTAAGTTCACAGATTCTTTTTTCTGCTTGATCTTTCTTCTACTGTTACTGCTGAAATTCCGTACTATACATTATATTTCATTTACTGAGCTCTTCAGCTTCCAGATTTCTGTTTGGTTCTTTTTAATGATATCTAACTCTGTTGAGTTTCTCATTCAGATCATGAATTGTTTTCCTGATTTCATGGAATTTTCTTTTTGCACTCTCTTCTATCTCACTGAATTTCCTTAAGATCATTATTTTGAATTCCTTTTAGGAAATCCATGAATTTTTGTTTCTGTGGAGTCAGTTACTGGAAAATTATTATGTCTCTCTGGTGGTGTCATGTTGCCTTGCTTTTTCGTATTTCTTTTGTCCCTGCATTGATGTCTGTGTATCTGACTTCTACCTCTTCCAAATTTATAGAGTGGCTTTCACAGAGAAAGGGTTTCACCTGCACATGGGCCCTAAGGTGTTGGTATGGCTGAGTGTGTTGGCTCTGATTCTGGAAGGGTGCAGTAGTGTAGTCTCCAGGCAGCTTCTTCAGCTGTGATCAATGTCAGCAATGACTGCAACTACATTAATGGCCTAGGTTGTAGGAGTTTGTGGCAGCAATGGTGGCAGCATATGTTCTTGGTGGCAAGGACTTTAGAGGTCTGTCTATTCTGTTTTCCCCACAGTGGACAGACATCACTGGGGAAATTCCTCTTGGTGTAAGGTCTGACACAGCCCACAAGCAGCCACAGCAGTGTTGTGTTCCAGGGAACAGATGCCCAGAATGGCTGTGGAACTGGGGTGCTGGGCTCAGTATCCTGCTAAACTACTGTGGTATCTGTGACATGGGTGCAGGTTCACTCTCTGAGGCATGGGTGAATGCAGCTCTCCTATAAAGCTAGGGACTGTAACTGTGAGGCACTCCCAGTTAGCTCGGACCCAGGGGGCAAGGATGTAGTTGTGACTTTGATCCTGGGGGTAAAAGTGCAGCACTGGCAAAGGTTGAAGTAGAAGGAGTATCCCAAAGGCTCAGGTCTGGGGAATCAGAGGACAGCTGCCATTCAGGTCACAGAGCCAACAGGGCACAGTGGCAACTTGGGTCCCAGGAGAGGAATGATAGTGTAGTGGTATCTCTGGAGTCGGGTGGTATGACACAAAAGTGGTCCAGGCTCTTCAAGGTTGGGTGTAGTGGCAACAAGGATCTAGGAATGGTGGGGTGCAGCTATGGTTTGGTCTCTATGTTATGGAGAGTAGCACATGGATAACACCACTCCCTAGGGAGGTGGGACACCTCAGCAGCTCAGACTCCAGAGAGCTGGCCCAGATCCCATAAAGTACGGCACTGGGATTATGTGGCTCAGAGGGTAGTGTGGTACGACCCAGCCAAAGCTCTATCTCCCTGCAGGTGGAATGCCCGATCAGCTGGGGTACCTAGGAGCACAGGTGTTCTACTAGGCTGACTCCTGGGTCTCCTTAGGGTCAGTGCACAGGTTGGCTCAGGCTCCAAGAAAGTGGTACTTCTTCACTGGGCTGGGGCTCCTGGTCCCCTGAGAAGCAGAGTGCCTCATGGTCTTGGGCACCATGTCACAGATGCTCCCCTAAGCCGACATGTGGATTCTTGTGAGGGCTAGGCACTGGGCTGGTTTAGGCCAGATGAGGAAGGGGATGGCAGGGGAGGATATTCCACTGGGCGTAAGCTCCAAGTTGGTAGGGAGAAAGCCTAGTCACAACTTGACTAGGGGAAATGAAGTCCTTCTGAGGCAGCTTGACCCAGAGGTAGAGAGCTGCAGCAGCGCAGCTAGGAAATGATATACTATCGTATGTATGAAAGCATGGTGCAATGATGGCAGAAGCTCAAGGCTGAGGGGAATACAGTGGCTACTGGTCCCTGAAATGGGATGCAGGGGCATCTGGTTTCAAGATGGCACTGTGCCATAGCAGCCTGGGCCACAGGGAGCAGGACAGAAGGTAGGCTCCTTCTCTGGGATATTGCAGCTATGTGAGCTGAGCCCAGAGCCTGTAACCACTGCAGGATTCTCTAGTAGCAAAGACCTTCAGGTGTCCAAAGTGGTGATGCAGACCACTGGGGGATTCCTGCTTACCTTTCCAACAGGGAGAAGTCCCTCCTGGTTCTGAGCTGATCCCAGCTGGGAGGAATGAGTGGCAGAAACAAGGCGTTTCCTTCCCTTCTCCACGCTCCACAGGTTTCTGCCATTCCCTTGCTTTATTTCAGTACTTTCCTTTTATCCCTCTGGTCAAAATGTAGGTGTCGTTGCTTTGCTTTGTTTTGGAGGGTGGTGGGGACAATTATTAAGTACCTCTAGTCAGCCATCTTGCACAATTTCTTATAGACTTTGAAGTATTGTCTTTGTGTTCAAGAATGTAACATTTCTATTTAAGTATTTGTTGGTTTTAGACATTTATTAAATTTTATACTCAGGAGATCCCTTTAATTGAAGGTAGTATAAAATGGTCAAATACCAGATAAATATTACAATAGTTATCATAGAAAGGGAAAAATATGAATAATATTTCAGCCCAGTGAGATCAATTTTATTATTATTTTATTTTTAGAGATGGGGTATCTCTATGTTGCCCAGACCGGTCTTGAACTTCTCAGCTCAAGCGATCCTCCCACCTCGGCCTCCCAAAGTGCTGGGATTACAGGCGTGGGCCACTGTACTCAGCCAAAATCAATTTTAATTAAATTCTAACCCTCCCTATTCTGACATCAAGCCCTTTTCTCTGTTTTTAAGAAAGTGGTACTTTTTTCCCCATGTGGTTTTTTTAATCCTTGTCTAGAATAAGCAAGACATTTCTAAATCTCTGAACACTTGCAGAAACAAACCATGAGGGATGAATTTTATAAGTCATGTAAGTCTTAATCCAACTTTATTCTTTATAAAATAAAGTATTTTATACTTTATTCACTTACGAATGTTTAAGTGAAAAATTTTTTAAATTGTATTAAGCAGTATTTAATATTGAGTATGAAGAGCAACATGCTGCAATAGAATGAGAGATCCCTATTGCCTACAATCTATTTTAAAATTTGTTGTGACCCTATGCAGACTCTATAGCTTCCAGAGAAAGAAATCATAACAATAGCTAAGAAAGACCAACAAATTTGAGTATGTTATTTAGCCACTCATTGCCCTCGTTTCTTCATCTGTAAAGTGGAAATAATGATACCTTGGGGTCACAGTGAGAAATGAATCCGTTACTCTATATAAGTAAGCATCTAGCAAAACACACGGTATTAAAAAAGTACTCATTAAATGTTATTTCTTTTCCATCTCCTCCTTAACTACAACTGCATGTTTCTGGGGGTCTTGGGGTAAATTGCCGCCTTTCTTATTATCAGAGGCATTATAGAGAAGGACATATGCCTGCTCCCCTCATAATTCCATCTAATACCTTACTATTGCGACAATTTACTCAAGTGTGTTGTTTGTGTATCACCAGATATAGTTGTGCACTTAGGAGGTTTGTCAGGACTCATTTCTTTTTTTAAGAACATTTTCACACACTGAAATTTACACTTTGTGGTATACTATGAGTGCTGACAATGTATCAAGTTGTATGTTCACCACCACAGTCATGATTAAAAAAAAACTGTTCTACTACCCGAAAAGCTCCCTGGTACTGCTCCTTTGAAGTCAGCCCCACCTCCCATCTCAATCTCTGGACTCACTGACCTGCACTCTCTACCTACAGATTTTCTTTTTCCAGAATGTCATATAAATGGAATCATATGTTATCTATCCTTTAGATGGCTTCTGTCATGTGACAATTTATGTGGGATTTATCAGTGCTCTTATGTCTATTAATAGCTCCTCTTTTTCATTGGCAGAGGAGTAGTATTCTACTGTATGCATGTACCAAGCTTTATCCACTCACCAGTCAAAAGATATTTGTTTCCAGTTCTTAATGGTTATGAATAAAGTCGCTGTAAACAATTCAATACAGGTTTTTGTGAGGCCATAAGTTTTTATTTCTCATGAGTAAATGCCTAGATGTGTTTCCATATCACAAAGTAAATGTATGCATGTTTTTCTTTATAAGAAAGTATCAAATTATTTTCCAAAACGACTATACCAATTTGTATTCAATACAGCATTATATGAGAACTCTATATTGATTTTCATCCCTGCCAGGACTTGGTATAAGATATTGTCGGGTTGTTTTGTTTGTTTTATTTTGTTTTGTTTACCATTCTAATAGGTGTATAGTGGCAGCTCACTGTCATTTTAATTTGCATTTCCCTAATGTTTAATGATTTTGAATTTTTTAAATGTGCGTTTTTGCATCTCTATATCTTTTTTGGGAAAGTGCTGTTCAAATGTTTCGTCCATTTTATCGGGTTGTTTATCTTCTTGAATTTGAGAGTTGTTGTTGTTTTGTTTTGTTTTTGTTTTTTTGAGACGGAGTCTTGCTCTGTCAACCAGGCTGGGGTGCAGTGGCGCGATCTCGGCTCACTGCAACTTCCGCCTCCTGGGTTTAAACGATTCTCCTGCCTCAGTCTCCTGAGTAGCTTGGATTACAGGCACCTGTCATCATGCCCAGCTAATTTTTGTATTTTTAGTAGAGGAGGCGTTTCATCACGTTGGCCAGGCTGGTCTTGAACTCCTGACCTCAAGTGATCCACCTGCCTCTGCCTCCCAAAGTGCAGGCGTGAGTCGCTGAGCCTGGCCAAGAGTTTTTTTAAAAAATATATTATGTACACAAGCTTTTGTGAGATACATGGTTTGTAAAAAAGGATCTAGCATGTATTTTTATTTTCTTTACATGATTTTTGGAGTGACAATTTTTAACCTCAATAAAGTCCAATTTATCGATTTTTTTTCTTCTGGATCAAGCTTTTGTCACCTAATTTAAGAACTTTTTGCTTAAACCAAGATTACCAAGATTTTCTTACGTTTTAGTCCAGAAATTTGAGAATTTTGTTTTACATTTAGATCTGTGATCTATTTTTAGTTAATTTTTACATAAAGTATGAAGAATGGGCCAATGTTCTTGCAAACTGATGCATCATTTGTTGAGAAGACTATCCTTTTTCTATCAAACTGCCTTCACATCTTTATCAAAAATCAGTTGACTTAAGACTAATCAACTAAAAGTTGATTCGTTTATAAAAGCTCTAAGTGCAACTTGTTTTTTTGAGACAGGGTTTCACTCTATCACCCAGGCTGGAGTGCAGTGGTGCAATCAGAGTTCACTGTAGCCTTGACCTCCCCAGGCTTAGTTGATCCTCCCACCTCAGTATCCCAAGTAGCTGGGACTACAGACAAGCACCACAACACCCAGCTAATTTTTGGGGTTTGTTTGTTTGTTTGTTTGTTTGTTTGTTTTTGTAAAGATAGGGTTTTGCCATATTGCCCAGGCTAGTCTTGAACTCCTTGGCTCAAATGACCCACTCACCTTGGCCTCCTAAAGTGCTGGGTTTACAGGCATGCATGAGCCACTGCACCTGGCCTAATACAAACATTTAATGTTACAAATTATAATCTAAAAACTGAATTAGCTGCATTCCACAAATCTTGATATATTCCATTTTAATTTTTATTCAGTTGAAAATATATATAAATTTTGCTTTGACCTCTCCTAAGAAATATGCTTAATTTTTAAATATTTGAATTTTTTCAAGTATCTTTCTGTTATTGATTTCTAGTTTAATTCAGTTATGGTTACAAAATAGAATTTACATGATTTCTATTCTTTTCATTTTGTTAAAGTTTGTTTTATGTCCCAAAATGTAGTCTATCTTGCTTTCATGTGCACTTGAAATAAATGTGAATTTTTATGTTGTTGGTGAAGTGTTTTGTAAATGTCAGTTAGGTCGTTGTTTGATAGTGTTGTTTAGACCTTCTGTAACCTTACTGATTTTCAGTCTAGGTTTTTTTTGTTGTTGTTAAATAATACAATGTTTCACATTAGTGTATAGACCTTAAAATAGGATATTCTCAATTTCTCCTCCCCAACCTTTGTGCTATTGTTAGCATTTGTATAAGATAGTTTGCTTTTAGATATGCTTTAAACACAAAATACATTGTTATTATTTTTGTTTTGAATAATCAGGTAACTTTTAGAGTAATTAAAGGTAGTAAAATAAACTGTACTATTACCTTCTGTGTCAGTCCAAATTGCATTGCTATAAAGGAATACCTGAGACTGAGTAATTTATAAAGAAAAGAGGTTTATTTGGCTCATGGTACTGCAGGCTGTACAGAAACATGGTGCCAGCATCTACTTCTGACGAGGGCCTCATGAAGCTTTTAGTCATGGCAGAAGGGAAGGAGAGCTGACAAGTCACATGGCAACAAAGGAAGCAAGAGTAAGGAAATGAGGTGACAGAATGTTTTAAACCACCAGCTCTCATGTGAACAAATAGATTGAGAACTTGCTCATTACCAAGGGGAGGGCACTAAGCCATTCATAAGGGATCTGCCCTCATGACACAAGCACCTCTCACTAGGCTTCACTACCAACATTGGGGATCACATTTTAATACAAAATTTTGAGGGGACAAATATCCAAACTATATCACCTTCATTTAGTCCATTTCTTGCACTCTTTGTTTCTTTGCATAGATTCAATTTTCTACCTGGTATCATATTCCATGTTTCTGAAAAATTTGTTTGACTCCTATTGAAGTGTAGGTGTGTTGGAAATTAATTCTGTCAGTTTTTGTTTTCCTGAGAAAATATTTATGTCTGCTTTATTTTTTGAAAGATATTTTCCCTGATGTGTAGAATTCTAGATTGTCAGATTTGTTTTCTTTTCGGCACGTTAAAGATGTGGAAGTCAGTGTGGCGATTCCTCAGGGATCTAGAACTAGAAATACCATTTGACCCAGCAATCCCATTACTGGGTATATACCCAAAGGATTATAAATCATGCTGCTATAAAGACACATGCACACGTATGTTTATTGCGGCACTATTCATAATAGCAAAGACTTGGAACCAACCCAAACGTCTATCAGTGATAGACTGGATTAAGAAAATGTGGCACATATACACCATGGAATACTATGCAGCCATAAAAAAGGATGAGTTCATGTCCTTTGTAGGGACATGGATGAAGCTGGAAACCATCATTCTGAGCAAACTATTGCAAGGACAAAAAACCAAACACTGCATGTTCTCACTCATAGGTGGGAATTGAACAATGAGAACACATGGACACAGGAAGGGGAACATCACACACTGGGGCCTGTAGTGGGGTGAGGAGGGGAGGGGAGGGATAGCATTAGGAGATATACCTAATGTTAAATGATGAGTTAATGGATGCAGCACACCAACATGGCACATGTATACATACGTAACTAACCTGGACGTTGTGCACATGTACCCTAAAACTTAAAGTATAATTTAAAAAAATACAAAAAAAGCAAAACAACAAGAAAAAAAACAAAAAACAAACAAACAAAAAAAAGATGCCACTCCATTGCCAGACGACCTGCATAATCTCTGTCAAGAAGTCTGCTATAATTCTTACTTTTAATGCCTCTACATGTAGTGTATATTTTTTCCTCTGGTGCCTTCAAAATTTTTTTTCGTTTCTTGTTTTAAGAAGCTTGGACCTAAAATATCTAGATGTACAATTTTTGGAATTTTGCTTAATCTTCGTTGAGATTTTTACATCTGTGGTTTTTTCTCTGCCATTAATTTTGGAAAATTCTTAGCTATTATTCTTTTTTCCCTTGTTTTTTAGTTTGGGTCTTTTCTATCAACCTATCCTCAAGTTCACTGATTCTTTCCTTGGCTATATGAGTCTACTAGTGAGCCCATCAGAGGCATTTTTCATCCTTGCCACTGTATTTTTTATTTGTAACGTTTCTGTTTGATTTTTCTTATAGTTTCTACTTCTCTGCTGAAATTCCCTTCTGATCTTGCATTTTTCTATATATTTTCTATTATAATCTTTAACATGTTAATCATAATTATTTAAAATTCTTGGTCTTAGATTCTAACTTTTATATCATATTTGAGCCTGGTTCTGTTAATTGCCTTGGCTTGGTAATATGTTGAGATTTTTTTCCTTGCTTTTCCAAATGCAAGGGTTTTCACAAATTTTTGTTGAAAGGCTGGTATCTCTTGTAGGGCAGTAAATATTGAAGTGAGGTAAATTGTTGTTTTTTTTTTTTTTTGCATGGAAATGGACATCCATTTTTTCTGTGAGGTTCTTAGTGCAAAAGTCTGAGACAATCTAGTTAGGAATTTAGCTGGTTTGGGTGTTCACTGTTGCTTTGACTACCATCAGTGTATCATAAGTTTCAAATTTCTCTATTGGTACCCTGCACTTAGGTTGAGGACAGGTTTCTCAGAAGTTTGGCAATTGTCTACTCCATCCTCAGCTTTGGGTCTTTTCTTTGTGCTGTGCTTCAGAGAAGATCTCTTCCCATGCTTTTACAACTTAGCCAGCAGTACTCTAGTTACTTGTCCTCAAAGATTGTTAGCCTGATGGTGGAGAAGAAAGGAGGTGTTCTCAGTTGTGCAAACTAAGCTGAAGTCTTGGGCAGGCACTCTGTCCCTGGTCTTGGTCTTAGGAGGGTGGTTTTTCTCAGTTCTCTGGCCCCCTTCTAGCTGTAGTTGTGTGCCCAGGACATAATCCTGTCTCTCTCCCAGGGGAAGATGGTAATTTTCTGTTTATCTCCATTAGCTACAATGAATTTTCTCTAGTTCCCTAAGAGTGACAGTGTATGTTGCCTTTCTCCCTGTAGTTTAAGGCTTCTGCTTTGTCTCTTTTCATAACAGCTTGTTCCTCTTGCACCACAAGGGATGGTTTCTTGGAGCTGTCTCCAATCTTTTTGTGTAGTCCATAGAAAAGAGGCGAAAAGTTAGTGCAAACTCTTCCTGTATCTGTGGCCCCAAGGAGCTACATAGTCTCTTCACAGCCATCAGTCAGTCTTTGCCAATTCATTAATTATTCTAGATGAATTTTTCTTATTTATGTCTGTCTGTATCTGCCTCAGGTAAGCAAGTGCTCAGGTCCTATCTTTCCCAAATGTATCCGTGTCTCCTTAAGTTTTGTGCTAGTTGGTTACAAGCAATTTTAGCTCTCTGATGAGTTCAAAAAAGTTGTGACCTTGGAGTTTGTCCAGCTTGTTGTGTGTTGTTGTTAGGTTGTGAATGATGCTTCCTCTAACTCTCCACAACCTAAGTAGAAACTGGAAACAGCAGGTTTTAAATTTTCTTTTTCTTTTCCCAAGAGAAAATTCTTAGCTTCTGGCTATGAATATTTTAGAATTCTCCCCCTATCATTTCTAGGAGGATCATGTTACTTTATCTTTTCCACCAATGTTTTCCTTTCTATAAGTGGAACTATATTGCTATTAATTGGCACTTTCTAGCACTTTACACTTCTAAAGTATTTTAGAATAATTTAAATAGTTTTCTCTGTAACAATCACATGGGGCAAATGAGCAGCATCTGCCCTTATTTAGATGAGGAAATTGAAGAAAAGAGAGATGTAGTCATTTCTCTAGGATCAGAGCAAATCCTCCTTAAAAATTCAAAAGCTAACGTATTAGTTATTTTAGGCACCTTGTCTCACATTTCACTGGGGCAAAATTGCCAGAACATTTCCCTGCAGAACCACAGGGAGAAATCAAGCCTCGTTAGAATAGTTACAATACTAAATTTTTATGTATTTTGAGCATTAAATTTAAACTTAGCCTAGATAAATGACCTTTGTGATTCCTAGAGAACTTTGCCAAGTCTTTACTATGACATTGTCCTGAGTGCGGGGAAGGGTGTGGTAGATGAAGAACAGCCTTAATTCCCTTATCATTTTAGATCCTGGCAGGCAACAGATAAAGAAAGAATGCCAAGAGGGATTAGAATGGAAGAAATATAGTTCTGTGCTGGGGCCACAACTAACTTCCTCAATTTACCTAGGGGAGTCTCCTGCATCAAAGAGCACATCTCCCTAAAATCACGGAATCTGAGTTCTTACAGCCCTCTATGAACCACCTTTGGTTCCAGGCCCTGAAGTTACCATCTGTTGGTCTTTGAGCTTCTTTGTCTCCCAAAACATCTGTTTTTCTAACAGGATATTTAGAACAATCATGTCCACAACAGAGAGAACTCGTGCTGGATCTCAGTGCTTTTAAAAACAGAAATAGAAAATAATATTTTTCAGCAATCCAAGATCAAGCACTGTCCTTTCATTTTTTATAAAAGCTCTCAATTTTAAACAAAAGAAAAAGAAGGCTGAACCGAAGAGCCATGTCCTCACTACCTTTTCATTAAACTTTTATTGTCTATACAATACAAGTTATTATCTAAGCCAGTCAATAATGACTATTAAGGATATATTATAAATCTAAGCAAAACACACAGCAGGGAGAAACGACGTCAGCCGTCACAGGCATAGGCAAGGGCATAGGCGAGGCAGAGGTAAACCTGAGCCCAGATACTAGAAGCCATGCCATGGTTTCACTTTCTTATGGCAACCTGAAGCAAACTGCCTGTAAGAGCAGAGCAGACAATCGGACTACCATGGATAAGACCCTTCCACATGTAGCCGTCTTTATGTTAAATGACTCAATGAGTTTAAAACGTTAAGTAGCAAGTTACAAATAAATATAATTTTCCCATAAAAATTAATGCTCAGTGGAGTGTGAGTACATCCAGAACTTAGAATGATTGCATCCTAATTTTGAAGAAAGTTGTAGAAAATTGTTTGCTAGAGATTTAAGTGCTCCATGCTCACAAGTTGACTGTTGTTTGCCTACATACTTCCTCACCTTGTTCACTAACATCATCTCGCTTAATCTCCAAGAATCTCCATCATCTTGAAAAGATGTGTTAAGCACTAATTTGCATTAGGCGCTGTGTTAAACTCAGGACAAAGGTCATTTAAAAGCTTCCTAGGGCCTTGCAACACAATGGCACAGGCAAATCTATGTAAGTGCACACATTTTAAAAGAGTGTTATTACTCAAATGTTTGTATTATGTGAACTCAAGAGGAAGCATCCTCAAATGCTGTGGACACACAACATTTAATCTGGAAATGTGACATGCTCACCTTGTGAGATATTATGGGTTACAACTTACATAACCCCTTCTGAATTTTTCAAAAGTATAATATGCACAGTAACATAATTCTTGTGGTTACTTGGTATTTTTTATCATCCACAAATGTAAACTACTTAATGAAGATGATGGGTACAGTATTTGTATCATGTGCAAAGCTGTCACAGTTCAAAAGCTTTGGACAAGCTTCTACCATAGCCTTTGGCTGAGCAACTCTTGAGCATTCTGTCTGAGGAGTGTGCAATATCTTTGAGTTCTTCTTCCTTTATCATGGTAAAGCATGACAGTAGCTAAGCAGAGGCAGTTAGAGGAGAGAGTCATCATCACTTATTTTTTTCACTTAAACCAGCGCCAAAATCAATTTTGAAGCATTATCTCCAAGTTGCTTTCAACTCGATCTGGGTGTTTCTCTTCACCTAGACTATCACCCCCCCACACACTGGAATCTTTATTACATCACACTAATCTAATTTAAATGCATTTTTACTGTACTTGGTTTAATGAATGTGGAATGTGTCACTATGAAATTGCACCATTAATTTGATAAATAGGACTTGAAGGTATAATTTTTTCCAGCATTGCCAACTAATGAAGCTAAAATACATATATAATAAGAAGTGTAAATAATAAATTATTCTTAGGAGCAAAAAAATTAATTAGATCTTACCACAAATTGCATCTCAATGTCAATTTTTTTTTCTCAAAACTACTGACTTTCAAACTACTTGGAACGCCATTGTAAATGTTGGAAAGTTTCTCAAGTGATTACCTTCCATCCTGGGGAATCTGCTTTAAGAAACTGCTATTGTTCAAAAAGTCCTTTCAAGATGCCAGTATGGATCCCCTGTTGTCATTTCTACCTGGCATTTAGAGTATCTTGATGAATTAATCTTCTTCTTTAAGTTGCATTGTTTTATTTATTTGTAAAGACTCCTAAAATCCTTTCAGATAGTGTGCCGTGGAAGTGGAAAAAACCAGGAGACCTTATATGCAAATTTGCACACAAAGGTGACAGAACTTTATTTCTAGGGATTTTGGAGAAAGTTGCTCCTGCAAGCTTGCTTTTCACCAGGAAGCTAGGTCTATGTCATCCATGGGCTAAAGGATGGGCTAACAGACAACGATGGATCACACCCCAATTACTGTATGGCTGCACACTCTGTGGCTAGATAAGCTGGAAATTAGCTGGTTAATATGCACACTGAAACCAGAGACCAGATAATGCTCCAAATGAGATTCTATTCCTTGGATGGAGAAGAAGGAATTGCTGTTACGACTGGCATAAGTGTGTTTGGTTCAGGTTCAGCATAGGAGCAGTGACTTTAGCATGTGTACATATTAGCCAGTAATTCCCAGAACTCTAATTAATGAAATATTTGCAGAGGACATTAGCTACAGCATGCCTGCCTGCTTAGAACCACAAAGACTATGAAAGCCAAAATGTATAGGCAACAGGAAGCCCATCTGGAGACTCTAGTCTTTGTTTTTAGTATGTATATTAATTTTAAAAACAAAATAGCTACCATGTACAATAACTATGTTTTTCTGTTGTGGTTGTTTATCAGATATGAGGATTGTTTCAGCTTCATAGTCAAGATGAGACTAAATTTGTCCTCCTAGAAAGATTCCAAGGAGAGCAGGAAAGATGCTGTAAGAATTAAAATGAATTATATGGGGTCCAGCCACCCCTCTCTTTGTCCCCACCTGTAGGTTGAAGCCATGCAATCACAGGCAACTTAACAAAGCTCTGTCCCTTCCTGGCCTGATGCAGGACCCTAGGCCAAATGCTGTCCCTGGCCTTATTTTCCATTCCTAGTGTGTCATTTAACAATGTTTTTATTCCTTGCTATTTGATTTGAAGCCAAAATTCTGACGTGGCATCAGTTTTGCTGCCAGATAATGCATTAAACCTTACTAAGGGGTAAACATAATGATCTTCATTAAACCCTTTAAATGAACCCACCTCCTGCTTCTTCAGGTTGAGAAAAGCATTGACAGGGAATGTTGTGGAAGCGTCTTGGAGCTATTTTCTTCTTGTAACAAGGGGAGGGAGAGATGAGTGGCAGCTTTTAGGGGCAAAAAGAAAGTTAGGTAAACATAAAAGGTTTTGTAAGATTTCCTTTCCTAATGGCAAAGTTTTAGAGCAATGAATCACAATTCAGTCAATACCATTAGTTTTGGGGCATTATATACCCTCATTAAAGTGCATAAACAATTATATTTATTGAAGGTAAT
Organism: Homo sapiens; assembly: GCF_000001405.40. Lineage (NCBI taxonomy): Eukaryota > Metazoa > Chordata > Mammalia > Primates > Hominidae > Homo > Homo sapiens. The sequence goes on from NC_000018.10 coordinate 25,593,527, forward strand.
GTACTGTGTAGTGCATTATAACGAGACTCATTAACATATGTAATCATCATTTGAATGGGCTTTACTACAATGTAAACTGATAATGGCATGATTACACACTGGGTTATTAACTTTTCAGTCTTAAGATAATAAAAGGTGATGCAAAAAACCAAAAGCACATATGCATTGCCCTTCATTTGTGAGTTATGCATTTCCATACCAAATTCTAAGCTCAGGTACCCATGCTCAGAAGCTGTCTCTTCACTGCCTATTGTCTTGACAAAATACTAAATTCCATGCAGTGCTTTGAGGGTTGGGGCTATTTCAGACCTAATTATGAAGACAATTCTGTGAGTGACCCTATTTCTATCTTATATTGTGGCTTAATCTATCCATGCTTTGGTTTTCATAACTTTCTACCCTAGACCCTGTTAATATCACATGCTCTAAGAAAAATAAGAACTTCCTCCAAACCTTCTCTTTGAAAAATCTCATTTAAGAGTCATGTGGCTGATGATGGGGAAACATTGAGAAAACCCACAGTAAGGCACATTGTATGAAAAGTGACAAGGTCATGAAAGACAGAGTAAGGAAATGTTCTAGAGTCAAAGAGATGCGAAAGACAAAACAAAATGCAATGTATGACCTCAGATTGGATCCTGAGCCAGAATTTTCTTCTCTCTTTTGCTGTAAAGCTGTTTTTATTAGGACAATTGGAAAACTTTCAATAAGGTCTGTAAATCAGATAATGGCACCTTATTCTCAAATGAATCAGAAAAAACAATATTTTTTAGGCCTAATAAGAATAGTAATTATAATATAGATGAAAAGAGCAAATCGTGAAGTAAATGTGGTAAAAAGTTAACATAATATGGGTGAAGGATACTTAGGAATTCTTTGCACTATTTTTGCAACATTTGCTATGTCTGAAATTATTTCAAAATTAAAAAAGAGAGAGACATTTGGAATTTAAGAACTGACCATGAAAAGGCCATGACTGTAACTAAGCAGGTCTGGTGGTTGATGTTATCAGCGATGAGTCAGAATAATGATCAGGATCCCAGTACTCATGTAGGTTCTTTATCTCCTCTGTCAGTGAAAGTCCCAGATTTGATAGAACAGTTTTTAATTCCTTTCTTCCCAGCAATATTTATTTCCTGTATTTTAGGGTCAGGAATGACAAAAGGTTTGTGATACAAAAGGTAAAAGACATTGTACTTTTGTCACTTGGATTAAAAAGTTATAGCAGTAGCCACTTAAAATTCCCTCTGAACGATGACTTCACAACTAAGTTTGGAATCAGCATGAGAGCTAGACTCAAAAGAATGATTGACTTACATCTCTGTATAAGCCCTAAGGAACAGACTCCTGTCTTCATCTCAAATGAACTGCTGCATTCTCACTCCTAAGTGGCATCCAAACTTTAGTCATCAGATCCAGTGGAATAGGCATAAGTTTACCAACCACACTTATTTTGGGTTGGATGAAGTAAATAAAAACAAAATAAATTACCCAGAACACTGAGGAAGAACAAAGATAAAACTAAACTCAGAGGTTTCTGGTATTCGTTCTTTTTTTTCCATTAGACCACATAACCCGATGAGAGCAGTAATGTTGATATATTTTACATTTTTCTCTAGAATATATTTTCTTCAGTGTCTAATTTGCACCAAATTTCATGGAAATTGGGGAGTTCTATAGCTAAGAGCTACCCATTTTAAAGTACAATTATAAAAGCAGAACAGCCTGATCATCCTTACAAACTACAAAGCAAAATTAAGCAATACCTCTCTATAAACAAGAGGAAATGCATACTGTGTATGCATTTCTACATAGATAACTAGACTTGAAGACTACATCTGCTGGGTTAATGTTTTTATTAAATCATATTCATGTTGGCACAATCGTCTTTTCTCATTATAAACACTGAGCACTTTTATTTGCTACAGAGTATAGCTTTAAGACATTTTCAATTGACTGACAGCTGCCTGTCAACTTCTGACTCTGGAGAAATCCAGGAACTCAGCCTGTAAAGCTCCAGGGAGTTCTAGGGAGCTCCAACATGGTTAATGGCCGTCCATTAGCATAGGGCCCAGCAGAGCCCCGGAATCTGTTAAGTGGGAAGTTCTTGCTGTAGAAGGTCATATAATTCCCTGTTGCCATCTGAGAGAACTGGGAAAATTCAACTTGAAGCAAAGACTGGGGTGCTATAAGTTTATGTACTAAGGGAAATCATTTCATGCAGTTTGGTACTACTGTACACCATGTTTTATTTATATTCTATACTGGATGAGAAATTGAATACTATGCTCTTTTCTGGCAATGGAAACCTGCCTTATTCTCCTAAACTGGGCACGGCATCAATACAGCAGCTTGCAGCCTTTTTGACTATGTATTATAGAGTGGCTTCTGTGCATTATATATTAAATCCGATATGCACTGTGAGTTTATATGCCACACGCACTACATTTTTCTATATTACGTCCTGCAATCTATCATATTAAGTGAAAGGGGTGATGGAGTGGGCCTCAGGTAATGTAAAGAAGATTGCTAACAGCTTGCATGCTGCGTTGAGAGTAGGTAGGCATTTCTGCAGTGTACTCTGTGTATATATCAGGAGAGCACGCTGCAAACTGACCATGTAGAGAGTTCCACATCCCTGGCAATGGAATTAACCACCTGTACACTACTAAAATTACCTACCAGCCCCAAACAACATGCCAACCCCATTAACAAAGCCCAGCAAAGGTCAAGAAAGCCAAATAGTTCTTCCTAGAAGTGAGAATAAAAATGAGGTCTGGGCTGTCAAAGGAAAAGCAGGCTCTACTTAAAAGCAGTCAACCCAGGCTAACAAAGGTCTTCAACACAGGAAACTTGGACAAACATTTAGCAATCACTGCCTCTGAGCTGTTAATCTATATCTCATGTTCTTTGGTCTAACACATGGAAGAAACCTGCAGGTCCCATACCCAAACATCACATTTAAAAGAAACCCACAAAAGCCATAATTAAAAAGTATTGACTATGCTTTTTGAAATAAAAGCGTGTTTTCTATGGCATTATCTATTCATGTAGCAGAATTCCTAAATTCAGGAAGACTCAGAATTATGTTGCTTGCCTCATCACTGTTCCTTAAATTATTTTTTCTGGAATTTCCTAGGATGAGGAAATACACGTAAACCGGATCACTGTCTTTTTGGCATAACATTTATGGCTTATGAGGAATTCTGATGGTAATTCTTTTTTTTTTTTTTTTTTTTTTTGGCTGTGAAAACTTCTTGGTTCTGCTTACCCATTGATTTAAAGGTAAAATGTTTTTCCGTTACCTGGGAACTAGGTATTGTGTTTGCCCATCAAGACTTTGACCTTGTGTTCAGCCACTGTGAGATCCACTGGTCCTCACTGTCTGAGATCCTGCAGTTACTTTAATCTATAGTTACTAATCTTGGAATTACACTTTAAAAAAATAAAGAAGAAGAACCCCGCTATTAGACACTCGTGACCGACCACAGGGCTGTCTTGCCTTCGCATTGTCACTGCAGAATCTTTTTCTAAGAGCAGTGAAAGTGGTCACAAGGATGAAGAATCTTTGCTATCAATATTAGTGAAAAGAACCCCCTTTTAAGGTGCTGTATAATCACTCATTATTTCTATTCTTCTAGCACTTATATACTTCATGCAGTGAGGGGATTGTAGCTTTTGTGGAAAGGGACATTTGGCCTTGAGTGTCAGGCTTTACAATGCATCTCTGGTGCAATATTATCAGGTGACACCAATTCATCCCAGCGCATTTTACAGCTTAACAGAAGGTTTTGATTTCCTGGTGGAGTCTTGATTGATTCTGAATTCTTTAGCATTCAACCTTCCTTGTGGTGATTGTTATAAGATTTAATACAGGAAATATTAAGTTTAAACAAAGAAGGCCCAGAAGGGATACTTCTGTGGACTGTCAGGTATATTTTTCACTGTGAAGTGGAAGTGCCAAGCTAGCCAAGGAGACTTGGGGTTTGCTTTAGACCACCTTATGGATTTCTACAGCTGCCCCAGAGGGACAGGATCCAAACGGCTCTGCTACCCACAATCTCAGCTGCTAGACGATGCACAGAGTGACAGTGATGAGCCAAGGAAAACTAGTAGGAGGTACTTCCAGCTTCCTTCCATCAAAGGGAAGGCTGCCAAATTCAAAACTCTAAAGATGCCAGGGAGCCGGAAAATATAGCATCAGAAAAATGGCTAAACCAGGTGAAGCCCCTGGGCTGCATACGGAGGAGCGTCTGTAACGTGCTTGGCCACATTTGCACCAAGTTTCTTTCCTGCCGTCGTTAACAGCCTGTGTGCAGACTTTCCCTTATGCTTTTTAGAAGGACCGAGTCAAAGCAGGGAAATGGGATTTTAATAAAATAGCACCAGTGATAGCAAATGTTTGTTTTCCTAGATGGAGAGGAACTGATCATTGAATTGCTTACAATATCTGGATGATAAGGATGTGGGCACCCTGCCTCCTTCTCTAGAGCAGGGGGATTCACGTTGCTCCTCAGCAATGCTAGTAGGTAGGTGCAGAGATCAATCCTTCAGTCACCAGGAAGAAATGACCTCAACTGAATAGTTATTCATTCTTTCATGTGTTAAAAAGTTGCCTAAGAAAGCTTTTTGATATGGTAGAGTAGAAATATAGCAGAGTGGTGGGCACATAGTAGGTTCATGGTATGTTGATGGGTGAAACTGTGGAGGAGAGGATCTTCCTCCATTCCTGAGGTGATGAAGTTATGACAGGAGGCAACGTTTTCACAACCTGGCATTGCTCAGCAGAGATGCTCTACCATGTGGCATTCTACAAACCAAACCACAGGGCATTCTCTACCCTCGTATTGTATTCATCACAGTGCATACCCATGGAGGGTTCCCCAGTACACAATCTTATACCAATTTATACATATATCTATAGATATATATATAATGTACATAATCATTCTGCAGCTGTCAGAAGCTCCTGGAAAGCCCAAGAGTTCAGTATGAAAGGTGCTATTAGCCTGGGAAAAACACCACGGCTGCCGCAGATGGCTCATTTTCACAATAGACCTGAGGTTTAAAAAAAAAAAAAAAAACACAAAACCTAGTTGTTTGGCCTGCAGCATAAACAAGGAATATTCTCCTTGAGCAAGTGAAACTGGCTTTGCAGAAATGAGGCTCCAATCAGTCTTGCTAAATTCTAACATTAAATATACACACATATGTACACATACAAATGTTCTCCAGACAAAGATGCAAGTTTGAGGTAGCTGTATTCAAAGCTTGACTTTATAACTTTATTTGTCATGGTGGTGCTAGTAATATTTTAAAAATTAATAAGAATATTGAATTGTAAAAGTAACACATGCTCATTCCTGAAAATTTGAAAAATAGAGACAAATCCACCCAAAAATTTGTTATCCTGGGATATTTACATATTTATAAGTATTATTTTATAGATAACTTATAATTACATATTATATATCATTAATGTGTTGTACTATATGAAATAAATTATACAAAATAAAATATATAATATATAAACAAAATATATAGTTAATAAATAAATTATATTATCTTTAAATATACAAATAAATGTTTATTTATTCATATGTGTATATATGTACACACACATATATATCCTGGAAATATACATAAAGTAGACATATTAGTTTACATTATAGACATAGTTATATCATCTGTGTATATATATTATAAACTTTTTTACATAATTAATACAATATGTTTATATATGTATACATTTTGATGTCGTTTTTCTTTCTCAATATTTTAATTATAATAGGAACAATTTCCCATGTCATTAATCGTTAATTACACCACTGAACATTTTTAATGACTACACAGTATTCTATCATGTGTATGTATCACAACTTTTTCCAACAAGTCATCCACTACTAGAAATCTCCAAAAAATGGTCCCAGCTTTTCTTTTCCTCAAACAATTTTCCATTAACTGTCCTTCTATTTAAATCTTTAGCTGTGTCTCCAATTACTTGAATTACTAGTCAAAGAGTATAAACATTTTACAGACTCATACATTTAGCCAAATACTTTGCCCAAAACAAACCTTTTTAACTGAGGATAACACATGTTCCTGGTTAGATATGAAGGCATATTGCAATGGGGCCAATCTGATATAACAAATATAATTTCATAACTTTTCACAACTTCCTAGGCATGTCTAGCCACAAAGATAAACCAAAATAAAACTATTTCCTAGCTGACAACTGTAACTCTACAATGATTACCCAGATCTTAGATAGATTGACTTTAATCTCAGCCTCAAACCCTCAAAAATGGCATTACTATTCTACATTTTGTTTGTAACCATTTTATCTCATTTAGAGATACATCTCTATTACTTAGCTCTTAAGGTTATAATTTCCTGAATCTCCTCACCGTTAGGACCTTTCACAAGGGCAAACAGTTGTATTAGAAGAAGGACATGACAAAGTCCCTTATTCACCCTAATGCACAAAGTATTCTGGACCCACCTGAGAATTTCTTAAGGTCTTTCAGGAGACAGTATACTCTTGGAACGCTCACCCAGCTACCCTTAAGTCTCCTTTGAGATGCAAAGTATCTGAAAATTCAGAAGAACCCTTTACTGTGTATTTTTTTAAAACTGCTAGTTGTAGAGTGTCATTTTGTCCCTTGATTTTGTGGCTTAAAATCCATCTTCTGCATAAATACACTGCTAGGCAGTCCCTCTGTGATCAATCTTATGTTTATCAAGGACACTTAAGCAGTGAAGAGATTGCTGTGCGTGGTCCCTCATGGATCTGCATGGAGTGTGGATTGGAACCCATAGTCTACACATTTCCAATTCCAGCCCCAGCAGTTGAGCTACTCGCCCCCCCTCCAGAATGATCTATGCCCTTTTGTGGAAAGTTTGATGGATAGAGACAGCTCAAGCACTAAACTGGAATCCAAAATCAATAAACGTATTAGGACTGGGTGCTCACAAATTGGTAGCCATTTAATTCCCCTGCTATTAATTTTTTTCCCTTCCAGACATGAGGTGGGGTGCAGTGTGTGAACTTGTTAAACCACAGCTGCAGGTCGCCCTTGAAGGTGCCTTAGTGGGCTTAAGGAGGGGCCTTGCTGGTACTTCAAGCAATCTCCTCGGCAGGCATTTATTTCAAAAGTCAGGAAAAGACCCCTATTTCTCTACTTGGTATTTATTGGTTAAGAGGAAGACTTCGTGCCATTTAATTTTTAAAAAACTTTTTATTATAGATATTTTCAAATATTCACAAATACTGAGATTGAGATAATAATGTAATAAACCTTATGCTTATCACCTATTTTACATTTTTATTTTTCACCCATTTTTAACATATTTTGTTTGTATTTTTTGTTGTTGTTGTTTAGTTTTTGCTTATGCTTCTAATTTTAAGAATCCCAGTTGATTTTCTGGAAACAATGGGCTCCTCTTGGTAGTGGCAGCACAAAGGTCACAATCTTAAGAGCATTTATCATGGGGTTTTCTCATCTCAGTAGTATGAGATATAACCATCCAATCAATTTGCTAAGATAAAACACCCTAGGGTCCTTACTAGTTCCAACCCGTCAGCTAGTCCTGTTGACTCCACCTCCAAAGTAGATCCCATATCTGTCCACTCCTCTTCATCTCCACTGCTTCCTCCCCAGTGTGAATCCTCATCCTTCTTGCCCTGATTACAGTACCCTCCTAGTTATCCTTCCTGCTTCTACTCTTTCCTCCCAGCTCCACCAGAATCCACTCCGCACATGGCAACTCCAGCAACCATACCACCCTCCTGCTTACCATCTCCCAATGACTTTTACTTTTGTCACCTACCACCCCTCTCCACCAATCCAGGATGGCCAGTATCATCTTTTACAAATACAAATAGACCATGCCATTCCATTTCTGAAAGCCCTCCAGTGGCTTCCTATTGCACTCAAAAGTTCAGACTCCTTGACCTGCAGGCAGCCTCTGCCTACCTCTCAGAAGCTAATTTCCCATCTATTTTCATCTTGCACAATATGCTCCACCTACACCTGCTTCCTTCAGCACCTCCAACCTGTACAGCCACGCTCCTTTCTTCTTGTGGGCTTTGCTCTTGTTTCCCACCCTCCATGATCTCCCCTATGTCTTCACTGTTAACTCCTTCCTGTCATCCAGGAATAGTCTCAAAACCCCGTCCTTGAGAAGTCTTCTCTTATCACCTGAACTAAACTAGCTTCCCAGCCCCAAAACCTTATTACTTAGGAACTTGCATTGTATTGTATGCTTATTATCCCTTTATCCCACTGCAGTAACGGCTCTATGAAAGAAAACACCTTTTCTGCCTTATTCATCATTATATCTTGAGTTTCTGGGACATGATAGGTATAGAAACTCTATAAAACTGTGTTGAAAGAAAGAATGAATGAATACAACAAAAAAGAACTTTAGATCTTATTGTAAGGATTTTAAGTAACAGCTACTTTTCTGAATAATAAAGGTATGTCTAATAGCAGAGAAAGCAGATTGTAAAAGCTCCTGGGGGCTTTGGTGGGTTGTGTGGGACCATGGAAAATGCTAAGGAACTGCCACATGCAGAGACAAAGTCAATAGTTAAGTCAGCAACAACTGTAGAAAGGCTTATTTATCCCCCAGATCATGTTTTCTTCCTGCCTTCCTCTGTCTGATATTCCTGTCATCAGATTAATGACTTGGGGTGAAACATGTTTGCCCAGTTGTCCGCTGAGTACAGAGGTCATATCTACCACCGCCTAGTAAGTTACTAAGCTCTTAAGGCAGTTTATTTTCTCATTGCCTTCTCATTCCCTAACACCTGACAATATTACTTCCACTCCACATTATCTTCTGAAATTGATCTTCCCATATTTATATTGGTATCCTAATCCTCAATTATTGTAGACCCTTAGTTATCTTTCCTGCTTCATTTTTTCTCCAGAACCATCTTCCCTTCTACATTTCCTTATTTCCATCATTATATTTATTCATTCATTTAAAAAAGATTATAAAACAACTTGGATTCTCCCTTTTTTTTCCTAACCTCCCCTACAAGGAGCATTCAATTTTTATTTTATTGTATTTTTCATTTAAGCCCTTTCCCTGACTAACAATACCAATGAATCCTCCCCACTTCCATATTTTATCTACTCCAGTAAATCCAGTTAATCTTGAAACAATGCTTTGCCCACATCACTGCATTGCTCAAAAACCACCTTTGACTCCCATTGCCTATTCAGTAAAACCTGAACTTGGTTTAAGAGGATGCCTACCTAAAATTGGGTATTTTAGTCTTCGCTGATGTCATTTCCCACTACTCCTGACAAAACTTCTGCTCCCACCAAACACTTCTGTTCCCTGACTGCTATTCTTTCCTGATACATCCTCCCTCCACCCTATAGTCTTGACATAATAAAGGAGGAAGGATCTTGACTACTATAAAATATTAACTGTCTGAATAGAGGCTGTCTGTTCAACATGATAGGCGCTGGCCATACGTGGCTCCTCAGCTCTTGAAATGTGGCTAGTGAGACTGAGGATCTGAACTCTTAATCATCAAAATTAAATTTAACTGAAACACCAATACTCAATGTAGGTATTGGGAAACTTTTAAGCATATTTAGAACAACTTGGATGTGTAAATCTACTTTTTCAACTGTAAGTTTTATGAAATAAAATTGCAGATCAAGTATTTCCGATGAGATTTTCGGGTCCAAATTGAGATAGGCTGTAAGTATAGAGTCCACACCAGAGTCTGAAAACTAAACATGAATATAGGAATATAGAGTATTTCATTAAAATTTTTAATTTTGATTACATGTTGAATTCATGCTATTTTGAATATAGTAGGCTAAATAAGATATATTATAAATAGTAATTTTATTTTACCTGTTTTACATTTTACAATATTTCTACTAGAAAGATTTAAATTATACATGTGGCTCACATTGTATTTCTTTGGAACAGTGCTTTTCTAAATATCATCTGCATAAACATGTTGTCATAGCCCAAAAGACTTTGATTCTGATCCCAAGGCCCATTCACAGATTGAACAAATCATAATCTCTAGGAGAAGGTCCTGGGGTTGTTATTTTTAAGTGCCCCAGGAGATCCCAATCATGAGGCACATTTGGGAAACCTGCCCTAAGTGACGGCCCTGCCTCTGGCATTTATTGTCTTCATCGCTCATTTAATGCATCCACTTAATGTGTTCATTTAATACAAGCTCTGTCATGCTATCACTCTATGTCACACATGTGTATTCCCAAGTAGACTAAAAGTGCTCAGAAAGGGGAGGTGCTAATAATTATAGCTAACATGCATTGAGTGCTAATAAGGTGTCGAATACCCCGCCAGGTGTTCTATGTTTATGTCCTCATTTAATTAATAATAGCACCTACAGTCCAGTGAAGTGGGTGCTACTCTATCCCCATTTGACAGAGGAAAGAGAGATTTGGGTCAGACAGGTATTGACTGATGCTGCTATGACCTGGACGAGTTCTGTCCAACGTTACAGCCTATGCTGCTCTTACATGACATTGCCCAGGAGCCTAGTGCAGTATCTATTTGTACAGGAAAAGGCAGCATTTGTGCAGTTGTCTTCTAACAAGGTCAAAGTGCAATTTACATTAATAAATGCAAATGCTGGTAACATTCAGCACCCACACAAGAGAATGGTGGGCAGGCACTCAGTTAAGTGCTCTGGTGGCGCCTTCAGGATGTAGTGCTGCATGTGAAGAGGCAGGACTGTGTTTGCCTCATTCGTGCTCAAGTCAAATGCATGTCCCCTGTCAACTGAGCAACTGCTGTGGTTTCAAAGGCCCTGGTTGATGAAGAGCTCCCTGCCTTCAGAACTCAGCAATAGGAGCACCTGTTCCAGAGCCCCAGAAGACACGGCTGTAGCTCTCTGCATTCAGGGGCTTGTGTTGGGGGAGTACAGCATTGGAGCAGGGCAGCACAGTTGTCAGCAGGCCAAGGAGAGACCAGCTGAAGCCATGATGCCAAGGACATTCTGTTCAGGCTGCGTGGATGTTAAGATTCCCAAAAAGAGAAAGAAATGTTGGATTGGAAACCGAAGCAAGATTCACCAGGCTTGTACAAGGCATTTAGCTCTTAGTTGTTATAAAAATGAAAATAATTGTGAAAGCAGAGAGAAATCTGCAGCTGCTTGGGGCTATTCATACCATAAGAGATCCCATCAGGCCCTCTTTATTGCTGCAGTTTTGGCAAATTATTTTCTTATCACACATAACCTCCTCACTTCTGTTCCTGGATAAGCACTTAGGCCCATAAAGCTGTGGGTCAGCCACAGTTGAGCATCCAGCACATGGAACAGGCGGCCATGGGGAGCTCCAGAGCCCGCCTGTCGGAAAAGCAGCAACTGGAGTCCATAAAAAGTTGGCCCGCCCGGTCTATTAACGGACCCAGGTCTGGGGCTCTGGCTTGGATCACCCGCCCCCTCCACAGAGCCTCACCTGCAGGGATGGACACCTTGGGAGGGCCACCTTGTGGGCTGGGGCCCACCTTCCCTGGGTGCTGAGCCCCTGGTGGCCTCAAGGGCAAGGGGCAGGTGCATGGGCGAGCACTCAGCTGCGAGGCGCTGGCCCCACCATGAACAGAAGGGGCTGGGTGCCCACCACACATGTGTGCTGGACAAATGCGCTGGCATCTCCGGCGTGTGCAGAGAGCATGCTGCTCCCATTATCCTGGCCCATTAGGGAAGCAACTGGAAAAAAAACATTTAGCAATTTGGACAGGAGTGAGGCTGCAGAATGGCTCGTTTCTCTGTGACAGCCTGCCACGTACAGATGAAAGGGAAGGCTTATAACAAATTTTCATTACCCCCAAATAAAAAAGCAACAGCAGGCAAAGCAAGGGCTTTGAGGCTGAGAGGTGGAGCCAGAAATCCACCCAGAAGACCACAAAGGAGCCTCAGCAAAACAAATCAATCAATCTCTCAGTCACTTCCACTTGCCTAGCACGGTTCACGCCAGTGGCAATCAGGCCCGTCAGCCTGTCAGGCTCTGGCCTTCAGCTCCTTGCCTCACACTGTTAGGAAATGCACCAAAGTACTACCTCCAGGGCTCTCCCTTGCAAAACCTCTTGCCCACCTTCCCTCAACAGCCTATGCTCTGTAGGAAAACCTACCCCCAACCTGAGAGGCAGCACTGCAGGATTTGGTAAAGGGAAGCGATTGGGGTTTGCAAACGGCACCGGCATCTTTGCCTTTTGCTCTGCTTCCAACTTCAGTGAGTGCCGAGTGGAAATCAAACCTCAGATTCAGGAGGGCATGGGCCCTACAGGGTTCCCAGATTCCCAGAGCTGGGGCTTCGTCAATGTTCCTCCCACCCCCAGTTCATGTTCTGCTGAGAGAGTTCAGGACACCCACTAGGCGCAGACCCCAGATGAAACCCCACCTCTGAATACCCCACACAGGTCCCGCGACCCACTCCCGCTCTAATGAGTCTGGCTGCCCGCAGAGCTGCATAATACATTGCGCCTTTGACCTTATTAGAAGACAACTACACAAATACTGCCTTTTCCTGGCCTGGGTGTCTGTCCGCAGGTATCCCCAGCACGTTTACCATTGCAGATAAAAATGATTTGTGACGGGGAGCTGCAGGCTGGATGTTGGATAAGACCAGGGCTGGAATAGACAGGCTTTCCCTTCCATGATTTCTCTAAACCCTCGTCATTCCTTATCAACAGCTTCAAAAACACATGTTATTAAACATCTGGGTTTTAGTGACATCCAAAACTGTGTGGAGAGTAAATGGGATTCGTGGGTGTAGGTATTTTTACCTTTGGGAATGGCTAGTGTTGACAGCTAAAGGACAGCATCAGGTCACAGGCTCAAGAATACTGAAGCAGGGTCCCCAAATTACCATTTTTTTAATTCGTATGGGATTCAGGAAAAGAGTTTGCAAAAAAATAGCATACACACAGAAATGTATAAAAGATGTTTTAATCTCCCTAACATGACAGATGTTAATTGTGAAGGATTTGTGGTGTTTGTGGTGCATACACACAGGTAACTACTGAAAGCTACCGAGAGTTCAGAGGAGGAACATCCCTTAACAGCTGAGTGATCAAAGGATTCACTAAAGACAAGGATAAACATTGATCGAGCACTTTCTTATGTGCCAAGTCCCTTAGAAAAATTGTCTTTTTGAATGGTAAACTGAGGCCCAAAAAGGGAGGGGCAGAGCAAGGAGAAGGAGGAGTACAGTTTGACAAGGAGGATTGGCCAAGGACAATCAGAGAACAAAAGCTCAGAGACAGAAAATCAAATTCCATGGTTGAATGCCTACTCTGTACCAGGTACTGGCCCAGACACGAGGGGAAAACAAAGACGCAGGAGGCATGGGCTTCTCCTTCAAGGAGCTTGAGACTAAGACACTCCCGGGGCACCACGACCATAAAATGCCATGATGGACAGTAGAGGATATCACAGAACAAGGATACAATAACTGGGTGGCGGGGGTGCAGTGGGCACAAGGCGGTGGAATGCTTGGGAGGCAGTGGTAGGCTGTTTTGACAAAGGGACTGCCCAGAAATTTCTCCCTTTACATCCAAGGATCCAACCTAGTGTCGAGGGAACTGCATATTGGCCTTTTTTGTCTCCCCTCATTTTCCCAGTCCAACAGGACATAGTCACTGGCCATGGGAGGAAAGGAATGGGAGATAGGATGAAGGTTAATAATTTTTTCCTGGCTTGTGCTATATCTTTGCTAGGAAAATTGTACCACTCCTAGCTTTTTCTGAGGTTTATGCTTTCCATGGACAGATGAAAAAAGCACAAATAAGTAGGGAATTTCAGAACTAAAGACTTCCTTGGTATTATATTCACCTTGGCCTGGTTTCATTCATGGGGTCTTCATTGATAGGCACTGGTTTTGACCCAGGGTAGAGAGAGAGGGGGCTTGGAATTATTGATACATTGGTCACAGAACATGCTCTGACATTCTTACAAATAATCTGCAGGCCCTGGATTTTAGAATAAATGATTCACTTGCATAGTCTGTGTCTTTATGACATCTCTTTTCCTATTTTAAGAAATACTAAAGAGATTAATAAATTCAAGCCTACCTTATAGAATACCCTGAGGTAGAGGGCCCAAGAGTACACTATGACTAAAACTATGTACAGAAGAACAAATATTCTATAATCCAACATTCAATTTCTTGGAGAAGTTTGTAAATGATTATAAGGTGTGGATAGTAGCATTCTTTTGCAAAGCACTCCTGCATGTATTACCTTATTCACTCCTCTCTATTACCTGAACTAGATGGGCATTGTTATCCCATTTCAGGTCCAGGGTAACAATGTGACTTGTCAATTGCCACGCCATTGATAAATGGCAAACTCTGAACCCAGAATTTTTTTAAAAACATAATTATTTTTCTCTTTGAGTAGCTAATACTCACCAAGTATTGTATACTCATTTTATTTTATCCTTACAATTACCTACACAGTAGGTTATATCATCTTTGATTTATGATTGAGAAATGAAGGCTCCAAGAGAGAAAGTGACTTTCTCAGGGTACTGCTGCTCATAGTGGGGTCTGGGATATGAGGATTTTTCCCAGAAAGGAAGTCTTTCAAGAGCTAAAAGACTCTTTTACAGAGGAAATGAACGCCAGACTTGGGACAATGAAACTGAATTCCAGGTTCTGTCCACTAAATCTTCAGGCGAATCATTTTCATGTATTGAGCCTTTGCTTCCTTCTCTGTTAAATAAACCTATAGGAATGTTTCAACCCATGGGTGAGGATGGATGCCAAACAGCTGCACATCAGTTTACATCATATTTCACTGTCAAACTCAGCAAAATTACTTTGGATTTTGGAATATGATTTTGCGGACGCTTGCTTCACAAACAAGCAATATGACTCTGATGGGCATATTCTTGAGTGAAAGAGGCAAATGACAAAATTATTCTTGCCATGTAGCTTTGTTCATTCAGAGTTCAAAAGCATGCAAAACTAAGCAAGATATTGCTAATATATTTATTAAAATATAATTTGAAATAAATAAATAAACTTAGAATCTGGCACCTCAGATTCTAAGTCCAGGGCTTTTTTCACCACAATACATTGTATCATGAATGCACTGTCTTCCTACAAATTTCTTTCTATGGAAAAAATAATCCTAAAATTCTTTCTATGGAAAAAACAATTCTGAAATTCTTATGTAACCACAAAAGACTGAAAAGAGCCAAAGCAATTTTGAGCAAAAAGAACAAAGCCAGAGGTATCATGCATCCCAAATTAAAAATATACTGCAAAGCTACAGTAATCAAAACAGCTTGGTAACCCACATAAATACTCAACTTACCTTTGACAAAGGAGCAAAGGCAATACAATCGAGCAAAGATAGTCTTCAACAAATGATGCTGGAATAACTGGATACCCACATGCATACACACAAAAAGAATCTAGACACAGACCTTATTTCCTTCACAGAAATTAACTCAAAATGGATCATAGACCTAAATATAAAATGATCAAAGGCCTAACTGTGAAATAAATCATTGCTAAACTAGACTTCATTAAAATTAAAAACCTTTTCTCTGCAATAGATAATGTCAAGAAAATGAGAAGACAAGTCACAAACTAAAGGAAAATATCTGCAAAAGACACATCTGAAAAAGAACTGTTATCCAAACATAAAGGACGCTTAAAACTCATCAATAAGAGAATAAACTTTTCTATTAAAAAATAGGCCAAAGACCTTAACAGGCACTTTACCAAAGAAGCTATACAGATGGCAAATAAGCAGGTAAAAAAATGCTCCATGTCATATGTCATCAGAAAAATGTGAATTAAAACAATAACAAGATAACACTACACACCTATGAAAGTAAAAATCCAAAACACTGACAATACCATATGCTGGTGAAGATGTGGAACGAGGATTTTCATTGCTGATGGAAATGCAAAATGGTATACAGTCACTTTGGAAAACCGTTTGGCTATTGCTTACAAAACTGAACATACTCTTACCAAAAGATCTGTAATTGTTCTCCTTGATATTTACACCAAAGAATTGAAAACATGTCCACACAAAAATCTGCACATGGATATTTATAGGAGCTTTATTTATAATTGCCAAAACTTGGAAACAACCAAGATATCCTTCAGTAGGTGAATGGATAAATAAAATATGGTATATTCAGACAATGGGATATTATTCAGCACTAAAAAGAAATGAGCTATCAAGTTATAAAAAGACATGGAGGGAACTTAAATGCTTATTACTAAGTGAAAGTAGATGGTCTGCAAAGTCTACATAGTGTATAATTCCAACTATATGACATTCTGGAAAAGGCAATATGAAGACAATAAAAAAAAGATCAGTGGTTTCCAGGGGTTCAGGCAGGGGAGAAATGATAAGGAGACCACAGAGAACCCTTGAGGCAGTGAAAATACTCTGCATGATATTTTAATTGTGGCTACATGTAATTATACAATTCGTCCAAACCCACACAATGCACAATACCAATAATGAATCTTAATGTAAACTCTGGATTTTGTGTGATATGATGTGTCAATGGAGGTTCATAAACTGTAATAAATGAACTACTGTGGTGGGGGATATTGATAATGGAGAAGTTACATGGGGACAGAGGGTGTATGGGAAATCTCTTACTTTCTTCTTAATTTTGCTGAGAACATAAAACTGCTCTAAAAAAATTAAATCTTTAAAACAAAGGATGATGCTGGCATAAAAACAACATACAAACCAATAGAACAGAATGAAGAGCCCAGACATAAATCCACACATGTATGACCAATGGATCTTCAACAAGGGTACCAATGAACAAAGGACAGTCTCTTCAATAAACAGTGTTGAAAAAACTGGATATCCACATGCAACAACATGGAATTAGATTATTTTACTGAATATATAAAAATCAACTCAAAACGGATTAAAGACTTAAATGTTTAAATCCTGAAACCATAAAACTCCTACAAGGAAACATAGGGAAAACCTTCTTGACATTGGCCTTGGCAATGATTTCTTGGATATGGCCCCAAAAGCACAGGCAACAAAAACAAAAATAGACAAATGGGACTACATCAAACTAAAAAGCTCTGCACAATAATCAACTAGTGAAAAGACAACCTATGGAATGGGAGGAAGTCTTTGCAAAACATACATCTGATAAGAAGTTAATATCCAAAATATTAGAGAAACTCAAATAACTCAATAGCAAATAAATAAATAACCTGACTTAAAAATGGGCAAAGGGCCTGAATAGATATTTCTCCAAAGAAGATATACGAATGGCCAATAGGCATATGAAAAGGTGCTCAACATCACTAATCATCAGGGAAATGCAAATTAAAACCATTATGAGATATGATCTCACACCTATTGGGATGACCATTATCAAAAAAAAAACAAAAAGGTAACAAATGTGAGCAAGGATACAGAGAAAAAACCCTTGTATACTGTTGGTGGAAATGTAAATTTTGTAGCCATGACAGAAAACAATACGAAGGTTCCTCAAAAAATTAAAAATAGGGCTACCATATGATCCAGCAATTACATTTATGTGTATATAGCCAAAGGAATTGAAATCAGGATCTAGGAGAGACATCTACACTCTCATGTTCATTGCAGCATTATTCACAATAGCCAAGATATGGAGACAACCTAAATATCCATCAACAGATGAATGGATAAAGGAAATTCAGTATATAGATACAATGGAATATTATTCAACCTTAAAAAAAAGAAGGAAATCCTGCCATTTGCTACAACATGGATGAAATGGTAGGTCATTATGAAATAAGCCAGACACAGAAGAATAAATACTATGTAATACCACTTATATAGAAAATCTAAAATAGCCAAACTCATAGAAGCAGAGAGAGGAATGGTGGTTGCCTGAGGCTGGGGAAGGGGAAATGAGGAGGCGTAAGTCAAAGGCACAAAGCCTTCATTACACAAGCTGAATAAATCCTGGAGATCTACTGTACGATGTTGTGCCTGTGGTTAACAGTACTATATTGCATACTTTAAAATTTGCTAAGAAGGTATATCTTATATTAAGTATTCTTTTCATCAAAATAATGAATAAGTAAATAAATAAACACAGTGGAAGGAAACTTCTGGAGGCAATAGATAAGTTTATGGCATAGACTGTAGTGATGGTTTTAGGATATATACGGATCTCCAAACTCATCAAGTTGTATACATTAAATATGTAAGCTTTTTGTAAGTCTAATCATACCTCAATAATGTCATTTTTTTTAAAAAAGAAAGCTCTTTCGACACTAAAACATGGACAAGCATTCTGATTCACTTGGCCATGTTGCAACTCACCATTAAATGGAACTCCAATATCAAAGAAACAAGGGATGAGACTGCCACTTGGGTTATTTAGATCAAAAAAATTCTACATCAAGTAATGAACATGAAAAAGTTCTGGATTTTTAAGGAAATCACTCCAACTTTCCACTTGCCACTGCTAAGAGACTTCATGCCTGAAAGGAGGCCACATGGCTAGGACAGAGCTGTGTCTAAAGCCGAAGGCCTCCATGATCAGATGAGGACTGCAGTTCCTGGAATATTCTGATTTCAGGAGGGAGAGGTGGTAGGGGACACCTAGACTCAATGCTTACTTGTTTTCGTTGCAATATTATGCAGCATTTTGCTGTGGCATCTCTCAGGAAGGGATGCACTGCGAATATCACCATTCTGCCAGACTTACACTAGGGAGTAGCTAGAAAATTTTAAGTCTATACATGGATTTCTGGCGAGAATAGAAAGTCTTTCATAAGATTATCCTGATTTAAAATTCACAAATCACTGTTTCCCAAAGTGTGGTCTGTACATCATATTGCAAGCATGACCTGGGGTATTAGTTAAAAATACAGATCCCTTGTTCCCATTACAGTTCCACCAAATCAGAATCTGTAGGAGGGTCCCCAAAATTTGCATTTTAACAAACTTTCCAGGTGATCTCTATATGCCCTGAAGTTCATGAGCCACCGTTCTAAACAAAACAAACCACTCCCATATCCACAATGCCCCCCTTTAAACAAGGTTTCTGGCCAGCTAAAATAATAAAATAAAATTTGTACTTCTCCCAGGACACAGAATTGCTCCCCAAAGAAAGCAATTGGCAGATATTCCTGCTGACGGGTGGCGGCTGTGGCTGCAGTAGTTATTCCAGGCAATGGACAGTTCTTCCAGCCCAAAGGAAACTTAAGCTTAAAATAACAATGATGGTTTTTCTGTAGCAGCGAGGAATCTTTCAATTTATCATTCCCCAAAATCATACGGACTGCTGAAGCCATTAGATCCAATAGTGCCCATCCATGAACAAGCTGGACTTTGATTTAACCTCAAATACCATCTGAGAAAGTCAAAATAATGTCACAGGGCTGGCTTCCATTTTGCTTTTTCTGAGCACTTTCCTACTCGGCTCACCTCTGAGCATAGATGCTATTCTGCTGACCTCCACCCTTTCTTTATTTGCTTCTTTTTGATCCTTCTCCTTTCTCATGTGCCTTTCCAAACTCAGCCCCGATGAGCATGCAAGGGTCTTAGAAAACATGGAGTCCTTCAGAGCCTGATGGGAGACGCCTAAAGCAACTAAAAAAAAAACATAATTCATGTTTCCAAATTCCAGAGGGGGAGAAAAACAGCAAAGTGAACAGACTTGTGAAAAAAACATAAGGAATTTATCAACATTTATCAGTTTGATTCAGAGCAAAGCATGATTAAATATTTATTGCAGATGCTGGTGAATTCTGGCTTCTCCTTAGTGAAGGGGCTGCCGTCAAGGACACCTGGGAGACCCCTTTTCTTCAGCTCGCCCCTCCGCTTTCTGTCTGACCCACAAAGGGCCAGAGCACACTTTCTCTGCATAGAAGGAAAACCTACTGGGGCATTTCTTCTTTACAACCAGATGCAAATCTGCCTGCTGTGTAAATAGATGGAACTAAGTGACTAAGTGACACCATTCTCAATGCAAAAGATGTTAACCCTAAGTTTTCACAGCAATGCACTGGAATTCTCCAAAGCTAAAAGAAGCCCACAAAGCCCTCTGCAAAAGTAGAGCAACCTTTTCTACCAGTGAACTCCGATTCTGTACATTTTAGTTCAACCACTGACTCAAGAGGATGCTTAGAGTCAGCGGGAAAGCATGGCTGCAGGTGGAAGGGATAATGGTGTTGGGTCAGGTGGATTAGATTTATCAGGAGAAATTGGGCAAATATGCATGTGGTTCTTCTCATGGTCATGCTCATCCTCTTCGTCTACTGTTAATTGCAAAAGACGCCCTTTTAAAGGTAATTGCTACATTTCATCACTTGTTCATGTGGCTTGCACAGTTTGATATTTATGACTGTCTCATTTTTCATACAAATGGAAATCCTGGGAGTCTGCCTTTATAGGCTTCTAGTATTAGCCCTTCCTGTTTCTCAACCTGTGTTTTTCCTTCAGTGGCCATTTGCTCCCTTTGCGGTAATACATGGCCTCAATTAGCAGGTTATGTTTGGACTGTAACCAGTTGTATTCCAGTTTTTCTGACTGTATTTCCCCTACCATCTTTTGCAGTCTTTCTAGAAAGAAAAATTCTGCCAAATCTTAACGGGTAAGTAAAATAATGGGTTTCGTCCTCTTGGCAAAGAGAGGAGCATGCTAGCAAAACACACGGAAGAGAGGGTGAAGGGGATTCACATCTTCTCTGTTTTGCCCTCCGGTAAAGCTGCCCAAGGTGTGTATACACAGGTTCTCTCTGTCAACCTGCTCGCCCCATAGTCTGGGAAGAATTGGGCTCAGTGTAAATAAATGATAATGAGTCCATCGAAGCATTATATGGGATGGTCCCCTAGTGGCAGGAAAGAGTTAATATACCTCCCAAAGTGCCTAACTCACAATCAGGGAGAGACCTCACTCTGGGAGAACCAGGCTTCCACAAACCCAAATTTGATAAAAGATGTCAGCAAGAAGGAAAAGTAGAAAAAGGAGGGTAATTATTTTTTTAATCATGCATGAGTACTTCACTCTGGTAGGTATTAACTCAGTCATTTCTAGTAGGCCAGGAGATTAAAAAAAAAAAAAAGGCAGAGGATGAAAGAAGAGAGACCCACAGAAAAGAAAAAAAGACACAGCAGAAGAGTCACAAAAAGAAGAAAGAGCAAGTGACACGTATGGTATTTTTTATTTTTCCTGACTACATTTGAAATTTCTGAGTTGCAAAAACTGAATCCCTCATGTCTCAAAGCCCCTCCAGGTAGTTGAAAACAGTCACCGTCTGCCTCCCAGAGGAGGTTGATCCTTGGCTTTTATCAACTACAGTAAACTCTATCTTAGAATATATTTGTTACAGGTATCAGAATTCCCTCCCTGGAATTATATTTTAAGATCTATGTGTCTCTATCTTTTTCAAAGGTACAATAAAAGACCATGTTTTAAAAAAAACTTCTTGTACACTTCAACTTTATTTTTTATCCCCTAAATGTGATTGCCTAGATCCACATAAGATTGTTAAAAACTGGAAGCTCTTTGAGGGCAATTGTTTTTAGTAATAGTAGCAGTAGTTGTAATATTTCTTACAAAACTTTATTAAAGTATTTGCTTGGTAATAGATATTATATTTTACAAATGGTGAGCCAGAAAATAAATATTACTCAATTATAAAACTTTAAGTAAACATTTATAATCTGTTATTTTTTTAAATATATATTTAAACTATCATATCTATTCTAAAAAACAATTTAGAATATAAAGATATATATAAAAAGGAAGAGAATTCTCACATAATTCCACCTACCAAGTGTAACTACTCTTTACATTTGAGGTCTACATATTCATTATATATATATATATATATATATATACACACATACACACACATATATATATTTAATTAATTTTATTAAAATAAATTGCATGCATATTTTGTCACATGCTTTTTAAAAATTAAACAACATAATTTTCCACATGTCTTTCCATTTCATCAATTATTATGTAAAATTCCAAACATTATTTTTAATAAGTGCATGTGTCTCATTATGTGGGTAAATAAAAATTATTTACTGCAATTTGTCTAATTTACAATGAAACATTTATGTTGGTTACATGTATCTGTATTTGAAACAATGCTGAGATGAACATTCTCAGAGTTAAATGTTTGTGTACATTCATAATTTTATAATTCTATGAAATGGAATTATGAGATCAAAGGATTCAGCCATTTATTTATTTATTTTATTTTCAGAGATGAGGTCTCTCTCTGTCGCTAGAGTGCAGTGGCATGATCATAGCTTACTGCAGCCTCAAACTCCTGGGTTCAAGTGATCCTCCCACCTCAGCCTTCTAAGTAGCTAGGACTGCAGGCATGCACCATACCTGGCCAATTTATTTTTATTTCATAGAAATGGGGTCTCACTATGTTGCCCAGGTGAGGCATTCAGTCTTTTAAAGGTGGCTATTTTATATTGCAAACTTAATATCCCAAAAGCTTGTATCAATTTATTTTTCCACCAGCAGTAGGCATACATATATCTTCAAAGTAAACAGTCAAACAGCAAATCCTATCCAAAAAGGTAATTTGAATTTTCTGACTCCAATACAAATTTGTGGTAGATAGCAAGAGTCCCAGCAATAGAATCACAAAGATTTGTATAAGTTAGGTTGCAAAGATGATAAAGAAGATTCAACATGCCTTTTTAATAAAAGATTTTTCTATACGCTTAAATTTGGACTGGATCTGAAGATTGTAATCACAAGCTATAAACACATGAAAGAAGATTACATCATTTTATGATTTACTTTCAGAGGCATGAAATAGACAAGGTTTTATGTGCAAGATGGTCTAAGGAGAAGATAAGAATGAAAACTCAAATTCAGGGCTCCGTTCACTCATTTATTGGTTCTTTAACATTTATTGACTATCCCTGTTTTCACCATACTGTGCTAAGTTCTACAGAAGCTCAAAACTGAGAGGAATTAAAATCTGATTCTTATAATAGATCATAGATTCCCCAGAAAGCTCTTCCAAACTTTAGGAACTTCTAATAGTTGTTCAAAATGATAGCTGATTGTTTTACAAAAACATACCAGCAAAGTACATAATTGAGCGATTAATCAACTGATTTATTGAACACCTCCTTTAAACAAGGCACACCAAATGCTATGAGATAGTCTCTGCCCTTCAATACCTACAAATCTAATGCAAAAGATTTGACAATAAACACACATAAAAATGTAAGCGGCAATCCATGGTACAGAAAGAAAGTGCCGCAGAGAGAGTCAGCTGAGTGGAAGGCCTGATTTGCTCTGTGCGCAGAAGTCCTTCCAGCTTAAATGGCAAGAGTTGAATTTGGGATGGGCCTTACTGGATGGTGGAATGTGCATGAATAAAGGACACAGAGGTAGGAAATCAGCCTCAGCAAAGCTTCAGAAGCCAGAATGTGCAAGGCATATTTGGGAAGGAGCAATGAGAACTCCAGGAAGGTCTGGCTGGAGCACAGACTTCAGTGTGAAGAAAAGGGAAAGAAAGTGCCAACAAAGCAGCTGAAGCCACATTGTCGCACAGGACGAAAGCAAAGCCAGGCAGTTCGAACTCTATCTGAACGCAATGTGTAACCAGAAAAGATCTTAGAGGGAGGAAATGAGGAGGTGTGGACAGGATTGTAGAAAGATCAGTCTCTACTGAGAGCAAGCTGGGATGGTGGTGGTGAAGGGGAAGGTAGTTTGGAGACTCATAATAATCTAGGTGTGCAGTGACTATGTGCTGGGAACCAGGTAGACACAGCGAGATGGGAAAGGTGAAGAACTCCAAATATTAGGACAGATGAGTTTTAGGGAAGTCTGGAGGCTCTTTGTCCTTTGATCACCTTTTCTTCCTATGGTCAATTTAAAACACACAAATGGATGGCAGCAGCTTGCCTCTCCCTGGTTCTGCCAGTATTTCTACTCCTATTGTCCCCTGATTCGGGGACAACTGTTACATTAGGCAAGTATAAAACCAAGTGTGGATTTCAGTAACCATTGTTGGGGATATTTTTAACATAATTACTAAAGCCTTAAATATTTTAAAAAGGTCATTCTCCTTTATGAATGCATGTATTACGTGTATATTTACATATTGTGCATTTTGATGTGATTCACAGGTTGTACATCTAACTTTAGAAGAAGTAAAGCTCTTATTAAATATCCCATGCTTGAAAATGTTAGAATAATTTGCAGAAAATATTTCAGAGCTTCTCTAAATGGCTCAGAGGCATTTACAACTTAAGAAAAACTACAGCTTGCTGAAAAGCATGAATTGCTTACTGTCTTTTTTTAATGAGAATTTAAGAAGGCTTATTAAAAAAGAAATAAATTTTCCATTTCAGCTCATTTGGCTTCATCTGCTATTAAATCCTACATATACCCAAGAGTTGCACTGATGTACTTAAATATTGTTTCTGCATTGAGATTGCCTAATGAGGCAATTAGTGGAACTCCTCAGATAGCTGGACCAAACGCTTTTCAGCAGACAGAAGAGGTCCACTAAAGCAACAATGCAAAGTGCTTACATTCCCTGCCCACTTCTATTTGACCATGTGTCTTAGACAAGGCGAGTGGTGATTTTGGAAGGTGGACAAAACCATGCACTTCGCCTAGATGAAAGAGGAGCTTTGAGGCATTGTTTCTGAAAACCATGCAAAAGGCACAACACAGAAGAACAAAACTTTCTCTTTTCTCTCAGAATTACCAGCTTTGCTCTAATCCAAAGCTTTCTAAACTTGAGTTTTCAAGAAACCACCTTTTTGTTGTTGCTATTTATTTACTGTCTTAAAATATAAATTAACTACTTTCTTCAAATTGATTAAAAACTTTTACTAAAATTTATTTTTAAACTATATACAAATACCATAAATGGAATGCCAGAATCATTTGATACAAATAGAAGATAACTATAAAAAGTAATATCATGACAATAAAATTGGCTTATTAAGTGCCGTTGCAATATCATCTTCTGTCAAAGAGAGGAGCTTGGGATATTTTCTTTTTCTTGCAGAGGGAGATTGACAAAGGCTAGAGAGGTATTCAAGTCATTCTGGTACCAGGCAGAGACTTTCTTTTTGACTTTGTCATAAGGATTGAAAGAGAATTGAAAAGGAAATAGCTTCCTTCCAATGTGATTGGTTATTTATTCATTATTTAACAAATACATGCATAACACTCACCAGGTGCCTAGGTGCCTATATTGGCCTAAGTAATTTACATCTATTAACTTATCTATCCTCATATCGACCCTATAAGGTAGTATATTATTATCCCCATTTTACAGATGAGAAAAGGTACACAGAGTTTAAGTATTTTGTTTAAGGTCACACAGCTAAAAAGTGGCAGAGCCAGGCTCAAATCCAGGCATTTTCACTACCGTTTGTTCACTTACCACCACTCCACACTGCCTGTGACAGTGGGATTCAACACTCTATAGAGCCACTTTCACACATGACCTAAAATCATAGCGTGTCTCATGTAGAAGCATTAGCCCACACTGCACTACATGCCCCACGTGTCGAAGAGCACTGAACTTCCAGCTGTCTTCAAATCCTATCTCCTTGGCGAATCTTATGATCCAGCCCTCAGTGACTGCTTTGTCCCCTGACCCACTGAACCACTTACTGTTGGTTCTCTCTGGATTGTTAGCGTTGATGAACTTGAATGGTTATTTGAAGTTTTAATATTAATATACCAATATTAAATACTATTAATAATATATTAGTAAATAATATTAGTATATTCTTCTCCCCTGGTACATTTTAAATCCTTTAAACAAAGGAAATGTTTTGTATGTCTTTGAATCAATCCTTAAAACTTAATAGGTGTTTTATAAATGATTTAATGATAATCATTTTATCCATATATAGACCAGAGTTTCAAGAGAAGGAATTATATATCAATATCTATTATATATATTTAATGTATATATACACAAAAGTTTCATAAGAATAAATGTTCACACACATACACACACACACACACACAAATGCAATTTCTAGAGAGGCTGAAGGTAAAGACAAAGAGTCATAAGGCCCATGCAATAAGATGTTGTCTCCCAAATATTTTACATGTGATTTGGTAATGACATAAAGAAACAAATCAGCTGTTAGTTAGAACTAACTACATGGCAAGCACCATTATGCGATTTTACAAAAGGTAAAACTGAGTATCAGAAAGGGTAATTTGTGCAACGTGATATTAATATAATCCCTAAGATTTGAGATTGGAAACAGGGCTGCCTGAATCCAAGGACTGCATTCATTTCTTAACTACGACACCACACAGGGAAGAGGGGGTCAATTGTGAATTGTCACTTGTCAATTGTGAATTTTGAATCGTCAATTGTGAATCTCATAGATTTCTATGAGAAAATCTAAATGTGGCATTGTATGTGCATTTTGTATTGTGATTTAAAACATATTACATGAAATCTACCCACTTAATAAATGTTTGAATGTATAGTACAGTATTGTTAACTATAAACACAATGTTGAACTGCAGATCTCTAGAACTTTCATCTTGTGTGACTGAAACTCTATAACCACTGAACCACTCCTCATTTCTCCTGACAGCCCCTGGCAAGTGTCATTCTACTTTCTGTTTCAATGAGTCTGACTATCTTAGATATCCATATAAGTGGAATCATGCAGTATTTGTCCTTTTGTGACTGGCTTGTTTCACTTAGCATAATGTCCTTAAAGTCCATCCATGTTGTAGCACGTGACAGGAGTTCCTTCTTTTTTAATGGCTGGAGAATTTTCTATTGTGTTTATAAATACACACACACTCACACACACACACACACACACATACACACCCCTACATTTTCTTTATTCATTTATCCATCCATCCATGAACATTTAGGTTGTTTCTACCTCTTAACTATTTGAATAATGCCACAATGAACATGGAAGTACAAATATCTCTTCAATATTTTGATTTTGATTCCTCTGGATAAATACCCAAAAGTGGGTTGCTGAGTCATATGGTGGTTCTCTGTACCATTTTCTGTAATGGCTGTACCATTTTCCATTCTCACCAGTAATATACGAGGGTTCATTTATCTCCATATCCTTGCTGACATTTGATGTTTTATTTTTTAAATAATGGCAATCCTAACAGATATGAGTGATATCTTATTGTGGTTTTGATTTTTCTTTCTCTGTCATTAGTGATTTTGAGTACCTTTTCATATATCTCTTGGTCATTTGTATGTCTTCTTTGGAGAAATATCTATTGAGGTCCTTTGCTTATGTCTTAATCAGGTTGTTTGTTTGATTTTTTGCTGTTGAGTTGTAGGAGTTCCTCAAACATTTTAGATATTAACTTTTTATCAGATGTATGGTTTGCAGACATTTTCTCCCATTCCATAGGTTGTCTTTTCACTCCGTTGACTATTTCTTTTGCTGTGCAGAAGCTTTTTAGTTTGATGTAGTCCCACTTGTCTATTTTTGCTTTTGTTACCTGTGCTTTTAGTGTCATATCCAAGAAATCATTGCCAAGCCAAATATCAACAGGGTTTTTTTCCTGTGTTTTCTTCTAGGAGTTTTATGATATCAGGTACTACACTTGAGTCTTTAATCCATTTTGCGTTGATTTTTATGTGTGGTGTAAGATAAGGACCCAGTTTCCTTCTTTTGAATGTAGATATCCTGTTTTTCAAGCATGTTGTGAATTCTTACAAGTTTATGTTGCCTCAGCATCCATTTTAAATATGAGATTAACTTTCTCATATCAGTAGCAGGGCTTAGTCATCCTTGACACAATTTCCAGTTCTCTGCCTCCTCCCAGTTCCTCAAAGTAGTCAATCCAGATGTCTCCCTTATATAACCACTTCCTAGTGACCATTGCCCTATGAGACAGCTAGATACAACTTACCTAACTGACCTCCACCTCCTACATGCACAATGCAGATAAGCCACAGCAACCACCTTTTAGTCACAGTGTGATCGCATGGAACTTGATCCAGCTTGCTGTAAATCCACCAGTTACAATTCCCAATGGGAAACCCACCTAGATGATACCTGGACCGCAATAAAAGCTTCAGCCTACAGGTCCCTCATTTTGTCTCCCTCTTATTCCTTACCCGCTGGTTGGGAATGCCTTATGACTCCCCCCTTTCCATTGGTGTTCCAAGGCATGTTGACCTCTTCTCTCTGGGATCTGTCAAGTAGTAAACTTTCAGTTATTTCACGTGTTTTGTTGAGTTGACTCCTCTGTGTCTTTTTTCCTGGTCAGGGTTCTCCTAGAGAGTGGCTATCTTGGTAGGAATAAACTGGACACAGGGCAGACAAGAGCCACAGAGTGTTCACCAGCATAAACATGTTTCCTGTGAGAGGAACACCTGGTCATGAGTCAGACATTGAGGCATCTTCTCAATAAAGAAGTATCCCACGAAGGATACATTTTAAATATTCATGACCAAATACCCTGGAGCCCCATAAAGGCAAGACTAGAGTTTATAGCCACTATCCAGAAAAAGGACTCAAGACCAAATTAGAGGAAAATACAACACAGCACCATTTGTTGAAAAGACTATCCTTCCCCACTGTGTAGTCTTGACACCCTTGTTGAAGATCCTTTGATCTCATATATGTGGGTTTATTTCTGGGCTCTCTATTCTAGTCCATTGAACTATTTCTGTATTTATACCAGCACTATACTGTTTTGATGACTGTAGCTTTGTAATGTGTTTTGAAATCAGGAAGTCTGAGGCCCCTAGCTTTGTCCTTCTTTCTCAAGATTGTTTTGGCTACTTAGTCTCCTTTTTGGTTTTATAGAATTTTAAAATTGTTTTCTCTAGTTCTATTAAAAAATGCCATTGGGATTTTCAAAGAGACTGTGCTGAATCTGTAGATCACTTTGAGTAGTATGGATATTTTAACAAAATTAAGTCTTCTAATTACAAACATGGGATGTCTTTCCATTTATTTGTGTCTTTAATTTCTTTCATCAATGTTTTGTACTTTTCAGTGTATGTGTCCTTCACTTCCTTAGTTAAGTTTATTATTAAGCATCTTATTCTTTTGGGCACTATTGTAAATGGGATTATTTTCTTAATTTCCTTTTGAATTGTGCATTTTTAGTATAGAACACAATGGGTTTCTATATGTTGATTTTGTGTCCTGAACCTTTACGATATTCATTTATTGGTTCTGATACTCTCTGTCTCTCTCTCTCTCTCTCTCTGTGTGTGTGTGTGTGTGTGTGTGTGTGTGTGTGTGTGTGTGTGTGTAATATTTAGGGTTTTCTATGTATGATTAGGTCATCAATGAACAGAGATAAATTTACTTCTTTCTTCCCAGTGTGAATGACTTTTACTTTTTTTCTTGTCTAATTTCTCTGGCTAGTGCTTCTAGTACGATGTTGACTAGAAGTGGTAAGAGTAGCTATACCTGTCTTACTCCTGATTTTAGAGGAAAAGCTTTCAGTTTTTCACCATTATGATGTTAGTGGTGGGCTTTTTAGATATGGCCTTCATTATGTTGAAGTCATTTCCTTCCTAATTTGTTGAGTGTTTTTACCATGAAAGGATATTGAGTTTTGTTATTTTTTTATATTGACTTAACCATGTGATTTTTATTCTTTGTTCTGTTAATGTAGGGTATATATTGATTGATTTTTGTACATTGAACCATCCTTACATACCAGGGACAAATCCCACTTAATCATGGTATATGATCCCTTTAGTGTGCTGTTAAATTTGGCTTGCTGGTATTTTGCTGAGGATTTTTGCACTTAAATTGTCCTAGGATATTACTCTGCAGTTTTCTTATACTGCTATGTCAGACTTTGGTATTATGGTAATGCTGGCCTCATAAAATGACTTTGGACATGTCCCTTTTTCTCCAGTTTTCTGGAAGAGTTTCATAAGGATTGGCATTAATTCTCCCTAAATGTTTGGTAGACTTCACCAGTGAAGCCATCTTGTCCTGGGCTTTTCTTTGCTGGGAGGGTTTTGATTATTGATTCAATCTTTTACTGAGTATAGGTGTATTCAAATTTATACTTCTTCATAATTTAGTCTTCATGATTTAGTCTAGGAATTTATCCATTTCTTGTAGGTTATCCCATTTTTTGGTGTATAATTATTCAGAGCAGTTTCTTATGATCCTTTTTATTTCTTTGATATCAATCGTAATGTCTCCTTTTTCATTACTGATTTTTGTGATTTGAGTCTTGTCTCTTTGTTCTTAATCTAGCTAAATGTTTATCAATTTTATATTTCCTCAAAACCAACTTGTAGTTTTGTTTATTTTTTCCTATTGTTTTTCTATTCTGTATTTTACTTATTCTTCCTCTAATTATTTCCTTCCTTCTGCTAACTTTGGCCTTAGTTTGTTCTCCTTTTTCTAGCTCTTAGATATGTAATATTAAATTTTTTATGTGAGATCTTCTTTTAATTTGGGCATTTATCATTATAAATATTCATCTTAGTACTGTTTTGTTGCATCCCATAAGTTTTGATATGTTGCATTTTCATTTTCATTTGTCCCAAGATATTTTGTAATTTCCCTTTTGATTACTACTTTGACCCATTGACTGTTTAGTGGGTCACATATTTGTAAATATTTCAGTTTTCTGTCTGCCATTAATTTCTAGTTTCATTCCATTGCGGTCGCAACATACATTTGGTATGATTTCAATCTTCTTGAATGTACTAAAAATTATTTAGTGACCTAACATGCAATCTGTGCTAGGGAATGTTATGGGTTGCTGGAGAAGAATAATAAAATAGGGGTATTGAAGACAACAATAATTGTGTTACTATTTCTCCTTTCAGTTCTGTCAATGTTTACTTCATATATTTTGGTGGTCCAATGTTGGGTGCATATATATTTATAATTGTTGTATCTTCCTGATGAATTGATCCTTTTGTTATATAATGTCCTTCTTTATGTATTTTGGTAATATTTGACTAAAAGTCTATTTTGTCTGATATAAATATGGCCACCCCACTCTCTTTTGGTTATTATATTATGGAATATCTGTTTTCATTCTTTACTTTTAACCTATGTGTGTCCATAATTTGAAAATGGATCTCTTATAGAAAGTATATAGTTGGATCTTGGTGTTTTAATCCATTGAGCTATTCTGTGTCTTTTGATTGGGGAATTTAATCCATTTACCTTTCAAGTTATTATTGCTAGAGAAGGAGTCACTATTGTCATTTTGTTACTTGTTTTCTGTCTTGTAGATTTCTGTTACTCTTTTCCTTTCTTTCTGTCTTCCTTTATGTTTCATTAATTTTTTTAAGAGTAACAGGCTTCATTCTTTTCTCATTTTCCTTTACTTATATTCTATAGGTATTTTCTTTGTGGTTATCATGGTGCTTACATAAACCATCTTACAGTTAAAATACTCGTTTTAAACTGATAACAACTTGTCTTCAATCACATACTAATACTCTACAATTTTCCTCTCCCCACACACTTTATGTTATTTATTTTACAAATTACATGTTTTTATTTTGTATATCCATTAACATGTTTTTATAGTTGTAGTTATTTTTATACTCATCTTTTAATTTCTATACCTGATATTAAAAGTGATTTGCATATCACCATTACAGTATTATGGTATTCTGTATGTCTATAGACTTAGCTTTACCAGCTGGCTTTATACTTTCATATGGTTTTGTGTTGCTGTTAAGTGTCCTTTTGTTTCAACTTGAAGGACTTTCTTTAGCATCAGTTGTAAGATATGGTGATAATGAATCCCACAGCTTCAGTTTTCTTGAAAGTCTTTATTTCTCCTTCATTCTTTTTTTTTTTATTATACTTTAAGTTATAGGGTACATGTGCACAACGTGCAGGTTTGTTACATATGTATACATGTGCCATGTTGGTGTGCTGCACCCATTAACTCGTCATTTAGCATTAGGTATATCTCCTAAGGCTATCACTCCCCGCTCCCCTCACCCCACAACAGTCCCCAGAGTGTGATGTTCCCCTTCCCGTGTCCACGTGTTCTCTTTGTTCAATTCCCACCTATGAGTGAGAACATGCGGTGTTTGGGTTTTTTGTACTTGCAATAGTTTGCTGAGAATGATGGTTTCCAGCTTCATCCATGTCCCTACAAAGGACACGAACTCATCATTTTTTATGGTTGCATAGTATTCTGTGGTGTATATGTGCCACATTTTCTTAATCCAGTCTATCATTGTTGGACATTTGGCTTGGTTCCAAGTCTTTGCTATTGTGAATAGTGCCGCAATAAACATATTTGTGCATGTGTCTTTATAGCAGCATGTTTTATAATCCTTTGGGTATATACCCAGTAATGGGATGGCTGGGTAAAATGGTATTTCTAGTTCTAGATCCCTGAGGAATCGCCACACTGACTTCCACAATGGTTGAACTAGTTTACAGTCCCACCAACAGTGTAAAAGTGTTCCTATTTCTCCACATCCTCTCCAGCACCTGTTGTTTCCTGACTTTTTAATGATTGCCATTCTAACTGGTGTGAGATGGTATCTCATTGTGGTTTTGATTTGCATTTCTCTGATGGCCAGTGATGATGAGCATTTTTTCATGTGTTTTCCATTCTTGAATGACAGTTTTGCTAGACGTAGTATTCTTGGTTAATGGTTTTTTTCTTTCAGCACTTTGAATGTATCATTCCACTTCCTTCTAGCTTGCAAGGTTTCTGCTGAGAAATCTACTAATGGATGTATGGAGGTTTTCTCATATAAATCATTTGTCTCTTGTTGCTTTCAAAATCTCTTTGCTTTTGACTTTTGACAATTTGATTACATATCTTGGTATGGGTTTATTTTGGTGCACTGTAATTGGAGCCACTGGGCTTCTTAATTCTGGATGTCTATTTCCTTCCCCAAATTTGAAGAGCTTTTGGCCATTTTTTTTAAAATAAGCCTTCTTTCCTTTCCTTTTTTCTCTCTGTTCTTCTTCTGGGACTCCATTTTGTGTAAATTGGTGAGCTAAATGGTGTTTCATTAAGTCCCTTAGGCTGTCTTCACTCTTTTTGTTTTTTGAGACAGGGTCTCACTCTGTTGCTCAGGCTGGAGTGTACTGGCATGATCATGGCTCACTGTAGCCTCAACTTTCTGGGCTCAAGCAATTCTCCTGCTTCAGCCTTCTGCATAGCTGGGACTACAGGCATGTGCCACCACACCTGGCTATTTTTTTATTTTTCTTTTTGTAGAGACAGGGTCTCACTGGGTTGCCCAGCATGATCTTAAACTCATGGCCTCAAGTAATCCTCCTGCCTTGGCCTTCTAAAGTGCTGGGCCTAGAGTCATGAGCTACTGCACTTGACCCTTTCTTCATTCTTTTTTATTCTTTTTCTTTTTTTTAATGGAGTCTCACTCTGTTGCCCAGGTTGGAGTGCAGTGGCACAATCTCGGCTCACTGCAACTTCTGCCTCCTGGGTTCAAGCGATTCTCCTGCCTCAGCCTCCCAAGTAGCTGGGATTACAGGTGCCCACCACCATGCCCAGCTAATTTTTGTGTTTTTAGTAGAGATGGGTTTTCTTTCACCATGTTGGCCAGGCTCGTCTCGAACTCCTGACCTCAGGTGATCCACCAGCCTCAGCCTCCCAAAGTGCTGGGATTACAGGTGTGAGCCACCACACCCAGCCTTTCTATTCTTTTTATCTTTTTGTTTCTCTGACTGGATGATTTCAAATGACCTATCTTCAACTTTGCTGAATCTTTTCTGTTTGAAAAAGTTTGATATTAAAACCCTTTAGTGAATTTTTTAGTTCAGTTATTATAGTCTTCAGCTCCCAAATTTCTATTTGATTCTTTCCAATATATTCTATATATTTGGTGATATTCTTGTTTTGTTTATGCATTATCTTCTTGAACTCACAGAGCATCTTTATGGCAGTTACTTTGAATTATTTGTCAGATAACTCATATGCCTCCAGTTCAGTTCTTAGGATCGGTTTCTGAATATGTGTTTTGGTCCTTTACCTGAGCTATGTTTCCCTGTTCCTTCGTGTGTCTCATAACTTTGTGTTGGGATTCACACATCTGAAAAAAGAGCCACCTCTCTCAGTCTTATTGGATTGGCTTTATGCAAGGGAAGACACTCACCAATCAGCCTGACTAGAGCTTCTGTGATCTCTGAAACCTTTTTTAAGGGGATGATGCATTTTCTTTAAGTCTGTGTGTAATTTCATTAGAAAGGCGTATTCCTTTCTTTTTCATAATTTCTTTCTCTCTCTGGCATCTGTCTGTGGCACTGCAAGTTCTTTGAGTCTACAGCACCAATCTGGGTCACTCTCCTTGTTCCTAGTGCCCACCAGGTATTCAGATTATGCAGATTCTCAGTCAGTACCCTGAAATGTAGACAGATACCTGACAAGAGAGATGAATAACAATCCCTAGAATAGCTCTACAAAAAGCCAGAATGCTGGACCCATGCTTCATTTCTCTCCCCCTTTCCCAAGGGGATAGCCTCAAGTTGAGAACTTTCTTCTGATCACAGTAAGCCATGATGGCTACAGCAATCTACCACTCCCTCCCCCACCACACACACTTCTTTTTTCTCAGCAGTCACCAGGCATTGAAATTATGTTTGTTCAACCAGTGCTCTCAATGAGACAAGACAGAAACCAGCCCACTGGGCAGCCCTCTGAAAAGCCAAAATGTTAGATGCACACTCTACCCTTCTCTTTCACTCAAAGGAGGAGTTGTGAGCTAGGGCATGCTCTTCTGGTACTGAGCTGTGCTAACTTGGGGAAAGTTGTTAGGGTAGACTGAAATTGCCCTTCTTACTCATTTTAGTGATATTGTTCTTAGCTTTGTGCTCACCTAGAGTGCTGAAACTTATTAACTGGATTCTGGAATTCTCATAAAGGTATTTTATCCCTATATTGTTGTTAAATCAGGGTAACTGTGGGGAAACAAGGGCTGGGATGTTTTATTATGCCATTTTGCTGACTTCACTCCTGTGCTTGTTTTTAAGTAGGGTTCTTTTATTGTAATTATTTAAAAATAAATTGTCTATTATATAGCTATCAAGTAAGTGTTAGAGGTTGAATCGATTCTAAATGGAGCAAAAATGATAGAATGAACCCTCAAAATCCATGTTTTCTTTCCTGACCTTCTCCAGATTCACATTTACAATTGGTCTCCTAGATATTCTGTGACTCATGACTATCACTGGTTTACTAAAATAGTTTGACTAGCTACGATGCAAACAAAAATCAACTTTAGTCTGTCATTGCACCATGCTTACAAACTAACTCAACCAACCCCCATCTCTCTAACCTTTGTTGAAATCTTAGGCAAGTCATATAGCTCTTCTGATCACTCTCAGTTATTATCGATGAGTATCAATTATTACAAAATAAAACATCCAGTCCAGTCTAATATCAAAATTCCAAACTCCAATCCAATTTATAATGTCACCCTTCCTCCAGCTCATGTTTGATACAAGCAGGGAACCTGAATTGGGAGAGGGGACATAGGTGATTTCACTCTGCCCTCATTTGCCTACCTTGCTTTTCCACTGACTCCTCCTTTAATTACATTATCTCTGACACCCATGAAACTGAAGCAGTGGGTGGGAGAGAGGTAAGGGGAAGAAACAATCTTACCTTTGAAATCTGGTACTGGTGGGGTGATTTTGGATTTTTTGGAACCCAAAGAATTGGAATTCCAAACTTTCCACCATCACTGGGATCTCCCACTTCAGTTCTCTTTACAAGGGCAATAATTCTTTTAGAGGGATGCTTATGATTCCCCCTCTGCCTCTGGCTTCCAGTGGTTGCACACACATACCACACTCCTGTTGGGAGTCATTCTGTCCCTTCAGGAAGTCCTCTTAACTTAAAAGATAGATAGATAGATAGATAGATAGATAGATAGACAGACAGACAGATAGATATTCTATTTTTTTTTTTGAGACAGAGTCTCACTCTGTTGCCCAGGCTGGAGTGCAGTGGCACAATCTTGGCTCACTGCAACCTCCACCTCCCAGGTTCAAATGATTCTCCTGCCTCAGCCTCCCAAGTAGCTGGGATCACAGGTGCCTCCCACCATACCCAGCTAATTTTTGCATTTTTAGTAGAAACGGGATTTCACCATGTTGGCCAGGCTGGTCTTGAACTCCTGACCTCAAGTGATCTGCCCACCTTGGCCTCCCAAAGTTCTGGGATTACAGGTGTGAGCCACTGTGCCCAGCCGGGTTCTCTTTTGACCTATGGAAAATACCATAGAGCTTTAAAATGTTAGCAGCCTTATTTCTTTGCTTTGCCACCAGCAGACTGCTCCAGCTAGACATTACCTCTTTGGCATTCCAGATCCTACATCTCTCAAATTCCAGTGTGGCTTACTTACTATCACATCACACCAGTGTGGCACACTTAGTATCACATGTTCTCCAAATGATCCTCCTGAATTTTTCCTCACTGGACTTGATGTGAAGACAGGGCACCTTTCCTCTCCTTCCTCATAGAGGGTACACAATGCACTGTTCACTCTCTCCAAAACAAGCCTCACCACCAGACCTTCAAACTCTGGATGAATTCAGAGCCTTTGACAACATTTCAATACAAACTTCATGATAAAAACTTTCAGAAAACTAGGAAAGAAAAGAACTTACTCAAACTGATAAACAGCATCTACACACACAAAGAAAATCCTAGAGCTAGCATCGTAATTAATGGACAACAGTTAGTTGCTTTTCCTTTAGATTAAGAGCAAAGAAAAGAAGTCTTAGCCAATGTAA
Organism: Homo sapiens; assembly: GCF_000001405.40. NCBI lineage: Eukaryota > Metazoa > Chordata > Mammalia > Primates > Hominidae > Homo > Homo sapiens. The sequence goes on from NC_000018.10 coordinate 25,630,243, forward strand.
TAAAGCAAGTAAAGGAAATAAAAGTCATATAGATAAGAAAGAAAGAATTAAAACTGTTGTTATTTGCAGACAACATAGAAAATCTCAAGGAATTTACCCAAAAAAAAACCTCATGAAATGAATAAGTAAGTCGTAGGTTTAGCAAGGTTGCAGAAAACAAGGCTAATACACAAGAAGCCAATCACACTTCTATGAATATATGTTAACAATGAACAATTGGAAACTGACATTTAAAACACAATGCTGTTTACAATCAGTCTAAGAAAATAAAACTCTCAGGTATAAAACTAACAAAGCATGCACAGCATCTGTTTGTAGAAATCTACAAAACACTAATTAAAAAAATTGAAGACTTAAATAAATGGATAGATATGGTGTGTTCAGGGTTGATAGACTCAATAAATTTACCTACAATGTGATGTAATTCCCTTCAAAATTCTAAGACATTTTTAGACATAAACAAGCTGGTTCAAAACATATATGAAAAGCCAGAGACTAGAATAGCAAAAATAATTTTGAAAAAGTAGCATAAAGTTGGAGGAATCACATTACCTGATTTAAGTTGTACTGCATAGCTACAATAATCAAAACAATGTGGTACTGGCAGAGGGACAGAAACACAGATCTATGGAACAGAATAAAGAATCCAGATGTAGATCCAAACAAGTGTAGCCAACTCATTTTTGGCAAAGATGCAAAAGCAACTTAATGGAGGAAGTGTAGTCTTTTCAACAATTAGTTTTGGAATATTTGGGTAATCATAGGCAGAAAAGGAAAGAAACCCTCAACCCAAGCCTCATACCTCATATAAAAATGTATTCAAAGTGCTTTATATATCTAAACGTAAAGCAAATAAGTGTAAAACTTTTAGAAGAAAACAAAAAACATTCATGACCTAGGATTAGTTAAATAGTTCTTAGATATGACACCAAAGACAGAATTTATAACAGCAAAATTAATAAACTGGATTTCATCAAAATTAATAATTTGCTTTGTGAAATACCCAAAGAGGATAGAAAAACAAGCCAAAAAATAGGAAAAAACTATTTGGAAATCATATATCTGACAAAAAGGCTCATATCCAGAATATACAAAGAATGCTATAAACTCACCTGCAAGAAAACAAACAGTCCTTGTAACACAAAGGATAAATGCTGAGGGGATGGATACTCCATTCTCCATGATGTGGTTATTGTGCACCACATGCTTGCATCAAAACATCTCATGTATCCCATAAATATATATACCTACCATGTACCCACAAAAATCAAAAATGAGAAAATTCTAAAAAGAAAACAAATAGTTCAATTATAAAATGGGGAAAGTACTTAAATGGACACTTTGCCAAAGAAGATATACAGATGGTAAATAAACACATGAAAACATTTCAACATCATTAGCCATTAAGAAATTTCAAATTAAAACCACAATGAGATATCACCATATACTTGTCAGAACAGCTAAAATAAAAAATACTGTCAGTATTAAATGCTGGCCATGATGTAGAGAAACTGTACCCCTCATATGCTGTTGATGAGAATGTAATATGGTATGGCCACTCTGGAGACAGTTTGGCACTTTCTTATCAGGTTGTGTGCATTGACTATATGGCCCAGAAAAATTAAAACTTGGGTTCACACAGAAACCTGTACACGAATGTTCACAGCAGCTTTATCTGTAATAGAGAAAACGTGGAAACGAGGCAATTGTCCTTTAATGGGTGAATGAATGAGCAAACCATGGTGCACCCACACAATGAAGCACTACTCCACAATAAAAAGGAACTGACTATTAATATATGCAGCAACATAGATGAACCTCAAGGCAGTTTATATTAAAAAAGCCAATCTCAAAGGGTTATATACTCGTATAATACCATTTACATAACAACCTCAAAGAGACAAAGTTACAGTGATGGAGAAGAGACTGGTGGTTGCCAAGGTTGGATTTGGAAGAAGAATATGATTATTAAGAGGCAACATAAAGGAGTTTCTTTGTGTTGGTGGAACAATTCTATATCCTGATGGAGGTGATGGTTACTTGAATCTACACACGTAATAAAATTTCACAGAAGCATATATCAAAAAAAGCTTAAGTAAAAACTTGTGAAATCTGAATAACTCAGGTGTAGATGTCTGAACCTAGATGTGGAGTATATTATGTGCTATGTGACTGTGGCTTCTACTGAACTACAAACTCAAGGGCAGGATCCCCTGGTGTAGACCTGGGTTAATAATATTGGACCAATGACAGTTTCCTGGTTTCAACAGTGTACTATGGTTATGTGAGACATTATCACAGGGGAATCTGGGTAAAGTGCATACAGGAAGTTCCTATATTATTTTTGCAACTTCTTGTGGTTCTTATACTCTTTCAAAAAAAAGATTATTATATCTATACACTCACAGTCACACAAATATGATGGTGTCACTTTCTTGTTGTAATGTACTCCACTTTGCCAATAGAATGTAGTCCACATTACTTGGCATGATATTCAAATTCCGAAGTGTTTTCCAAACCTACACTCCCTGACCCACCCTCTTCAATTTCCCTTCCACTCCCCTGCATATCGAATGCTGCTCTTTCCCAGATACCCTGTTTTTCACTCAGCCATGTCTTTGCACAGATTATTCCTTTCCTTCTACTTTTTATGACAAACCTTGTCTATCCTTCACCTGTACAGGGAAGAGTCCTCCTCCTCCTCCTCGTCTAGTCACTTTCCTGCCTTTGCTCATACAAAGGGAAAATACCCAGCACACTCCTGCAGACACTTTTCAAATGGCCCTGCACCTTCTCTTCACTCCTGACCTATGCCCTCTCAAAGACAGAGAAGGCAGCAGCAGGTGGTCTGAATAGGAGGAGCCAAATGTGCACAGGATCTCTTCTGTTAGTGGGTGGGATTTTTGTGTGCAAAATGAGCCATCTCTTCTTTTTTTCCCCTCCCTTCCCTTTTCACACATTAAAAAACAAACAAAACACAGGATAGCACTCTCCCAGGCTGGAATGCATTGGCACGATCTTAAACTTCCCAAGCTCAAGTGATGCTCCTGGCTCAGTCTCCTGAGTAGCTGGGGCTACAGGCATGTGCCACCATATCTGGCTAATTTTTTTTTTTAGATACGGGGTTTTGCCATGTTGGTCAATCTGGTCTCAATCTCCTGGCCTCAAGCAATCCTCCCATCTCAGCCTCGCAAAGTGCTTGGATCACAGGCATGAACCACTGCACCAAGCCCATTTTCACATGTTTTGTTATTAAGAGGAACTTTTGCTCCATTTGGCTGAGAATCTCAGTAAGAGATGTGCAGGTGCTGGCATTTGGTCCTTGAGACAGGCCTTGAATCTAAAGCAGAGACTCAACCTAAAAGACTCCTCCTCCATGAAGCCTCCCCAGCTTCTCCCAGGCAGTCAGTCACCTGCCCTATATATCCTCAGAATACTCGGGTTATAGCACACAGTATAACAACAACGTGCTCTGTGACTGTGGTTTCCACTGAACTATGAACTCAAGGGCAGAATCCCCAGGTTTCTTTCATCTTTGTTATTTACTGTAACTGAAAGAGAGTGTGGCATAGAGTTACCTAGACAGAGATCCATCTAGTGATTAGAAGAGCAAGCACAGGGCATTATGAAGAGTCCTGGAGCTGAGAATCATTTGCTGTAAAATTATCTCAGATACATTTTTAATATGTAAGAAGGAAGATGAAAATAACTCCTAAGGGTATTCAAGATGGTGGGTATGTGCTAAAAGAGCAGAACTCAACATGAACCAGACATGAAATAAGGAGAAAAGTTTCTCTTACTTTTCAGAGGGAGCCAGAGGGAATTGAATGGGACCACTAAACACCAGCGTTTTTGCCTAGAAAGTCCTTCAGTGAGCATGCAGAGTAGGGCCTTTGGCCCTATTTTTTAGCAAGCCTCTTTTTCTCTACCACCTGTATTCCTTTGTGTTCAGGATGTTTTTTCTCATTTTATTCTATGGTCTTGTCCAGTCCACTACACATTCATGCTCATGAAACGGTAAAGCAATAGATATGGCATTGTCAATGGCACTGATTTTGTTTCCACTGTCAACAACAGATGTGACTTCAATAGGGAAGCCAAAATGTGCTCATTTACCAACCTACCACTAAGATTTCTTTGGAATCAAGCATTTCACTGTGTTAAACTCTTTTTTTTCTTCTAGGAACAGTCTAGCCAGCTAACATAGAATTTATGGCTTTGCAGAATTCCCTGAGAACAGGTGGAGTGAAAAATCGTACCCATGTTGTCAACAAATTCCAAGAATAACGTTCCTGTCTATCCATCCATACAAGGAAGTTTACATGCCATAAACATATGGATTAAAACAGTAATTCACCAGTATCATAAGAAGGCATTTTTTAAGTGTGAGAAAGACACAGTAAATTTTAAAACCTGCTTAAAAAAAAAGTAGGGTATGATCTCCCTGCCCCATAATTTTGCAACTTATTCCTTGCTCATGTGAAATATGCCTGGAACACACAATGTAAAATGTACCTTCTTTAAGATCATATTCAGGCCAAAACTGTTAGTCTCAAAAGAAGAAAGTAAAACTTATCAATGTATTCATTTTAGTAGAAAGAACATGTTACATATGTATAAATTTCAGTATCTATTCATATTCTTGTGCTTGTTTCATTTTCTCTTAGTGTTTGTCAATGTACATGCTTTTGTACAATAAATTTTTCAAAAAGAATTTTTTTAAGACGAAAGTTTCTGCCTAACTTTCTGCCTCTTAGCTAGTATATGTGTGTGATGATAAATTATTACTGGACAGACCATCCTAGCACATGAGATATTAGCTTTTCTGATTGAACCATCTGACATGATATTCACTCCTAAAAATTCTGGTTCTAAGACCCTCGCAGATTTTCATGCTAATAATTTTCTGTGTCTGCACACCTGCAAAATTGGACCTAAAATTGTTCTTAAAAACGTAACTCAAAGATTGGCAAACACCTTAAAGATTAATCATGCTTTCTTTATATTTTAAAAACAATTTATATTGCTCCTAACTCAGAACCATTGAAATAGTGGGCAGCCAGTCAATATTATTTGTGGTAAATAACTGTATACACAGCCAATGAATTGTGCTGCTCTATGCTCTGAAAGGTAAATGTAGCAATTAATTTTGGCCCCACTTCATTAGAGGAGAAATTAAAGAGGAGGAAGAACACTTCTTGAAGTTATCACCTGAAGAGTCACAGGTAGATTCTGAGATGAGATGTCATTTTCAAAACACACCAAACTCCAGTCTTTCCTGCTCCTATACTGGCTGGGGAGGTAACAGCTATTTAGTCATATTAAATAAAATAATAATAATGCACTTTATTTACAAGGCACTTATCCTCCATTGGCATGCAAGGTGTCTGCCTGGAAGCACAGCAGTAAAACAATTAAACTTCATTGAGCTGTCTAATGCCATCCCCATGTGGATGTTGGCGTATTGTAAGACCTTGCTCAGGGTTCTTTGTATAAGACTTGCATTTTCACTATAACCACTGTTGATTCTTTATGTATCTCTAATTTCTTTCCATAACATCAATAAAAGAGAATATTGAGGGGAGAAAGGTCTCTTCCAAACAGGAGGTCTGACTCTCGGCTGTGATTTGCTTGGCAATTGGAGATTTTGTGTACAATCTCTTGCAGCAAAAGGTGAGAAATGCAGAAGCAATGGCTTTTATAAAAACACAGAGCAGCAGGAAGCCCTCTCTGCCCAATTACAAGGTGATCCCAGTTCATTTTTACGGTTTGTCTCTTTTTTTGTTTTTTTATCACATATGTTTCCAAACACAGTCTTGATATCCTGTGGGGCTGCTTTTGTAAAAAGCCATAGCTTCTGATTTAAGGAGCTTCAAAAATAGCTCTCTGCTTCTTCAGTCTGAAAGAGAGCAGTCAAGTTACAGCATATTTATTCTCTTTGAAAAACAGAAAGATGTCAAAAGCAAAGTTCACGGCAAAATTAGGCTGATTTGTTTTGTGTTTCTGTGATTCTGGCTGTAGAAGTAAACAGGAAAAAAAACCCACAGTGGTTTGCTTAATAAGCAAAAACTGCTATTAAAATGAATTTTGTGCTCAAAAACTTATCCTGGCAGGAAGAATCATCAATTATACAAGCTTTGGGAGAGGTGGGTAGAAAGCAAAGCTTAATATCCACTGTCAGCATACAATCCAAGCCTCATGTTCAGATAAAGGACAACCTCATTAGTTTGATACAAATGATCAGTAGTTCTCAGAGATTCTGTGCTTTGGCTGTGACAGACACGATGCAGCAACCTGGTATGGAAACTTTCTTAGCAGAAGCAGCTTTGGCTGATAATGACAAAAGGGTGGCCCCAATCTGGAAAACTTTCAGATGCCCAGATGGGATTCTCCTGGAAGTGCCACCCAGAAAGAGGCTGGTGACACTCTAATCAAGACAGTATCAACAGCACCACCTTTTTCTTGAGCATGCTTTGACACTGCTGTTAAGTGGTGGCAATTCTGCTTTCCCAACCTTGCATATTTCTAAGCATGGAGCATGAGTGTGTTTGCGGGGCTTGCATCCCCCTTCCACTCCTGCTTTTCTTGATTTGCATACCCGGGGCCTAGAGTGAAAGTCGGATTTGGCTCTGATCCCTAAGAAAGCAACCCTATGATTTCTCCTTCCAGTGCTTGCAACTGACACAAAGGTTTTGGGTTTTTGAAGTGATAGTGAACTAAACTGTTGTATACTGAGGTTTCGTTGTTGTTTCTCTGTTGTTTGCAGCCATTCATAATGAGAGAGAATGGAAAGAAAGCATACTAAATTTTCTCAGTTAGCTCTCTGTGACATTATTAGCCATGTGAACCAAGCAGCCTTTTTGAGCCTCTATTTCTATTTTTTATATGAACATTAAATTAACATTTCTGGAAAGGAAAGTTTTGCACCCTGCATCAATGCAATGGTTTTCCAGAAGCAGAAATACTACTTAGAATTGCTGGTTATATCTTTGTGTTTCTCAAGTGCACCAACCTTCCACATACCACAAGGCAATTGCACATGCTATTGCTGCTGCTCAGAACATCTACCCTCAGCTGTGTCCAGTTAACTTCTGCTCTTCCAGTAGATCCCAACCCAGTAATCACTTCTTCAAGGAAGCCTTCCCTGGTGGTCCTATATTATATGTGACTAGGAGCACACGCTTCCCCTTGCTAGCCCTTATCACAGGTGTAATTTTTCAGTATTTAAGTAATCCTTTGATTACTGTCTTCAATAATACACAGAGGCTAGAATGTGATAAATGCCCGTGTGCTGCAGACATGGCTAATTTTCAATCATTTGTGTAGAGTTTCACAATTAAATTGATCAATTGTCTAGAGGTACATAACTTAATAAATCCACAGATAATTTAAAGACCACTTTTTAACCAAGATGTCTGGTCCCTTCCTGATGTTATCTCTCATCGGGGTAGAAGTTAAAGAAAGAACCAAATTAACTCACCTGTGTTTCCTCTCTTTGCTTCTGATTCATTGTGTCAGTTCTCCTCATGAACACTGAAATTGTTACCACCAACACCAAGTAGAAAGACAGGATCCTCAGACTGGGAAATAGAAAGCGAATACCAACAGTTAGATCAAAAGCCAACAGTGCGGTGTGATCAAAGATAACTCCTAAGATTTTAGACAATGGCTTTTGATAGCATGGAATAGAAGGAAACAACTCTTTTTTCTATGTCTACCTCCACTTTTTGGATAAGTGCATGGATAATCTAGAGTACCTTTGTTTATTTTTTAACAGATAGGTAGATAATAGATAGCCAAGAAGGCAGAAAATAGATTGAAAGATAGGTTGTCCTACGTTGTTATATACTTTATGCAATTTTGTCCAAGAGTATAACTGATACTATGTGAACTTTCAAATATTATGGACATGACCTCTTGTAGCTCCCACTTTTTCTCTTTCAGCTTCACTTATCCATTTCATTTTACCGTAGAATCCACCTTGAGACGCATCTATGATTGACATTCCCATCGTCTATTCACGTGGGGCCAACAAATTGCTTTCCTGAGTGTGATTCTTGGTCCTACTGTTTTGAAGTTGGAAACTGATGAGAAACATTAGCCTGCCAAGGAGATGGGCAGTATTCCATAGACCACTCCATTGGTCTGTGTGGAACTCGTTCTGCTTCTTGAGGAGCTAAGACTTGTTCTGAGATTGGAGCTACAAACCGCAAAGTACTGCAGAGGCTGACCAGAGCTTCAGCATACAAAAGGTTTTCCATGAGAAGCAAACCCATTCCATTTGTGGCTTTTGCTAGTTTTGCACTATCAAGAAATGTATTTTAAAAAAATCTTTTCTGCAAAGCTAGCAAAAGCCACAAATTCGATACCTTTGGTTTACGTGCAAAACATGATGCCCAACTCAACTTAGGTTTTGTACTGCATTAGCTAATGTAATAGAACTTCTAAACATACCCAGGTCAATCAGCTTAACCTCCACATTTCAAATACACTTTGATTTGAGACCTCACCCAAGACATTCACAAAGTGCTGAATGACAAGGTAATTGTTGAATTTCAACCTTAATATATTTAAATGAACCATCGTCCCCATTCCAACACTTCTGATAAGCTCTTATGAAAATCACAGGCTTGACCTGACAGTTGATTCCATTACTGCAGTAGTGGCAAGTTCATATCAGAGAAACAGGAAATAATGCAGGTTGGAATCATTCACTCAAATATGACATGAATTAAAGGAATACAATATAGATGGAGTCCAAGAAGAAATCTTACAGTTAGAAGTAGTTGAAGGGCTTTAAATTGGGGTCAACAGGACAAGTTGTAAATCTCATTTGTAAGAAATCTGCAACAGGCCTCACAGGCTATTCTATGACCCATAGTAGATTCTGCAACCTCCGTGAATATTGAGCCCCACTATTGTTCTGCTACGCTCAGTTTTGCTGTCCAGAAATTGGGTTTCATTGGATTTGCTAGGGCTTTTCTTGCCTTCTTTTCCATGGAGATTGATGCTGACATGCATCAGATGATGGTAACACTCCACCCTGCAGCATTTGGGGTCACAGCATTTGTAGGGTAAGTAAAACTATTCCCATCATTTTATATGTTGTCTGAAATATAAGCTGGATTAGTTGGTAGGAAAGGTTTTGGGTATTGTTTTAGCAGCACAATGTAATTGAGGAATGGATAAGAACCATCTGAGAATTTACTGGTCTTTTCCTATTGATTCTGTTACTTGTGATTCTACAATTTAAAAAAACCTTAGAAAGAGTAATAGTAAGAAATCTTAAAAATATCTCTTCTTTATCTCCCAACATATCATTAAGCTTTGGATTCACAGAAGCAAAATGGCCTTAGATGATGAAGATATAGATTATGGACTGAGGGCTACATAATTAAACGTGTAAGATATCAAGGTAAAGTACCAGAACACATAAAGAGGATAATTTCTTCAGTCAGCAAATGGGCAATAACAGGAAAAGAATTTTTGTCTTGGGATAGTGAGCAGTTGTATAAACATATGATGCAAAGGCTTTTTCAAATAGACATAACATTGCCATATGTTCAATCCGAGAACTGTGGAGGGACTTGGGAAAATCAGAATGATTTAAGATCTCCTATACACATCTCTGCCACCACTTGGTTAGCTGAGCCCAAGCAGCTAAAAGTAAGGAGTGTAGTTAAATAGGGACATGTTGAGAAGCCATAGTGTGCCCCAGAGATTGTTGTGTTGAGATAAAGAAAGCCATCAAACATCACCGACAAACTGCTGCTTCCCTTAAGATATGGTAGAGTGTGGTGCTCTTCCTCTGGTCGTCCCACTCTCCAGTGCTCATGGACAGCCTCCCTCCAGATTCAGGCAGGAGCTGCTTAACATGGTAAAAGAGATTTAGACCATGGGGAGCGTACGGATTTGCCCTTCCTCAGTACTTAGCTATGAGAAAGAGACAATGCTGCCAGGGTGTAAAAAGACCACTAAAGTAAACAGATTCCTCTACATAAAGGGAAGGCAGCCTACAAAGCAGGCACAATGGAAACAACAGCACCTCAATGCCAAGTGCAGGTTGTGTCTGCACAATATCAAATAAACCAATCAAAGGGTGAGAAAAATTAACACAAACTAATGTTTTGTCTACATAACCTAGCTTGTTTGCTTTCTTCTTATGACTGGAGTGAACGATTGTTTTTTATAGTATGTAGACACAGCCACCGTGTAAAAAATTGGCACCTGAAGATGAGCTGTTGAATGCTGGTGGTGTAGACTATTGCTCTCCATTTTACAGATTGAGTGGGGCAAATGAGATTGATGGGGGAAGCAAATCATATTACCAGCAGTGTAGATTGCAATGGCCAATCTGCTCCACTGAGGTGGCTTCATTAATCTTGTGATGATTCAATCAATCAGAAAGATGACCAGCAATGATCTTTCTGAAAGCTGTTTTCTCCCATTTAGAGGATCAGATCCATTCATACACACATACTTTTATTGTCTAATTTTTTAATAAAGGGTATATACAAATGACTTTTCCTAGCCAGAATTAATCAGATTGTCCTTAGAACTTGAATTTACCTGGTCATTACTTAAATGTTCACTTCAATTTGCTTCTATTGAATCTACAGTCTTTTCTCAAAAATAAAAACAAAACCCATATCATGTAAAACTACCCAACCATAAGAACATAAATAATACTCAAGTGAGTCAAACCAAGCTGCTCAAAATTATGTCCCTGCAATACGCATTTACACATGCATGCATTTTCTTATTTATTTTTCACTCTGCATGGCACTTAGTGGATTCCCCACTCGAAGTCTTTCTTCAGTTACAGAAATGCTCTGAATTATTTCCTTCTATATTAATTCCCCTCTACTCCCCCAATTTTACTTTTCCTGTAAGTCCTACTTGATGAATTGTGAAACCCCCAGATCTCCCCTTCGAATCTCTGAAACACCTCCCCTCACTTAAACTCACTGTTTCATTCATCAGGTATATCCAGTATGCTACTCAACCCACCATGAATTTTTTATTTCAACAATTACGTTTTTCATTTCTAAGAAGTTGTAGACTGCCAGATCTTGTTTCTTGAGTACTGCTTGTATTTAATAATCATGTTTACAAAAACCTCTTTTATCTCTGTGGTGATATTATATATTCTTAAAATCATTTTTGGATTGCTTCTATCAGTTGTCATTCCTGGGGTATAAATTTTTTTCTATTTGTTGTATCGGTGGTCTCTCTTTCATTGCATTAGCCATCCTCATATATTAGTTAATTCTTGGTTGTTCACTGTTTTAGTTTAGGTTCCTTCAAGATAGAGCCTGCGAGAGTGGTCGTAAGTAGCTTATTTGAAAGGAATTCTAAGAAACACAAGCAAAAGAGCAATGAGCGTAAGACACAGAATCAGGAAAAGCCCATTTAAGGCAGCATTTGGAGGTTTCTCAGTTCCCCCAGGACCTGAGAAGCATGAAGAATGCCTTCCAGAACTGTTTGCTAAAGAGTTCCAATCCCGCCATGAGTTGAGGGTTGCCCCTGGGAATGCTGACTCCCTCACACTTTTAACTGTGATTGCCTATGGGCCAAAGGGATCCCTCTGCTTTGGAGACAGTCCTGAGGCATAAAATAGAAAAGACCTGTATTTCAGGTAGGACCTGGTTGGTGTCTATCCAGATATGCATGAAAACTGTACAAGGCTGTGCAGCTGAAATTAGAGGTGGCCAAAAGAATCTTCTGCTTGTTCACATGTGGAAGATTTCTCCATCATGTGTTCTATGTTGCGATAGTTCCTGATACAGTGACCTTTCTGCAAGTGTGGCCTTTGGGCAATGACATCAGCCCCAGTCTTTTAGCAGAAGCATCCAATTTGGCCTGGCAGTGAGGGCTGCCCATCTAAAGCCGTCTTTTTGGAGTGCCTCTTTTATTCCAGTCTCATTCTTGTTTTTAGGAATAACTGAATATTTTTTAATGCTGTCTATGATATCTTGCAGATGAGAAAGATTTTCACCTATGCTCAGCTGTCTGCCTAATGTGTAAATTAATCTGTTCTATTATGTCTTTAAACATCATGTCCGAGATCAAAGAGATTCTCTTATTTTCCAGCAAACTTGGATTACAAGAACACCCTACGTTTGTAACATTCATCTCCACCTGGTTTCACAAACATTGACTTCCTCTCTGCTATCATCTTACTTGAGTTCAAAATGTTAATTAATAGAGATGATCCACTGATCCTCTGAAAAAGTCTCACAAGGACAGCTCAAGTTAGTCCATTTAAAGCATTCCAAACCCCAAATCCTAAAATACTTTATCTATTAAATGTTTGATACCAGTGCTCTTTGTTCGCTACCTGAGATTGCTTTGCATTATTATGTTATATTTGTTTGCTAAGGCTGCCATAACAAGGTACCGCAGACTGAAAGGCTTAAACACAGCTGTTTACTTTGTCACAGTTTGGAGGCTAGAAGTCCATGGCAATGTATTGACAGAGTTGATTTCTTCTGAGGCCTCTCTCCTTGGCTCACAGATGGCTGTCTTCTCCCTGTGTCTTCATATGATCTTCTCCCTGGACTAATCTGCGTCCAAATCTCCTCTTCTTAGAAGGACTCCAGTGCTACTGAGTTAGGGCCCACCTTAATGACCTCATTTTTAACTTAATTACCCCTTTAAAGACTATCTCCAAATCCAATCTCATTCTGAGGTTTTGGGGGTTAGGATTTCAATATATGAATTTTAGGAGGACAAAATTCAGCCCATAACACAAACCTATTAAGAATTCTCCAGATTTTACTTCAACATTGTTCAAATGCAATGAAACATTATTCCAATCCCCATTTCACTTCCAATAGAAGGACTTATGTACCATTGCCAAAGACTTTTAAACTATGGTATTATTTTCTTCCACTTTTGCTAGAAAAACATATCTCCTAATAATTCCATGGAGTGTGCAGGAAGGAACACAGGCACATATAATAAGCTAAAAAGATAAAGATTTAGGTCGAATCTAAATACACCAAAGCATCTCTAATATGGGATAATATTCTACAACTTATGTGAGAGGATGAAACTAAGTTTTAAAATAGTTTTAAATTTATTTTTTAAAATAATATGTAAATCTTGTTAAAAAAAATTAATTGAAGAGTTCAAAGGGATAGAGAGAGTAAAGAATGTCTTCTCCCACCTCAACCCTCAGTTCCCAGCTGTCCTTCCCAGAGGCAACCACTATTATCTGTTTCTTAATTATCACTCCAGAGATATTGTATGGAACTGCAAACAAATATATTAATACATCCTTTTTGCTTTATACAGTTGGAGTATACTTTATACACATTTGGCATTGTGCCTTTTCCACTTTACAATCCTCAAGATTACTCCATATCACAGAAAGAAGCTATACCTAATTATTTTCAAAGGCTGCATGTTATTCTGCTGTATGGATATACAAATAGTTTTTAGCCATACCCTTCTGATGCACATTTAGATTATTCCAGCCTTTTGCTAGCATAAATAATGCTGTAAAATAGCCTTCTTTATACAACTTTGCACAGATGTGTAAGTACACTTGAAGGATAAATTTCCACCAGTGAAACTGCAAGTTCAAATGTTACCTGTATTCTTAATTTTGAAATATGTTGAGAAATTTCCCTTCAAAGAGTTCACATGTATTTGGAATCCTACCAACTATGTATGTGAGCACTTGCTTCCAACATTCTGTTAATACAAACTTTTGGAAATTTGTCAGTTTCATGAGCAAAAAGTAGCATATCATTATGTTTCTAATTTGCATTTCCCTAATTATAGGTGAAGTTGAGCATCTTTTCCTAACTTAAAAACACTGGGGCAAGGTGCAGTGGCTCATGCCTGTAATTCCAGCACTTGGGGAAGCTGAGGCGGGTGAATCTCCTGAACTCAGGAGGAGACCAGCCTGGGGCAACATGGTGAAATCCTGTCTCTACCAAAAATACAAAAAAATTAGCCGCACTTGGTCCCAGCTACTCAGCAGGCTGAGGTGAGAGGATCATTTGAGCCTGGGAGGCAGAGGTTGCAGTGAGCCAAGATCACGCTACTGCACTCCAACCTGGGTGACTGAGTGAGACCCCATCTCAAAAAACAAACAAAAAACCCCCAAAATTGGTATTTCTTTTTTTATAATCTTTGTCCATTTATTGTTATTCTTTTCTTAATAAAAAATAGATTTTAAACAACTGTAGGGTCGTATTTATTATTTCTAGAACAAGTGTCAGATGAATAATGTAGGTTTCCGGGTCTGCTTAGGTCTGCTAAGTCTGCCTTGATAAATAAATAGCAGGGAATATGGATCCACCACTAGATAAGGAGTCTCCATACTACTACTATTGAAAAAATCCTAATCATCTGAATAAATGGAGAGAGATACATATTCATTGATGAAATGACTTAACAGTAAAAGATGTCAGTCCTCCCTAATCTCCACATGCAATGCAATTCCAATAAAAATTCTAAGCAGAATTAGTTTTAAAGGAATTCTATGAATTCATCCTGCAATGTTGTGGAAGAATACAAGTGTACAAATAGCCAAGTCAATTTTGAAAAAGAGGAGCAAAGAAAAAGAATCATGTTCTATCATAGAGCAATGTATCCAAAAAGCTTTAGTAAGAAAAACAATATGGCAATTAAAAAACCTTCAAGAGAACATAAAAGATCTCAGAAAAATAGGAAAGTGGCATACTGCTTAGAAAATGATATAGGGGAAACTCTATGGAGAAAAACAGTATTGAATTTCTATATACACCATATTAAAAGTGGATGCCAGATGGAATAAAGACCTAAATAAGAAAGGTAAAATAAAAATGGAAATACTTTGATACTGCTGTTGAGATTATAAATTAGTACAGTAAAATCAGTAAATTAATATAGCCGCTATGGAAAACAGCATAGGGATATTTAAAAAAGAAAACAAAAATAGAATTACCATATGATCCAGCAATCCCACTCTTGAATATTTACCCAAAAGATTTGAAATCGGTTTGTTGAAGAGATGTCTGAACTCCCATGTTTATTGCAGCACTATTCATACAGTAGCCAAGATATGGAATCAACCTAAGTTTCCAACAATGGATGAATGAATTTTTAAAATGTGGTATTTATACACAATGGAATATCATTCAGCCTTACAAAAGGAAAGAAGTTCTGTCATCTGTGACAACATGAATGGAATTGGAGAACATTATGCTAAGTGAAATGTCAGGCTCAGAATAACAAATATTGCATGTTCACACTTACATGTGGAATCTAAAACAATTGAATTCCTAGGAGCGAAGAGCAGAATGGTAATGATAGTCAAGGGAGTGGAGGGATGGGGAGAGGATGGTCAAAAGGCAAAAAATCTCAAACAGAAGGAATGTTTTTTTCTTTTTTGAGTTTTATCACACACTGTGGTGAATATTTGAGGCGATGGATATATTAACTAGCTTGATTTAATTATTCCACATTATATTCCTAAATTATGCCATCATTTATTTCTCCATAAATTTACGTAATTATAAGGGTTTTATCAATTTACAATTTTTAAATCCTCTAGAATTAAAAATAAATAAGGCCAATAGAATAACATGTTCAGGGCATGCTTGAAACTTTCTAAAATACATACCTAAATAAAAAACGTGTCTAGCTGTCTATAAAATAAAGGGCATTATAGGCAAACTTAATGGACAGATCGTGGTTTTGGGGAACATATTTGCAACTTCTAAAATGGAACCAGGATTGATATTTATTAAGAGACTACCTACAAACTCCCGGAAATTAATGAGAAAAGGTAGAAAACACAGTAGAAAATGAAGTGGAGGACAATTATTATGCAGTTCACAGCAGGGAAAACCTACATGGCTATCGAGTTGTTGTAGGTCAGGTTTCCTGGAAGGGAGACTGGGCAATGAAAATTATAATGAAGGAAGTTTGTTAAGAAGTGCTTTCAGGATCAACACCTATTGCTATGGTTTGGATGTGTTTTGTTTGTCCTCACCAAATGTCATGTTGAAATTTAACCTGCAGTGTGGTGGTGTTGGGAGGTGGGGCCTAGCGAGAGGTGTTTGGGTCATGAGGGTGCATCTCTTATGAATGGCTCAGTGCCATTCTTGCAGTTGTGAGTGAATTTTCGCTCTCATGAGATTGGATTGGTTCTGGGGAATAGATTAGTTTCTGTTAGAGTGGTTTGTTATAAAGCCAAGACGCCCCTCAGGTTTGGCTCCTGTTTGGATAGGACTACTTCCCCTTTGACCTTCAACATGTTTTGCCTCAGCTTTTGTGCCAGAAGTCGAGCAGATGCCAGCATCGTGCTTCTTGTAAAGCCTCCAGAACCATGAGCTAAATAAACCTCTTTTCTTTGTAAATGATCCAGCCTCAGGTATTCCTTTATAGCAACACAAAATAGACTAAGACACCTTTGGAAGAAGAAAAGGAAGAAGGTATGGGCCAAGGGAGAAGTTGGTCTGTGATGCAGTCTCAACAAAGGATCTAAGGGGAGCTCCAATTTGGAATAGTGTGGCAGATTCTATTTTCCTAAAACACCTGCCATAACATCTTCTATACTACATGCTGTTCTTACAATGTGACTGTGACACTCCTCCTATAAAAAAGGAAGGTCTATATCTACTTTCCTTAGAACAGGATAAGTTTTCTTGATTATTTCAACCAACAGAAAATAACAAAAGCAATGCTATGTGGCTTTAAAGGCCATAGAGCCTCTGAGTTGTTTGCTTATTCTTGAAGTATTCTGCTGTCATAGAAGCAATCTGACTGGCCTGAGACCACCATGCTATGAGAAAGACCAAACTAGCTCATATGGAAATACCAGACTAGCACATGGCAAGGCCCTGAGATTACATAAAGAGAGAGATGCCTAGCCAACCTTCAGCTGATTTGGCTCTCTGTTACTTTAGCTCTAACCATTATTTGGCAGAAACCACATGAGAAACCCTAAGCCACAACTTCTTAGCTGATTTCTTTCCAAATTACTGACTCACATAAACCTTGCAAAATAATAAAATGATTCTTGTTAAGTCACTAAGTTTCTGGGTGATTTAATATGCATCAATAGATCACTGAAACACATGGCTCTTCAGAATTTGGGCAAAAGATCTCTATTTTATGTGCCTACATCTACCCATCATTGAATAAGGACTGATCTGAAATTCAGGAGTGACGTTGGGCAAGGTGGCTTTCTTCAACCTAGGGCAATTCTCAAAAAGTGTTGATATCTGAGGACTGTCAATCAGCAAAATTCCCAGAAACTTAGGGTGTTTCAGTGTTGAGGCAGGATCTGGATGGCATATCACAGCCTCCATCACAGTCCACCACTTGTACCACTTAGATCACTTCTTTTTACAAGTTCTGCGAGCACTTCAAGATGCTAGCGGGCCTCTTTCCTGTGAGAAACTTAGATGAGGAAGGTAAGTGGCATGACCCACAGCCTCTGCTGCTGCAGTTTGTCTTAAGGCCCCAGCTGATTTTCATCCCTCTCCTTCTTTATCATTTATTCTAGACTCCCCACACCTTCAGTTAGCACATCTCCTGGTCTAAGTGACTTATCTGATGGGGTGACCCAGATCCTCATCACTGAAGAGTCCAACTCTTGGTCACCAAGGTTTTCTGTGGCAGCTATAATTATCCATTTAAATCAAAGTTGGGCAAGGGAATACTAAGACACCAAAGTGGAACTTATGGGTGATAAATACATTTTTCCTACTGTATTCTGTAGAAGAAGCCCTAACTCCTCCTGAATCACAGTCAGTTGGTCTAATGTGACTTTATGTGGGATGCCATGTTGGTGAATAGAACATTCTGTAAATCCTCAGATAGTGGTGCTGGCAAAGGCTATGAGAGAAGAAAAGAATATCTGTCTATTCCAGTGAAAAATAATTGATGTCCCTCTCAAGGTGAATGGTTTCAAGATACTCAAACTGCCATCAAATTGTTCTTCAAGAGATAGTGTCAAATTGGGGTGTGGGTTCAGGGTTGCTTTCTGTTGATGGCAGCTCAAACTTTCAGCAGTGACAGTAGCTAGATAGTAGACAGTAGCTAGATAGGCCATAGTGAGTAGGAACCCATGCATAGCTTCCATCCCTGTCACCATGGTGATTTTATTCCTGTGTCCACTGTGCCAGACACTTGAATAGCCAATGGCGCATGCTAGTTTATATCACCTGACCAAGTTATTGTGTCAACTTGGCTGTGCAGTGCTTCTTTCATGGTAGATGTTCTCTGGTAGACATTATCATATTGCAAGATTTTCACATTTCATACTTATTCCCGTACATCAATGCATATGCATCTAACCCAGACCATGTTTTTACAGACCTTCCAATCATTCTCTTTCAGGTCCCCAATGAACTGGCCAGGTCATTTTCTATTGCCGTAAGTCCATACATACTTGAACCTTGGTCCACTTATTTTCCTACATAAAGAATATGACCAGGTGTACCACCCAAAATGTAGCCTATTTGTAGTATTTCCCCTCACTACTACATTTGAAGGCCATCTGTGGTTGGGCTGTGTTGCAGCTTCTGTTCTTGTTATCTATGGATACATAACCCAAAATTCAGTGGCTTTAAACACAACATTTATTTTTCTCACATATCTCAAATTTGGACAGGACTTTGTGGGAACAGCTTGCCTTGCTCCATGTAACAGGTGGGGCAGCTGACAGCTGAGTCTGGACTCATGAGAAGGCTTGCTTACCCACATGTCTGCAGTTGATGCTGGCTCTTCACTGGGATCTCAGTGGCTGCTGTGGCTGAAAGACCTACACACAGCCTTTTAATATGGCTATTTAGCATTCACAAAGCATGATGGCTTGGTTCCAAGAGCAAATATCTCAAGAAAAAGAAAGGGCCAAGAGGAAAACATAGCACCTTTTATGACCTAGCCTTGGAAATTGCTCAGTGTCACCTCTGTTTTATTGTATTAGCTAGAAGTGAGGGACTAAGGTCAGCCTATATTCAAGGAGAGAAGAATTAGGCTCTATCTTTTGATAGGGTCAAAAGAATGTCAGAAAATATCAAAAAATTTTCAGGCATTTTTTAAAACTACACTAGCTTAACATAACCAAGTCAACCTATCTGTGAACCGAGCTGGGCTTTTTTCTTCCTTTGTCAGCTGGTCATGGGAGTCCTCCCATTTGACCATGAATGTGAGCTAAGGGAGATGCACTAGGGTAAGTGTATTGGTGACATGGCAGTCTGAGTCACCTGCTTGTGCCATTGATTTTTGTCCTCTGGTCCCAATTGGGCTGGATCCCAGATGTACCATTTCCATCTCACAATGGATAGCTGCTAGGCTTGTCCAACTTTATGCCTTAGAAGGGCTGACAGAATCTATCTTATCATGGGAAGTTCTAGCCAGATGGTCATTCAATTAACCATGGTCAGATACTTCATTTCTACCAGGGTCCAGTAGCTGGCCAGGAGGCAATTTTTGAAGGGCATACGATTGTTCACTACAGATGGTATGCCCTTGCTCCAGAACTTCAGGACTCATTATAAAATCTACACAGCATCTTTTCCCACCTCAGATACCTCTAATATTACAGGATCTGCTGAGTCATACATTCCTGTTGGCAGGAATGCTAGTCTAGCATTCTGGATATGCTACAGAGCTTCTTCCTGTTCTGGGACCCATGCAAAGCTGACAGTTCTTCATATAAATATACTACCATCAAAACCCAAAGAGAGGCTGGGCGCAGTGGCTCATGCCTGTAATCCCAGCACTTTGGGAGGCGGAGGTGAGTAGATCACCTGAGGTCAGGAGTTCAAGACCAGCCTGACCAACATGGCAAAACCCCATCTCTACTAAAAATACAAAAATTAGCTGGGTGCTGTAATCCCAGCTACTTGGGAGGCTGAGGCAGGAGAATCACTTCAACCCCGGAGGAGGAGGTTGCAGTGAGCCGGGATCACACCGCTGCACTCCAGCCTGGGCGACTGAGTGAGATCTCAAAAAACAAAACAAAGAGAGATCACTATACTGCTTCTTTCTTTGTGGTGGGAAGTATGAGATGCAATACTTTGTCGTTGTTCCAACTACTTTGTGATAGAAAGTTTTGGTATGCTCCAAGCCACTGAATTCCTAAAATATTACTAATATGGTTAGTCCCTAAATCCTTAAGTGCTCATCTCATACTCTGTTAAGCACATGTGTCTCACCAAGGCTTCCAACACCCTTACTACTTCTTGCTACATTTAATCAAGTTAGCAAAATATCATTGATGTAGTGGAAAAGTGTGTTGTTCTTCAGGATGTCTAGACATTCCGAGTGTCTTCAGACTATATTATGACAGAGCTGAACTGTTCATATTTGTCATTTATAGACTGTAAGTGAGTACTATTTTCTGTTCCAAGTGAATGCAAACTGTTTCTGATCCTCTTTTTTGAATGAAGTGGAAAGAATGCACCACCAGATCAAAGGCCACATCCTGCATTCCTGAGGTCGTATTACTGTGCTGTAGAACAGATACCACATATGGCACTGTAGAGGCAATTGGGCTATACTTGGTTGCATTTGAAGTAGTCTCACGTCATCCTTCAGATTTCATCTGGCTTTTATAGGTGCCAGACTTGTGAACTAAATGGAGATTATGCTAGAGACCACTTCTGAATTATTTATGTCCTTGAGGGAGACACTATCTTCTTTTCCCTTACCTCCCAGGGTCAAAATTTTTCTGTAATTGCTATGCTCGTGAGGTGGGCACAGTTTCAGAGCTTGGCTTATTTGACTATGACAGCTCTTACCTCACAGAAAAAGAAATTAATATGGGATTCTGCAAGCTCCCAGTGATGTCCATTCCAAGGAAGTGACCACAGAGTGGGTTTGTGGAACCATTGGACCTTCTATGAGCCCACCCTGGGCCAGAACTTCATGTATTACTTAGCTCCCATATGCCCATGCAACAATGGGGCTATGATGACTCTTCAGATGCCTTTAAGGAAGCACTAGGGCAATCAGTACCATATATACTGCGACAGTGCTGCAGGTTTCTGCCTTCTGGAAAACTAGCCCCTTCTCCAGTTCAGTGGATTTCAGGTTAGGAAACTGGCTTAGGTTCACAAACTGGACAAAAAGATTTTTTTTTTTTTTTTTTTTGGTGAGGGGAGGCAACTGTGTTTAGTCTCCTAATCAACCATCCTTAGTTTCTTTAGCCTGCATCGATTGAGCAGCACCCTTGTTGGCTTTTCATCTAGCTTGTTCTTAAGGATGGTGTGTTTATTAATCATTTCCATGGTTCTCTATAGAACATGGTTCTCTGGCTGCCACTCAGATCTGCCACTCATTGCGATAATCATATCTGACTTGCTTCTGATGGTTAAATGCAACCACCTCAGTGTCTCTGACTCAGGCATCTCATGTCTTTTTTATTTTGAGATCCTAACATCTTTGTTAGTAGTAGTAAGTCCAGTTCTATAGTCTTGCTCCGGCTGTCTGTCTGTGCATAGTGTCATAAAACAACAATCATTTTATTATGTCTCATGATATTGTGGTTTAAGAATTTGGGCAGGGCTCATCTGGACAATTCTTCTGTTCCAGTTGGCATCAACTGGGGTCACTCTGTGTCACTCAACTGGCTGCTATAGATGTCTAGGGTGTCCTAGATGGCACAGGCCTCTCATGACAACAAGGATAAACAGGTCCTTTCCTTCTTTGTATTGTCTCAGGGGGTTATCTCTCTCACAAGATAGTCAGACTTCTTACATGTTGGCTCAAGTATCCAAGAGCAAATATTCCAAGAGGCCCAGAAAAAATCTGCAAGGTTTTTAAGGACCTAGCTTTAGAAGTTCCAGAACTTTATTTCTTCTATATTCTAGTGATCAAACAGGTCACTTAGGTCAGTCAAGACACAAAAGAAGGAGAATGAGACTCTATCTCCTAATTAGCAAAATAATAAAGTATTTGAGGCCAATTTTAATCACAAATGATACCTCTTACTGCCAACCATAGATTAGAAAAGAAAGCCACTTTAGGGTGACAGTTTTCTATTGGTCTTTCACGTTTCTGCACCTCTTGTAAGCAGAGGAACTGACTGCCTTTGTTCCACACTATCTTTTTTGTTTGTTAGTTTGTTTGTTTTTTGAGTCAGGGTCTCTCTCTGTCACCCAGGCTGGAGTGCAGTGGTGCGATCTTGGCTCACTGCAACCTCCGCCTCCTGGGTTCCAGTGATTCTTGTGCCTCTGCCTCCAAAGTAGCTGGGATTACAGGCATGCACCACCACACCCAGCTAACTTTTTGTATTTTTAGTAGAGATTGTGTTTCTCCATGTTAGCCTCGAACTCCTGACCTCAAGTGATCCGCCTACCTCTCTCCCAAAGTGCTGGAATTACAGGCATGAGCCACCACACCTGGCAAGACTATATTTTTAAGGGTGTTTGTATAACAAAGCATGGTCAAATAACTTTACTGATAAGATTCAAAAGGTCTGAAACCTCTGCCCTTGGCCTCCTAGGTTTGGACAGAGCCTTGTCCTGTTTCCTCATTCAGATGATCAGGGATGTTCTGACATGCTCCTGACAGCTCTGTTTTTTCAGACTTTTTATTGTTTGTCTTTGCCTGTAAAGTCCTCTGTCTGGTGCATGGTTATTTCCCTCTATTACTGTATTCAACCTCTTGTCTCTTCCCCAGACTGGAAAGCTTTTGGCTGTCAGTGTTCTTTCTGAATTTATAATGGATCTGCCCTGCCTTCTCTGGGTAGGGCTTGGCTTATGATCACCATCTGTGGCTAGGTGGATGGGTAGTGGACAAATGCAGAGGATCTCATATCAGCTCTCTTTTTATTTTGCTTCCTCCTAGCTTCTCCATCCATTTTATTGGTCCATTCATTGCTCCCAACATGCTGCAAGGAAAAACTCTACCACCATTTCTTGAGGGAAATGTCCCTTCCACTAGTCTAGAGGCACTCTCTTTTCTAGATTTTATAGATGCTAACATCTATATTATGATGTATCATAGATCTGATGCCAATTTGTCTTCAGCTTGGTAGCATAAATAGAATCTAAGTAGAATACCGATGCACATATAAGAAAGATTTTATTTCTAATAAGGGAGACAAGGGTAAAATCAAAATAAGATAAAGATCAATAAAAAACAGGACAAAGTATTGTAGACTGACTCAAAAGTACTGAAAATAAATGCTAGTATCAACAAGAAGCTTGAGAATCTGAACCTGGTGCCTTACCCATAATAGGTGTTCAATATATATTGATTATTCCTGATTGAACATTATTCATTCAAAGCAGAAGAATAATCTTTTCCTTTATACATTGCTTCTGTGTTTTCATTTTAAAACATCATGAAAAATGATTTTTAGAGAATCATTAAAAACAATTTGTGATTTTCTTATAATTAGCCATGGAGCACATAACAAAACCAGATTTGTATAAATTGATCACCTTCCTACCTAAGCAGTGAGAGCAGAATTTTGAAAAGATATCGAGGCAGTACTTTTATATAGCATGGAAACCCGTTTTACTTTTTGTTCAAATGGAGATACGTTTGAGAGTAAAAGGAGTTAGTGTTAATAAATACAATGCAATAACAGGCATGATGGGATCACCCCAGGAAAACCAAACATCACAGAGCCATCCTATCCATGACTTGACAAACTGATGACAACAGTGATTCAGACCCAAACATGCAGTGATAGGTTTCTCATTATGTGATTCATTGTCACTCAGCCAGTTATAGACCCAGTAGATAAATGTTAGTCAACAGCAAATAGAAAAGAAAAATTTTAATTTGAATAAATTGCTTAAATCTACCTTAATTTTTTGTTAACCTGCAATCAGAATTGAATTCTAATAAATTTATTTTTCTCTAAGTCGCTCATGCATTTCATTACCTGATTTATTATGAAATTTTACAATTGCTTATCAGTCCTTATTTTCTTAACTTCTCAGCAACTTTAGAAATTAATGACCATTACTTTTCAAAACACTGTATTTACGCTGTTTTCCAGTAAAGAATTCCTGCCCCTGCTCTGCCCCAGTTTTTCGGCTTCCTTTCCGGACCCCACTATAGCCTATTCTTTCTTCATCTGTTTCTTCTTTTCTCACATTTTATACACCCCCTGGGAAGTCTCCTCCACTCCCCTAGCTTCAATTGCCATCTACTTATTGCTGACTCTTACATCTTCACTCCTGTCCAGGTTTCAATGTTTTTTCTGAGCTCCAAACCTGTATAACTGACTGCTATTGGACTTCTCCATTTAAGTTTCCCAAGAACCTCCAAGAATTCAATAAAATTTAATTTGTTCAAATCTGCATTCATCATCTCAACAATGCACCCAACTTCTCCTCCCTCAGTGTCCCCTCTCTCATTTCCACAATGAAAATAAGAAATGAAGCAGCTAATGATAACAATAATTACAATAATAACACTGCTTATATAACTCTTTAGGAATATGTCTACACAAACATGTGAGATGGATATTGAGACAATTTCTAAATAATTCAGAACAAATAGCTTGTGAGTGTGGGCAGAAGGAGGCTTGGAAGAAGACGGTTGGGTTGGTCAGATACGTTCCCATTAAACCAGAAACACATATTTTTCCCCTGACTCCCTATTCTTATTCTACATCCATTGGGTCACCAAGTCCTGTTGATTCTACCTCCTGAATGTTCTGTTCTCTCCATCTCCACTGTATTAGTCCATTCTCACTCTGCTAATAAGGACATACCCAAGAATGGATAATTTATAAAGGAAAGAGGTTTAATTGATTCACAGTTTAGCACAGCTGGGGAGGCCTCAGGAAACTTACAATCATGGTGGAAGGAGAAGCAAACATGTCCTTCTTCACATGGCAGCAGCAAGGAGAAGTGCCAAGTGAATGGGGGAAAAGCCTCTTATAAAACCATCAGATCTTGTGAGAACTCACTTACTATCAAGAGAACAGCATGGGGGAACTACCCCCATGATCTAATCATCACCCATGAGGTTCCTCCCAACAACATGTGGGGATTACAAGTTGGATTATAATTCAAGATGAGAATTGGGTGGAGACGTAGAGCCAGACCATAATACCTACCGTCACCAGTTTTGACTAAGCTAACACCATCTCCCAGTCTCTCAACCAATCATTCCACCTCCAAACTTGCCTCTCTCTAGTTCATTTTTATATTGTGGCAAGACTGATTTCCAGCCACACAAATAAAATCAGTTTGCTTTTCTGCTTAAAACTATTCCCTGGCTCTTAGATACATTTCAAACAATATGACTTACATGCCCCTCTACTATCCGGCCCTGCCTACCTCTCCAGAACCCTTTCGTACCTCTTCCTTTTGCACTCCTTACTGGAGCTCCCCAGCCCAACCAGGCACTTAGTTGCTTCTGAGACTTAACACCTCCTACTGTCACTCTTGGCACATTTTCTGCTTCATCCAGCTTACTCCTAGTCAATCTACTCCTACTAGCTCAAATACCGTTTCCTCAGGGAGCCACTGTCTGGTCCCAAAACTACATTAGGTTCCTTCCTATGTGCTCCTATAACACTGTTTGAATTAGGTTGAAACACATGAAATTGCCTTGTTGTAAATCAGTAACAGTCAAACAAAAGGAAATTTATATAGTTCAAGCCAATACTTGAATCTGCTAGACTATAAATTCCCTAAGGGTAGGAACCTGGTCTATCTTGTACACTGCCTTACACAGTTCCTGGCACATGGTAAATAATCAATGAATATGTGTTGAATAAATGAATGAATGAACAAATAATGAACTACATTTTCTTGAAATGTCATTATTTTAAATGACATAATTAAAGCTAAAATAATTTTCTCTTTAATGCTGATATATTGTTTTTGTTGTACCAGTACTTGCCTAGTCTACTCAGTTTGATTAAATACTCACAAATATATATACTGAGATTTTAGCAGAGTACACTTATGTGAACCAATAAACAATATCTTGACCTACAGAGCACAAACCTGGAGTAATTTGATAAAAGTCACCTCTCTTCATGAGCATG
The DNA here is from genome assembly GCF_000001405.40 of Homo sapiens. NCBI lineage: Eukaryota > Metazoa > Chordata > Mammalia > Primates > Hominidae > Homo > Homo sapiens. The sequence continues at coordinate 25,656,218 of NC_000018.10, forward strand.
AAAGAAGGCAAAGAATCCAGGGAAAATTGAATTCAAAAACTCTAATAAAGTCTAAAATTGTTTAGCCTCGGTAGAAAGTCTTACAGTGACACCTTTGAAAATGTGATTCCTGGGGTTCTACTTTGAAAAAAAGCCTTAAGAATGGGATATTTGCAATGAGAATCATTCAACAGGCCTATCACTTTGCATATTGGATAGCCCCTCAAAAGATGAATATGGGCATGCTAGCACTTTGCTAATTCCCATTAACTACAGCAGTCCTTAGTGAATTGCTGCATTAATAAGGCAGTCATTGCCTATGCAGTGCCTGCAAACAGAGGAGTGTGTCTTTGCTTCAGTTCTTCTGACAAGTGTAGTTCTGCTTTAATTATTTATGCTCATACACCACAGCACAGGAGCACTCGCAAATATTTTGTATGAGTGATGAAGTTTTAGTAATAAGAGACTTCACTCCATCTTGCTGCTGTTAAAGCTTACAGAGAAGCAGGGTGAGAATTTAAGGTTTTTGTAGATTAGTCAACTAGGAATTAGCAGGATTCCCTAGGATAGAGTTCTAAATAATACAATGAAAATAAATATCTACAAGTACAATTCTTATTTTTTTCAAGCTCTTTAACAGCCCTCAGAAGACCCTAAGATGAACCACAAGGAAAATAACAAGAAATGAAGCTGCTAATGATAATAATAATTGCGATAATAATACTGCTTATGTAACTCTTTATGGATATGTCTACACAAATATGTGAGATGGATGTTGAGACAATTTCTAAATAATTCAGAACAAATAGCTTACAAGTGTGGGCAGAGACAGGCTGGGAAGAAGACAGTTCATTTGGTCAGAATCCTCCAGCCTATATTGGTCAAATTTGCTGAATGATTTATCATATCACTCCTTAAATATTCCAACTTTACTATTTAATTCCAATTCTGTATGTAACTTTCTTTTGACTAAGGCCAGGTAATTTAATCTCTCTGAGAACAAATCTCTTTTCGTTCAGCAGAATGAGATCCAGCTTATAATATTTCAACATCTTTCCCAGCCCTGGTGTTTTTGGTTCTATGAAATTCACGATCCTAGATTTATTGTCACTTATTCTTTCAATAATAATTTATTGAGCTGCACCTACCATATAATAAGGACCAAGGAAAAGTGCATCCATAAAGTTGTCCAAAGACAATATTAAGTGTTCCCCCACAAAGCCCTGCTTCACCTCCAATCTTCCACTCTTCCGCCATGCACACAATCAGACACAGCCACCTTCTTTCATTTTGTTTTGTTTGTCATTTGTTTTAATCAGGATCACAGAAAAAATATGAAGGGATTTATAGGTTGTTTTCAGGCCCACAGAGACTTGAAGCATAAGGTATAAAGTATGCTCCTCCTTTTTTTCAGCTTTATTGAGGTATAATTTACAAATACAAATTGTATATATTTAAGGCACACAACTTCATGTTTGGAGGTATACATATACATTATAAAATGATCACCACCAGCAAGCTAATTAATATATCTGTCCCCTCACTTAGTTAGCATTTTCTTTTTCTTTTTTTGTAATAAGAATGCTTAAGATCTATCTCAAGTATAATAGTCACTATGCTATATATTAGATCTCCAGAACTCATTCATCTTGCATAAATGAAACTTTGTGCCCTTTGACCACCACTCCTCCCTACCTCCAGCCCCTAGCAACCACTATTCAACTCTCTGCTTATATGTGTTGGACTTTTAAAAATTCTACCTATATGTGAGATCACGTGGCATTTGTCTTTCTGTGTCTGGCTTATGTCTCATAGCATAATGTCCTTCAGATTATATCCACGTTATCACAAATGGAAAGATTTCCTTCTTTTTAAAGGATGAATAGTATTTTATTTTTTATATATACCACATTTTATCCATTCATCCATTGACAGATATTTAGGTTGTTTCCATATCTTGACTGTTGTGACTAATGCTATATCAACATGGGAGTACGGATATGTCTTTGAGATCCTAATTTCACTTGCTTTGGATATATACCCAGAAGTGAAATTTCTGGGTCATATATGGTAATTCTGTTATGCTCCTCCCTTTTTCCTCAATCCTCATAGGAAGCCTTACTCGTCTTGGCCCTCAGAGTCACAAAATCCCCCTGGGTTTCTCATCTAGCACCAGACCCAAAGGCAACTTTCTGTATTCACTCAGCTAAACAAAGAGCATTGGAGAGCAGAGCGGCTCCTGTCACTCAACAACTAGAAGGGGAATGAAACCACTGACACAGGCTATGGGCATTCAACACCCACGTGCTGCTCACTAACCTTGAAGAATGAAAAGTGAACCAAAGACTCCATAGGGCAATCAGATGGCATTAAATGGCTACATTAAGAAATCTTCAGGAGCCAGTAAGAGTGGCCATTGTGAGCTGTCCAAATAAAAGAACAAGTAACAATTCAACTTGGGCAGTAAAACGAATGGTAAACACGGAATAGGAGACAGACCTTGTAAATTACTGGATTGAGTTCTGCAGTTCATTATATCACAGCCTTAGCCAATCAAACTAAAATAAATGGAAAGAGGAAAAACTGGTCTGAGAAAAATTTACTGTCTTAAGAATATGTGTCCAACCTTCACACTGCTCCCGAGCCTAACCTTTAGATAAATAATTTTATATTAATAGATATTTTATAGTTTTTTTTTCTTTTGCTGGAAAATTGTGTGAGATTCAATGCTTTTAAGTAAAAAGGAATTTTTTATGGCCTGAGTCAATACTTCAATCTTGCGTCTTTCTTGTAACACGAAATAGTCTCACTAGTATTAACAAAATACTGACAATATTAAAAATGATTCTATTCAACTATTCAACAAATATTTATTGAATGCCTGGTATCAGTGAAGCCCTGGTTTTTTTTTTTGTTTGTTTTGTTATGTTTTTTTTTGAGACACAGTCTCACTGTCTCGCCCTGGCTGGAGTGCAGTGGCACGATCTTGGCTCACCGCAAGCTCCGCCTCCCAGGTTCACATCATTCTCCTGTTTCAGCCTCCCGAGTAGCTGGGACTACAGGCACCCGCCACCACGACCAGCTAATTTTTTGTATTTTTAGTAGAGACGGGGTTTCATGGTGTTAGCCAGGATGGTCTCGATCTCCTGACCTCGTGATCCGCCTGCCTCAGACTCCCAAAGTGCTGGGATTACTGGCGTGAGCCACCATGCCCACCCCAAGCCCTATTCTTAATTCCCTATTTGTGGAATATGCAGCAGGAACAAAATAGACATGGTCCCTGACCTAACAAAGCCCACAGTCTATGGGAGAGGTAGACAATAAACAAATACACACAAAAAGTAAGTATATAATTGCAATTAAAAAAAAAAAAAGCAAAAACAAAACCAAAAAGGCCCTGAGTTTTCTGAGAGACTCTTGGGGATGGGGGTAGGGAGCATTGAATTAAAGATCGACTTCCCTGAGGAAGTGACAGTTGATCTGAAACCTAAGGGATAAGAAGAACTTCGTAGAAGATGTGTAATTAGGGCATATGCCAACATCAACCACGCTGGCAATGGAATTGGCTTAGCATACGGAGAAAAGCTCCTGTGCATGCGAATGAAGATTGACATTTCCAAAAACGTTGCTTTGTTTACAAAAATAAAATGAATGCTTAGTGGTCTTCAGGCAGAAACATACCAATGAAGTAGGAATAACTCTGACCAAACTCAAAGTCTGGTTTGTTGTCAAAGTCAAAAAATTCATCTCCCAATAGTGAAATACATATATATACATATTTGTCTTATTCTCATGCTGAGTTTTAAAATGATATCCAAAGATTTCCAAAAACCAATCTTTGTTTTTGTTTTTGAGATGGAGTCTCACTCTGTCGCCCAGGCTGGAGTGCAGTGACAGGATCTCAGCTCATTGCAACCTCCACATCCCAGGCTCAAGTGATTCCCCTGTCTCAGCCTCCTTGAGTAGCTGGGATTACAGGTGTGTGCCACCATGTCCAGCTACTTTTTGTATTTTTAGTAGACATGGGGTTTCACCATGTTGGCCAGGCTAGTCTCAAACTCCTGAGCTCAAATGATCCGCCCACCTTGGCCTTCCAAAGTACTGGGATTACAGGCGTGAACCACTCTACCTGGCCTCCAAAGACTCTTTCTATAGCTTTCTTTAGTAGTCTACTCTAATACTGAACTACCCTCAGTGCCAGTGATCTTTTTTTTTTTTTTTTGAGATGGAGTCTCACTCTGTCACCCAGGCTGGAGTGCAGTGGCACAATCTCAGCTCACTGCAATCTCTGCCTCCCAGGTTCAAGCAATTCTGCTGCCTCAGCCTCCCAAGTAGCTGGGATTACAGGCACATGCCATCACGCCCAGCTAATTTTTGTATTTTTAGCGGAGACGGGGTTTCACCATGTTGGCCAGGCTGGTTTTGAACTCCTGACCTCAAGTGATCCCCCTGTCTTGGCCTCCCAAAGTGTTGGGATTACAGGCGTGAGCCACCGTGCCCAACCTGTGATGTTTTTCATAGCACACGTTGTTTTGTGCATCTTCAATAAGACTATCTGTGGGTGTGTATACAAATATATACATAAGAATATGTAATCATCATGTCTGCGTACAAGTCTATTTATAATGTTGAAGATTATCAGCAAAATTTTTTTCTATCTCCTCTAGAACATATAGTTCATTATGAGTGTAGAATGTTATTCTACACTCTGTTCTAGTCTTTATTACTAGGAAATTGACATTAAAAATATATACATATATGTGTATATATATATATGAAAGTGTGTATATATGTGTGTGTGTCTGTGTGTGTGTATATATATATATATATATACACACATTCACTCACACACATAAATAATGCTGGACCTAAAAATAAAGATAGTCAGATTGTTAATAATGAGTTCACAGTTTAACTTGTGAAATGGACAAAAACTGTCATCTACAAAATATCCCTATAGCAATGCCATCTAGCAGTATAAAGTATTATTGCTGGCCAGCCGTGGTGGCTCACGCCTGTAATCCCAGCACTTTGGGAGGCCAAGACGGGCAGATGACCTGAGGTCAGGAGCTCGAGACCACCCTGGCCAACGTGGGAAAATTCCGTCTCCACAAAAAGTTAGCCTGGCGCGGTGGCGGGTGCCTGTAATCCCAGCTACTTGATAAGCTGAGGCAGAAGAATCACTTGAACCAGGAAGCAGAGGTTGCAGTGAGCCAAGATTGTGCCACTGCACTCCAGCCTGGGCAACAGAGTGAGACTCCATCTCAAAAAAAAAAAAATGTTTTTTAATAAATAAAATAAAGTATTATTGCTTCTCCTTGATCATTTCCTAAGCCTGTTCTCTCTTTTCATATTCCTTTTTTTTTTTTTCCCTTCTGGCCTGGCGCCACACTTGCATTACCAGGGTCATACATTTATATTTCTAGCCTAAACCTTTTGGTAATCTCTTTTCTCTCTTATGAATTACCACCACATGCTCTTAGCATTAACATTTCCCTCCTACATTTATTCATTAGTCCTCTCTCATTGAAAACCAAATTCCTTACCTGAAAAACAGTAAACAGAGGTGTTCCTGAAATGCAATATTACTTTAATATAATTATATAATTGTATCTATATTGTGCTTGTGATTTTTCTGTGTTTATATGCCTGCTCAATTTCCATCTTGTTTCTCTATTACCATATCTGTGCAATGTGCTTATAAAAGCTGTCAAAACAACACAACATACAAACTCAGAACAGGTCCAGTGAACTGTTTCAGCTGCTTTTTCTTCTCATTTCCTTCCACTCGCTTCAGGAATCCTTGGGCTTTGACAGTGGGAATTGCAAAACCCTCAGGGCAAGTCCCTTTGTGGCTCATTCTGCATCTTATTTAGTGCTGGTGTCCAGAGGCTATAAGTAATTCCGAACAGGCCCATGTCACAGCTGGCTCAGGTGACTCACAACATCATTCACATTTGTCGATATTCTCCCTAACGTCTCCGGAATCAGGTGTCAGTCATCAAGAACTAACACAGCACGTAGAGAGTTCAGCAACACCAGAGTTCAGTCCCCAGCGCCAGCGTGTGGATATCTTAATGAGACCAAATTTGGGGCTCGGTGAACGACTCTCCATTCTCCACTCAGAATAAAAGAAAAACCTTCAAGTGTAGTAGGATGGATTCAAGTTAGATTCAAAGATAAGTCCCCTGAGAACATGGGTTGGTAAACACTGGAACGTGTTACCAAAGGAGGCAGAAGAATATATTTTCCTTAGTGGGTGTTTGTTTATCTTTCTTAAGTCCGTTTTCACCAGTGTCTGGACTTGCTGACAGATGGTTCTGCTCAAACCCAGGGAAACAGACTTGATGACCTTTGATGTACACTTGGAATGCTCAGAGCTCTCTTTAAATGTCACTTCTCTACAGAATCCTTCCCATCCTACCTATTCTAATTATATTGCCCCTCTTTAACTTTCTCCTATTACCCTGTTATTTTCCTTCCCACCTCTTATAATGACTTGTAATTATACATTTATATACTTGTTTTTTTCCTTTGGAGAGCTGGTTGTTAAACATTTGCCAGCACACCACACCACTGCTCCTAATTGTTCTTCCCGCTTCCGCTTTAGCTCCCACATAGCCACCAAATTGAGCCTCTAAATATTTGAATCAGCTTGAGCTATTCCTCTGCTCAGTCACTTCCAGTTGCTTCCCATCTCACTTCGTCAAAAGCCAAGATTCTTACCCTGGCTAAAAAGTCCCCAAGCCATCTGCCGAGCCCCATTCTCCATATTTTTCTGATCCAGTCCTCTTTCCCCATGGCTGCTCTGCTCCAGCCATTCTTCAGTCCTGCAGTTCCTCAAACACCAGAGCAGGCTCTGCCTCAGGGTCACTGAATATGCTTTTCTCTTCCTGGAAAACTTTCCCCCAGACAGAAACTTGGCTCCCTCCCTCACTTCAAGCATCTTGGTTTTCTAATTCTTTGCAGTGGCTCAGGCCTGCAATTCTAGCACTTTGGGAGGCCAAGACAGGAGGATCACTTGAGGCCAGGAGTTCAACACCAGCCTGGGCAACATAGCAAAACCCCATCTTCACAAAAAAATAAAACAAAGTTCTGTGCAAGAAACATCTTGGATCTGGCTGGCCTTATTTCCTCAGGCCAAAAGAAAGTCACGAATATGACAGTGTGCCAGTTTGAGGCTTAGGCTCAAAAGGTCTGAATGCTTTTCTGCTTTTTGTTTCAGAACCCTGCCCTCTTTATGTGAACTAGCCCACTCTAGTCTGCTGGAGGAGGAGACACCATAGGGAGGAAAACCAAAGTGCCCCACTTGACAGCCAGCTCACACCAGAAGCTGAGATGTGCTGGAAACATAAAATACACAGAGAGTTTAGAATATCCAGTACCAAAAAAAATACATACTTCAATAACAAACTAGAAACTATGTGCAGACAATAACCTTTACCACAAGATACTTCCCACAGAGTTGTATTGTTTGTTTGTTTTTGCATGGTTTGGGTTTTTGGGTTTTTCTTTTTGTTTTGGTAATGTCATATTTTTTCTTCTAATCTAAAGTGGACTAAGCTATCAAAGTGCAAGACCAAATTTGTGCTTGACAATTTCCTTTCTGTGTTACATACTTACCATGTTTGGGTTGTGCTATGGATTTTCTACATGGCATCAATTGGTCTTCGTAATGCCCTATGCTCTGTTCTGGTTGCTAAAGTAAAGAGAAAGCCTCAAATGAGCACTGAGAAGTCTATCATGCATCACTTTTTCAACTTTCCAATTTCTATTTGCTCCTGTATTCTCCATACTTCTCTGTCCTCTCTTTTGTTTAAAATCTCATTTAGCATTCTCTTGAGGGCAGAACATGAGATTACAATCTAACTATTGTAATGAGAATGGGTTAAGTTGGTGCCGTTTCCCATTTTCATTACAATCTTGGTGGCAAGAATAATGTAACAGAATTTTTAATGCCTCATATATTACATGAACATTTTCCCGTGAGCTCCTACTCCTTTTCTGCGGACAGCAGCATGGCTGGTGCTATAGGACTTTGATCTTTTTATATTCTGCATTATAATCAATTGGCCATTTCACCCCTTCCCCATAGATTACAGTCACACAAGTAAAAAATATTTTGATCTATAGCATACCACTGCATCTCATGACTATAAAATCCTGTCACCTGAAGACCACTACCTGCAAAATGCATGGAGCCTCTGAGTCAAATTGGACAGAAGGCACAATCCAGGTGTCTTTACGGGCAGGTACTTCTCTGAAAGGCACTCTGGGAATAGTAGTTTTATAATTTAAAGCACAAGTGTACAGAGTGTGCTTGAACCCAGGAGGCAGAGGTTAAATATCAGGACTTCCTGGAAAACTGGACTTTGAACTCTGAGATGCTCACCCTCCAAATGGAAAGCCTCACAGGTTCTTGTTATTCCAAGTGTGGTCCTCTGACCAATAGCATCAGCATCACCTGGCAATATGGGAAAAGTGCAAAATCTCAGGCCTCGGCCAGCCCAAACCTCCTGAATTAGAATCTGCATTTTGACAAGAGCTCCAGGTGTCTGGTCTACACTACAGAGTTTGGGAAGACCTGCCTTAGAGTTTCTTATAGAGTACACATCATACAGAAATTCAAAAGCAGCTCCCCTCTTCCTGAGTAATCCCCAACACTTACTTTGGGTGCCTTGTCAAGGGCTGGGCCCTGGGATCCCAGAGCCCCCTCTCCTGGCTTCCCAGAATCTTCCCAGACTCTCCCTGTGATGTCATCCTCACCTTACCTTTTCCTGGCCCTTTGCTTATCATTACCAGCCTTTCTGGGTTACACTTTCTTTCTTTTTTTGTTTTTGTTTTGAAACGGAGTCTTGCTCTGTTGCCAGGCTGGAGTGCAGTGGAGTGATCTCGGGTCACTGCAACCTCCGCCTCCTGGGTTCAAGCGATTCTCCTCCCTCAGCCTCCCAAGTAGCTAGGACTACAGGTGTGTGCCACCACGCCCAGCTCATTTTCATATTTTTAGTAGAGACGGGATTTCCCCATGTTGGTCAGGATAGTCTCGATCTCTTGACCTCATGATCCGCCCACCTTGGCCTCCTAAAGTTCTGGGATTACAGGCATGAACCACTGTGCCTGGCCTCTGGGTTACACTTTCTAGGGGACTAAAACCTTTTGACTGCTCCTCAAATGGCCTTTCAAGCAGAAACATCTTCATCCAAATCTTAGCTCTGTCGATCTTGCTCTGTGCAATCTTGTGACGATAATGATATTTACTATATTAGTTAGAGAGTAAGAACAAACTGCTGTCATGAAGAGATCCCCAAAACACAATGGTCCAAACCAGATAGAAATGTCCTCATTTCGTGGGTAACCCACAATGGAAGTCAGCTTGGCTACCCCCCTGTTTTGGACAGTGAGGCTTTCCCCAGCACATTTCTTCATGATTCACTTAGAGCATTATCTTTGTCTGCCTGGTTTAAGCCTTGTTGCAGCAGGCAGAAAGAGGAAAGGGACTTCACAGTGGGGTCCCACCCAGCTGGGAGGTGTTGCCCCGCTCCAGGTCCATGACCATGGAAGCAGCTGGGCATCTGAGTGGGCAGCTGTAGTCCCTTCCCCAATCCCCTAGCAGGGTGATTTTAGAGGCAAACAGGATTATGAAGATAGATCGTGTAGCACACTGCCTGGCACCCATCACATTAGGTATTCAATAATGGTAACTATTATTCTTATCATCTTATTATTGGCCTTCCTGGTAATTCCTCCTCTTGCTATTTATCAAGTCTGTTCAAAACCTCACTCATGAAATAGAAAGTAAACAAATTTCTTTTTTTTTTTTGATATTGAACTTTATTTATTGTACCACATTGCATTGAAAATTTGGTTTAAAAATGTCTCATGAACAGCAACAATCCTGAATTTGTAACTTTCCTGAATTATAGCTAAATGTCTATATTCAGCTTTGAGCAGTTTTAGTAAATCAAATCAAATGTAACAATTATGATTATCCCTATTGATGTTCTAACATTGTGACGTCCACAAGGGAAGAGAGTTCAGAAAGTGAACACATTTCAACCCGCCCTTTTGAAGGGACCCACTGATGCCTCAGATCAAATCACAGTGGCTTAAAGTCAGGTTTGTGTGACTTTGGCACCAACTTGGAAATGGCTTGGTCACCAGAGAGGTTAACAAACAACTGTCCCATATATACCACATTTATCTTCCACATCTGTATGTCTTCTGTCACAGCAGCATTTGATACAGGGCTTGGAGTGCTTGTGGTTCATCAGTGGTGGGAGAGGTCTTTGGTGAAAGGGCGTGAGGTAGTCTGATCCCACAGGGAACTCTGGAAAAGGAGCAGGAGCAGGAGCAGGACTTGTACTACAAAATCAGTCCCCTTTGTACTCCGGTTCCAGGCAGCTTATGGCTGCAGGCCACAGGCTTCATGGGCAGTGAGCTCAATGTCCCTAACAGCCAACTTTGTAGCAACTTAGGAGATGACTGCCACAGCCTGTTAAAGGAGATGTGGGCCGTGCCCATCAGCAACCATTTTCTGCGGATGTTTGCTGCTTACTTTCGCCGTGTTAGAGAAACAAAGTACTGGGCCAAATCAGAGTAGAAAAAAGTTCTTATCTAGATGATTGGATCAGGAAAGGTTTTTGTCTCACTGTCACAGACTAAACTTCTCACTCCAGCCATCACTTGGCCACAGGGGCATCATAAGAAACATGCAAATTTTCACTACTACTGGAAAAGTGATTCCTACCACAACAAGAAAAAATGTTTTCTGCAAATAGGCATCCAAGCTACTTGTTATTATTTAACCTGTTAATGCAGTACCACTCTTCAGAAGCAACCTAGGTAATTAACACATTGCATGGACCCCAAACAAGAACATGGGTTGATTCAAATCACCACCTTTAACATATTTTCAAAACCATCTGAGAAGGATTTGGGGGAACGATTCAAGGCATTCTTAATCACTGCCTACTGTCCAACTTCCTTTATATAACACCTCTTAGATCTAAACCGAATTCTCCCTTCCCAGTACCCCTTTCCAAGGCCTTATGTCTTCATACCTAGATCAGTATAGTTTCACCTGCCACTAACTCTGGGACAAATCCCAAGGACTAGCTCCATCTCGAGTCAGCCTGAGCTTGGACACTGGTCCTGGGCTTTGTCTTGTTCTTTGTGTACAGGACATCATCTACCCCAGTTCCGGAAATGAGACCAATACTTTCTCCAATGCCTGATTTCCTGCTTTAGTTCCCACTTAGATGCCCCAGGTCCCTTAGGAATAGGTCCTTGTGCCCCTGAGTCCATTTGGAGATTTGCCCACTCACCAGTCCTGTGGCTTCCTGCTGCCTAGTGACAGCCTCCTTGGGCCACATGCCACATGCCCACTCACCTGCCTGCCTGCATCTGCACCTAAGGTCGACTGCCAGACAGCTCTCCTTCCCACAGAATGGGAAGAACAGATGGAATAGTCTTGACAAAGTGGTGTAAAGAGAGAAAATGCCAGCTACACTGCAATAGGAAATGAGAGTTAAACTCCTTTATGAGAAAAGGGAGTTGCTAAAAATGGAGGCCATGGAAAGGGGGAGGCTGCCCTCCTTCCATCCTGATGGTTGCTGTCAGTGGGACTACAGAACACAGCCATTGAGGGCTTGTGTCCTGGGATGAGACCTGACTTACAGCCCAGCGCACCACTCACTAACAGCTAAGAGAGGACAAACACATCACCCACCAGGTTCAGGTCCCCATCTGTAAAGTAGGAGTAATAGCACTCTGTCCTCCCAGCTACTTCTCTTGCTGGAATTCAAAGAGATACAATATGTAAAGTCTCTTACAATTGTTCCTTAAGCATAGGCCTGATACACAAGAAATGCTCAATAAATAGTAATATGCATCAGTTCCAGAGGAAGAGATACACGTAGAGTAGATTTTTTGTAGGGGAGAGAGAAGATCATGTATTTAGAATAAAAGCCTAGGCTAGATGATTCAGCTTGTAAAAGATCAATAAATTCAGAAAACGTGGAAGTGACAGAAATCAGCAAGGTGAAAACTGGAGCAGAAATCTGAGTCCAGAGCAGAAAGAAGAGTGCAAGAATGGCAGCCTTGGGATTGGGAGTGTTGGGAGACGCAGATCAGCAGGTTGAGGAGGAAAGCTGAAATTGAACCAGAAAGGTCGGAGAGCTAGGGGGAGTGGGACCCGGCTGTGGTTTAGGGAATAAATGCACTGTAAAATGCCCCCAAGGCAGCAGAGAAAGCTATGAGAGAAAAAGGAAAGGGGAATCGAAGAATAGGGCACATTTTATTGGAAGGGCAGTGAATAGAGGGAGGCTCAACAAAGTATTCGAAGCAATTGGGGGAAGAGAGAGAATGATAGGGAAGTCCATAGAGGGAGAGGTAAACAAGCAGTCAGCTGTGATAGAGAGAAGAGGCAATGAAGAAACATAATAATATATAATGCTATTTCGAAACAACAGCTGGGAATAGGGAATTCATAGCGAAGCGATAAATACCAGCAATGAGGGAAGTAAATACCATTAAAATGCACAATAGTTAATAACAATGAAGCCAAAGTGGGGGGAGCAATTAATAAATTAACAAACAATAACATAAAGTTTAAAATGAACAGAGGGAAAAACAAGGTTACAAGTATGACCAGTTAGTGAGAGAAGGGCAGGGTTCCTTGGAGGAGTAACAGGGAAGGATGATTCAACTGTATTGCAGAAGTACAGGCTCCAGGCTCTGCACAGCTAAGAGAGGAGAGGACAGGGTCCATTCAAACACAAACAAATGGATGGAAGAGCGGTGCATAGCAAATGCTGCTCCCAGCTCTCTCCACATTGCTGCGGTCCCCATAGCTACTCATCTACCACCATCACAAATAAAAATGGCCTCAGGGAACGGCTGCCTAGATTGTGCTGCTAATGGTGCACAAATATGTAAGACTTTATTCTAAAGGTGGTCTCTAAAAATAACGACTAGGGAACTGTCTTAAAAATGTAGATCCTGGAGCAGGTCACAGACCTCATTCTGAGATTCAGTGTCTTCTCTGCTCCCAAGCCACATCTCCACCTCAATACATCTTTCTGAGTGGTATTGGGAGTGAGTAGGAATCCCCAAGCCCAGGTAGGGAGTCCCTAGTAACCATATTGACTCCCATCAGTCGTGATTTCATAGACCTGAAAGCCTCAGTCATCATGAGAGCATCTCACCCTCAGGATAGTTTCTACCTATATGGTTTCCTTTAAATATTTCTCTGCTTTTTTAACACAAATCTTGAATTTAGAAGGGCTTCATTTCTTTTCCAAAGCACAAGTAAAGGCTTCTGTAATTTTGGGTCAGATAATATTTTCTACTCCTGGGAGAGCACCTCACCCTCAGGAAAGTTTCTACCCATATGGTTTTTAAATATTTCTCTACTTTTCTAACATAATTCTTGAATTTAGAAGGGCTTCATTTCTTTTCCAAAGCACAAGTAAAGGCTTCCGTAATCTTGGGTCAGATAATATTTTCTACTCCAGGGAACACCTACAAAGCAAGAAAAAAAAAAAAAAAGCTTCAGCCAAGTTGGAGAGATGGACAGTGAAAAGAATAGAAGCTGGCTGGGTTGGACTTGATAGGCCAGTTTTCCCTCTTGTTTTAAGAAACGTGTCCCTTTTCCATTTTTGTGTGATATCAGGTTGCTATTCTTGGGGCATTTTCCCAGAGATAAGTTTCTAGAAGACAACGTCAATTTATTATGCTTCTTTGCCTGCCTCACAGCACCCCCTGTCTGTTTTTCCACTTTGTTTTACCTACTCTCCTCCCATCTTAACGCCCAGCATCTCCTGTTCAACCAGGATTTAATAAGCAAAGACCTGCTGTTGGCTCTGTCACAGACTGAGAAGCTCTAGTTCTCCAAAACAGCTCCAACTGGATGGAGAGTTCCTGAGCAACTACATTCCCAACTTGCAGTTCAACAGTGAGAATGATAAGAAATCAGAAGAAGAAAATAAGAAAACTAGACCCTAAAAAGAAACAGGTGGTACACAGTGCAGATAATTCCAGGGTTAGCAGGGAAAGGATAAAAGGCAAGAGACAGAGGAAAAGGGAAATTGGAATAATTGGCCTAAAGAAGAGGGAAAGGGAAGAAAACAAAAAGGTAAGGAAAGGAAGAAAAGGGGAACAAGGAGAAAATGACACATCGAGGCTTTCCAAAGAATAAAGAATGCCAAGAAAAAAAAAATACCAAGATGGTGTTACTTTTATATTTGCATAAAAAGAATGTTAATGATAATCCATATGTAATTAGAACTTGAATTTGGTTCAAGTACCCAAATCAAGTAATTTTTATCTTATTGTATGGGATGCATAATATGTAATATCAATTGCATTCAGTAGCGATAAATATGAAAGAATATTTTTCTTGAATCTACTGCTGCAAAACAAACATAGCCTATCTCTCTTAAGGAAAAATCATTAAGTAATTATTTTGGAGGCCATTAGACTGGGGTAGCTTCAGAGCCCTGAGTTCCTACACAAGCAAACTGGAAACCACCTCAGTGAAACAGCCATCCTCTAGGCCAATCAGAAACCATCAACTAGCCTCTAACTCAGGGATTATTTACATTGCTTCCACATTCACCCTATAAAATCCTTTCCCTCTGCCCCTTCAGTAGAATGCCCAAATGCTTGCAGTCTGAAGTTGCCAGATTCATGAATTGCTGTCTGCGCAAATAAAGTATTTAAAATTTTAATATGCCTTACTTTATCTTTGAACAAGAACTATCCTAAAAAGAAGGAAAATCCAAGGGTATAAGTTATAGCTCAACTGTTCTGACTTCAATAAGTTCCTGTTGAGAGAAAAAAAAAAGCCTCATTTAATGGAGCAGAGGCTAAGCTTTGTTCTGGGCCCAGCACAGGATTAAACACTGTGCATTGATCATGCCTCACTGATGATCATAATAATTAACATCAATTCTGGAGGCAGTTAATAGACAGATGGGGTGACCTTTTTACTTTAGAATCTAAATTATTTGCTATTGGATAAGCAATTTGTTTTTACTGGATTGAATATGAATTAAATTAATTCTAACTACTTTAAGTTTGATACAATTGACATGCTATTGTATTGCCTTTTAATGTTAGGTTGCTTGCATGTGCTGTATTTGACTTGTATGTGGGTATAAAGAAGTCAGCTTTCTGATCTTTTTTCATGAAAAAGAAAGCCACCTTGAACAATTTTACAGTGACATCTGCCCTTATGTGAATGATAAACAGTAATAGAGGAAAGAAACAAGCGAGTAGTCAATGTCCTTATCATTAAAGAAATTGATAATGGCCTTCTGCGCTCTATGCAATTCCTTCTGGAAAGCACATTTAACAACAGCAACAATGGGTATCACCTATATATGGGCTAAATATCTAGTGTCATCATTAATGTTCACATGAATGTCACATTCCAAGACTGCCACATTCTGAATCATCATATAATATGTAAATGGACCATTTGTTTAGTCACATGGGCAAAAAATGGTCTGACTCCATGGGTGCACCGTTCATTCTTCTTCAGTCCCTGACAACTATTCAAATACCTTGGGTGTTAGAACAGGAAGAGGCTTGGAGTCCAGCTCTACTTCAGCCATTGAGTTGTTGTGTAGTTTGGACAAATTACATCCTATCTCCCACCTGTGAAATATGAAGAGTGGTGCTCCCCTGCCCCTCCTACCTCCTGGATTTATGGAAGGATAACACGAGGCCTTAAAGGAGAAAGTGCATTGAAAACACTCTCTATGCACCATATGCCTTAAAGGTGAATATCAGTCAGAGAATAGCAATGTCAGGAGAAAATCAGCAATCATCTAGTCTAGGCTGCTGATTTCACTGATAAAGCCTCTGAGGGCTGGAGTCCAAGGTCAAACAGGTTGTTACCGATGAGCTAGGACAAACCTCTGGTCTCCTGGCTCCCCAGTCCACACTCTGCACTACTCCACTTACTTAATTATTGGTCATCCTGTTTTGCCATATTACACAATTAACCTAAAATATCAGTGTTAAATTGTCTTTCAACATCAATATTGTAAAATAATTTTACTAAAGTCATCTAATTATGTGACTAATATTTCTTTAATGAAGCAATGATATTTTAGAATAGCAAAAATGTTGATTTCCAGTATGCTGAGTGTCCCTATCTAAAGTCACACTGTGAAATATTAGCTAATACTTCTTGAGCACTTTACAGTGTGCCTGACTGTCCTAAGGGTTTCTCATGATCTCATTTAGTCTGGTCAATAATCCTACGACGTTCACACTTTATTATTCTTCTCTTAAAGAGGAGGAAACTTCATGTGCTCATTCATGCACACTGCTTGCTTCATTTTGCAGGGAGACTGAGCCCAGTAAACTTAACTTCCCTGCCTCCTCTGCCAGGGGCTTCTGGGTGGGGTCAGCCAATGATAGGCACTGGCAGGCGCGGACAGCAGCAAGGCAGGAATCAGGGTATTTCACCTCCCTCCCCTGGGTGGCGCACTTTCTCTCAAAGGGGCTGTTTCTCAGTGGTTCCAGCTCTTGCTGGACAGTCCCTCCCTTCCAGGGTCCTCACTCTCCCACTCCATCCTCGTCCCTGTTATCACTCTCTCTCATCCTTTTCTCCCTCTAGTACTAGTAGTACAAATCTTGGTGCTGCCTCACTATTTCCTACTGAACTTTTAGCCCCTCTAACACCCTTGTACGTAGTTCCCCACATTGCATTCCCTCTGTTGAACTACTTGGTATTTTCCTGATTGGACACTGACTGATTATAGGCTTCCGGAAGCACATAACTTAAAGTTACAGAGCATGGGCTGAGTTTGAATTGGGGCCGTCGGATTGCCAAGTCTCTGCCCAGTCTCTGCCCTTGAATCTTGAAAGGCTACTGTTTCCAACAATGTCATGGACTAAGATAATGGTCTCCAAACTTTTCATTAATTTTTTTGTTGTGCACGTTTATGAAGAAGAAGTTTGTAAGCATGGACCCTTGACACATGTATATTTATAAATTTCATGTAAGTAGATATTCTAAATACTAGTAAAGCTTGTTTTCATTTTGTGTTTTAAAAAAGAATTATGATATTTTTCTCCATGCCAAAGGAAGCCATCATAATGAGATTTTGGGTATAGTTGAAATATACCTTGAATTCTTTATTGCTGTTATATAATTTCAGTCACTTTCTTCTAAAACAGTGAGACATTCTCCAGAATCATGCCATATTTTCTTCTTGTTTAGTTTTCTCATTTTCTCTCTCTCCTTCCTTCAACCATAGGACGTGAACAGCAGAGATTAGGAATGAGGGAAAAATGGAGTGAAAAGTCTCCCAAATCTTTTTTATTCCCAGTTTAAGACAAGCTCACACTCTAGAAACAGTCAAGAATTGTAAGCATCTTTTTAATAATAGTTTTACTATCACATAACATAAAATTCATTTCTTGAAAGTGCATAATTTAATGTTTTTCAGTATATTCACAGAGTTATGCAACCATCACCACTAACTAAGGATAGAACATTTTCACCCTCTGAAAAAGAAACCCAAATCCATTATTTGTCACTCCCCGATCACCCCCAGCCTCTGGCGACCACTAATCTACTTTCTGTCTCTATGGATTTGACTATTCTGATCATTTCATATAAATGAAATCATACCATATGTGGCCTTTTGTGATTGCTTTTTTCACTCAGCATAATGTTTTCAAGGTTCATCCATGGCGTAGCATGCATTGAAACTTCATTCCTTGCTATGGTCAAATAATATTACATTGTATGGATATACCACATTTAATGTATCTATTCATCAGCTGATGGATATTTGAGTTGCTTTCACTTTTTGGCTATTGTGAATAGTGCTGCTATGAACTTTTATTTACGCTTTTATGTTTGCATTTCTCTTGTGTATATGGCTAGGAGCAGAATTGCTGGGTCACATGGTAAATGTACATTTAACATTTTAATGAAGTGCCAAACTACTTTCCAAAGTGGCTGCGCTATTTTACATTCCCACTAGCAGGAATGTCTGAGGGCTCCAATTTCTTCACATTCTTGCCAATGCTTGTTCTTTTTTATTTTAGCCATTTTAGGGGGGTGTAAAGTGGGATCTCATTGTGATTTTGATTTGCATTTTCCCTAATTATTTGACATGTTTTTAAAAACTAGTTATTTAATTAACACTAAATAAATTATTAATATAAAATATTAATATTTATTTTCAGTGAATGAAACATGAAAGATGGCCAATTTCATCTGCACACAGAAGAGCATTCCAGTGCTCTGATAAAATGTTTAAAAATCACAATGTGAAAGCTAAGTAACCATTCCATTTAAAAATGTAATTTTAAATTTAGAAACTGCATATTTAAAATACAGTGCCACTAGATGTTATATATAATATTGCATATAATTGGATATGCAATATAACCCCCACCCCTGGACCATGGTCTCTGCAACATTTTAAAGGTTCTATGCATCAACTGATCTCTTAAAACTGAGTCCGTGTTCTTAACCACAATGCTAATTTAATTAAGTAAGCCAGACATTTGATTAACATTTCCATCTCATTCACCAAAACTTCTCCTACATTGGACTATATTTTAGAGCACTGTATTTTCTCCCTGTTTCTGCCATTCACCTTTAATTGAAATTCAGCATATTACTGTTAGTTATTAATAAATATCAATCCTTCCTTTGCTTACATAGCAACAGTTTCTTAAATAAACAACCATTCTTAAAAAGTATCAGGAAGTGGAGGGCTTAGTGAGTAATATGGCTGATGGAAGCATCGATTCCTGAGCTGGACATTGAGAACATCATTAGAATCATTATACTGCTCTTGGCAGGAAGGGCTGCCACCCTCTGGGTTCTAAAAGTTTTGTTTCAAGAGGAAATAGTACCAAACGAAAGAGTAACCTATTCAGTCATTCATTTCACAGATAAATAGTAAGGGCCTACCACGTGCCAGGAACTGTGCGCTGGACACACAGCAATGAACCAGACCCTCAAAGCCCTGCCCTCAAACAGCACACATTCTAATGAAATGCCTTTCACCAGCCTCCTGCTGCCCTTGTGTAAGGAGCGGTGCCTGCCTCTGCAGCAGCCATTTTGCTTCTCTGGGGACAAAAGCCAACACACTGTGGATGACAACGCTTCAAAACAGAAAGAAACTCCTTTAAATGAGTGCGAATGGCTCAAGGCCCCAAAGCAATTCACTTTCAGTGGTCAGGGTTTTCTACTTCTGATTCTCAGAGCTTACTTTCAGGGAGCTAATGTCCAGAGGAAAAAAGCAAAACAAAAAACAAACAAACAAACAAAAACCTCATTCAGACTGTCCAGATCATGGCCCCAATTGCTAGTTGAAACTCTTCTGAGGAGTGAAAACATCCAGAGGATGTATTTCTCTAACAGGCGTTTTCCACATACACCTGTTTTCAGACTGGAAATACCGGACTTCCAGAACAATGCCTTGTCCCTTGGGGTCAATTCCTCTAACTGCTGATCTCCTTTCTCTTGCAAAGCTCCCAGACAGCTAGCCTACGGTAGCTCTGATGTAGCTAAACCTCAAACTGCTCAGAATCTCTATAAAAGCCTCAATTCCCAGGACATTTCTAGCTCAAGTCTCTAAGTGTACCTGTGCTCTCAGGGCATAAATTGAGCAAGACCCTGAGGATCTCTAATCTGATGCCTTTTTTGATGGCCCAGGGGAGGAAGATACTAAAAAATTGAACTTAAAGGGCCCACCAGAAACACAAAAATTTTAAAAACAAAAACAACAACAACAACAGATTCAACTAGGTCTCCCTGTTAAATACTCTCATAGCACCTGGCACTTTTCTTTTGTGGCATTTGTCACAGCTTATTATTCAATACTTGTTAGTATTTATATTTGATTCATAAAGAAAGGAACCTTACCTGTTTTGCTCACCCCTGTATTCCCAGGGGATGAATGAATGCATGCTTTCATTCATTCGTTGGGCCATGCAAGTCTTAACATGGAAAACTGACCTCTTTTAGTTTATGGCATGTCCTTGCCCTTAAGAATGGAAGTCCTGACATCACAAAACATGTTGATTACCTGTCCATTACTTCATGGCTATTAGTTGACAACTGGGGATTCTTGTAGGCTTACCCACTTCAGGGACCACACACAATAGAATCTCCTTTCCAAGTTGCCTATGTGTGGGTTAGTAATCCACTCTGTCCCCTGAATATGCTGCCGGCTTCTGATTGCCCCACCAAGCCAGGAGTCAGGTTCCAGCTCTCTCTAAAAGAAGATCCTTGAGATTGTAGGTTGTGCAGCCAATTATACCTAAGCTCAGTTTGGGTTTATTCAGTTTCCAAAATTGCCAAAAAAGACAGTTGACAATATCCAAGATCCTTTTAGAATGGAGTGTATGAAGTGCCACATATTCAAAATATGCCTTTTCCTTCAACTTATTACTAAAGAACATCCTTAAGGTGTCAGATTTGTTCATCATTTGGATTTGTATCGGTAACTGTTACATCATTAATGTTATGGACATTCTGAGTTGTAATGTAAATTCTTTAGTGAACACTAAAATGTCATTCTCCAAGATTTGGGTCCTGCTTAATATTGTATCATTTTAATCTCCTATAGCACACACTTTAGCACCTTCATTTTATTCCCCTAAGAAACTTTTCCTAAAATTCAGATGCTAAAAATGTAAACCTAAATTTAAGCCTATACTAAACACTTGAGCATTCTTTTGTGTACAGAGATAAGCAGAACGGAGGTGACTCTGCCATGAAAGCGGTGAGGCTCAGCCTCAAGGCCTTCAGTGCTTCCTCCAAGGCCCTGACAGGGACCCCAGCAGTGTGCTCATGAAATCACATATATTTTTATACATTTTGCAGAAGTAAAATGCTTATGTATTATTTTTATAAAAAGGCCCCCAAATTGAATAAGCATAACAAAACCTATATCTACCACCAAAGCTGAAGCTAGAAAACTGATATTGATCTGTTTCTCACCTCCTAATAGATGATTCCTTTCAGTTGGGAAGACCTACCTGAATTATTTTTCCTGCCACTTTGACCTTTTTTTTGTCTTTTTAAAAATAAACCATCCTAGCCTGTTCTTTATGAAAAAAGAGAGATCACCAATTATGCTACACGGTTTTCTTCTGAGCTTCAGTTTAGTCTTTGTGAATGTGTAGCATTCTATTGGGGGTAAAAATCTGCACAGAGTCTCTTCCAGCTGCCTAACCCCAAATTAGTCTCCGAGTGCAAATCGGTCTACTTCAAAATAACTGAAAAATTATTATACTTATTTTCATTTGAGCATATACAACCCTACCAAACCTGCACATAGAAAAATAATTATCTCTTCTTTATGAATATTTGGGAAAGCCATGGTCTCCATCACAGAAATATATGTACCTACACACACATACACACACGCACATGCATAAAGTACATATCCACAAACATACACATATATATGAAATCTTTAGAAAAGAATATGTTTTGACTGCAGGGATGGATTTTGTATGAATAGAACCCTGAGGCATCTAACAGCTTAAATAATGGTTTCTATTCCAGGGAAGAAAAAATATTTTTCCTTGATAGCACTTTTTATATTCACTGCATTGGAATTACTTTTTCAAAATTCTGCCAGTGAAGACTTATCATATGTGGGTGCCATAGCTGTAACATAAAGATAAGGATTGAAGCAAATACCACTCATAAGCTCATGAGCCTGTAAATTGGAACTATCCTTCATAACACAAAGCTTTTTACCAGTCCAAAAATTTTTCTTAAAGGCAAGACAGGAGTTTTCTCCTACAGAATTTTCCTTCTCCAATTGCTTGAACCTTTTCAACTGCTTGAATTTTATTTGTTCACAGACTATTTATGAGAGAAAGATACAAACAACATCTATAGTCTATAGAAAATGTAGAAAATAACTTTTGGTTAAATTTTTTATCAGTTCTAGATTCAGATAGCTACGAAAGCATTTCAATAAAGCACACAGTGTTATTCCTACTGATTGAGGAAAATCATTAAAATCTATATAAAACCTAATAAATAATATAATTGTCACCGAGGGTTTTTGAAGGAAATAACTTGGTTTCAAAATGGCATTAGAATGTCTTAATAAGCCACCCACAACCCCAAGTTCTTTAAGCCTCAGTCTAAACATAGGAGTATCACTTCTTCTTACCCGCCCACCACTCCAGATGAGGTCAACCTTCCCATTAGAAGCTTTTTAGCTCCCTGCACTGACCCTTCACTGTTGGGAACAATGGAGTGATCTGTGTGGTTGTTTCACGTTCCTGTGTCTGAGAAACCATAAGTACCACAAAAGAAGGGGCCTTGTGTATTTTACCCATCACTGTATTCCCACTTCTGACCGCTGTCTAGGAAGAAAGTCAATATTTGTTAGGTGAATGAATAGATGAATCAGCCATAGAAATATTAAATATTCCTTTCTTGGATCTGTTTTTCTGAGACAGGGAAAGAAAATCAATTGAATGATATTTTTGCTATTATTTGCTATAAATTTTTACTCTTACCATAATAGATTGCAGAGTTTAAAGCGGCTCCTAACAACCCTTCTATGTGCCCTCTTCTATTTGATGTGCTCTGCAGTCTCCTTCCTGTCTGAGGAGCCAGATGGGTCAGTCTGAGACAGCTGTGAATACTAACTTTATTTTTTAAAATTATGATCATTGCATTATACCATGTAAAAATAAAGCAGTCTAGAAAGTGATGCTTAATCCTTTCTTACTGCCCCATTCAGTACCATAGGCTATTAAACCTCCTCCAAATACAGGGGCCTACAAACAGCTTTCTCATTAAGCATCTTATATTGTTTCAAGGGGAGATGTGGGTTTTTATAAAGGATCTCTACCTACTCTGTTAACATGCAGTAATGCCCTTTGCTATCACAGAATCATGCAGCAACTTGCAAATTAATACATGGACCACTGCTGCTCATAATACAAACATAGCACCCACAGGCCATCAGGGCTTCATGTAACAATCCTAATTCTTTAATAATTTGGAGTTGTTTTTCCTGTTTATACCAGAACTTGCACTCTGCTTTATTATTGTTGAGGAAGGGGCTCAATATTTCTTTCATAAAGATAATTGTTTCTGTGGGATTTGGGGGCTTTTCTACCTCCCCCATTTTAGAGACGCCTGTGTGGCTGAAAACACATAAAATGGAGATGCACCTCTTCATTAAAAAACTTTAACCTCTCACTAATGATGATATTAATACCCAGCGTGCGATAAACACCTGAGATGTACTTTGTCCTAAACAACACAGCTTTAGAGAACCTTGTAGTCAATAAAATAAAATACCCCTTTCTCTTTAATTAACATATGAAATAAACACAATCTGTGACACCTAGTGTGCAGCAGCAATTAAGAGGCATTGCTTAGTTAAACCTCCTAATACCTCATTTAAATATGCAATTAAGGGATAATTACCTTCAATCAATAAAAAAATTGAAATATTTCGCAGGGGCTTCAATTATTCTTTGCTAGGCTTTCTACTTTACACTTGGCCAGCGCTCAGCCTGTCAGCCTTACTCCTTTGGTTAAAGTGACATTACCCTCTTTTTTTGCTACTGGCTTTTAAGCATGCCATTAACATTGCAAGAGGCCAATAACCATGCTAAGCCTTAGAAATCATCCCTTTTGGCCTCAGCTAGAATTTCTATGGCTGTGAAATTGCTTCTTTGTGACTTGCCTCAGGTTATGTTCTTTGTTTTTACTCAGCCTAAAGACCTCCATTTTCATCTGGTTGCAAAGGATTCTACAGTAAAGGGGCAACAATTTGCTGACTTCCTATGGATGCACCAAAATGCAGTGTGCACAAAAAGCATACTGTGGCCATCAAATTTGTTGGTGCATTTACTTTGGCGGGGCTGGGCTTTATCCCTTAGCCTCCTTCATACAAACTCAAGTTAAGAATGTAAGTATTTACAAACTGTGGTGCACATAGAAAGAAATATTTTTAAACTGAACCTTCATACAAACCCTGGGAAGTATGTGAAGTGAATTGGGAAGTACAATAACCATCACCAGAGAGGATCAAGGAATAAGTAAAAGAGTTAGCTGTGTGGGCAGGAAAGCATAACTAAATATTCATCCCAGAAAGGGGCAAATTGAATAAATATGTTGGGTTGACAAGGGATGGTCTGAAGTGCTGAAGCTGACTGGCAAATGCAAATATTAAGCAATAATCTTATAAGATAAACCATAAAATAAGAGAATATAGTCAATCAGCAAGGAATAAATACCCAATGGACAAAGCCAAGTGAAGGATTAGGTGGCATCTGATGAATTTAGGGCTATGTAGACAGCTCTGCTCCATAATTCAGGCCATAGAAAATGCTGCAGCCTGAATTATCTAAATTGTTGGCCCAGCACACACCTAAACTTCTACTTTGCTTTGATTGAGTAGACTTTAAAAGATCAATGTCGTTTTGCTCTGAACATGAAAAATAACATAATTAGATCATAACTCTGAAATGTGAAAACTGTGTGCTCTTCAGTTTGGAGTACTCACCCCTGAAGGCCTCGAGGAAGCCGAGCTAAGCTGCAATTACCCAGCCCCTTCGAGATGGAAAGATCCAAAAGAAAGCTAAGGAACAGATGAAATCTGTACGGTTAATCCTTGAGGTTGAACTGCACAGGTCCACTTACAGGGGGATTTTCTTCTAGCTCTGCCACCCCTAAGACAGCAAGACCAATCCCTCCTCTTTTCCCTCTTCCTCCTCTACAGGAAGACCATGAGGATGAAGACCTTTGTGATGATCCACTTCCACTTAATAAATAGTAAATACATTTTCTTTTCCTTATGATTTTCTATATAACATTTTCTCCTCTCAAGCTTACTTTAATGTACAAATACAGTATATAATACATATAACATACAAAATATGTGTTAATTTACTCTTTATGATATTATAAGTCTTCCAGTCAATGGTAGGCTATTCGTAGTTACGTTTCTGGGGACTCAAATGTTATGTGTGGATTTTTGAAAGTGTGAGTGCTGGGAGAGCACCCCAGCATGGTTCCAGAGTCAGCTGTACACACAGAGTTTGGCAATCCTGCTGAAACTCTAACATTTTCTTTTCTCCCTATTTGTTAATCCTTCTGGTCTAATCCATTTCAGCTGACTGAGGCACACTGGCCCCTCTTAGAGAGGGAAGCTACTTCAATACCCACACACAAGTACACAAAATCTAACCCTTAATTGTCCTACTCTCACACCCTGAGTGATTCAACATTGTGACCTCATTTCCATAGGCCTTCCACTGGGTATTTGGGGCAACTTTTATTTCTCACCAGTCTCAACCAATCTTCATTGATAATAACAGTATATTAATAATCCCAAAGACTGTTCTAACTGCATTACATAGGATGTTTCATGTAATCCTCATAGCCCCAAAAGGAGGGTAAATCATCAGCCTCATTTTACAGATGAAAAAACTGTGGCACTGAAAGATTATATTACTAGAAATAGCTGAAATATAAATTCAAGACCATTTGGTGCCAGAGTTCACAGGATTAGCTACTATATTTAACACACTCTCCAGAGTCTCAGTTTCCAAAAGTGTGACACACATTTCATGGGTTGATTCAATTAATTCGAAACAATATAAACTCCGTATGTCAGGTTTTCATCTTCATGGCTTCAATGATCCTCAAGAGAATTGAAAACTAACCACAATATTCATGTTTTTCTAGAAAACAATCCTCCATATTCATTCATTCATTCAGTAGACATCGAGTCACTATAATATTCATCAGGCATCACTGTGCTAAAATAGAGATAAAGAAATGAATCATCTTTCCCTGTACCTGTTTCCTCATTCATCTTCCAACCTGCATTAGTGAAATTAGGTTGAGAGATATGAAATTATCATTATTCAATTGTTCCTGACCTACAAAACCAGCAATCTTGTATAGTTCAATCAAATGAAATAAAACAAACAAAAAACCTTTGGTGGCTTTCCAACCTATACAGGGCAAAGCTGAGTCTTCAGAGAATGCCAGAATGTGGTCCTTGCTTCCCTATTCAGGTCCATTTCTTGCTATGTTGCCTGCCTTCTCATTTTCACTCTTCCTCCTATAGGGCCAGTCTCATGTGCCTACCCCTTCAAGAGGGCTTTCTCCTGCTCACTCTTTCTTAGGAGATACTTGCTGATCAATTTCTCATCCCCCTACACCTTTTGCTGAGTATTCCCAGAATACAAATTCCTGACCACCCTTTACTTGGTCCATTTCTCAGGGTTGTGTTTGCAGTGAGTAACCTTCAGAGACAAGGTAATGTCTCCCTCAGGGGCAACAAGCAAGCTTGTTTATTGCTTATTATAAAACAATAGATTCCCCAAGTTCAACATTCCTCAGCTGCAATGGAAGCCCATCCGGGCCCATGATTTTGCCCCAGTGAACTTAGGAGACAGGGAAATTGATGTACATGCTGATACTCATGTTGCTTGCTCTGCAGTGGGTAATGAAGTCCTTTGTTTCTGACCCAGGAGTCTTATGTCTTCTGCCAGCATCCATGAACAAATTTTAGACCAATTTGTTAAAGTGTAAGTAGGGTAAAATCAAGTCCTAGAACGAATACTCTTATGATGCAAGGCAAACATTTTCTATGTGAAACCCCAATTGTTCAAGTGGAGTTCATCATTTCATCCTTTGTGCCAGCACAATGCTTGGTGGGCTCCCGAATTATTACGCTAAATAATATTTGTATTGATGAGATTAACATGCAGCTACTAAGCTGTTCACTCAGTGACAGTGGGGCAATAGTTCACTTTTTGTTGTTGTTATGCAAACTTCCCAGCATGGTTCTTGAGAATTAGTGATCATTCAAAAAATACTGAATTAAATTGTTGAATGGATTGTACAGTATTCATGCACTGTAATAGCTTATAACCTAAATGTGTTTTGTTGTTAACTTTTTGTTTAAATACAGTGATTTTTTGGCAGGAAAGGATAAATCATGATTTTTTTTAATACAAAGTTATATAAATTGAAAGCAAAAGTCCCTGTTTCTTCCATCAGTACCATACTTCAGAGGTAGCTTTTGGTTTGGTTTATGGCCTTCGGATATTTTCTTTGCATATTCAAACATTCATGTCTACTTTTTTTCTTTAGGTAGGTTAAATCACACTACAAAAATACAAATCTAGTTTTTTCATTTAACTACATATTATGGATAGCTTTTCAAGTCAATACATATTTTATTATTTTTAATGGCTAATAGTATTTGTTTACTAGCTTATGGTTATAGGCTGCCTAATTGATTTAACTAATCCTCCAAAGGTGAACATTTGGTTTTTTTCAATTTTTGCTATTATAAATTATTCTGCAATGAACAATTTTATAAGACTTCTCTGCCTGGTTCTGATTATACCAGTCAAAGAAATACCTAGAAGTAGAATTTACTGATAAAGACACATGTGAATTTTAAGCTTTTATATGTATGTATCAAAGGCAAATTGTTCTCCCAAAACATGTGCTAATTTACATACCTACCAAAAACGTGAGTGTGCTTGTTTCTCCACACCCTCTTGAATACCAGGCATTGTTCTTCATATTTTTCCAAGGAACTGTCTCTATCTCTAATTTCTATTTAGTTCAGCATATTTTATATATGTATTGCTATTTGCGTTTTCTTTTCTGTGAATTACCTGTTACTTTCCTTTCTATCACCACATGCTGGTTGATTTTTAAGAGTACTCTGTGAATTAAGAAAATTCACCCCCTGTCATGTGTTTTGCAAAAATTTTCCTCAGGTTTTACTTTTATTCTTGCTTATGGTATTTTGTTTCTATTTAGACATTATTCAGTTTTTTTATTTAATCAGATTTGTCTTTCCAACTTCTGGGTTAATAGTTGTTTATTGTTCTCGTTGTTTTATTTAAATGTTTATTCCATCTTGAATTTGTTTTGAGCTATGATATGAGTTAGGAATCCAACTTTTTATGCCTTTTAAATAACTGCACCCTAAATGTTTAAAAAATATATTTCTTCTCAAACATGGACACGCATGATGCCTGTGTTTCCTCCTGTCATGTCATTATGAAGACAATGTTAAAATGAATTTTTCATAAAGAATACTTGTGGAGTTGCAAGTACTTTTGTATAAGCAATACAATAAGCATTATTAGTATTAACTGCAGAAATTGATACAAATCATTGCTACCCTCTCCAAGGCATTCTGGATGTTTTGGGTTTGCCTGAATTAAGTAATACTTGAAATGACAAAGCTACTATTTAGGATTCAGAACTTGCTTTGTTATATAATTTCTTGCTTTGCTAGTTGATTCTTAAGGTCACCAAAGGTGGCCAAAAGGCAGTGAGGTTCAGGAAAGGGAACTGAAATTCTGAAAGTCTGGACTCTGGTCCCATTTGGAGGACATAGTGAGCTTGCAGTCCCAGCTGTTATCACTCAAGGAGAAAAGCAAAAAATGGAACCCAAAGATGGCTGGATGTCAAGGAAAAACCAAAGCAGGTGGGGTGGGATTATAAGGAAGAGATATCAAATCCAGACAGAGGGGAATTTGAGAAAGAGCACATGGTTTGTGAAGGGTCCTGAGAGCTGGAGACCTCCCTTTGCCTGCCTTGAGCCTGCCTGTGGGTTCTGTCCCAGGCTTCCTGGGCCTCTCCCCCAGCCCTTTACCCTTCTGCCTTCTGCTCCTCACCAGTTCAGTGCAAGAATACACTCATTCAGTGAATATGTATTGATCACTTACTATGTATAGGTAACACACAAGATTCGGTCCCTGCCTTTTTAGAGCTCCCATTCTAGCAGGAAAGATATATATAAAACCATTCATTATTTACTTTTCATTACAATAAAACAGAGGACCATGCTATGAGAGTAAGTAGGTAACTGGACCCAAGCAAAGGGCTGAGGAAAGGCGTTTTTGGTGAATTGAACTCAAAAACATGAGTAAGAATTAACTAGCTGGGGTGGAAACAGGGTGCACCACCAACAGACAGTGGAAACTACTGAGCGAAGGTGGGGAGGCAGGAAGGAGCACGGATTGCGACTGTCTTTCACAGCAGGATAAGGTGAGTGAGTTGGAGGCACCTAAGGAGGCAAAGAGCTGGATGCAGGCAGGAGTCCCATACTCTCTGTCTTAGGCTATGAGTAAGGAGTGCAGGGTAAGTGCATGTGAGCTCTGCTGCAAACTCAGGGGCTGCCCACTCTACTTTAGGGACCAAGAAGGTTGGGTCCAGGGCAGTGAGGCCTGGATTTGTATGTTAAATCTCTGGATATTAAATGTTGCCTGAATTTAAAACAAAAACAAACTCTGAGTAAATAAAATACATACAGTCTTCAAACCTGCAGGTAGTGAGGTTGCAACCACAGGATTAGAGGATCTACAAGGTGTTTTATAGCTCCTAAGTTGTATGATCTGTGACTTAACAATTTATAATGACCTTCCCCTTTGTAGGAGCAAAACAAACATTGCTTTCTGTTTCTCTAACAGAGTTTATTTCGATATGTACCATTTTTGAATAAATAGCTCATTTCTGAAAGCTTGAATTTATATTGGTTTTTATCAGCCCTCTTTAGTTTATTAAATCATAAAGGTCTTTCAAAAGTCAATTAAGCATATTAGAATTCACAATACTAAAATTTTTAATAACTAGGAGCAAGGTAAGGGCCTGTATTTAAATGATGGTTGAGATACTGAACTACGGGCACATTTATATTAGGAACACTTAAGTTTTCATTTTCTTAAAGACTTCACACAGCCTTGCATATGCATTCCATTTAAAATATAGTCAAAATTGGGCCGGGCACGGTGGCTCATGCCTGTAATCTCAGGAGGCCGAGGTGGGCAGATCACAAGGTCAGGAGATCAAGACCATCCTGGCCAACATGGTGAAACCCCGTCTCTACTAAAAATACAAAAATTAGCCGGGTGTGGCAGTGAGTGCCTGTAGTCCCAGCTACTTGGGAGGCTGAGGCAGGAGAATTGCTTGAACCTGGAAGGTGAAGGCTGCAGTGAGCCGAGATCACACCACTGCACTCCAGCTTGGGCGATAGAGTAAGACTCTATCTCAAAAATATATATAGTCAAAATTTTTTAGCATTTCTGAAATTGTTCTGAAGTAATTTGGTATATGTAAGCCAATTACCTACACTTTTACAAGATTTAACTGCTGTGTTGACAGTGTTATAGTCAGTTGTATGCTTAATCACTCTCAATCAACACATTAACCCACTTTAACAAGTTTGAACGTGTACAGTAAAGGGGACCTGTCAAAACTGCTTCATTGTTCTGGGTTTGAGTGGGTATTTTTTTTAACATTAAAAAAATAATTTGGCCAGGCATGGTGGTTCACACCTGTAATCCCAGCATTTGGGAGGCCGAGGCGGGTGGATCACCTGAGGTCAGGAGTTCGAGACCAGCCCTGCCAACATGGCGAAACCCCATCTCTATTAAAAATAAAAAAATCAGCTGGGTGTGGTGGCGAACGCCTGTAATCCCAGCTACTTGGGAGGCTGAGGCAAGAGAATCTCTTGAACACGGGAGGCAGAGTTTGCAGTGAGCCAAGATTACGCCACTGTACTCTAGCCTGGGCAACAGAGTGAGTGAGATTCTGTCTCAAATGATAATAATAATAATAGTAATTTGAGTAATACAAACTCATTGCAGAAAACTTAGAAAATATACAAAACTACCTGTTAAGTAAAAATGACCTCTAATCCCACCATCCAGAGATACTTGCTAGTTGAGATAGTATTTTATGTACAGGTTTTTATTCTATATTTTTCACAGAAACATATGTCATAAATATTTGTTGTGCCATTAAAAATTGTGTTTAAGGAGCAATTTTTATCCTATGGGGTATATTTCATAATATTGTATTGTACAGATGTGCCATTCCTCAATGGTTGGGCAATTAGATTGCTTACAGTTTTTCACTGTGATAACAACGCTGAGAAGAACCTACTTTGGCAGATTTACTGAAAAGATCTTTGAGACAGATGCTCAAGTTACACTGGTAATATCAAATTACACTATGAAAGAGAATAGTAGGCTGATTAATTTTGATGTTATCAAATAAAATTCATACAAGGTATGCTATTTTTGAAAATAAAAGGAGGAAAGAATAACACAAAATGGATGTTTTCACAAATTCCAAAGCAATGTTGTGTCAGAAGATAAATAACGTTATGGTTGCGTTTTTTCCTATCTTCCTTGGACAAAAAAATATCAAGTTCCTGATTTAGTTAAATGACAGGATAAACAAACATACTGATTTACATTAGAAAAAGAGGGCCAGGCATGGTGGCTCATGACTGTAAATCCCAACTCGTTGGGAGGCCAAGGCAGAAGGATCCCTTGAGGCCAGAAGTTCAAGACCAGCCTGGGAAACATAGTTTAACTCTGCCTCTATAAAAAATTTAAAAAATTAGCCAGGTGTGGTGGCATGTACCTATAGTTCCAGCTACTTGAGAGGCTGAGGCAAGAGGCTTGCTTGAGCCCAGGAGTTTGAGGTTGTAGTGAGCCATGATGGTGCCACTGCACTGCACCCCAGTCTGAGCAATAGAGTGAGACCTTGTCTCAGAGAGAGAGAGAGCACTTCCTCTCTATGTCTTAGCTGTTGACAAATCATAAAACATTCAAAGCTGTTTTGGGAGTGAACATGCCTCAAGTTACTACATAGTTGCTTACATGGGAACCCATTCTCTGGGTGATAGAGCTTGGAGAGACCCCCAGGCTCCAGGGCAGTTTCCAATGGAGGATTCAAGACTTTCCTTTGATGTCATCAGAAATGAGACCAGTTCCAGCCATATCATGCGTGTCCTCCTGATTCAAGTGCTTCAAATCCCTCATACTCTCCACCATGACTTTTCTCTCCCTTGCAAAAGAATTCAACAGGCTTTCAAGCAGAACAGACAAAAATTAGGCACTCTTCACTCAAAAGAAAACCATTTATAACCACCAACTTTCCATCCTCCAATACCAGGACTTATCATTCTCAGCACATTTTGAAAACCATGTTAAATTTGTTATAAATGGTTAACATTGTATAGGCTTTAAAACATGGTTATTTATATAAACAGAATATTATCTTCTTTGAATTGATAGTGATAAATTTGCTATTTAGGATTTCTCATTCAAATTAATGCCACGTTCACATCATGAAAGCAATGTTGGTTAAGGCATCAGCTAAGACATAAACACGTCCTGATTGTACTGAACAGGCAACAATGGACTGGGTGCCTACTATTTGTCTGCTATTTAGCCACCCTTGTAAATATTCTCTGTGTCCAAACACTAGATGACACTGAATAAAGAGTAGTCTCCCATTTTCCATTTTCCCAATGAGAATTTTCTCTTAAAAAAGGTTGGGCCAATTTGAATATATATTATTTTAGGAATGTATATAAAACATTCAAATGTCTGCTCTTAGTATTTATTAATTTATCCATACATATTTACAATTGTCTACAATAGAAAATAAAGTTGTTAGCTTAGAAATATTGGTTATTTCCCACATTGACATATCACAAAATTATTGTGTTCAAACCCTTCACGTGCATTTTTGACGTCAGTGCCAGCATCGTAATTGAAGCCACTTTTTGAGGTTACTGACAGTTCTTCAGAGCACATAATGTTTATGTCCATCTAAGTTGCATGTGCTATGGTCCTTTTAAATTATTTTCTTTGAACTCAGGTAAAAAAAGATAGGTTAATCATTTTCCTTGTTTCTTACTCTATCATCATCATTCTGCACAAGGCCCTTCTCTTGGCTTTATTTTTCCCCTTCACTCTTAATCCCAGCACATTCTTCTCCTTCCCACTGGCGTCCACACTAGTGTGTTTAATATGTGTCCTTCAATATTTATTTATTCTTGGGAAAGTAGTATTGTTGTGGGTTTGTGTTTTCAATCAGATAGTGTTACACTACAAAATTTCTCTTTGTGGCTGATGTTTCGTCACTCAATATTTGGTCTTGCAGATCCATTTATGTTGCTATAAAACATCTAGGGTTTCCTCCTAACTCCTCAAACATCTAGTTGTTCAGATTCCTCAATATGCCCTTACTAAGGTTGTCAGATAAAATATAGGATGCCTAATTGAATTTGAATTTCAGATAAACAACAAATGATTCAGATGTGCAATATTTGGGGCATAAGGGAATTAACACAGGAACAGAAAACCAAATACCAAATGTTCTCCCTTATTAGTGGGATATAAACATTGAGTACACATAGACATAAAGATAGGAACAATAGACACTACTAAAGGGGGAAGAGAGGAAAGCAGGGAAAAGGTGAAAAACTACCTGTATCAGTCCATTCTCACTGCTAATAAAGACATAGTCAAGACTGGGTAATTTATAAACGAAAAAGGTTTAAGTGACTCACAGTTTGGCATGGCTGAGAAGGCCTCAGGAAACTTACAATCATGGCAGAAGGGGAAGAAAACACATCCTTCTTCACATGGTGGCAGCAAGGAGAAGAATTAAGAGCCAAGTGAAGAGGAAAGACCCTTATAAAACCATCAGATCTCATGAAAACTTACTCATTATCACTAGAACAGTATGGGGGAGACTGCCCCCATGATTCAATTATCTCCACCTAGTCCCTCCCAGGACACGTGGGGATTATGGGAACGATAATTCAAGATGAGATTTGGATGGGGACTCAGCCAAACCATATCACTACCTATTGTGCACTGTGCTCACTACCTGGGTGATGGGATCATTCATACCCCAAACCTCAGTATAATGCGATATACCCATGCAACAAATCTGCACATGTACCCTCTGAATCTAAAATAAAAGTGAAATTTAAAAAAAAATTTAAATACTTGGGACACACTTGCATTAAAACATTATTATCTTTCTAAAATTGAAACTTAACTGGGCCTCCTGTATGGTATCTGGTACATTTGGCAACCCTCAGCCCTATTCCACATTGCTTATTCATTCTCTCAGTGATGGAAGCACAGCCTGCCCGGTCTCCTGACTCTAGCAAACAATGCTACAATACACGTCCCCATACAGGTTCCTTAGGAAGCTGAAATATAACCAGTTTACTTTCCAGATGGTCGCACTAGTTAACATGATCACGAGCAGTGCCAAGGGGTCCCATCTCCCCACATTCTTGGTATTATCTACCTTTCAATGTTGCCTTCAGGTATAAATTGAGAAATATAATACTGTTTAAATGTGTGGATAGAATTTTATCCTAAGCCTCAAGTACCAATGATCTGCAATGCCACCTCTATCCTATATCAAGTTTCCATGAGCCTGTTTCTGGACTCCCTATTTTATTCCATTGGACAAAATTGTCCCTGGGCTCTTTCTTTTGCTTCATTGGTCAATTCATTTACCTCTACACCATTTCCATACTATCTTAATATAGCTTGTAATAAGAGACAATCACCATCTAGCAGGATAAATTCATCTAACTTACTGTTTTCCAGAAGTGCCTTGCCTATTTGGTCCTTTTGTATGCATTCATATAAGTATTAGAATACATGTTGGCATTTTCAGTTTGGAAAAAACTGACATCATTGTGAGTTTTCTGCATATGAGTCCTGCACAGTTTTTGGTAGATTTATTCTATCAAGTAATGGAAAGGTACCTTTTAACTACTTTTGCTATTGTACATTTTTAAAATTTTGCCTTCAATTGTGACTTTTATGTAGAAATATAATTAAGTATTTTTCTTTTTTTTTTTTTTTTAGCAGTGTGGTAGGCAAATAATGGCCCACCCAAAGATATCCACAAGTCTCCAGGACCTGTGAATATGTTTTCTTACATGCATGGCAAAAGGGACTTTGCATATGGGATTAAGGTTAAAGGCCTTGAGATGGGGAGGTTATCCTGGATTAGATGCAAGAGCCCAATTCAGTACATGCTTCCTTAAAAGCAAAGAGCATTTCCAACTGTCATCAGAGGGATCTGTCACTTCAGAAGGAGGTTTGGAAGGTGGACGAATCAGGGCACCAGTCAAGGAATGTGAGTGGCCTCTAGAAGCTGGACAACAGATCCTCCACTGGAGCCCCTGGAAAGCAACATGACTGGCAACACCTTGATGTTAGCCCAGAGAGGCCTGTGTTGAACTTCTAACCTACAGTACTGTAATAATTCAAATGTTTTTTGTCTTAAGCCATCAAGTTCATGTCACTTTGTTACCGCAGCAATAGAAAACAAATACATTTAGTATTCTTTTTTTTTTTTTTTTTTTTTGAAACAGCAGTCTCGCTCTGTCGCCCAGGCCGGAGTGCAGTGGCATGATCTCAGCTCACTGCAACCTCCGCCTCCCGGGTTCAAGCAATTCTCTGCCTCAGCCTCCCAAGTAGCTGGGATTACAGGTGCCCGCCACCACAACAGGCTAATTTTTGTATTTTTAGTAGAAATGGAGTTTCACCATCTTGGCCAGGCTGGTCTCAAATTCCTGACCTCGTGATCCACTCGCCTCAGCCTCCCAAAGTGCTGCAATTACAGGCATGAGCCACCGCACCCGACCACGTTTAGTATTCTTGCCTTCTTGCTAAATTTTCATTTGCTTAAAGTTTCACATTATTCCTAATAAGTTGTTGTTGTTGTTGTTTTATTGTGGTGGTAGTTTGTCTAATACTTATGCATCTACTTATTTTACTGCACTGGCTAGGACCCTCAAAGTTGAGGAGAAGTAATGATAGTTGATTTCCTTGGCTTATTCCCAATTTTAAGGAAATATCTCCAACATTCCTTCTACTGAGAATGATGTTTTGGTAGACACCATTTATCAGGTTAAGACGTTCCCTTACTGTCCTAAATTTTTAAAGTATCTTTTCACTTTGTTTCAATCCTAAGTGTCTGTTGAATTTTTGTCATCTTTTAAGATGATATGATTTCTTTTTAATCAGGTAATAAATTGTATTTATAAGTGTTCTTATACTTAACCACCTTTCAGTCCAAGAATAAATGCAATTTACTCATGGTTGATTATGTTTCTGTCCCTTACTTCATTTAGTTAGCTATTAGATTTAATTTGCTATTAGAATCTTCCTATTAATGCTCATGCATGAGAGTGGCCTGTAATTTTCCTTTCTAGGACCATCCTTGATACGTTTTGTTGTCAAGGTTGTATTCATCTCATAGATTGGGTTGGAGAATATTCACTCTTTTTATGTGGTCTACAAGACTTCATATAAAACTTAAATATCTTTTCCATTTACTATATGGTAGAATTTCACCTGTAAAACTATCTAGAACTGGCACTTATCTTTTGTGAAAATTTTAACTAAAGGTTCATTTATTTACCAATTGTACAAGTATTCTGATTTTCTGTTTATTCTTAACTATTATTTTCCCAGAATGTGTCCATTTTGTCTAAATTTTCCATTTTTACTGGCATACTCTTAGTATACCTTGTAATCTATGCTTTATCTAAAGTTATAGAACTATTTTTAATATCTCTATTATTTTTATCAGTGACCTCTGTCATTTTTCTTAGTCTTGTCAGAGATTTTTAAATTTTCCAATTCTTTCAAGAACTGTCATGTTAATCCTATGTGTTGTATTTCTGTTTTCCATTTATTGATTTCTGCTCTCATCTTTGTCTTCTTTCTACTTTCATTATGTTTGTTCTCTTTTATCTCTGATTTTTTAAGCAGAATGTTGCTCTTTATCAGTCTTCCTTCCTGTTACAAGCTTTTAAGATTATAAGTTTCCCTTAAAGTATTAGTTTCATTTTACCCTGCAAATTGTGATACACTATGTTTCCATTACTTTCCAAATCTAAGTGTTTCTTTTATCTCCATGATGATTTATTCCCAGACCCATAGATTATTTAGTAGAGTAATTTTTAATTTTTAAGATATGAGAATTTTTATTATTAATGGTGTTGACTTCTAATTGCATTTTTAACTTTATTGGAATGTAATTTACAATACTATTAAATTTACCCAAGATAAATGTAGAATTCAATGATTTTTAGTAAATGTATAGAATTGTCAACCAGCACTACAATTCACTTTTAGAACATTTCCATCGCTCCAGAAGATACCCCTCATATCCATTTGCAGTCAAGCTGAAATGGCACTTTAATCAAAAAATATGTTCTACATGATACTGATTCTTTGAAACTTATCGATAGCTGCTTTATGGCCTGGATCTGCACTGCCTAATACTATAGCCATGACACATGTGATTATTTACATTTAAATAAGCTAAATAAAATTAGAAATTAAGTTCTTCGACCTCACTAAGCACACTTGAAGTGCTCATTAGCCACATGTATCGCACAGCACAGCTCCAGAAATTTATCATTTAGGAAGTTCTATTGGACAACATTGGCCCAGATATGTCTTTCAGTTCTCTTTTTAGTTGGTCTACTCTGCTATTTAACCGACCTATTGAGTATTTCCTTTCATTAAACATTCCATCATAGCTTTTCTATGGTCTTTAACAACTTCAATATTTACTGTGCTCATGGGTCTGAATCTCTTATATGTGTGTCTGATGACAGTCACTCATGATAGTTGTCCCCTGGTGTGTTTAGTGATTTTTTTTCTGGTGAACTCAATGCTCAATTTCAATGTGTGAGAATTCTATGAGCCTAAATTGGAGATGGTTTCCTGCAAAAAGGATTTAGCTCTGCTTCTCTGTCATCTACAGGGCACCAGTGACAAAGGACCACTGCTGCCCTCCCTAAGAATATTGGCTCAAAGCCCCAGGCTCATTGACCTTATGGACACAGACCCAGAACATGCCCACCACTGCTCGTTACTCCAAGCTCCCACCTTAGCTCATGTTAAGTCATTTGGAGAAGATGGGGGTTTCCTCAGGCATCTCTGCAATCTTTTATCAGCCCAACCATTTGCCAACAGCTGTGTCCTATTGGGATTGAATTGTTCTACAAAGAACCCTCAGAGTACCCAGTCCACCATACTGCCAAAATTAGATTAGGAGACCTCCATGAGAAACCCAAATTGGTATTGATAGAATTTATTTTAGGTTTATATGGCTTCCTTAAGTAGCATTTCTTTTCAGGATAAAACAATTGAGGGAGAACATCAGAAAAGATTTTGTAAAGATTTGAACAGAAGGCAATTATCTCTTTTGTGAGGGAAAAACATGTCGCATCATATTTAGACTATATGGAACATTTTTTAACTATAGGAGCCAGCACAGTGTAGTGGAAAGAGTTTCAAAATAGGCTTTGAAGTCATATAGTCCTAAACACCCATTTCAATATTATCACTCAGTAGCTGCATGCTTTATGCAAGTACCTTAATCTGGGCCTCAGTTTCTCCATTTCTGCAAATGAAAATTATAGGATATGCCTATCAGAGTGAGGAAGATTGAAGACTAGTGACAAAGAACCTGGCATATAGGATAATTCAGTAGAAGCTGCTAACTCTGAGGGTAAAGATGGTGATGAGTAACAAAGCATGGAGGCAGACATTCTTATTGCATTTGGTAGATAAGAGGCTCTAAGAAGGCACATTCCAATAATAATGATGCAATGAATTCATATGAAATTTTGTACTTCTCAAAGTTCTGAATGATAGTAGCCCTGCACTTCCTGTATAGGCACCCCAAGGCTATGGGATAGCCAAGGAGCCATTGTTTGCCAGACTTATGAATGGAGCCTAAATGTATGATCTGTGGTGTTTGCTTATAGTCCCTCCTGGTGCAGGGCCAGACTAGGAGAGTGGAAAGAAGGGGTGTGCAGCAGGCTTGGGGTGACTCTCCCTGCTCCACTGCCTTCCAGCAAAGAACTTCCTGAAGTTCAAGAATCCTAAACTTGAAACTTGTCTACAGAGTCTAGGAAGGAATACTTGTCAGAGCAAGTGGATAGAGCATATTTTATTTAACAGTATGTTTAACATTTGGATATAAGGCCTGTGGGCCTCCATTTGTTCTCTTGCCCAGGCTTCACAAATATTAGTGGCAGAAATATTGTTGTGTGTGTGCATGTGTGTGCCTACCTTTGGGGAAAGCAGTTGTGCTCTTCTGTGCAAAAAGAGAAGCTGTCTACCCCCAAGCCATGGGTTACTGATGAGGGGTTGAGGACGGCAGAGATGAGGGGATGGCAGCTTATGCCTACACTATTTCATCCCATGGTAAACTTTAGTATTCCCAACATGCAACTATGTGCAAGGTTTAGATCTCTGTTTTTTCATTACAGGCTTAGCTGCATGACTTCCTGGCCCACGTCTCACTTCAGTCTGAGATACTGAGATAGGTTCAGGCTCAGGCATACTGTAAGCTGTGAGGATGTGAGGGTATGCATTCTACCTGGCTCCAGGAGCCCCACCTTTTCTGGTTCCATGGCTCATCAGTACACTCTCGCATTGACCAGGCTGAGCAGGTGCACACATAAGTCTTCTCCCGTCTCCTCTGAAAAGCATCCCCTCATCAGTGAAAGCCCAGTGACTTCTCCCTGGGCATGAGTTACCCATATCTCTTACCTGAAACCATTTGCCAACTGGGTTAGTGGTTTTCATACATATTAGCCTGCGAATAGGAATCAATCAGAAGAATTTTTTAAACAATTTTCAGATCTTATCTTCAGGGATTTTGATTCACTAAGAGGTCAGAAGTAGAGCCAGGGAATTGTTTTGTCATTTCTTTTGCATTTGCTGGTGTGTGTGTACGATCTGTGTATGCATGCATACATGTGTGGATGTGTGTGATTAAGCTTCACCAGATGAGCTGACACAGCCAGGATTGAGAATCTTGGATTTCAACTCTGTTTCTTCTTATATGCATATGCCTTATTTTCTTAAGTAGATCTTAAGCTCCTAGGAGCAGAACTTGTTTTTCACATGGTTTGTAACCCACTCAGCACCTGGCAGCATGCAATGTGTTTAGCACAGATGCCACAAAAGTACCTTGCATGGAACCTGGATATTCCAGGGCAGGAGCAGAAGAAATTGAGCATTACTACACTCGCATGCTATTCACAATGTCACCTGTGGTCACTGTCTCCTCTTCAGTTCTTTGCACCCTAGGGCTATGGTGCTGAAAACCCTCAGACCTGTGGACGTCATAACCTTTCACAACTTGCAGCACATTGGCAGCTTTAAACTCAACCTCTCCAACAGCTCTTTGTTTTGTTTGCTTGTTGAGCTGAGTTTAAATCCAAATTCAACCGTGAATCATTAAAAGGGGGATTTTTCTTAAAACCAATGATTGGTCTTTGGACAACTGGCAGCCCTGACCCCTGCTTGAGCCACGTTAATTTCAGCAAGAGTTGTTAGGGACGGAGGCAAGCCAGCTGGGGCTGCCAGCTTTTAACTCCTGCTCAGGGGGCTTAAAGAGGTAGTCCCAAGGTTCCTGCAGCCCTGTCCTTCTTTAAAATCAATGAAAAAGATCAAAAATGTAAAAACTTATTGTAGGAAAAATACCATCTAGTTCTCACTTTTTGCATGGGCAGCTTTGCTTTTCGCTGGGCATGTGGGAGACAATGCCCCCACCTGAATCTGATACAGGGGAATGATTTGAGACATTTCACTTAGGTGAGAACCTTTTGTTAACCAGAAAATTGGTCCCTTTGCCTCCCTGTTTTTTTTATATATAAGTATGCTTTACTTCCTCTATTTTTTTCTTAAATGGCACTTATACATACACCTTATTGATGTTTTATTCATGTGGACAAACTGCTTCCATTATGTGAATGTACAATAGCTGGAAGTCAATGGGAATCAAACAGCTAAAGCTTTATGCAGTGCTTTAAAAATTGCAGGACTGATAATAACAACTTATGAGGCTGCCAGTGTTGAGATAGAGTCGGTCAGACTTTGGACTTCCATGTACACTGTACGTATTCATCTTCAAACTCTCAGTGAAGACCCATCCCCTTCTGTTTCCATAAATACAATGAACCTAAGATCTGTGCAAGAGGAAAGCACACAGTCCTCATTTTTCCTTCCCTGTAACATCAGAAAAGGCAAGTAGAATTGGCCATCTGTGCGCTGGGAGTGCCTGCTATGTATAAGGCGTTATGCTGGACATAGAGCTGATAAGGCAAGACTCTTACCCTCAAGTCACCCCCTAGAGAAAAGGCACTCATTTCATTCACCCTGTGAGAGCTCAGGAGAGAAGATAATGGGTCCAGTTCACCAGGGCAGAAAATCCAGAGCTGCAACATGGGCACTACATAATAACTTTCTCAAAAAAACTCTTCTCAACTGTGTAGGAAGGAGAAACATGGAATGTCCACCTAAAAGTACAAGGCAAGCATACAAAGGGGATGGAAAAAACGACTGCAATTCATAAGGAATAAAATGACAGAGTTTTAAAGCTCATGAGAGCAAATTAGGTTGTTTAATCAAGAGTTACCTGCACATATTTATTTGATTGTGGTGTACTCAAATAAATTACAACCCTTTGTTAGAAAAACTGTAAGAGCTATTGCACCTAATATCTCTGATATGTATCTTTAAACCTACCCTGGTCAGCCACCCCTGACTCTGCCAGCCCAGTCACCTGGCCTCAGAGCTCTTGTCTCTGCCTGACCCACAATCCTCTATAGGACTCCTCTGTTTACAGGCACTCCCACCCATAGGCTCATGCAGGCCCAATGTCTTGCATTCCTTCATTCCCTCTGAAAACAAACAAACAAACATGTATTGATTGAGTTAGTTACTTTTATGCAGCTGCATTGATTTTTCACTTGTTTGATTTTCTTTTTGTATGCTTATGTCTTTTTTATGTATATCAAGTACCTGTACATCAAGCACTGGGTTGTTAGATCTTCAAGAGTAGAAACATGTTCCCCCCCTTTTTTTTACATCTCTCCCACAGCACTAAATATTATTAGTTGGCTAAAGGAGAGATTAATTTAAGGCTAGAAAATAAGCCTACTAAGAGAATTAATTATAGAGGTGGGGACGAGTAACTGCACTTCAGCATGTGAAACCTGATTATGTGCAAATAAATGGAAACAACATATTTTTTATTAACCTACACTGGGAGTGAAGGAAAGGAGATGAGGATCCCAGGCTGAAAACAAACAACAACAAAAAAAAAACAGCACCCTTAGAATTAAGCCTCTACTACTCTGATTTCAACAAAAATTATTGCTCAGAGAGCTAAAATTTTAAATAGTAATCCCCAAAAACTAAGTGTTAGAGTTGTAAAGGTATCCTTTGCTAGGCTGTGGTTGCTGGTATCCAGGCCCTAAAGAAACTTAACAACCTCTGGCAAGATGCTTATACATGCCAGTCC
This sequence comes from Homo sapiens, assembly GCF_000001405.40. Taxonomy (NCBI): domain Eukaryota; kingdom Metazoa; phylum Chordata; class Mammalia; order Primates; family Hominidae; genus Homo; species Homo sapiens. The sequence continues at coordinate 25,698,387 of NC_000018.10, forward strand.
ATTTCAGCCTCCACCATGATGACTGCTTAAAATGGAAGCAGTATATCCAGACCTCCAGCCAGAAATGAATACATGTAGCACGGATATGTGCACCTGCAAGCTGGTATGGAAGCCACTGTCATGCCTGAGTCTTCCTCTTTGAATCTCATTCTCTCTATCTGATCGCCTGTTCCTGGTTGATCATCCTTTTTCACCTACCACTCTGGATGCCTTCTCAGGCCGATTGTTGGATACAGTCCCCTCCACACACAGAAGCAGTAGATAGAATGACAGATGGAAGGACAGACGGATGGATGGATGGATGGATAGACGGATGGATGGGCAGGTAGACAGAGAGATACATACATATGTAGGCAGGCAGACAAATAGATACATACATACATACATACGTAGAGAGATACATACATACATAGGTAGATAGATACATACATAGGTAGGTCAGATAGGATAGATAGATACACATAGATAGGTTGATCATAGGTACATAGATAGGTAGACAGGTAGGTAGGTAGATACATACATACATACATAGATCACATAGGTAGATAATAGATACATAGGTAGGTAGGTAGGTAGGTAGGTAGGTAGGTAGGTAGACAGACAGACGAATAAATAGAACACACACAGTTGAGTTCCTCATCAGTATAAAGTTTCTCTGAAGACCTGTGTCCCTAGCAGCTGTTACAATTTGACATTCCATTAGCTCCCCTGGGTTCTTTCAAGGTATTTTTGTTCATCTACAGATGACTCCCACCCTTGACCTTCCTGAGCAAGGCACTTGAACCAACATTCAGCTATACAAGGCTGCTCATGTCAGCATCTTCCCAGTTTCTTGAGTTAGCTTTCCAGCAGTAAGATATTTATTAAAATAATAGATAATATATCCCCAGAAAAAAAGGTCTTTGGAGAAAACAACTTCCTGATGAAGTAACTTCTTTTGTTTGGTTTTAGCTTTCAAAAAAAAAGGCATTGGAGGGGGAGAGGTGATCTAGTTAGATACTCAGATAGTAAAAAATAAGGCAAATAAAAAAATGGACCATGAGCTTTCCAAATACAGAAACTTTTAGTGGGAGCCCGGGTCCAAGTAATAAAATTCTATATGAGCCTATCATTTTTGGCCCTTGTCTGACATAATATTTAACAGAACCTTCTCTTCCAAAGTCTAAAATGTCTTCTGGTATTATATTTTTCCCATTCTCTCCTTTCAGTCACCAGGATACTTTTTTATTTTCTAAAAGTGCCGTGGCCATTAGATCACAATTTTTCTCCTTATCACTTCCTTTGTCCATCCCTCCTTAATTCCAGCCAAGCATATCTCCTCTCTACTTCAGTCACCATACATATTGCCGTACCCTGAACTTCATCATGACCAAGAATTCTATCACCTTCAAGATCTGCAACTCTAACTTGCTTTCAATTCTTTCACTTCTTTCCTCTCTTTAGTGACTCTCTTCATAGCAACCTGGCTTATGCTCATATTTTTCTAGAGTAACCTCTCACAGATGAATGAAGGTCCTTCTTCCTAATGGCCAGTGCTCATCCTCCAAGATTTCTTTATAGCTGACATTGTGGAACAACCTGTTCTTAAAACTCTCTCCTCACTTAGTTTCCACCATCCAGTGAGTCCGTTTCCGTCCTGGCTTCTCCAGCTTCTCCAGCTTCTCCAGCTCAGACCTTTGCCCTGTTTGCTCTTGGCCTGCTTCCCCACTAAGTTCTCTCCACTGCCCTCTTCTCTTCGAACTCCTGTGCTATCCTATGGTGATCTCAAATCTGCATTTCTCAACTCCTTTCTTAATACCAAATATGCATTTTCAACTCTTTGTTGGTGAACCTCCACCTGAAAAGCCATGGTGCCTTATACATAATTAGTGCTTATACTTACTAAGCATTAATTATGCAAAAGGCCCCATGGCAGATACAAATTTGAAAAGATAAATCTTTGTGAGCTGCAGAGGGAATGATTGTGTGAGAGGGATGATGGTTAACCAGAGAGTGAAGTCCCATAGACCAGAGTTCATTGTTAGAGCCTTGAAAGGGCAAGTTCTAAAGTATGAATAAAAGAAAATTGGAGAAAATTGTGCCCCTAAATTTGGATTAGCTCTAAATTAGTTCTGGATACAACCCTGGAAGGTACTCAGATGGCCTGAAGGCACATACCAAATGCTTCATCAAAAGAAAACTGAGATATACAGCAGGGGGTAGCAAACTATACTACAGCCCATAGGCCAAGCCCGACCTGCTGAATGTTTTTGTAAATAAATCTTATTGGAACATAGCCACATTCATCCATTTACATCTTGCCTATGGCTGCTTTTGGACTATAGGAGCAAAGCAGTTATGACTGATGCCACATGGCTCACAAACTGTCAAATATTTACTCTCTGGCCCTTTAAGAAAATCTTTGCCAGCCCCTGCTGTACTGTATGGCAACCCCAACTTGCCTTATCTTCAATATCACCTGGAGTGTTCATTAAGAGAATGCATTTCTAACCCCCAGCTCAGATCTAAGAATTTGAAGGTGCTACAGGTGATCCTTAGGATCAAGTCTGGGAAACCGTAACAGAGTTTTTAAATGCTTAATCCTTAGAATCTTACAGCTTTGGATTTATATCTTGGCTCCACCATTTCTAATTACGTTACCTTGGGCAAGGTACTTAACCTCTGTGAGCTTCCATTTTCTTATTATAAAATAGGAAAACAAATATATCTTCTTCATAGAGCTGTTGTGAGGATTAAATGAGAAAAGCTTCATCAAAAGTGTGGTACCTGGTATCAGGATAGGGTTTTATCATCCACATCACCATTATTATTTTCTTCTCTTCTTCACCACTTAATATTATCACTCATATGATCACCTGCTTAAAACGTTTTTGGTGTAATTATGTTTGAAAATGGTGGCTTAGTTTACCTTCAGTTCATGAATTCTGAGTTCTACCTTCTCCTCCTTTTAGTTTAAAAATATTCAGCAAATAAATCTTTAAATGATTTATAGCATCTTTTATTTAAGAAGTACAAAGTACTGTACAAACAACTGAGTGGATGGGGGAGATGGAGAGGGTAAATTGACCTACCCCAAACCACACAGCAAATCCAGGAACAGATTATGCAATGCCTGACTCCCAACCCAATACCTGAACTCAAATACCAACACACCTTTCCGGACCAGTCTCATTATCATTTATTTAACATCCTCTTGCAGATGGGATCCAACAAATCTATCAGCCAAAAACCTTTTACAGTCCCACAAATGCTCACAAGCCTTCCCCACCTTAACCAGTGTCAAAATGCTGCAGAGGTGAAGGAAGGGAGCACCACCTACCTGGGAACCCCAGGCTTACTTTGATTGTGTCCCTCCCTTTCTCAGAATACTTCGGTGGGCCCCAGTTGCTTTCCAATCAGATTTAAATTTCTCATTGTGAGCTTTAAATTCCACCCATCTCTTGTATCTAATTGCCCTCATCTCTCACTTCATTCATTTCTACCTTGTCTTGTGGTATTCACCCCCCTGCCCAGAAAACCTACCACGGCCCAGCTGAACAAATCCCAGGCATTCCTGCGGAATCTCAAAGTCCATTAAAAGAAGAAAAATGCCCTGAACAAGAGGGATAATGGCCTTAACCATACTCTCTTCTGGTCCGACCACGCTTGGGAAATTATGTCCCATTCCAGGAAGGACATTCTAAGAGGGGTTTGGAAAACAGGTGGCCATTCAGAAAAGAGGCTCCAGTTTGGTGAGGGGATAAATAGTTCTGTGAACTTGCAACATGATAGCATCTTTCAGATATTTGAATGACTCCAGTTGACCTAATATCAACACAATGCACTGATATTTCGGGAAACAAATTACTGCTCCATTCAAGAGGAAAACTTCACTACTACTTAACCTGTCTAAAAATGGCATATACTGTTTTGGGAAGTTTGTGATATAGGTGTAATTAAGTTTGCAAAGGATATTGTAGTGGCAATACCTATTTCCAACACACAGTAGAATTAGGTGACTATAAAATATAACTAAGTAGTTAAGAGCAGCCAGGCACAGTGGCTCACGCCCGTAATCCCACCACTTTGGGAGGTTGAGGCGGGCGGATCACTTGAGCTCAGGGGTTCGAGACCAGCTGGGCAACATGATGAAACCCTGTCTCTACAAAAAAAAAAATACAAAAATTAGCTGGGCATGATGGTAGGCACCTGTAGTACTAGCTACTCAGGAGGCTGAGGTGGAAGGGTCACCTGAACCCAGAAGGTCGAGGGTGCAGTGAGCTGCGATCATGCCACTGCACTCCAGGCTGGGTGACAGAGTGAGACCCTGTCTCAAAAAATAAAAATAAAAAATATTTTTAAAGTAGTTAAGAGCACAGTCTTTTGATCTTAAATTGTCTGGGCTTAAATTCTACTCTACCAAATACAAATATATTTGCCATTGAAAGTAAATGGCAAAAACTGCAACTACTTTTACACCAACCTAATACCAACCTCATAGTGTTACAGTGAGGGATTAAATGAACAAATACATGTAAAGGACTTAGAAAGAAGTTGACATGTATAAGCATTACATGAGTGTTTGTTTTTAGTATTTTACAATTTTTATCATTTGGGGACTATAGGAATAACTATTACATGTCCTTTATAGGCATCAAAGCTCCTATATTTTTCTACAAAACACAGAACAACAGCATGCAGTTTGTTTTTGGTTTTTTTGTTTGTTTGCTTTTTACAAATACAGTATCTCCTTCTCCCCACTGAGGCCATGAACAAGGAAGATTGAAGGGGACCCAACACAGGAGACTCTCAGAGCAGCCTTGGCTCCTAGAATGTACAAAGAGAGGGAAGGGAGAGTTCCTGACCCTTTTCTTATCATGGCTTCCAGTTGCAAGTGACATTTCAGAGAAGCACCTTCCAGAAATACATATCAGCAAAAACAAATCACAAAGGAAAGACATCAGATTTAGTTCCGAACCACACCCAGCACATGAATGGCACCCAAAAGCTTTAAATACAACCATGATGACAATCAAGATTGACCCTAGGACCAGCAGCTGAAAGAAATTAGACTGAACTTTAAAGAAATCAGACCGTAGATAAAAAAGAATTTCAATAAAATTATTAAACATTATCCACCAATACTGCTGTCAGCCACCCATATGTAGTCCACTGAGTTATCTTTCAGTTATTTGATTTCTCTTAGACCCAGGACACTACTAGCCTTGGTGAATCCTTGAATCAGTTTCAGAAGCTATAGGTTCTTTTCAGTTTACTCCAATCTAAGCTGTGTCTGGCATGCCACATAAAGTTTTAGGTACTTTAATGAAAAAAGCACACTTCCTTCAATGCTGGGATCTTTCCTCCAACCCTCTAGCAACCTTTCTACCCCTGTAAATAGACAGGATTCTCCTTTCTGGCTTTGTCGAGCTAACATTGTTTTTGCCTGTGGTGTAATGGTTTCTGCCTCTTTTGTTTATATTTATTTGTGTTTGTCCTGTCTCCTTCATTACACTTTAAGCCTCTACCTATAAGCATTGACTTCTTTTGTAACTCACCCCAGTACACAAGATATACATGACTGACTGACTGACATATTAATGAATAATGTTTGATAATTTTATTGAAATGCCTTTTACCCATGGTCTGATTTCTTTAGGGTTTAGCCTAATTTCTTTCAGCTCCTGGTCTGCAGACCCATGTTGATTTGCATTATGGCTGTATTAATGCTTTTGAATGCTATCCATGTGCTAGGTGCTATTTAGAACTAAATAAAATGTCTTGCCCTAGTGATTTGTTTTCTTTCAACTTGGCAGATTTGTGACCCCTGTGTTTCTAGGAGCTGAAATTGTCAAGACTCTTTTAATGCACCTCTTTGTTCGGGCAATAGCACGCCTGGTGGCTTTGAGAATAGCTGTCGTTTTGAGAATAGCATTTGTAGACACAACTGCTGCTGAAAAGGGAAACTCTATACATGGACTATTTCACTGGGAACAAGACAGCAAAAAGAGCGACTATTGTTCTCCACTAAAAGAAATAAACGAAGCTTAGTGTATTAATTTGATCCTGAACATGATGCAGCATTTTGCTGTAAATCTGGACACGATTGTATCTATATTGTCCACTTTAGTGCAGTTCTGATCCCAATCAGCGTTTGTGATCACCCCCCAAGGCACCCAGTATAGAAAAGATCTGGCCCCTGCTTCAGTGACCTTCCAAGATGGCTTTGAGTAAACAGCGCTAGCCACAGCGTGAAACTCCTCGGGTCCTTGTTACACTCCCGAGTGCCATAAGCTCAGGCAGTCTCGATACTGTAAAAACCACAGACAGCTACAATCCCAAAGAACCACAGGCTTAGGATACTTCTTTGATTCTTGGATTTGTGCCACTACAGTTTAGCAAGAGTTGGAGACCAAGAGAGCACATTTGTCCCTCTCCTGTCGGTGAAATACTGCTCCTCAGTGCATTTGTTCATGGCTATGTTCTACCCACGGAGGGATCGAGCATTAGGCATTTGCCATTTGTGCGACACTGAATCTTCCAGCTCCACAGAATGTGCAAAATCCCTCCTCATATGACACATTAAAAATTGAAATTCAGCTGCCTCTCTTTCTAGAACATGTATGTGTCTAATACACAGTTCTTGAGTAGTCCATTCTAAAAACTGACCATAGGCTAGGGAAAAATGCACGCCTTACCCTTAAAAATAGAATGTATGATACATTAGAACCTCAAGCTCACCCTATGATATCAAGCCACTTGCCCTTCTCCTGGAGAAAATGTCCTGGTCAAGGAATATCACTCCAGATTCCAAAATAACTAAAAAGTTATCACTTAGAAAATCAAATGTAGACAGTTTCAAAGAAGCAGCAGCAGCAGCAGCAGCAACAACAAAATGTTCTAAAGGAAGCAATATTTTAAGAACAGATACATTTTAAAAAGATAAATTCCAAAAACAAGATTTGTAAGCCTCCTAAAAATTCATTCCAAAGGAAATAAGAAGAAAAGGGGGGAATTTTATCACTAAAAAGAAAAAAAAAGGAAACTGAAAAACAAAACGAAAATGAAGGAAGGGAACAGATAAACCAGGAAATCTACCAAGGATAAAAATTCAGAAAATCTTTACATCTTTGCAAATTTGATAAGCAAAAATGTCTTGCATTATTTTAACTTGTATTTATTTACCAGTGAAATCAAACATTTTCCCATATATTTTCTAACCCATCTATTTTGTCTATTGCAAATTGTTAATTATTAACTGTTAATTGTAAATTATTAATGATTAACGCTCACCTATCTATTTCTTATCAATTTCTCTGAGCTCTGTATACAGTAAAGATTGTTATATGTACTGTACCTGGGAAATTTCCACTAATGGCACAGTTATAAGCCAAATACATATATAATTATATATGCAAATTATGTTATTTATTTATAAATGTATATGTGGTAACTTGGTTCTGATCTATTTTGCATACTCATCATAAATTAAGAATAAATGTTCTGGAAGCTAGGATTTCAGAGGTCAACCACATAAGGTTGTAGAAATACATAGAAAATGTGTACCTGGCAGCAAGTTGGAGCAGAAGTCAGCATGTGGGGATTAATAAATATCCTCAGTACACTGAAAAATTGTGGGACAACAAAATACAGTTAGTTAGAGCAAGTGCAGTATCGATAAAAGCCACCAACAACTTGGACATGAGAGTGATTCTCAATGTTCAAACATAGCAAAAGAGTCTGAGAACCACAGTGACTGACAACTTCATCCTGGATTTTCATTTAGTATAAAAGTAAACATTGAAGACAGGAGCCCTTCAATATCCTTATCATAGGCAGTGCTGAGTCACATTATTAAATCCTATTTCATTCATTCTGTTATTTATTTTACCCTGCTGTGGTTCACACTCTGGGCTAGGTGCTGGATATATATTGATTCAAAAGATAGGCAAAGTCTCTGTCCTGGTGGAGCTTACCATCTAGTGCCAGTGAGACCTGTAATAAACAATAATCAATGCATAATACAAATGGTGATAAGTGATAGCAGAGTAGTGATAAAAATAACACAACCACACGCATACACACACTCACGTGTACATGTAACAGCAAAAGATTTGAAAAATAAGTGTAGAATGGCTAAGGAAGGAATATTTTTTTACCTAGAGGAGAAGTAGGTGAGAAAAGAACTAAAACTTCTCCTGCAGAATTCAGAGAGTTATATTTTTCCATTGAAGACATCAAAGATAAAATGAGAGAAAAACAGTAGATTCAGAAATATATCAGTTATGTATTTTGTAAAAACAACAGTACCTTCGAAAACGAGGAAGGTTAAACTATCTCTCCTCTGATAGTATTTTAGAGGGGAGATTCTTTTTTATGTGGGATTACTTCCCCAAATGTTAAGAGAAGGACGATTTTTAAATGTCTGCCAGCCCAGGGTCGGCTTTCCGTGAGTTCCTCCCAGCTTTTCCTTCTTTTCCTTTGTTCCTTTGAGGAGCTCCTTTTTCCCTTAACAGGAATAAACTTGTTCCAGCATCATGTGGTGAGGGGGCTTTTATTCTGACCTCTCCCAGCCTCAGAATATTGATTCCAATGTTCCCTGCTTGTATCCTAATCAAATATCTTGCTTTACTAATTTCTCAAAAATTCTTGTAACTTGGAATTCTAAAAAGACAACCAATATTAACCGAAAAATAATAAAACCACACTGTGGAATAAATAATAGCTGAAGCATATATATTTATCACCTAATGCTTATCTTACGTATGTATATTATTAGATCTGGCTGTGTCGATATAGAATTTGGGGACTTCCACACCTCACCACGGTATTCAAAGATAACACATGGAGACATCCCCAGGAAGTACATTTGTGTGCAGTGGCAGAGACATGGAAGGAGAAAAGGGCCACACTTGCTAGTCCCACTTTAAAGATGAGAACACTGAAGTTATAAGATGGCTCAGCTGAATATTCTGAGGCTGTCCAAAGGGAGGAACAGATTTCAGATGTAATTCTCAGAGCTCCAGCCTCTAAACAAAGTCGGTGAACAAATACCCATTTCCAGTTGGCATGGAGAGTCTCCAGGGTTAGAAATCTGCTTTAAAAAATTGAAAGCAAAAATCCTTTGAAAATATAGTTTCAGCACACTAATTAATGTCTTCCAATGTCCCTCCATTTCAGCCGCCCCGAGAGCCTGAGATTGTTAGTGCCACTTAGCTTTGCTTGGCAATACTCACCCCTACGAATGGGGACCCTGGTGGTCTTTCTGACAAGCCAAGCCATAGACGTGTGTCTGCTGACATGAAAAGGACCTTTCTGTGAAATGTGTTGAAGCTTAGTGTTTTATTAAATTGTCCTGAACATTCTTTCTCTGTCCATCTCTTCTTTCCTAGTCACATCCATTTTTTTTTTAAGTCAAGGCCGCCTTCCAGAGCTGCTCCCAGTCACAGATTTTATAATTTTAATGAGTTCTCTACTGTAATTTAAAAGATAACTCACTCCTATTTCCAGCATTTAATGTATTTTCTTTTTTTTTTCCTGAAAGCAATATACGTGTGTAATTAATAAACAATTTAGTATGTTGAGGAACCTAGGAACTTGGCAAATGTTCTGGGGATATGAAATCTCAAGAAAAGCAGCACATTATAAGGAATAGTAAGTAATTACTTATGTAAGCTTTCTTTTTAAATTCTAAGAACATTAACTACTAATTACCTACTAATTACCAGTACTTCAGCAGGTGTTTGCACTTAACTGTAGGCTAAACCCCCTGTGAAAAACAAACCCCTCACAGCCTCTCTCAAGATCAAAGCTGAATCCCACCGGACCTTGCCACACACTGTGGTTATGGCCAAACCCATCACAAGCCAATGTCTTCACCACGTGGCTGCTTAAGGTGAAAAAGTAAATATGTGTTCTCCTTTCTCTTTTTCCCCCAAACACTGTCATTATCAAGGAGTGAGGACTGGCTTGAATGGCAGCTTTAAGGTATCTGGGGTTACAGTCAAACTATGATGAAGAGGCCGTCATCAGAAATGCATCCGTCTCACTTCCATGGGCTTCAGCAACCCTCTTTGTCTGATGGGGCTGGAGCACTGTCTACTCACCTCCTGACACTTCCCTCCCTGGAATTTGCAATGAGCATGTGATTATTTCACTGCTTTCCATTCTCCTTATCAAGCTATGAAAATGATCTTTAAGATCCCCTCCAGCTGGGAAAGGGTGTCATCCCCCTGATCCTCCGCTTTTCAAACTTTCAGGAACTAAAGCTCTGTAATATTCACTAAAGATCCAAGATTGTTCCACATTTCATAGGTCTTCTACCTGTAGAATGTCCTTTCTCACAGCCATAAACAGGTCACTGTGTATCTCACAAGGGCTAATAGCTTCTCCTTCAAGACACGACAGTCATGCTCATATTGCCCCATGCTGACACCGAGAAGCAATGCCTGATAGCACAATCTCACCTAAAATTTACCGTAGTATTCATTTCTGCCCAGGACTATGCTCTACTGCAGTCCATGTCTCTCATTTTAGTCCCTCTGTTAGTTTCCTGGGCCTGCCATAACAAATTTCCACAAGCATGCTAACTTAAAACAACAAAAATTTATCTTCTTGCAGTTCTGGAAGCCGGAAGTATTAAATTGAGGTGTTGGCCAGGCTGCATTCCCTCCATTGGCTATCAGACAGATTCCAGTCCTTTCCACTCCCAGCTTTGAGTGGCTCCAAGTGTTCCTTGGCTTGTCGTCACATCACTCCAATCTCTGCTTCCATGGTCACATTACCTCTCTCCTGTCTGTCAAATCTCCCCTGTGTGTCTCTTAAGACACTTGCCATTAGATTTAGGGTCCACCCAGACAATCCAGGGTTATCTGGAGATCCTTAATTACATCTGCAAAGATGCTTTTCCAAATATGATCACATTTACAGGTTCTGGGGATTCAGAGGTGGGCCTATTTATTACAGTGCCGCCATTAAATCCAGTGTAGTCCTGTAAATGTTCTCTCATCTACTAATTTATTTATTCAACACATGTTATTGAGCCCTAGAATATTTCAGGCATTATTTTAGGTGGATTTGAATTCATAAGACAAAGTTCCCACCTTTATAGAATGTATCATTCACACACACACACCCCTATTTATTTTGTCCATCCATTTCAGTTATACGCATTTCCTTAGAATCTGTGATATACCATTGATATTCAAAACACACATAACTCTTACAAAAATTGTTCACTCATATCTTGTGTGCAGAGTGGGGAAATAAGGAATATGCCTGAAAAGTTCTTTTCAAGTTTTCAGAAGAACAAGAGAGAAAAAGGCATAAATGTGCAAATTTTACAAATTCATTTTACAATGTAATTGAAATGCCAAAAAATTGAGGAATTCCAGGTTGATGAAGAAACGGATATTAGTGCAATGAAGAACAGCTCCGTCTCTGTCAGCTGGTCATTTTTTATATGTCAGAGACTGTCAATTTCTATTGCGTTTCAACTAATTACCTCAGTTTGTTAAAACTGAATATGAATTCACATATTTGACATTCCCAGGCTTCATGTGTTCCTGCTTATCAAGAGCTATCGCCTAATGATATGTCCCACCACTCTGGGGTTTCTCAGGTGAGGAAATGAAGTGGCCAACACAGATGGGTGTCAAGAGAAATGGGACAGCCATCATCAATGGTGATTGTCTGCTGGCAGTGCAGTTGTGTACAACCACTGCCTGAGTTGAGTCAGAGCTGAGGCACACCAAGCCCTGCAGCCCTTAGTGAGGATCTCGGCACTGCAATGGCCAGGAAGAGGTGGGGAGGCAGATAGGCTGGGCACAAATGAAAACCACGCCTCTGATAGAGAGCTACTTTCCAATCAGAGGTATCCTGACCAGAGAGAATCAAAGGAAGGGACCATAAATAAATTATGCATTGCAGGTCTGAAGACTATCTCAACTTCAAATGATACACTTAAGTTTTAAAAGTTTCTTGCATCTGGTGGGGAAGGGGGCTGTTTCTTGATGGTGATGGTGTTTTGTGTAGTGCGTTGGGAGAGAGTGGTTGGAGGTTGTTCCTTTGTTTTTAACATGGGGCCATCTTGGAGTGCTCTCACGGGTAAGATGGGCAGAATTGTTTTACATGAAACCTAGTCAGCTTCCTATGAAAAAGCAAATGATATCATTCCACAGTGGTGTCTATGTGATTACAAGTTTTAAAAGAGCCATCGTCAGAAAAGTGGATTCCAGAAACAAGTAATTAGCACTTTGATCTGCAACACAAATGCGGTAGCTGTTTGAATTTCATTTGGATTGTACGAGGAGGAGCAGAGGTGACCACTTCTCACTTTTCAAAAGGAGTATCTAGACTTTTCAACTGCAGACCTTCTGACGATGTGCTCATTTCTTGGCCAGACAGGTGCAGTGGTATGTGGGTGATCAGAAATTCTCAGTAACACTTCTGTAAATTGCCAGAGGTGGTCAATATTCATGGAAAAAACAAAAACAAAAAACAATACCTTGGGAAGTTCTGTCAATATGGGGAGCTGCGGCAAAGAACCAAACCCCCGGTCACAGAGGAAAATGCCACTTACCCTTAGCTGTAGTGACAAATACAAGAACGTAAGACTCAGGAAAGGGAAGGGGGGTTGTTTTTTCCTTGGTTTCAGATTCAGATTGTTTGTTAAGAAAGGCAGTTACTGCATGTTTTTCCATGGTTAATCATGCTAATCCTGCTCCAATCAGAATGTGTCTACATTTCAGAGCTTCAGGGGAAACGCTCACCAAGCCCCGGGTGCAGCCTGTCCTCTGATCAGAAGTGTGGGTGGCTAAGTGTTTCTCCAGAGCCCGAAAGTGCCTTTCTGGAACTTCTCCAGAGCCCCAAAGTGCCTTCCTGGACCTATTCATTCTGACACAAGGTTCTGCTTGTCCTGAGCATTGTGTTCTTAACAAAATAAACTGATGTTTTAAAAATCAGGATATTTGCCCACAATAATCTGGATTTTCAGCATCTCATGGAAAACCTGAAGATCTAGCCCCACTGAGCCAAAATTCGCATAGAATCACAATCAGTGATGCTAAGTGACAGCTCCCTTAGTAAACAGGATGAGCACACTTAGCTGCTGCAGCCCTCACCTCCACATCTCTCTTATAAATGTTCCCTGTCTGGCCCGATGGACTTTGAAAGGCATGAAGTCTGCATAGAGTGAGTGGCCTTCAAAGATCTCACAAAGTCCCTCTCCATAGACTTCTTTTAGGATGCACCTCACCTCTGCTCTCCTTCCCAAATGTACTTACCTTCTGCTTGGCCTTGCCCAATGCACCACAAGCTCTCCCTCCTCTGAGTACCCAGAAAACCTCCAGCCTACACCAATGCTGTTAGAAATTGACCCACCAACATGCCATGTTTTCCAAGTAATATTTCACTTGGAATCCCAGTATACTGAACAGATCAAAGGAGAGCCACTCTGCTTATATCTGGGAGGCCAGAATCCTGCCCTCACTGCAACTGCCTTAACCACTACACACACCCCCTCAGAAGCACCTCAGTGGAACCCCCAAGATTCCCCCAAGACACTGGTTTATGTCTTTCATCAGTATCTTCTACAAGGTGTTCCATAATATTTGTTATCTTTCACATACTCTGTTCTTATAAGTAGATTATTCTTAAAGGACCACACCTAATGCTTATATTCCACAATGCATTTTCACACATAAATATTTGACGTTAGTATTTGTTCATTTATTCTCTGCCATGTTTTGGGATAGTCATGACTCCTGAGTAAGCAAAACTGGACATTCTTCTCCCATCAGAACCTACTGCTAAATATCAGTGTCTGAAGATGACACTAAGATAGTTTCCCAAGCAGGAAGGGCACACAACACCTCATCTGTTTACTTACAGGGTGGGTTCTGGATCCATCTGTCACACTGAAGTCCAGGACTTCCAAGCAGCACAAAAAGAATGACAATGGGAATTGGAAAAATAAATACACTACTGTGCTGGTAGTGTTCTGTTTCCTGATCTAGTTGTTGCTTATATGGCTTGTTTGATTTGTGAAAATTCATCAAGCTCCATGAAGAATGTGTATAATTTTCTGTATATATGTTTTATTTAATAAAAAGTTAAGACAACAAAGAAGAAGCAATTGACTGGAAGTCTTTATTCAGTGTTTCCTGGATTGAGACACATCAGGGCAAGCACTGGGTTTTGTTTTTTTTTCAACTTTTATAACTTAGATTCAGGGGGCACGTGTGCAGGTTTGCTACATTAGTGTATTGCATGATGCTGAGATTTGGGGCATAATTGATCCTGTCACCCAAGCAGTGAGCATAATTCCAACAGGTAGTTTTCTAACTCTTTCCCTCTCCCTTGCTCCCACCTCTGGCAGTCCCCAATATCTATTGTTCAGGGATTGGGTTTATTCACATGTATATCACTGTTGTCTACCTCAGGGTCTGGTACCTAGTAAGCGGGCAGCATGTTCTTACTGAGTAAATGAACCTGGCCTTGGCCCAGCTCAGTAATAGTGAGAATTAGATGCCTCCTTCTCCATATCTCTTTATAACCCAAGCATCCACTCAACCGGTTACCAGTAGCTGGTTCTCCTTATCCTGGTCTCCCTTCTGAGGAATAGATAGACATGATAGAGCTCCAGCTTTCACCCATCCTTTCATGGAGCTTTGTCCTGACACTGACAAGCCTGCACCAGACACTCACTGGGATTCAAGAACACAGAGATGTACACAACTGTTCAATGGAGGAATCAGTTATAGGCATAAGTTGTTAGAGCCATAGGGTGTCTGTACTGTCGTAGCACCTATGAACAAAGCACTATGGGAACAGCTCTTAAATCCATCTAGAGAGGTCCGGGAAGTTTTCCCAGAAGATGACATGTAACTTGGGTGTGTGTTTGGGGTTGGGTGGGGGGAGGGCGTTCACCAAGTGATGATTCAGCAGTTTCTGCTTACCATTGCTTATGTGGTAAATGGTTTTCCATCCTCAAAAATGCTTCCTTCTTACTCTTCCAGAGAAAAAGAAAAATTATCTGGCTCTTCTCCAAATCTAGCTTAGAATTACACCATAATCATTTGGGAATATTCCAGCCATTCCTAATCCCCAACTCCCGATCAGTGATCACATATGACAAAATTATTTTATACTTCATCCTTCGTGAAAAAGCATAATTTCAAACAGATCAATATTCCACGACTTTATCAATATACACATAAATGAAAGGTGTATGATACAACAGAATGATGGCCTCTCAAAGATATCCACAGCCTAATACCCCAAACCTGTGAACAGGCTGATGTTGCATGGCGTGAAATGAAGTTTGCAGATGGGATTAAGGCTAACACCTTAAGATACGGAAATAGTCCTGGATTATCTAGGTGGATCCAATTTAATCACACAAGCCTTTACAAGTGGAAGAGGAAAGTAGGAAATTCTGAGAGATATGGTGAAAGGAAGGGCAGGAGAGGTTCAAAGTGAGAGACTTATTTCAACCCATCATGTCTGGTCTTGAAGATGGAGGAAAGAGGCCATGAACAGAGGAATATAGCCAATTTCTAGACACCAGGAATGGCCCTCCACTGACAGCCAGCAAGAAAAGAGGGACTGCAGTCCTACAACCACAAGGAACCAAATACTGTCAACAATCTGAAGGAGCAAGAGAACGGATTTCCTTGCTCCAGCAAGAAATGCAGCCTTGCAGATGCCTTCATTTTAGCCACACTGAAGACTTGTACCAGACTTCTGAACTACAGAACTGTCAGGTAATAAATGTGTGTTATGTGAAACCACTAAATCGGTGGTAATTTGTTACAGAAGCAATAGAAAATGAATATAAAAGGGAAATCTCCAAGTTGCTCCAACATTAGGTTGTCATAGAAGGAGTCTGTGGTTGATTCCTGCTGGCTCTGCTCTAGTGGCCTCAGTGTAACCTTGGGCAAGTCCCTTTCCCACTCTGAGCTTCAGTTTCTGCAGCTGTGAACAGAACAATAGCACCAACCTGTAGTTGTTACATGATTAAACTACATCAGGCATGTGAAAGCCCTTAGCAAGACGCTGGGGATACGGTAGGGGCTCAACAAATGTTTAGAAGGAAAATAAAACTACTAAAGCCTTTTGCTGATTAAAACAACTCCAACTGGCCAGGCACGGCGGCTCACGCCTGTATTCCCAGCACTTTGGAAGGCCAAGGCATGTGGATCACCTGAGGTCAGGAGTTCGAGACCAGCCTGGCCAACATGGTGAAACCCTCTCTTTACTAAAAGTACAAAAATTAGCCAGGCATGGTGGCAGGTGCCTGTAATCCCAGCTACTCAGGAGGCTGAGGCAGAGAATTGCTTGAACCTGGGAGGCGGAGGATGCAGTGAGCCGAGATCACGCCACTGCACTCCAGCCTAGGCAGCAAGAGTGAGACTCCATCTCATAAAAAAATAAAAATAAAAATAAATTATCCAACTGACCCATGACATTGCTCACATCTATTTCTGGAAAGCTTTCATCAATGTGGTCTTATGTGAGGAGATTTTCTTTTCTGTCAATAGTTGTCTTTACCTAGTGCAGTAGGGGAAGGTCAGGAACTTTGCCTTACAGAAGGGAAGAGGGCATGTGAGTATTAGTAAGGCTTTACATTTTTTGAAAGTCAGACCTGGCAATAGTTCTGAGGGGGCTTCTGGCACAATGCTGTTAGATCAGAGCCTGAGCCTCTCATTGTGTACTCTCCTCTCACATTTTCAAGGATTTCACTGCAAACGTCTCTACTCTCCCTTTCCTGAGCCATCGTGCCTTCCTTCCTATTAAATCACTTGTATCAGCAAACAATCTTTGCAAGAATCTCCACCTTTTAAAAACTGTCCCTTGACTCACTCCATTTTCTTCTCCCTTCATTGCAAAACATCTTGAATGAGCCCCAGTCTCCAATTCCTCACCTCCCATTTGTTTCTTCATCCCTAATGGAGCTGATGTTTGTTTTCACTTCTTCTTCTGCCAAGAGATAGCAGAGGCACTGTTCTTCCTTCTGCTTCTGCCACTCAGCAGCATGGGACATGAGACACGGGACATGTTGACCCTGCCTTTCTTGAATCAGTCTTCTTCTCTTGCTTCTGTGATAACGCCATCTCTTGGTTGTCCTCCTCCTTCACTTGGCCTCTTTTTGGTTGGCTTTTCCTCTTTGCCGAAACTCAATGGATGTGGCAGGATAGGGCTTAGCCAAAGGCCCTGCAGTCTCTCCCTAGGTGAGCTCAGGCAGCCCTATGGTTTTAAATACCACACCACCAATTTCCAAGCTGATCTGTAGTTTTGGCCTTCCTAATAACTTGCAGACATTGCCTGGATGTGTAATAGTCACTATTAAAGCTAATATTGCCAAACAGAATTCTTGAGTCCCACCTTGAGTCTGCTCCTTGTTCATTAATTCCTTTTTGGGTAGATGGCCTCCCATTCACCAAGTTGCTGAAGTCAAAAGCCCAGGAGTCACTGCTGATTTGTTTTAATATCTATCTCACTGAGCAGCAAGTTTCTTTAGTTTAACTTCAAAATATATCCCTTATTTGCCCACTTCTGTGCACTCCTACTCCACCTGCACAGCCAGACCTCCATGCTCTATCACACCTGGGCCACAGCAATAGCCCCAAAATTGGTGTCCCTGATTCCATCTTACATCACCTCAATCCCACTCTGTTTTCTACACATAAGAATTATCTTTTAAAAATCTAACTTAGGTCAGTTTATTCTTCTGCTTAAAACATTTCAGTGACTTCACATTGCCTTTAAAATAAAATTTAGGGGGGTGGAGCCAAGAGGGCCGAATAGGAACAGCTCCAGTCTACAGCTCCCAGCATGAGCGACGCAGAAGACAAATGATTTCTACATTTCCAACTGGGGTACCGGGTACATCTCACTGGGGATTGTCGGACAGTGGGTGCAGGACAGTGGGTGCAGCGCACAGAGCATGAGCTGAAGCAGGGTGAGGCATCGCCTCACCCGGGAAGCGCAAAGCTTCAGAGAATTCCCTTTCCTAGCCAAGGAAAGGGGTGACAGACGGCACCTGGAAAATCAGATCACTCCCACCCTAATACTGTGCTTTTCCAACAGTCTTAGCAAACGGCACACCAGGAGATTGTATCCCGCGCCTGGCTCGGGGGGTCCTATGACCACGGAGCCTCGCTCATTGCTAGCACAGCAGTCTGAGATCAAACTGCAAGACAGCAGTGAGGCTGGGGGAGGGGTGCCCGCCACCGCCGAGGCTTGAGTAGGTAAAAAAAAAAGCAGCCAGGAAGCTAGAACTGGGTGGAGCCCACCGCAGCTCAAGGAGGCCTGCCTGCCTCTGTAGACTCCACCTCTCGGGGCAAGGCATAGCCAAACAAAAGGCAGCAGAAACCTCTGCAGACTTAAATGTCCCTGTCTGACAGCTTTGAAGAGAGTAGTGGTTCTCCCAGCATGCAGCTGGAGATCTGAGAATGGACAGGCTACCTCATCAAGTGGGTCCCTGACCCCCAAGTAGCCTAACTGGGAGGCACCCCCCAGTACGGGCAGACTGAAACCTCACACGGCCAGGTACTCCTCTGAGACAAAACTTCCAGAGGAACGATCAGGCAGCAACATTTGCTGTTCACCAATATCCGCTGTTCTGCAGCCTCTGCTGCTGATACCTAGGCAAACAGGATCTGGAGTGGACCTCCAGCAAACTCCAACAGACCTGCAGCTGAGGGTTCTGACTGTTAGAAGGAAAACTAACAAACAGAAAGGACATCCACACCAAAACCCCATCTGTACGTCACCATCATCAAAGACCAAAGGTAGATAAAACCACAAAGATGGGGAAAAAACAGAGCAGAAAAACTGAAAATTCTAAAAATCAGAGCGCCTCTCCTCCTCCAAAGGAATACAGCTCCTCACCAGCAACGGAACAAAGCTGGATGGAGAATGACTTTGACGAGTTGAGAGAAGAAGGCTTCAGACAATCAAACTACTCTGAGATAAAGGAGGAAGTTCGAACCCATGGCAAAGAAGTTAAAAACCTTGAAAAAAGATTAGGCAAATGGCTAACTAGAATAACCAATGCAGAGAAGTCCTTAAAGGACCTGATGGAGCTGAAAACCACAGTACAAGAACTATGTGACGAATGCACCAGCCTCTGTAGCCAATTCGATCAATTGGAAGAAAGGGTATCAGTGATGGAAGATCAAATGAATGAAATGAAGCAAGAAGAGAAGTTTAGAGAAAAAAGAATAAAAAGAAATGAACAAAGCCTCCAAGAAATATGGGACTATGTGAAAAGACCAAATCTACATCTGATTGGTGTACCTGAAAGTGACGGGGAGAATGGAACCAAGTTGGAAAACACTCTGCAGGATATTATCCAGGAGAACTTCCCCAAATCTAGCAAGGCAGGCCAACATTCAAATTCAGGAAATACAGAGAACACCACAAAGATACTCCTTGAGAGGAGCAACTCCAAGACACCTAATTGTCAGATTCAACAAAGTTGAAATGAAGGAAAAATGTTAAGGGCAGCCAGAGAGAAAGGTCACGTTACCCGCAAAGGGAAGCCCATCAGACTAAGACTAACAGCTGATCTCTCGGCAGAAACTCTACAAGCCAGAAGAGAGTGGGGGCCAATATTCAACATTCTTTTTTTTTTTTTTTTTTTGAGACGGAATCTTGCTCATCGCCCAGGCTGGAGTGCAGTGCTGCAATCTCGCCTCACTGCAAGCTCCGCCATCCAGGTCCATGCCATTCTCCTGCCTCAGCCTCCCAAGTAGCTGGGACTACAGGCACCCGCCACCACACCCTGCTAACTTTCTGTATTTTTAGTAGAGATGGGGTTTCACCTGGTTAGCCAGGATGGTCTCGATCTCCTGACCTCATGATCCACCCACCTCAGCCTCCCAAAGTACTAGGATTACAGGCCTGAGCCACTACGCCCGGCCTCGACATTCTTAAAGAAAAGAATTTTCAACCCAGAATTTCATATCCAGCCAAACTAAGCTTCATAAGTGAAGGAGATATAAAATACTTTACAGACAAGCAAATGCTGAGAGATTTTGCCACCACCAGGCCTGCCCTAAAAGAGCTCCTGAAGGAAGCACTAAACATGGAAAGGAACAACCAGTAGCAGCCACTGCAAAAACATGCCAAATTGTAAAGACCATCAAGCCTAGGAATAAACTGCATCAACTAATGAGCAAAATAACCAGCTAAAATCATAATGATGGGATCAAATTCACACATAACAATATTAATCTTAAATGTAAATGGGTTAAATGCTCCAATTAAAAGACACAGACTGGCAAATTGGATAAACAGTCAAGACCCATCAGTGTGCTGTATTCAGGAAACCCATCTCACCTGCAGAGAAACACATAGGCTAAAAATAAAGGGATGGAGGAAGATCTACCAAGCAAATGGAAAACAAAAAAAGGCATGGGTTGCAATCCTAGTCTCTGATAAAACAGACTTTAAACCAACAAAGATCAAAAGAGACAAACAAGGCCATTACATAATGGTAAAGGGATCAATTCAACAAGAACAGCTAACTATCCTAAATATATATGCACCCAATACAGGAGCACCCAGATTCATAAAGCAAGTCCTTAGAGACCTACAAAGAGACTTAGACTCCCACACAATAATAATGGGAGACTTTAACACCCCACTGTCAACATTAGACAGATCAACGAGACAGAAAGTTAACAAGGATATCCAGGAATTGAACTCAGCTCTGCACCAAGTGGACCTAATAGACATCCACAGAACTCTTCACCCCAAATCAACAGAATATACATTTTTTTCAGCACCACACCACACCTATTCCAAAATTGACCACATAGTTGGAAGTAAAGCACTCCTCAGCAAATGTAAAAGAACAGAAATTATAACAAACTATCTCTCAGACCACAGTGCAATCAAACTAGAACTCAGGATCCAGAAACTCACTCAAAACCGCTCAACTACAGGGAAACTGAACAACCTGCTCCTGAATGACTACTGGGTACATAACGAAATGAAGGCAGAAATAAAGATGTTCTTTGAAACCAACGAGAACAAAGACACATATACCAGAATCTCTGGGACACATTCAAAGTAGTGTGTACAGGGAAATTTATAGCACTAAATGCCCACAGGAGAAAGCAGGAAAGACCTAAAATGGACACCCTAACAGCACAATTAAAAGAACTAGAGAAGCAAGAGCAAATACATTCAAAAGCTAGCAGAAGGCAAGAAATAATTAAGATCAAAGCAGAACTGAAGGAAATAGAGACACAAAAAAACCCTTCAAAAAATCAATGAATCCAGGAGCTAGTTTTTTGAAAACATCAACAAAATTGATAGACCACTAGCAAGACTAATAAAGAAGAAAAGAGAGAAGAATCAAATAGATGCAATAAAGAATGATAAAGGGGATATCACCACCGATCCCACAGAAATACAAACTACCATCAGAGAATACTATAAACACCTCTTCGCAAATAAACTAGAAAATCTAGAAGAAATGGATAAATTCCTGGACACATACACCCTCCCAAGACTAACTCAGGAAGAAGTTGAATCTCTGAATAGACCAATAACAGGCTCTGAAATTGAGGCAATAATTAATAGCTTACCAACCAAAAAACAGTCCAGGACCAGATGGATTCACAGCCGAATTCTACCAGAGGTATATGGAGGAGCTGGTACCATTCCTTCTGAAACTATTCCAATCAATAGACAAAGAGGGAATCCTCCCTAACTCATTTTATGAGGTCAGCATCATCCTGATACCAAAGCCTGGCAGAGACACAACAAAAAAAAAGAGAATTTTAGACCAATATCCCTGATGAACATCAATGCAAAAATGCTCAATAAAATACTGGCAAACCGAATCCAGCAGCACATCAAAAAGCTTATTCACCATGATCAAGTGGGCTTCATCCCTGGGATGCAAGTCTGGTTCAACATACGAAAATCAATAAATGTAATCCAGCATATAAACAGAACCAACGACAAAAACCACATGATTATCTCAATAGATGCAGAAAAGGCCTTTGACAAAATTCAACAACCCTTCATGCTAAAAACTCTCAATAAATTAGGTATTGATGGGACGTATCTCAAAATAATAAGAGCTATCTATGACAAACCCACAGCCAATATCATACTGAATGGGCAAAAACTGGAAGCATTCCCTTTGAAAACTGGCACAAGACAGGGATGCCCTCTCTCACCACTCCTATTCAACATAGTGTTGGAAGTTCTGGCCAGGGCAATCAGGCAGGAGAAGGAAATAAAGGGTATCCAGTTAGGAAAAGAGGAAGTCAAATTGTCCCTGTTTGCAGGTGACATGATTGTATATCTAGAAAACCCCATTGTCTCAACCCAAAATCTCCTTAAGCTGATAAGCAACTGCAGCAAAGTCTCAGGATACAAAATCAATGTGCAAAAATCACAAGCATTCTTATACACCAATAACAAACAAACAGACAGCCAAATCATGAGTGAACTCCCATTCACAATTGCTTCAAAGAGAATAAAATACCTAGGAATCCAACTTACAAGGGATGTGAAGGACCTCTTCAAGGAAAACTACAAACCATTGCTCAACGAAATAAAACAGAACACAAACAAATGGAAGAACATTCCATGCTCATGGGTAGAAGAATCAATATTGTGAAAATGGCCATATGGCCCAAGGTAATTTACAGATTCAATGCCATCCCCATCAAGCTACCAATGACTTTCTTCACAGAATTGGAAAAAACTACTTTCAAGTTCATATGGAACCAAAAACGAGCCCGCATTGCCAAGTCAATCCTAAGCCAAAAGAACAAAGCTGGAGGCGTCACGCTACCTAACTTCAAACTATACTACAAGGCTACAGTAACCAAAACAGCATGTACTGGTACCAAAACAGAGATACAGACCAATAGAACAGAACAGAGCCCTCAGAAATAATGCCACACATCTACAACTATCTGATCTTTGACAAACCGGACAAAAACAAGAAATAGGGAAACGATTCCCTATTTAATAAACGGTACTGGGAAAACTGGCTAGCCATATGTAGAAAGCTGAAACTGGATCCCTTCCTTACACCTTATACAAAAATTAATTCAAGATGGATTAAAGACTTACATGTTAGACCTAAAACCATAAAAACCCTAGAAGAAAACCTAGGCAATACCATTCAGGTCATAGGCATGGGCAAGGACTTCATGTCTAAAACACCAAAAGCAATGGCAACAAAAGCCAAAATTGACAAATGGGATCTAATTAAACTAAATAGCTTCTGCACAGCAAAAGAAACTACCATCAGAGTGAACAGGCAACCTACAGAATGGGGGGAAATTTTTGCAACCTATTCATCTGACAAAGGGCTAATATCCAGAATCTACAATGAACTCAAACAAATTTACAAGAAAAAAACAAACAACCCCATCAAAAAGTGGGCGAAGGATATGAACAGACACTTCTCAAAAGAAGACATTTATGCAGTCAAAAGACACGTGAAAAAATGCTCATCATCACTGGCCATCAGAGAAATGCAAATCAAAACCACAATGAGATACCATCTCACACCAGTTAGAATGGCAATCATTAAAAAGTCAGGAAACAACAGGTGCTGGAGAGGATGTGGAGAAAAAGGAAAACTTTTACACTGTTGGTGGGACTGTAAACTAGCGCAACCATTGTGGAAGTCAGTGTGGCGGTTCCTCAGGGATCTAGAACTAGAAATACCATTTGACCCAGCAATCCCATTACTGGGTATATACCCAAAGGATTATAAAACATGCTGCTATAAAGACACATGCACATGTATGTTTATTGTGGCACTATTCACAATAGCAAAGACTTGGAACCAACCCAAATGTCCAACAATGATAGACTGGATTAAGAAAATGTGGCACACATACACCATGGAACACTATGCAGCCATAAAAAAGGATGAGTTCATGTCCTTTGTAGGGACATGGATGAAGCTAGAAACCATCATTCTCAGCAAACTATCGCAAAGACAAAAAACCAAACACCATATGTACTCACTCATAGGTGGGAATTGAACAATGAGAACACTTGGACACAGGAAGGGGAACATCACATCCCGGGGCCTATTGCGGGGTGGGGGGAGTGGGGAGGGATAGCATTAGGAGATATACCTAATGTAAATGACGAGCTAATGGGTGCAGCACACCAACATGGCACATGTATACATATGTAACAAACCTGCACATTGTACACATGTACCCTAAACTTAAAGTATAATAAAAAAAATTTAAACTCCTTATCGTGTTCTCAAAAACTGCAATCCTGCCACTGCCCACCCCTCTTAGAGGGCTCATGACACTCTGGGCCCTCCAGCCTTCTTGTTGCTCCTCTCCCCCTCCAAGATTACCTTTGCTTCAGGAACTTTGTACCTGTAATTACAGTAGCTGTTTCACATAACTTTGTTTAGTTTGCAGCATTTATTGCAACATAGGGTTTGCTTGTTTCTTGAATTGTCTACTTGGTCATCACCCAACTCTATCTCTCACCAGTATTTAAGTCCCCTGCGAGGGGAAACCTGGTCTACCTGGCACTAAGATAGATCTCAGGGACCTAGAACAATGTCTGGTGATTACAGACCTGCCATAAATAAAGAATATGCAATAGTAGGGGTGGCAAGAACTAAGAAGAAAAATGGAACAAGATAAGGAAAAAGATGGCATTTTATTAGGATAAGAAAAGGGTCTCTGATAAGAGTTATTTGGGCTAATATTCAAAGGGAATAAAGAATCCAGCTTTGTAGAGGATTTGGGAGAAGGATAGAGGGTACTCTAGATGGAGGAGACAGCAAGTATAAAGAAAAGTCCTGCTGAAGGAACAAGAAGGCCGGTATGGCTGCAGGACTAGACAAACCATGTTGATGGAGCCTCTGACCCCAGAAGCATAGTCCAGGAGTTCCTTAGTTCTTTCTGGAACCATATCCTGAAGACTGCTCAGTGCTTCAAGAGAAAGAGCAGGGTATGGGGCCCTCAATCGGGCATGGGCTATGGCCTCTGGATAGTGGTTTCTACCTGTTGTGGCATATTCTGGTCTGCACAATCTCTGCTCTGCTGTTATGGCACATGGTAGGAGGGACGTGGCAGATGTCATTAAGGTTACTAAACAGTTGACCTTTAAATAGGAAGATTACCCTGGATTTTATGGGTGGGCCCAATATCATCACATGAGCCTTCAAAGGAAGAGGTAGAAGAGAGAGTCAGAAAAATACAAAGCATGAGGACTCCATGTGCCATTGCTAGTTTGACTATGGTGGGGGCCATGTGTCACAGAAATGGGACTTCAGTTGTACAACCACAAGGAACTGGGTCCTGCCAGCAGCCTGCGTGTGCTTGAAAGTGGATTCTTCCCCAGAGCCCATTCCAGATGATACCTTGTTTTTGGTCTTGTGAGGCCCCAAGCAGAGAATCCATTCACATTTCCCTGGACCTCTGACCTACAGAGACATGAGATAACCAATAAGTGTCATTTTAAGCTACTATAGCCATGGTTAATTTGTTATGCAGGAATAGCCTGAAGTTGAGAAGAATTATCAGAAGAAATATCACAAGTAAGAGTCAGGGAAATCAGAAAATGCAGGACTGTCTGAGCAGAGCTCCCTGCAGAGAGGGGCTGTGGGGAGCCGGTGATGGCAAAACTCTGGGGGACTGGGGAAGTAGGAGCTCACCTCAGCTAGCAGACCAAAGCAGGTGGCCCCCTGGTTGTCTCCCAGATTCCTACAGCTAAGAGAGCATGGGGATTTTCTGAGTGCACTCAAAGAAGCAGACTTTGCTACTTCTAGTTGACAGCAAGAGAGGAAAAATGTGAGGAACAGAGGGAAGAAAGGTGATTGATTATACTCAGTGACTCGCTTGACCAGTAGACTGTGGCAGAAGGGGTGTTCATGGATTTCTTGACCAGGTTATAAGAAGACTAGTGGCATCTTCCTGGGTCTTTTGAAACACTCATTCTTGGAGGCCTGAGCCAACCACAACCCTGACAGGGCCACCCTGGTTGACACTCCCAGCTGAGTCTAGCCTTCCAGCCATCCACACCAAAGCCACAGGCCTCAAACAATGTCACACAAGCAGAAGAATTGTGCAGCCAAGACTTGTTTGAATTCTTGACAGCAAAATGATGATATATAATAAATCGGTTGGTGTTTGAAGCTACTAAATTTGGGGGCTACTTGTTCTGCAAGAGTTGATATATGGAATAACATAGTGAGCATTGACTCATTCAAGCTTCATTTGGGGTGTAGAAATAAAAGCCACAGGAAATTAGCTCCCCCGTCACCCTTCAAAAGAGAGACACAGAAAACTTGAACCACTTGTCCCCTGGTGTGGACCCTCCCAAGGGGACTAGAGGTGGAAGAGACGCAGCTCTTAACCCCAAGAGTCTCTGCCAAAGACACCTGCTAATGCTTTTTCTAAACCAGAGACCCAGGGGCAACATTGCACCAATGTGAAATTAGAAGTTAACATTTTTAGCCCTACCTGTCCATTGCAAATCCACCTCCTAAGCAGAGAACCACCCACACTCGGAATCTTCATCCTCACAATTCAGGGCTTGTTTGCAGCCCGAATGCCACAGCTGCGCTCACCTAAGTGAGGTGAATTCTCCCATCAACAAAACCCCGTGTGCCTTTAAGTTAGAAAATATCCCTGGTTTAGTCTACCTTTCATGGTTCCGGCTTAGTCACTTCAACTGTTAAATAACTTGTGACAAACTGCAAGATTTCCTTGATGCAACAATTACACGGCACTAAGTAATCTTATACCTACTGGGTTTTTCTGCTCCCTCTGCCATCATCTGCATCTGGGCACAGGGCTTCTGTGCTGTTCCATGGGACTGTATGATGCTTTGGTAACTGACATGGTCACAGGAAGACTCTGAAACAGGATATCAATCTGGGCATGGGGCGTTGCATTAACTGGAGGTTTACCTCAGATGACCTACTTTTTTTAAAGTTATTTCTTTTTTATTTTTTAAGAGCCTCAGTCTCAGTCACCCAGGCTGAAGTGCAGTGGAGCGATCATAACTCACTGCAGCCTCAAACTTCTGGGCTCAAGCCATCCTCCTGAATAGTTGGGACTATAGGCGCATGCCACTGCTACTGCACCCAGCTAATTTTTTTTAGTTTTTTGCAGAGACAGGGTCTCACTATGTTGCCTAGGCTGCTCTTGAACTCCTGACTTCAAGCAATCCTCCTACCTCAGCCACTCAAAGTGCTGGGATTACAGGCATGAGCCACTGTACTCAGCCATGACCTACTCTTTCAACATAACTGTTTCATTTTGAAAAACGTTAACTTCTAATTTCGCATTGGTACATGTGTGATGCAAAACAGTAAATTGTCTGGCTTTTCCAGGAAACCCCAGGGCCCCTCTAACATGAACTTTATTCATTCACTATTCATTAAGTGATTAAGTGTGTACTATGTGGGGGGTAGATAGATGCACAATGATTCAGACAAGATCATCATTTAATACTGTCCCCTGAAAAGTCTCTACCTTCTAAAAGTTCTCAGTTCCTCAGAGACTGGAGATAGTGGAAACAGAAGGAAACTCAGGCTGGGAGCTGAGATTGTGTGATGAGCCCTCATACTGATTGTGTGAACCTCCAAGGTGCCTCACTCCTCTGAGTATCCGTCTCCTCATCTGCTGCACATAGAGGGTCTCCCCAGCCGCATGTTTGTTATGGGCAGTTTTGAGAGTCAAATAAGACATTGTCTGGGAAAGTCATCTAAGAAGTATAAAGCTCTGAAAATGTGAGTGAGAGCCCAGCGTGACCAAGCAGATGGCTAATTTAAACCTGGGAATCCCAACTCAGCATTAACCCTTCCTGTCTTCTCCCAGTTCGACTAGCAAGCAACTTCATTTGTTCATTTAATAACATGCCTTCTTGTCATTTTTACTTCCATTCTCTATGTCACCTTTCCCTCCTTCACTATCATTTTCTACTAAAAATACTATAAGATGCTCAGATGTGGCAAGGCCCCTGCCGCGCACATGCATATGCATGAGGTGGAGCTCCTGCCCCTTGGAGACACTGATGTCAGGACTCTGGGGAAATGACTAAGTAACCATGACAACGTGGCTCAATGTTTCATCTTGCTTTGGAGGGCTCTGCGGATGGCCAGCCCTGTTACACAGGCAGGACAGTGACATTCCCTCGGCAAGGAGCACAGAGTGCCCAGGTGGTGGCAGCCGGCCAGTAGTGACAGAGGGACCTCCACGCTTCCTTCCATCTGGCTCCCCTTCCCCACTCTGGTGAGCAGGGAGCAGCCTGTAATTTATCAGGCTGATTTCCCCCACTCAGGAGCAAAGCGCGCGTCGGGGACAGTGAGAGAGGCCAGGAAACACAGCCGACAGCCTTGAGAGTGTGGGTCGGAGATTTGATCTTTGTCAATTTCCTTCCCATCTTAACCAGGTGCCACTGACCCTCGGGTACCTACTGAGGGAGATTTTTAATATTTTAAAGTCATTAACTAGAGTGAATAAATGCTGAAATGTGGGCAGAGATGGAAAGAAGACAAATTCTGGATAAAAAGCAGCCAACATATTGCAAGCATTAAGGATGTGAGTTTTTCTTGTAAATCACCTTTATGTCAATAATAATAATTTAGTCACCATGTTACTTCCAAAGTGAACTTTCTCAGATAAACTTCTCTCACCACTATATTTTCTAGATCTTTTTAAAAAATGTAAGTATGTGTTTCGAGCTCCCATCACATACCGCTGAGATTTTGGAACTGTTTTATTCCATTTCCTCAGCCCTTCCCACTAGCAAAAAGTAATAATATAGTGAACACTCAGCATGTATACATTGTACCAGTCAATTTCAGAAACATTTCCACTGTTAAAAAATAATAATTTAATGGGGCCTCAGCATATGAATGTTACCCTATTGTTCAGGGCTATAATTTCAATAGCATTAAAAAAAAAACCTCCCTCACAAACAGCAAACAGGATGTATATTGAGGGCTGTATTCCAAATGCCATACTTAGACAATTCAGAGACGTGTGAAAGAAAAGAAAGCAAACCACTTCAGCAACAACAATAAACAATAAAAGGAATGGGTGAGCACTGCTGAAGCACAGGATGTGGTGCTGATATCACCCAGGTCGGGTTGCTTTGTGAAATCCAGGGTGTCAAGGACCTCACTCCATATGTCACACTCTATTTTCAAACCTACCTTCCCAGAGCCAAGTGCAGGAGACACAGGCCCAAAGCTGTAGAGAATACCAGTTACAGGTGGCCCCCAGGGCTCTGATCAGAAAAGCTTCTCTGAGGAGGGGGCTCAGTTACCCTCTAAGTGTCCCCTACTGCGTGCATTGGTGCTGGCCTTCCTGTTCTCATCCTCCACCACATGGCCATCTGAACCCTGCCACTCATCAACCATCCCGGACAGTGATGATCTGACTTCTGGCCAACTTCCAAGAAAGCATCTCTGGGCTCCACACTCACAAATGTCAGGACACTTAAGCTATTTCTACTACCTTGTTAAGAAGGAAGATTTACAAAGAAACTCACAAGCAAAAGTATAATTCACAAGTATGGCAAAGTCACAGTTGCTAGGTGGGCAAATACCACAAGGGCCACGTTAATCCTATTACCATACAAACGTGCAAGATTATCTTCCACAGTGCAATGTGCTACTCTGGGAAAGAGGAAATAGCTTTGGCCATACAGAACACTTTATTTAGAACTTGAGGCCACGGCAACAGCTATGTGTAAGTGGTACAAAGTCAAAATTAGCCAAACAGTAAGAAGAAGAGCCATTTATCACTTCTTGTCTCTTTAGACTTCTTAAAAAGATGGCTTCCCTGACACTATTGCTTGTGCTGATTTAGTATGCCATCTTAACCCCCTACACACCAGGAAGGTGAGCCAGGTTTCTGGTCCTGAGTCACAGGACTTCTTAACACAGGTAGAACACTTGACTTCTGACCCAAATGGCCAAACTATGAGAAATTCTACATGCTTTGCATCAGTCAGGATTCTTAATTGCAAGGGAAAGAAGTTGACTCTTACTGATCAATTAGAAAATAACATTATTGTCAGGATACTGGGTAGCTCACAGAATGGTAAAGAGGTAGAAAATGAGTTGCCAGGCGAGGTGGCTTACGCCTATAATCCTAGCACTTTGGGAGCCCGAGGCGGGTGGATTGCCGGAGCTCAGGAGTTTGAGACCAGACTGGGCAACAAGGTGAAACCCCGTCTCTACTAAAATACAAAACAATTAGTCAGGCGGGGTGTTGTGCGTCTGTAATGCCAGCTACTCAAGAGGCTGAGACAGGAGAATCGCTTGAACCCAGGAGGCAGAGGTTGCAGTGAGCCAAGATTGCACTCCAGCCTGGGTGACAGAGCAAGACTCCATCTCAAAAAACAAAACAAAACAAACAAAAAAAAAAAGAAAGAAAGAAAGAAAAGAAAATGAGCTTGTGGGGAAGTTTCCAGGAAACATACCCCAAAGCCTTGAACTGGTCTAACAGGAGAAAAAGCGTCACTGCTGCTGTCACTGAGCATGAGACTTCAGATTTGTTCTGAACCCTCTTCTGCATAAGGCAGTTGAATTTACCAGGCCCAATCCACTCCTGTGCCAAGAATTCAACCTTGCAATCGCCCGCCAGCCTCAGCATGCTAACTTTTGTCCTTAGGCCTGTTGCCCCAGGGTCTCAAAATGGCTGCCACTGCTCTAAACACAATCACATTCTAAGCAGGAAAAAAGGCAAGAGGTAAATTTTCCTCTTTCATCAGGAAGCAATCATTTTCCAGTAATTTCAAAGCAGACTTATCTTTACTTCTCATTGTTCAGACCTGAGTCTTGCTCCCTACCTCTCTCAATCTTGAAGGCAGTCTGGAAAAGAGGATGTCTGGGAAATGGGGTTGAGTCACCCCTTAGGGCTACGTACATTGACAGTCTTCACAAACTTGGGGTTCTGTGGTAAAGTGTATAGAATAAGTATGGTCTATTGGTAACAGAAATGGTATGTTACCTCCCACTGATCTCTTGAATTTGTTCCCTGGTGCTAGTTCTGCTCCTAAACATATTAAAAACTTGAGAAGGAAGCTTTTTCTCATCACTCAGATTACCTGTAATTAGAATCCTCAGTCCCATGATATAGTCAAAATTTCAGTATTGTTGAAATCCTTCCTCATTTCCATTTCCTCATGAGCGTCCCCGCCCATAAAAAGTACCCGTGCAATCTGTACCCTGGCAATTTTTGAGAAAACAGGTCTTACAAACAGCCACCTCTCCATTGGCTCATCCATTCACAGCTACTAAGCCCTTCTTTTATGCTTTAGACTTCTTGGGTGGCCCACAAGATCCCTTAATTTCAGGAAATGAATATCAAGTTCTAAAATACATCACAAAAGCCCCTCTCACAGGCTAAATGAGTAGGGGAATATCCTCTGTCGTTCACCCTGGTGAAATTGGGATCACAGCATAGCATTAGCTGACTCCCTCAAAACATGTTCCTAAAAAACCTCTCTCAGTCTCTGCTGTATATTTCTATATACCCATCACATGGTTGAGAAGTTCAAGAGTCCTGTAACTAGTTTTTGGTTGCCTTATTTTTTACCATATTCGACAGGGAGATCTGTTTTCCAACTCACATTCACATTTGATATCTCTCTTCTTAGGAATTCTGTTACAATGTCCTGTTACAGATGGAGGAAAGTGAAAAGGTTATTTTTTCCACAACTAACTGCATCTGCCACAGATTTTAAAATGTAACATATAATTTCACTTCCCTCCATGAAGGATTAATTGCTACAAGAATTGTCATCTTGCCATAAACAACAGAAATTGAAACAAAATATATGAAATAAGTACTTTCAGACGTTGAACAGAAACAATGAAAAATTGTGATCCCTGAGGAAAAAAAAGATACAAACAAGATGAGCCTTATGGTTGTCCCAGCTTATAACTGGGAGGCAGAGTCCAGACCACAGACCAAGGAATGGGAACTCCAACAAATCCTAAAGTTCTTTCATTTTTCCATAGGTTATTGGGGCACAGGTGGTATTTGGTGATATGAGTAAGTTCTTCACTGGTTATTTGTGAGATTTTGGTGCACCCATCACCTGAGCAGTATACACTGCACCCTATTTGTAGTCTTTTATCTTTCACCCCCTCCCACACTTCCCCCCAAGTCCCCAGAGTCCATTGTATCATTTTTATGTATTTGCATCCTCATAGCTTAGCTCCCCCATATCAGTGAGAACATATGATATTTGGTTTTCCATTCCTGAGTTACTTCACTTGGAATAATAGTCTCCAATCTCATCCAGATCACTGAAAATGCCATGAATGCACTCCTTTTTATGGCTGAGTAGTATTCCATTGTATACACATACCACAGTTTCTTTAAAGACTAAAGTTCTTACCGAGCTGAAGAAACATTGACCAGAGTTTGGGAAAGCCAAGGCAGCTAGAATTTTAAGGGCAAAGTAACATATGCAAGAAAAGAGTTCCAGAAATCTGCGTAAAAGTCCCTCGGAAGTTTGGTTTATTTGCTCATGCACAGGTCAATACCCCATTAGGCCAGCAAAGAACAGCTTCTAAGGAAAGAACAATTATTGAATACCTATAAAATAAACAAATTCAAGAGTTTACATAAGGCTTAGGATTGACTTTTCAGAAAGGCTACACCTTAGAAGTGAAGGTAAATTAATCCTATAATAAAAGCCACCTCAAACTTCCTCTAATCAGGAATAAAACCAAATTATGAAAACAACAACTTATCCCAACTAACTTACCTGTGCGTCAAAACAAAGTCTATCACTCTTTAAAGAATACAAGATATGGCACAGAGGAACATAAAATTTACAATGTCCAGCATTGCATAAAAATAACTAGATAATCAAGAAGCAAGGAAAAGTGACCCATAACCACAAAAAAAATCATTCAACAGAAACAGCCCCAGAAATGACAAATGGCATTAGCATAGCTAATTAAGTTGAAATAAACAGCTGTTCTAAAAATGTTTCACAGCTTAAAGAGATAAATAAAAACATGAACATAATAAGGAGAGAAATAGAAGACATGAAAAGACCCAATTGGAATTTCCAAAGACTCATGAACTTCAAAGTAGAAATATAAACTATCCAAAATGAAATACACACACACACACACACACACACACACACACACACACAAATACTGGAAAAAAAACAAAAACAGATCCCAGTTGCCTGTTATAAAATATCATCTAAATTACATATAATTGTAAGAGAAGGAAAAGGGAGAAGGATAAAAATATTTGAGGAGAAAAGAAGAAATGATTATCAAAATTTTTCAAATATGATAAACAACAATAAACTTACAGATAAGTGCTATAAGCCCCAAGCAGAATATTACATTAAGATGCATCATAAACAACCAAAAACCAGTAACAAAGAGAAGAGTCTTAAAAATGAAGCAGAGAGGCTGGGTGTGGTGGCTCATACCTGTAATCTCAGCACCTCGGGAGGCTGAGGCAGGTGGATCCCTTGAGGTCGGGAGTTTGAGACCAGCTTGGCAAACATGGTGAAACCCCATCTCTACTAAAAATACAAAAATTAGCTGAGCCTGATGGCATGAACCTGTAATCCCAGCTACCCTGGAAAGCTGAGGCACAAGAATCACTTGAACCCAGGAGGCAGAAGTTGCAGTGAGCAGAGATTGCACCGCTGCTCTCCAGCCTGGGCAACAGAGAGACTCTGTCTCAGAAAAAAATTTTTTAAAAATCAAGCAGAGGGAAAAAAGACACATTAAATACAGAAGAACAAAGATGAGAATTAAAGCAAACTTCTTGAAAGAAAACACCATCAACCTAGACTTCTACATCCAGTGAAAACATCCTTCAAAAATAAAAGTAAAATAAAGAATGTATCAGATAAACAAAAGTTGAGAGACTTCATCATTAGTAGAGACGTACCATAAAAACAATTCTTAAAGGAAAATTTTCAGGCAAAATATTATTAAACTAGATTGAAATTTGGATCTGCACAGAGGAAGAAAGAGTATCTAAAATGACAACTTTGTGGGGAATATAAAGACATAAAAATTTTTTTGATTCTTAATCTGTTTACAAGATAATTAATTTTGAGCCAAAAATAACCATATATTGTGGGGTTTATAACATACATAGAAATAAAATGTATAACAATAACAGCACAAGGGATGTGAGTGGAAAATCAAAATATATTGTTATAAGGTTCTCATACTCTACAAGGCGTGCCATAATATTATAAGAAAGTAGACTGTGATAAATTAAAAATGGATATTGTAAATTCTACAGCAACCACTTAAAAATAAGCAAAGAGGAATGACCAATAAGCCAATTAGGGAAATAAAATGAAATCATTAAAAACTACCCAATTACTTAAACACAGAACAAATTTCAAGGGCAGTCAAGGGTCTCTTGGGATTTACATGTAATTGTATTGCCTGGAACCAAGCACTGTAGACTTCATTGAAGGGCTAGACTTGTAATACTAAACCTTGGATAGCTCACAGTCTGTCTAACCATCCTTTTAAAGTGGGACTGGTCTTACTAAAACTACCAACGTGATCCCAAAAGAGTAACATATCAACCCATTACCACATTAGCATCCAGATGTATCACACAATCCAGCCAGGTCCCATGACAAATCAGGTTTTTGGTGGCTGAGAGATCCAAGGCTTGAAGATAAGTCTAGACCCCTAGCAGAGAGAAAGAGAGGCTGGCAGGTGGAGGAGGTGTCACATGTTTTGGTAAACTCCAAGAGGGGAGGGTCTGTATTGGCTTTGTTTGCCTCTGGATACCAACAGCTCACACAATAACTGGCGGCACTTATCAGAAACTCAATAAGTGGAAAGAAGGAAGAAAGACAGGAAGGTAGGAGGGAGAGAAGGAACATGTAGGGGAGAGAAGGGAGGAGGAGTCTCCCCGGCTCTGTGTCAGCACCTATCAGAAATCTGTGTCTCTGACACTTCTTACACATGACAATAATAACCACAAAACTCAGAAACTAGAGTAGGGAGAAAGAGATATGTCTTCAATGAATGTAGCACTTAGAGAAAAAGACCAGAGTACTAATATTTAAACAAGTGTCAGATGCATCTCTCTCGGATGACTTAAAAGATTTTTCTTGGCTAACTAGTCAGATTTGTGCCAAGAAACATCCATTTACTCTGGCTGCCCAGCTACCACCTGACAATTGTCCTAAAGATTGATGCATAATATAATCAGGAAGGTATATCTGCACAAATTGAGAGGTGTGAATATTACGAAACAGGTCTTAATGCACATCAGAGGCCATTCCTCAGGCAGAACATTCAATTTAGAAATCTATCGTCACCTACATACATCTGCCAATAAATCACTGGAGAGATGCATTTATATCAAGGACAAAATACTTTGCCTTATGGCTCCTCCTAAGATCTTTGAAGATAAAATGGTTTATCCCCAGCATTTTTGTTTAAATGGCAATAAAAGCCTCACCTAACATGAAGGTCAAGGTAAGTAGGGCAATTGACAGACATACCAATTCCTCAGGAAGGGAACAGGTCTCTAATCTGCATCTAGCAGAACTTAGAATTGATATTGTCTCCTCACAATCTCATTGGTTGTCTTAACCTATAACATGTAGGCTTCATATATATGACTGTATGTGGTGACTTAATACCTAGAATTTCCCTAAACAATTAAATATACGAACAAAAGAAACATTGAGTCTGTTTCATGAAAACATTGCCATGTGGCTAGAAAAACTATCTAGACCTAAATACAGCACCACCACCCTGCCACCCCTACCATTATCTATCCCATTTTCTACGGAAATAAATAGAATTTCTTGGAAATCATCATAAGATTAAGAGAGAAATAGTCTTTATAAATATGATCCCTCCAGTTTTCTCTCTCCTCCCCCTCCTCTTCCATCTCCCCTGCAACCCCCACTCTCTCTCTCTTTCTCCTGATAGGCTTGTTTTTTTCATCCCTCCCCAGCAAAGCTTTGCTTTTATCAATTGCCATTCTGCGAAATCTACACTTTGCTCAGCAATATCTACCTGAGCCATTGGAGTAAATTTTCTTCCAGCAGCTCCTGCATATTGTAGGGAGGCTGAGGAAGGAGGAGGTCCATCTCAGTGGGACATCTGTTTATTTTGTGTTTAACAAAAGAGAAAGGATTGCTTGCAACAACATGTTTTGGCTTGGGAGCCTGAATGTAAACTTACCACAGCGACCTAAGCTCACCTCAGGAACATTGTTAGCTGACAACCACCTTGGGAGTGAAAAACAAAATCCCATTCCAGCTCCCTTTGACTGATCTAAACTCCTTTTGCTGTCATTTAACACTGCAGATTTGATTTAATTTGATGAGACTTCTAAAACAATTTAGAAACTTAAGCATTTAATACCAACCCTGATCATTTCTCTTTCACACATGTTCAAAGGCTTCTTGGTTTATAAATAAAAACTAGGATCAGATGTAAGGGCCATGATGGTATTGTTTTTCTACTTTTTAGTCTTTAAGTAAAAGTTATCTTCCAAAGGCAGAACCAGGAGGAATGAGTGGAAATTGCAGAAAAACAAGTTACAACTGAACATAAGAAAGCACTCTCTAACCATCAGAGCTGTTGCCAATGGAAGGAAACTTCCCTGACCTGGGAGGGGTTCAGGCAGAGACTTGGAACCACATAAGGCTTGGGTTGTATAATCTCTGAAGTTCATCACTATACATTATATGGCTCAAAAATTCGGAAAGGATTTTGCTTTCTGGCTACAATAACATGACATTTCAGCAACAGAAAATCTAGGGTTACAAAAAAATGTGTTAAAGGATACAGAGTCTATGCTGAAAAAACAACTTGACTCTGTTCAGTGACAAACGAATGTACTGAAGGAAAGTAACAATCTGTAGGTGGAAGTTGCACCTTAGATCACTCTCCCTTTTCTTTGTCTTCTCACCAAAAACATGAAATTCTAGCTGAACCCGGTTATGCTGGTATATAGTGGGATTATTGTGATTTCATGTTTTTATAAAATACTCATTATGAAATGTCCCTCTACTGAAGGTAACAGGGTATAATATTTGTTTTATTGGCAGAAAAGAAATCTGCACCATGATTTCTGCTACCAGGAAAACTGCTTCAATTCAAACTGAATCTTTAAGTCTTTAAACAGTTTCCACCTAGCAAACACCTGGAGGCTAGCAGCTGCCGAGCCATGCCTGTGGGCACGTCAGCAAGAAGACAGAACCCCTGTGTGTGTGACTAAGGGGAGAAGGGGCTGCATCTGGTCTAAGTTTGCACCGCCCCCCTTCCCCCGTGACCAAGTCCTCTCATGCACAAATCGCTGGTACTCTGTCCAGCTACTTGCAGCTGCTTGTGACACTTTTCCTCAGCAGCCGCCATCCGTTACTCCATGTCAGTCATTCCAAAATCTTTCTTTCTGCTTCCACTGCTATGCACCTCACCTGAGCCACCACCTTCTCACCTGGATAGGATCGCTGCAAAAACTCCCAACACACACACCCTGCCCCATCCTCACCCTCCGCAGTGGGGTCTCCACAAAGCAGGCTGACGGATCCTGACACTGCGTCCAGTATTTCCGTTTATTATCTATAGCCCCAACTAGAATGAAAGCCCTATGAGACCAGGATCTTTGTTTCTTTGTTTTCTTTTTGTCTCCTACAATATCACAGCACTTGGAACAGTGGCAGGCACACTGTAGACATTCAATACATATTTGTGATGCTCAGTGGAATTTTCTACTTGCACCTGCATTCACCAGGGAAGTATAAAAATTGGATGCTGTGTTTCACAATACTATCAAGAGCGTACACTTTGAGGGATAGGATACCTCACATCCTTGACTTTTTCTTGACCAGTGAAGAGAGGATCCTGTTTTAATGTGACTTATGGATCTATTTCATCCTACTCAGGATAGCATAGTTTTTCTTAATGAGAATAACCACCAAGAAAGCCTCTTTCTAACACTTAAAAAAAACCTCCAACTTTCCTCTCTCAGCAAACTATTCATTAAGTTTCTTCACTGGGATGTGTGTCTGTGCGTAGCAAGTAAACAAACACAAATGAATGAAGGAATGAATGAATGACCCTCCACGGGTGGTCAGGGTTGTTTTGAGGTTTAGACAATTACTAGCTACTTTGCACAAGTACTATCAAGGCTCATTCCCATTTGAAATGGCTCTCCCTAAAAAGACTTCTCAATAAAGCATTGATTTTGGAAGAATCTTTGTATCCCCGTGCTAAATAATGGTATTTGGACACTGAAATAAAGAAACATTCATCAGCTGCCAAACGTTGACTTGCGTGGTCTAGCGTGGTATGCAGAGAAAGCACAACCTTAGTCTAGGAAAGCACAGTGTATGAATCATGGCTCCACCACTTTGGGAAAATTGCTGAACATTACTGAATCTCTTTCTTCACCTATGAAATAAGATCTGCCTTTCTGAGCAGTTGTGAAAATTAGAGATAACGTACAGAGAGCACCAAACAGTGTCAGACAGAGCCAACACTGGATATGTTAGTTATTACTATTCACAAATGGTAGTTATCGTCCTCATAGGTTAGACCAAGGACAGCTTCACCACCTTCCTTAGGAGATACTGCATTCATTTTCTATTGCTGTGTGGTTCTTTTCTCCCCTTTTTGCTT
Source organism: Homo sapiens (assembly GCF_000001405.40). Taxonomy (NCBI): domain Eukaryota; kingdom Metazoa; phylum Chordata; class Mammalia; order Primates; family Hominidae; genus Homo; species Homo sapiens. The sequence goes on from NC_000018.10 coordinate 25,737,016, forward strand.
AGTGGCTTAAAACAATATGTTTGTTATCACACAGATTCTATGAGTCAGGTGTCTGGGAACAACTCCCGGGTTGCGGGTCCTCTGCTCAGGGCTACCATTAAGGTTTCAGCCAGGGCTAGAGTCTCACCTGTGGGTCAGGTACCCCTTCCAGGCTCACGTGGTTGTTACCAAGTCATCCCCTCACAGCTGAGGAACTCATCGCGGCTCAAATCTTCAAAGCCAGGAGGAGGGAGACTGATTTCTTCCATCTCTGATCTCTAGACCTTCTTTGAAAGGGCTCGGCTGATTAGGTCAGGCTTACCCAAGATAATCTTCCTTTTAACATAAAGTCTACCTAATTACATCTACAGAATCCCTTCACCTTTGCTATAGAAGACAACCTAGTCACAGCAGTACTATATCATCACTTTTGCAGTATTCTACTTATGAGAAGCAAGTTACAAGCCCCACTTATACTCAAGGGTGTGGGCCATTGGGAATTGTCTTAGAAGTCTGCCTACCACAGATATCGTTGATACCCATGGGATCTGCTCATTGCTGGTTGACCTGCAGTGGTAATGGAGTGAAGTCAGTGAACACCACCATTAGCATATTTTCTACCCTGCTGAGAACCCAAGAAAAATAGATATAAGGGACATGACTGTCACAGCTGGTCGGCAGAAGGGCAAGAGAGAAATCAAGACTTGTCATAAGTTGTTTTGGAATTCAGCCTTCCCCGCTTACTCAAGAGAGAAAAGAATAGGGGGCATTGTGATCATAGCTGCTGACTGTTCCAGATTCATCCAATCAACTGGCCAACAGCCCTCGCCCTCTTGGTGATGACTCAGTAGGGATACACGTAGGAAGAATTGCTGTTGAAGGAATGTGTGTGCACGTGCACACACACACGCACACACACAGTCTGCCAGCCCACATGTATTCTGCTGACATTCAAGGATATCTGAGGCAGTTTTCTCAATGTGGCTTTCTAGGTTTTGGGATACACTGGAGAGGAAGAGTGTGTTTTCATGTGTGGGGGCCTGAAACCAATCCCTCTCTGCCACTAAGACAACACAGTGTCCACAATGACTCCTTCATATGTGGTCCCAGGAGTGCCAGCTGTCCCTGGGCAGATGAGGTCATCACCTAGTTAGGTCACAAATAGGAAGCCTTCTGGGGGACTTAGAATCTGCCATCTCAACAGCTGTGTCCAGGAATCAGGGGAGCCAGCTGGGGCTGGTGAGCCACTCACCCTCACACAGGGTCAGGGGCTTGCTGAGGCTCTGCAGCTCTGCTGGCCGCAACAGCTTGTGTACGAGCTGTTTCTGAAAGAGGGCTTCTCTAAAATCCCCCAAATAGGATAATGCACACCAAAGTCTCGAGGGGCACACCACCCAGCTACAGAGCAGCCAGAGCCCGGCTGTATGGGAACCGCCCCTCCATGCTCAGACCCCTATAGCCAATTAGTAAAGAACCGCGAAGCCTCTCCACCAGGCAGAAAAGTTAGGTCGACAGCTGGCGATACTGGTGCCCAATCACTTCAAAACCACACGCTTGCTTTAATTTTCCTTTCACTGAGTTCAGTTACTACTTTTCCTTCACTTTCTTTCTTTACTCTTGTCATATCTCCTGCTGTCTCTTCTTTTTTCATGGTTTCCCTTTGATTTGTGCTTTTTTTCTGTTTATTAATTACACTTTGCTCTCTGCAGCCTTTTTCCCTCCTTTGCCCTTTTCCTACTGCCAGTTTATTTCTCTCTACCACTATTTGACCCTCTTTGACTTGAACTTTCTACCTACCCTAGCTGAAGGCAAGATGCCCAGCTTGAATTCTCTTCAAACCTTTGCTATGAATGATCATCTAACCATCATATGAATGTTTTCACCAGAACTTTGAATGTTTTCACCAGAACTTCTTTTTAAAGTCAATGAACAGATTAGATATAACACTCTGCCCTTATCTAAGAAATAGCTCCCTTTGGGTCTGGCAAATTCTTATTGAATAAGTTCTATTCTTATTGACTAGCATATTAGGTAAATTGTATCAACAAAACCAAAGAATGCAAGGTCCAAATGGAAACATCTGTGAAGAAAATGAAATCTCTTTCAAATGAGGCAAAATCCATTTCTCCTTAGTTACTGTTGATATTACTGTAGGCATTTTTACCTGCGAGGTATGACTTCATTAGCACGCACAGACAACTGTTAGTGCATTGAGGAAATGGGAGGCCCTCACTGTGACTTCTATCACGTTCTTACCTCTCTTCTCTCCTGCTTCCACCCCTCGGTGTGTTCAGCAAGCAGTTCGCACTGTGGAAGATGATGGTTGTATGCTGTGCTGCACTTACTCCTTAAACATCCTCAAAAATGATTTTCTGCATCATAACAGGAACACTTACAGATATCTTAGTGATGACACGGAAAATCTGAACACTTCAGCCATTCTGTCAATGTTTGAGAAAAAAATATTCCTGACCCAGCTCTAGCTGAAAAGCAACTTGCTGAAACATCACCTAAAACAGGAGGTTCCAATTCATTGGAACTCAACTTATTACACGCTTGAGCAACTACTGGAACAAGAAAAAGCTGTGCAAGATTTTGCAGGCCAGGGTGAGAACAAAAAAAAAAAAAAAAGAAAAGATATTCTTTTAACCTTGACTCAGTGGAGTCTGACAAGCTATGTCAGTATCATCCTCCTCCTTGGGAAGTCACTGCTGACAAAGCAAGTCTGGGCTAGGGGGTTTCACTACTGATCAGGTGTCTGTAACTCTTGGTCAAATAAATGTCAATTTAATTTGAAGTCAAGAAAGTACTCCTAAGATTCACACCCAGGCAAGCCTTCCAGTGACTTGGGAAGGAAATGTTGGTCTAGGTTATCTTTCTTCACAATTCTTTTCTTTTCTGAGATGGAGTCTCACTCCATCGCCCAGGCTGGAGTGCAGTGACGCCATCTCGGATCACAGCAACCTCCACCTCCCTGGTTCAAGCAATTCCCCTGACTCAGCCTCTCAAGTAGCTGGGATTACAGGCACGCACCACCACGCCCAGATAATTTTGTATTTTTAGTAGAGATGGGGTTTCACCATGTTGGCCAGGCTGGTCCCAAACTCCTGACCTCAGGTGATCCACTTGCCTCGGCCTCCCAAAGTGCTGGGATTACAGGCGTGAGCCCGGGCGCCCTGCCCCACAATTCTTGAATAGTAGTCTAACCCTGTTCCTTGGATGGCCTTGATCACTCTAGTGAGGTTGATTTACAAAAATCTGCATATGTCGCCAATTCTTTCCTCTCTTCTTAGGGTCTGGGGAATCTCAGGAAAATCTTCAGTTTATCTCGAAATATGAAAAACACTTGTTTCCTCTCAGGCACTGATTAGAAAGTCATGGTGATCAGGGCTGAGGAGTAGCGGTGTTGGGAGGGGAGGGGCTGTGTCTTTCAAAGGCTTTCTCCTGTGCAGCCTGGGCTGATAGCTTCCACACTCTCAGATGTAAAGGAAACTGTAAACTCTCCTGCACCTGGTCTCCTACATGGAGGCCTCAAACATTTCTCAAATGCCTGCCGACAAAACAGTGATACCCTTAATAGTAATTAATATGTGTAGTAGTCTGTATGCCAATATGTAAAAGACTGTCTCCTTTCTTAGACACAGGCAGTATAAGCCAAAGCAAAGTAGATGAGCAAAGCCACGTACCCACCATCCAGATATTAGCAACTGGCTGTTTCACCCACGCATTTGCTAAAACCCAGGATTCACTTGAAAACAGTGGCCAGTGACATTGTCTGTAACTGTGTATATTTTAGTTTTACAGTTACAAGGAAGCTTATTTCATTAAACAGCTCTTTGCTAGGGATGGTGTGAACACATGCCTGGAAACATAAAAATTCCAGTCCTAAAACAAAGAGTTCTTACTTTAAAAGTAAGGTCAGGCCATTTTAGGTACATTGTTGTTTTCATCCAGACTTGTTCCTAGAAGCCATTAATTTAAAAAAACCACAAGTCTATATTTCATTTGAGCCTGTTGATGCCATATGTTTCAAGCTGAAGCTTCAAAACCAGTGCTATCTAATAGAAACACGATGCGAGCCAATTATGCACATCAGAAACAAAAAAGAAACAGCTGAAATTAATGTTATTTAATCTAATATATCCAAATAGTATTATTTAACATGTTATCAATATTTTAAAGTTAATGCATTTTTTGCATTCTTCTTCTTGTGCCAAGTCAGAAATCTGGTATATATTTTTTACTTAAATAGTGTATCTCTATTTGGATGAACCACGTTGCAAGTACTCAATACACTGGAAAGCACAGCCCTAAATGAATGAAAGCTGCCATGAGGATTGGAATGTCAGTTGGATGATGATGATGTAATAGAAATTGTCTCAGCTTTCGTCCATGCAGACCTATTTTCAAATCCTGGCTCCACTACTCGCTGGCTGTGTGACCTTGCACAAATCACTTAGCATCTCTGAACGTTAATCTCCTCATCATTGAAGCAGGCATATTAATCCCTGCATTTCAAAAGAGTATTCTGTTACATTAAACATAGGCATATGTTGGTTGGTTAGGTACAATAACTAGCACATAGTGAAAACTCAATTCCAGGCCGGGCGTGGTGGCTCACGCCTGTAATCCCAGCACTTTGGGAGGCCGAGGTGAGCAGATCACGAGGTCAGGAGATCGAGACCATCCTGGCTAACATGGTAAAATGTCTCTCCTAAAAATACAAAAAATTAGCCGGGCATGGTGGCAGGCGCCTGTAGTCCCAGCTACTCGGGAGACTGAGGCGGAGCTTGCAGTGAGCCCAGATCCATGCCACTGCACTCCAGCCTGGGTGACAGAGCAAGACTCTGTCTCAAAAAAAAAAAGAAAAAAAAAAACAAAAAACTCAATTCCAGGCATTTAGCATTATTAGTATCAATCATGGGTTATCATGTATAACAACAGTGCAGAATATGTTTACATTTTTAATATCTGGAGAAAATATTCTTTTCTAATTTTATCTAAAGAGTATTCATATCAAATCCGCACTTCTTGGTAGTGGTTGCACGTGGTTTTGTTGTTAAAATAGTAAACCTTGTAAGGTAACATTGATGAAGATAGGACTCCAAGATTTTAAACCCTTAAGGAACAGAGACTATAAAGAGCTACTATTTTTAAATGGCAAAAACCTTGATGCTGCTCAGCGTACACTGTGATTGCTGCCCTACCTATGGGGTGATCTAAAACTAATGTTAGACAATTATCTTCTAGGGCCAGAGGGAAAGACCTCACCCCTGTGGGTAGTGATGAGATTTCCCTGAGGAAAGCAGACATTACCAGTGTATGGTTTTACATAACGGTAGACCCTGGGACAGTAGATGAAAGCTCAGTTGGTGGCACTTAGGGAGGTCACTTTGGGAGAGACACTGTCCCTTTCTTTCTTGGAGATCGTGGTAAGTTAGACACTTGGACTCCAGAAAGGAGAGATAGAAAAATCGCTCCCAATGGGACATGGCTCAAGGCCAGGGACAGACAGGTCCCCAGTGAGGACAGCATATCGAGTGACTTAGACCTATGCCTCCTAGGAGGAGTCTTACCTAGTATCAGTTTTAAATTTCTTTGCATTGTAATTTCCTTTGAATATCCCCAAGCCTTCAGTAAAATCTTGTTAAATATTACACTATGGTCTCAGCAGTCATGGGGGGATATTAAAAAGAAGGATTGGACCCATTCATTTCTAACACAGGTCTGTAGCAGGGAGTGAGGAGCAGCCCCAGAGGAAAAGAGGGAGCCTGGCATGAGGGGAGGCAACCTGCACGGGGCATTACCTACAAAGACAACCGGGCTGGGGCAGTGAGCAGCAGGCTGCAGCTCAGGGGCTGGCCGAGGAGGCGGACTGTGGGGGATGCACCAGCAATGACAGGTGAGGGAGAATGTTAGTGTCCCCACAGAGTCCCAAAAATGAAAGAGGGGATTAGCCCATTAAAGAAACTGAATTCCAAAAGGGTGAGTGCTCAATTATCGTAATGTAGACATTGAAAAGAATTGTGGCCACATTTTGTATCTCAGTCTGTGGGAGGCCTGAACATCCTTGCTACATAGCGGGGAAATATTAACTTCTCTAGCCATTTGCTCACAGTAATATATTCTTGGACAAATTGTCTAACTTCTGAGACCTTCTATTTGCTCATCCCCAGAATGAGGGAATTGAACAAGGTGGTTTTATGGTTTTTTCCAGAGATATAATCTTTTAGGTCATGATTTTGAATACCAGCTACCTAATGCATTGGGTGGATAGATGCTAGATTTGAAGATAGCCTTGTCATTCAAGTTTAGAAAGCACTTCAATAACCTGAGTCTACACATGCGGCAGAAATCTCCAATTTGTACATTTGAATCAATTCAAGTATGAGCAAGTCTAATATATCCAGTGAAGATTTATAAAATGAATAAAACTGCTAAAAAATGAATGGAGGTTAGGACATTCTCATTTTACTTTATTAGAACATTAAGATCTCACATTTTATTATGCCTAATTTAGAATTAATTCACATCTGTGTTTCTATGAGTAAGCACGTAGTAGGTGCCTAATAAATGTGAGTTGGCTAAATGACTGTAAAATACTCCCAGACAAGTTCGGTTTGACTCTTAATGCTATTTAAATTATTTCATAGGGAGGGGCCCACATGGCCAACTGAAAACAGCTGCGGTCGGAGGCTCCCATGGAGAAGAACAAAAACAGCAAGTGAATCCTGCATTCACAACTCAGGTGCCAGGCAGACTAAACGGTTTAGACACAGGAGGCATTCCCCACAGCGCAGCTCAGTGGCTGTGGCAGATCATGGCCAGACTGCCTCTTTAGGCTGGACCCTGACCCATCCCCCCTCACCAGGTGGGGCCTCCCTGCAAGAACTTCAGCAACTGCAGCCAGGGGTTTAGGGGCAGAACTCTCATCTCCCTGGGACTGAGCCCCTTTGGGGAGGGGCAGCTGCAGTCTCCGTTGATCAGCAGATTTAGTGTTTCCCCTGCTGGCTCGGAGGAATCCCAGCAGTCCGGACAAGTGCACCTCCTCTAAGACCCCAGCAGAGTGCACCCTCTCTGCCAAGAGGCAGCCAGAGTACTTTGTTAAGCAGGTTCCAGATCCCATGTCTCCTGACAGAGTGAGACTCTTCAACAGGGGTCACCAGACACCTTATACAGGAGCATTCCAGCTGTCATCAGGTCAGTGCCCCTCTGGGATAGACATCCCAGAGGAACGAGCAGGCAACCATCTTTGCTGTTCTGCAGCATACACTGGTAACACCTCCAGGGGTGGAAGGGACCCAGGTGAATAGGCTCTGGAGTGGATCCCCAGCAAACCGCAGCAACCCTGCAGAAGAGGGGCCTGACTGTTAAAAGAAAAACAAGCAGAAAGCAACAGCATCAACAAAAAAAAGTCCTCACAAAAATCCCATCCAAAGGTCAGCAGCCTCAAAGACCAAAGCTAGAAAAACTCACAAAGAGGAGAGAGAATCAATGATAAACCACTGAAAACTGCAAAAGCCAGACTGCCTCTTCTCCTCCAAATGATCGCAACACCTCTCCAGCAAGGGCACAGAACTGGGAGGAGGCTGAGATGGATGAACTGACAGAAGTAGGCTTCAGAAGGTAGGTAATAACAAATTTCGCTGAGCTATAGGAACATGTTCTAACCCAATGCAAAGAAGCTAAAGACCATGATAATACATTACAGGAGCTGTTACCCAGAATAATCACTTTAGAGAGGAATACTGAAAAATGCAACATGAGAACTTCACAATGCAACCACAAGTATCAATAACTGAATAGACCAAACAAAGGAAAGAATTTCAGAGCTTGAAGACTTTCTTGCTGAAATAAGACAGGAAGACAAGATTGGAGAAAAAAGAATGAAAAGGAATGAACAAAACCTTCGAGAACAATGGGATTATTTAAAAAGACCAAATCTATGACTTGTTGGGGTACCTGAAAGAGAAGGGGAGAATGAAACAAGTTGGAAAGCATACTTCAGGGTATCCCCCAGGAGAACTTCCCCAACCTAACAAGACAGGCCAACATTTAAATTCAGGAAATCCAGAAAACCCCAGTAAGATACTCCATGAGAAGATCAACCCCAAGACACATAATCGTCAAATTCTCCAAGGTCAAAATGAAGGAAAAAAATGGACCCGATAGATATCTACAAAACTCTCCCCCAAAAAACAACAGAATATACATTCTTACCAGTGCCACATGGCACTTACTCTAAAATCAATCACATAACTGGAAGCAAAACACTCCTCAGAAAATGCCAAAGAACTGAAATCATAACAAACTGTCTCTCAGACTACAGCACAATCAAATTAGAACGCAAGATTAAGAAGCTCACTCAAAACCACACAACTACCTGGAAATTGAACAACCTGCTTCTGAATGACTCCTGGGTAAATAATGAAATTAAGGCAGAAATCAAGAAGTTCCTTGAAACCAATGAGAACAAAGGGACAACATACCAGAATCTCTGAGACACAGCTAAAGCGATGTTAAGAGCAAAATTTATAGCACTAAATGCCCACATCAGAAAGCTAGAAAGACCTCAAATGGACACCCTAACATCACAACTAAAAGAACTAGAGAACCAAGAGCAAAAAAACCCCAAAGCTAGCAGAAGACAAGAAATAACCAAGATCAGAGTGGAACTGAAGGAGATAGAGACACAAAAAAAACCCTTCCAAAAAATCAATGAATCCAGAATCTGTTTTTTTGAAAAAAATTTAAAACATAGACTGCTAGCTAGAATAATAAAGAAGAAAAGAGAGAAGAATCACATAGACACAATAAAAAATGATAAAGGGGATATCACCACTGACCCCACAGAAATACAACCAACCATCAGACAATATTATAAACACCTCTATGCAAATAAACTAGAAAATCTAGAAGAAATGTATAAATTCTTGGACACATACACACTACCAAGACTGAACCAGGAAGAAGTTGAATCCCTGAATAAACCAATAACAAGTTCTGAAATTGAGGCAGTAATAAATAGCCTACGAACCAAAAAAAAAAAAAAAAAAAAAAAAAAAAGCCCAGGGCCAGACAGATTTATAGCTGAATTCTACCAGAGGTACAAAGTGTAGCTGGTACCATTTCTTCTGAAACTATATCAAACAATTGAAAAGGAGGGACTCCTCCCCTAACTCATTTTATGGGGACAGCATCATCCTGATACCAAAATCTGGCAGAGATACAACAAAAAAAAACTTCAGGCCAATATCCCTGCTGAACATGCAAAAATCCCCAATAAAATGCTGACATATTGAAGTCAGCAGCACATCAAAAAGCTAATCCACCATGATCAAGTTGGCTCCATTCCTGGGATGCAAGGCTGGCTCAACATATGCAAATCAATAAATATAATCCATCACGTAAACAGAACCAATGACAAAAACCACATGATCATCTCAATAGATGCAGAAAAGGCCTTCAATAAAATTCAACATCCCTTCATGTTAAAAACTCTCAATAAACTAGGTATTGATGGAATATATCTCAAAATAATAAGAGCCATTCATGACAAATTCACAGCTAATATCATACTGAATGGGCAAAAGCTGGAAGCATTCCTTTTGAAAACCAGCAGAAGACAAGGATGCCCTCTCTCAACACTCCTATTTAACATAATATTGGAATTTCTAGCCAGGGCAATCAGGCAAGAGAAAGAAATAATGGGTATTCAAATAGGAAGAAAGGAAGTCAAACTCTCTCTGTTTGCAGATGACATGATCCTATATCTAGAAAACCCCATCATCTCAGCCCCAAAGCTTCGTAAGCTGATAAGCAACTTCAGCAAAGTCTCAGGAAACAAAAATCGATATGCAAAAATCACAAGCATTCCTATACACCAACAATATACTAGCAGAGAGCCAACTCATGAATAAACTCCCATTTGCAATAGCTACAAAGAGAATAAAATACCTGGGAATCCAGCTAACAAGAGATATGAAGGACCCCTTCAAGGAGAACTACAAATCACTGCTCAAAGAAATCAGAGAGAACACAAACAAATGGAAAAATTTTCCATGCTCATGGATAGGAAGAATCAACATCATGAAAATGGCCATACCATCCAAAGTAATTTATAGATTCAATGCTATTCCCATTAAACTACCACAGACATTCTTCACAGAATTGGAAAAAACTACTTTAAAATTAATGTGGAACCAAAAAAGGGCAGATGTAGCCAAGACAATCCTAAGCAAAAATGACAAAGCTGGAGGTATCATGCTACCTGACTTCAAACTATACTGCAAGGCTATAGTTATCAAAACAGCATGGTACTGGTACAAAAACAGACACATAGACCAATGTAACAGAATAGAGATCTCAGAAATAAGACCACACATCTACAACCATCTGATCTTTGACAAACCTGACAAAAACAAGCAATGGGGAAATAACTCCCTATTTAATAAGTGGTGCTGGGAAAACTGGCTAGTCATATGCAGAAAACTAAAACTGGCCCCCTCCCTACACATTATACAAAAATTAACCCAAGATAGATTAAAGACTTAAATGTAAAACCCAAAACCAAAAAAACACTAGAACAGAATCTAGGCAATATCATTCAGGACATAGGCACAAGCAAAGATTTCGTGACAAAGACATCAAAAGTAATTGCAACAAAAGCAAAAATTGACAAATGGGATCTAATTAAACTGAAGAGTTTCTGCACAGCAAAAGAAACTATCATCAGAGTGAACAGACAACCTACAAAATGGGAGAAAATTTTTGCAATCTACCCATCTGACAAAGGTCTAATATTCAGAATCTACAAGGAACTTAAACAAATTTACAAGAAAAAAAAAAAACCCCATTAAAAAGTCAAAAACTTAACAGACACTCCTCAAAAGAAGACATTTATGCAGCCAACAAACATATGAAAAAAAGCTCAACATCACTGAATATTAGAGAAATGCAAATCAAAACCACAATGAGATACCATCTCACACCAGTCAGAATGGTGATCATTAAAAAGTCAAGAAACAACAGATTCTGGCAAGGCTGTGGAGAAACAGGAATGCTTTTACACTGGTTGGTGGGAATTTAAATTGGCTCAACCATCATGGAAGACAGTGTGGTGAGTCCCCAAAGATTTAGAATCAGAAATACCATTTGACCCAGCAGTCCCATTACTGGGTATATACCCAAAAGAATATAAATCATTCTGTCATAAAGATACATGAACACGTATATTCATTACAGCACTATTCACAATAGCCAAGACATGGCTATTTGATGAGCCCAAATGCTCATCAATGATATACTGGATAAGAAAATATGGTACATATACACCATGGAATACAATGCAGCCATAAAAAGGAATGAGATCATGTCTTTTGCAGGGACATAGTTGGAGCTAGAAGCCATTATCCTCAGCAAACTAACACAGGAACAGAAAACCAAACACCACATGTTCTTACTTATAAGTGGGAGCTAAAAGATGAGAACACATGAACACAGGGAGGGGAACAACACACACTGGGGCCTGTTGGTGGGTTGTGGGGAAGGGAGAGCATCAGCATAAATAGCTAATGCATGTGGGGCTTAATACCTAGGTGATGGGTTGATAGGTGCAGCAAACCACCACGGCACGTGTTTACCTATGTAACAAACCTGCATGTCCTGCGCTTGTATCCTGGAACTTAAAATACAATACAATAAAATTTTTTTAAAAAAAGCTCAATAAACACTTTTAAGTAAACAATGAGTGCTCTCAAACTTTCCGTTCTGCTGATCTTTTTTCCAGCTTTATGGAAGTATGGCCGATAAATTAAAAATTGTATTACAGTTTTAAAAATAAATAAATTATTTTATACCTTTTATTTTTTTAACCCCATTAATTCTATTATGACTGCCTCAGTGCTCAGGAATGGGAACAAAATCCTATTATACCATCACAAATGATAATGATAAAGAAAAGAGGGATGTAGATACCTTTAAAAATAAGCACACCTATAGAGAGAATTCCAAAATAAAATTGGACTTTTAAAAGTCCTATCAAAATAAATAGCTGAAAGTCTCCTGATCCAGGTGAAATACTAAAGCAGTCTATGGCATTGAGGGAGGCTACAGCCTAGGGTGGGGTGAGGGTGCAAAATAATCTGAAAATAAGCAACAACAGATTTTCTTAGCTTGGTTTAAAGTAAGTAAAACAAGCAAATGAGAAGCGACTGCTAGGGAACAATGGCATAAGGTTAACACTTCAGTAGAAAGGCAGAGTTAGTTCCAGGTTGTTTTTCTTCTCTATGAAAGAACTAACATTCAATCTGGAAAGAGTGGAATAATCATAATAAAAAAAGATCATAAAAGTTTACAAAACTAAATATTATCCAGTTTCTAAGAATTCTATCCAGTGTTCAAAGAATGCTCAGCTGTTATCCCTCAGTCATCTTTGAGGAATTATTAAAAATAGAAGAAGAGCTAAAAGGCTGAGGATGAGAAATTGTTGTGCCAATTTTCCAAAAGAAGGGTGAAAAGTGAATTCACTAAGTGGTAAGTGACTCCTGAGGAAATCTAGTCTGAATTATTAAGCCAGTCATTAGAGGAAAAAATACAGTGATTTCAGTAGGAGCCAACAGGGAATCACCAGGAATGTGTTGAGCCAATGTGATTTCAATCATACCAATAGAGCTGCTTGGAGAATAGATTATGAATATGTTAAGGCATAAAGTCTCTGAATTTTAGAAAAGCACTTGAAAAAGCCCAATACTTCCTTGTAGACAAAAAGATATCGATGGAAAACAATAAAAGGGAGGTTAATTTTATAGTTTTTCAATAATCATAACATCAAAAAATGTTAATTGCAAGGAATCAAAACATGCTACTAGAGAAAATCACTTAGCCACAAAGGAAGTAAGAGAGAAAGAAAGGATCTACAACCAACTAGAAATGGCAGTACTAAGTCCCTGTCTATCAATATTTTCCTTGAATGTAAATGAATTATATTATCTAATTAAAAGACAGAAAGTGGTTAAACGATTGAAAAAACAAACAAACAAACAAACAAAACCCAGAACCCAACTACATGCTGCCTGCAAGAGACTTGCTTCACTTGTAAGGACACACATAGACTGAAAGTGATAGATTGGAAAAACATATTCCATGCAACTGGTAACTAAAATAGACTAGGAGTAGCTATATTTATTTCAGATAAAGTATTCTTTACGTCAAAAACTGTAAAAATGACAAAAAATGTTATTATATAACAAGAAAAAGGGCTAATGATAAAACAATCATAAATATATATGCACCCAACATCGGAGCACCAAAATATATAAGGCAAATATTAATAGATCTAAAGGGAGAGATAGACTGCAATATTATAATAGTAGGAAACTTTAACACCCCACTGTTATCAATGAACAGATCATCCAGTCATCAGATTTAAACTGTACTCTAGACAAAATGGACCTAACAAACATTTACAAAAGATTCCATCTGACAGCTATAGAATGAACATTCTTCTCAACTGCATATGGAACATTCTCTAGGAAAGATTATGTTAGGCCACAAAACAACTCTCAACAAATTTAAGAAGATCAAAATTATATCAAGTATCTGTTCTGACCACAATAGTATTAAACTAGAAATCAATAACAGGAGAAATCTCAAAAATTTTACAAATAAGTGGAATTTTTTTTATTTTTTTATTTATTTTTTATTTTTTTTATTTTTTTTGAGATGGAGTCTTGCTCTGTCACCCAGGCTGGAGTACAGTGACATGATCTCAGCTCACTGCAACCTCCGCCTCCCGGGTTCACGCCATTCTCCTGCCTCAGCCTTCTGAGTAGCTGGGACTATAGGTGCCCGCCACCATGCCTGGCTAATCTTTTGTATTTTTAGTGGAGACAGGGTTTCACTGTGTTGGCCAGGATGGTCTTGATCTCCTGATCTCATGATCCGCCCGCCTCAGCCTCCCAAAGTGCTGGGATTATAGGCCTGAGCCACCACACCCGGCCATAAGTGGAAATTAAAAAACAGTCTCCAAAACAACAAATGAGTCAATGAAGAAATTAAAAAGAGAAATGTAAAAAGTTTTTAAGACAAATGAAAATGGAAGAACAGCATACCAAAGCCTATGGAATACAACAAAAGCAATTCTTAGAAGGAGAGGGACGTTTATAACAATAAATGCTTACATCAGAAAAGAAAGATCTCAAATAAACACCTAAGCATTGCACCTCAAAGAACTAGAAAAACAAGAGCAAACTAAACCCAAAAATAGTAGAACAAAATAAATAATAAAGATCAGTGCAGAAATAAATAAAATAGAGACTAAAAATATATGAAAGATTAATGAAACAAAGAATTGTTTTTTTGAGAAGATAATCAAAATCAACAAACCTTTAGCTAAACTAAGAAAACAAAGGGGCTGGGTGCAGTGGCTCACACCTGTAATCCCAGCACTTTGGGAGGCCGAGGTGGGAGGATCACCTGAGGTCAGAAATTCGAGACCAGCCTGGCCAACATGGTGAAACCCTGTCTCTACTAAAAATACAAAAATTAGCTGGGCATGGTGGCGGACACCTGTAATCCCAGCTACTCAGGAGGTTGAGGCAGGAGAATCGTTTGAACCTGGGAGGTGGAGGTTGCAGTGAGCCAAGATCGCACCATTGCACTCAAGCCTGGGTGACAGGGTAAGACTCCATCTCAAAAAATTAAAAAAAGAAAAAAGAAAAAAAAAGAGAGAAGATCCAAACAAATAAAATTAAAGATGAATTAGGAAATATTACAACTGATACCACAGAAATAAAAAGAATCATAAGAAACTATTATGACAAATGTACACCAACAAATTGCAAAACCTAGAAGAAATTGGATAAATTCCTGGGCACATACAATCCACCAAGATTGAACCATGAAGAAATAGAAAGTCTAAACAGACAAATTGATATGGTTTGGATCTGTGTCCCCACTCAAATCCCACGTTTAATTGTAATCCCCAGTGTTGGAATGGGGCCTGGTAGGAGGTGATTGGATCATGGGGGTGCATCCTTCATGAATGGTTTAGCACAATCCTCTTGGTTCTGTTCTCATGATAGTAAGTTCTTGCAAGATCCAGTTGTTTAAAAGTGTGTAGCACCACCCCCCTTCACTGTATCTCTTGTTCCTGTTCCCACCAGCTGAGACATCTTGCTGTCTCTTTGCCTTCCACCATAATTGGATGCTTCCTGAACCCTTCCCAGAAGCAGAAGCAGCATTACTTCCTGTACAGGCTGCAAAACCATGAGCCAATTAGACCTCTTTTTTTAATAAATTAGCCAGTCTCAGGTATTTCTTTATAGCAATGGGAGAATGGACAAATACACCAATAATGTGAAAGAAGACTGAATCGATAATAAAACGTCTCCCCTCAGAGAAAAGTCCAAGACCTGATGGTTTCACATATGAATTCTACCAAATATTTAAAGAACTAATACCAATACTTCTCAAATTATTCCAAAAAAATTAAAAAGGAGGGAATTCTTTCAAACTCATTCTATTAGGCAGCAAAGAATGAGCAAAACCCAGGTAAGTACACAACAACAACAATAAAACTACAGGCCAATATCTCTGATGAATGTAGGTGCAAAAATTCTCAACAAAATTCTTGCAAACCAAATTCAATGGCCCACTAAAAATATCATTCACCATAATCAAGTGAGATTCATTCCAAGGATGGTTCAATATACACAATCATTAAATGTAATACATCATATTAAGAGAATGAAAGACAAAAGCCATATGATTGTTTTAATAGATTTTAATAGATGCAAAAAAAAATCTGACAAAATTCAACATCACTTCATGATAAAAACTATCAGTAAATTAGGCATAAAACACATATATTTCAACACAATAAAGCCCATATATGACAAACCCACAGATAACAACATATTTAACAAGAAAATGTTGAAAGCTTCTCCTCTAAGATCTGGAATAAGACAAGGATGCCCACTTTCACCACTCTTACTCAGCACAGTACCAGAAGTCCTAGCCACAGCAACTAGGCAAAAGAAAGAAATAAAAGTCATATAAATTGGAAAGAAGAAATTAAATTGCCCTATTTGCTAATGGCATGATTTTACAGAGACAAAACCATAAACACTCCACTAAAAAGGTGCTAGAACTAATAAACAAATTCAGTAAAGTTGCAGGCTACAAAATCAACATACAAAAATCAGTAATGTTTATACTAGTAGCAAACTATCAGAAAAAGAAATCAAGCAAGGAATTTCATTTACAATAGCTACAAAGAAATAAAATAAAATAAAATAAGAATAAATGTAACCAAGGAGGTGAAAGATCTCTACAATGAAAATTATAAAACATTAATGAAAGAAATTGAAGAAGAGACAAATAAATGGAAAGCTATCCTATGTTCATGAATTGGAAGGATTCATACTGTTAAAATAGCCAGACTACTGAAAGCAATATACAGATTTAATGCCACCCCCATCAAAATACCAATGACATTCTTCAAAAAAGCATTTTAAAATACTAAAATTCATATGGAACCACGAGAGACCCCAAATAGCTGAAGTAATCTTAAGCAAAAAGAAAAAATCTGGAGGCATCACGCTACCTGACCTCAAAGAATACTATAGAGCTACAGTAACCAAAACAGCGTTAAAAACAGACATACAGACCAATGGAACAGAATAGAGAGCTCAGAAATAAATCTTCACATTACAGCCAACTGATTTTTTACAAAGGTGCCAAGAACACACATTGAGGAAAGGAGAGTTCTCTTCAATAAATGATGCTGGAAAAACTGGATATCCACATGCAGAAGAATGTAAACCCTTATCTCTCACTATACACAAAAATTAACTTAAAATAAATTAGAGACTCAAAGGTAATACCAGAAACTATCAAACTACTAGAAGAAAACATAGCTGAAATGCTTCATTCATATTATTGGTCTGGGCAAGGTTTTCTTGAATAAGACCTCAAAAGTACAAGCAACAAAAGCAAAAATAGACAAATGGGATTATATCAAACTAAAAAGTTTTTCATAGCAAAGGAAACAAACAACAGAGTGAAAAGACAACCTACACAGAATGGGAGAAAAATATTTTCAAACTATACATCTGACAAGGAGTTAATATCCAAAATATATAAGAAACTTAAACAACTAGCCCAAGATACAAATAACCTGATTTTAAAATGGGCAAAAGACCTATAGAGACATTTCTCAAAAGAAGACATACAAATAGCCAACAAGTATACGAAAAGATGCTCAACATCACTAACATCACTAATCATCAGGGAAATGCAAATCAAAACCACGATGAGATATCACTTCATCCCAGTTAGAATGGCCATTGTGAAAAAGACAAAAGATAACAAATGCTGACAAAAATGTAGAGAAAGGAGAACCCTAAAACACTGTCGGTAGGAATGTAAATTGGTAAAGCCATATGGGAAACAATATGGAGGTTCCTCAAAAAATTAAAAATAGACTACCATGTGATTCAGCAATCCTACTACTGGGTATATTATCCAAAAGAATTGAAATTAGTATGTCAAAGAGGTATCTGAAAATCTATGTTTATCACAGACTGTTCACAATAGCCAAGACATGGAATCAACCTAAGTGTCCATCAACAGATGAATAAAGGAAAATGTGATATGTATACATAATAGAATATTATTCAGCCATGAAAAGAATAAAATTCTGCCATTTGTGACAACATGGATGAACATGGAGAACATTATATTAAGTGATATAAGCCATGCACAGAAAGACAAATACTGCGTAATCTCACTTCTAAGTAGAATCTAAAAAAGTTGATCACATAAAAGTAGAGAGCAGAATGGTGATTAACAGAGGCTAGGATTTTTGGAGCAGAAGGGAAGGGGAGATGTTGGTCAAAGCATGTATAATTACAGCTAGGAGGAATACATTTCAAGAGATCTATTGTACAACGAGATGAATATAGTTAATGATGATATATTGTATTCTTGAAAAATATAGAGAAGATGTTATGTACTCTTACCACAAAAAATGATAACTATATGAGGTAATGCATTTGTTAATTAGCTAGATTTATCTATTCCAGAAAACATGCTGTACATGATAAAAACTTACAATATTATTTGCCCATTTAAAATAGATAAATAAATGTGTTAATTGATGGCATGGGAAAAAATTCTGTCCCTCTCAAAATTTTTATTAGTAACCAAGGTGAAGATATGGAAAGTATGCTTATTCAATTTAAGGAAGACACAAAGCTGGGAGAGTTAACCCAAGCCCATATATTTCTCAGGACTCTTGATTACAAGTGAAAGAAGCCCGGTTTAAATTACCCTCAGAAAACAAATTGTTCAGTGGATAAATTATTTCAGGCATAGTTGTGTCCAGTTGCTCAGATAAAGCAACCAAGCATCAGACTTTTTCTACATTTTGGCTCTACTTTCCTCGGTGCTTGCTTCATTTTCAGGCAGTTTCTCCCAAGTGAGGTCAATTATGGCATTAGCATCTCCAGGCTTATGTTCTACCAGCTCAACAATCATAATGAAAAGAATGGCCCTCTTGCCCAAGAGTTCTGGTCAAACTCTTAGGTTGAGGCTTATTGCCCTGACTTGAGACATGTGCCCATCACTAATTCAATCACAGTGATTTAATGCTTTAAATCACTTCACTTGTCCAAGCTTGAGGTGGTGTGTCCTCTCATAGCCCAAAGTCTAAGAACAGGGAGAGAGTTTTCTCCAAAAGATTCTACACAGGCAAAATATAATGAACAAGTACACCAAAAATAATAGGCTAAGATAATCATTTAAAAGAAAAACAAGATTAAATAATAAAAGTACTGAGCTTGATTTAAAACAATCAATTTTATAAATTAAAGATGAGAATGGACCACATTTGTCAACAAACCATGTGAAAAATATTAGAAGTTGTGTTAGACAATAAGCTCATTATGAACCAACAATGTGTTACAGAAACTGGAAGAACTAATTTAATTTTAGGTTGCCTTAATAGAAAAATCATAACCCAATTATGGGATGTTATGGTCCCACTGTTTTCTTCATCGGTCAGATCATAGCTGAATGTTACATTCTAGAAGAATATTCACAAAGTCCAGTGCATCCAGAGGAGGCTGACAAGGATAAAGACCTAAAGCATCAGCTAGAGGAAGACCTGAGGAAGTTGGGGAGTTCCATCTTGGAAAAGAGATCACTAAATTATAGCAATGTTTAAATATTTGAAATGTAATCCTATGGCTATAAGACTGACTTCCTCTCTGCTACTTCAGTGGGAAGAGCTAGTACCTTTAGAGAAATGAAAGGGAAATGGATTTGGATTGGTTTAACAAGTAATACTGTCCAGCAAAATAATTGGCTCCCCTGAGATACAGCGAGCTTCTCGCAAATGTAATTATTAGGAATGCCATAGGATTATGTTGGTCACTAGTCAACTCCTGATCTATCTCTCCCAACTCTTAAAGCTATAGTCAAGGGATTACATGAGTATCTTCCCCATTATGGGCAAGTTAACAGGAAATTCAGCCCCTTTCTATATTTTCAGTAGTGAGTGAAAGACTCAGAGCTTTTGAATCTGCTGCACGAATATTACTAAAACCTCTCGCCACCCACGGACTGGAAGAAGTTCAGCACTATGTGGGAGAAAACTCCATGTGGAAAAACCTTGGAAGACAAGACACCAAGGAAATTGAGGGTTTGGGCAAATGTCTGTCTCACCTGGCACCCTCATGCATTGGTCCAAACTCAGTGTGTGTTCTAAGTTAATTAAAACATCACTACCTGATAATTATTTTTATATCTACTTCTTCAGGGAAATGGTTCAAAATTCTATTAAAGATGTTTTAATCATCCCTTGATTTCATTACCCATGTTATTTTATAACATAGATATTGTAAAAAAAAAAAAAAGTAATAAAGTAGCAAGTACATTGCAAAAATGTAGTAAAACATCTGAAAGTGTTTAATAAATGTCAAACAGTGTATACATGTAAGGAGTTATTGTAATTATTATTCATTCCATCATGGCATAGATAACTTAGAATTGGCTATATTAAAATTTTCTTTAGAAAAATATGAGAATTCACTAAATCCTCAGAAGACATAAAATAAGCAGGTAAAAGATATCAAATTTCTTTGAATTGAGAACTACAGTAGTTCCAGCCTAAGGAGATGTTACATTGATAGTGCATACTTAAATATCACTGAATTGCCATGAGGAGAAAATGAAATTTTGCGAAAAGTGCTTTCTGAGATGTTGTATAATTCCAAAGTCAAAATGTTATCATTATTCTGTTCTCATTATTAACTATGTTTTTATTATTATACTACAAGGAATTGGCTTCAGGAATATAGATATCTGGACTAAACCAACTCTACTTGATAATTAATACCAGAATTCTGGCACCCAGAGTGGGCAAAATCAGGTACAAGTTTTCTTACATGTGGATGGTTCAAATACATTAAATCAGTCCCTGGTAGATTTCATTTTTAATTACTATCAGAGGACATAATGTCAAACATAGGGACTTTGTGGTCACTCTGTATATCACAGATTGCTCTTATAATAGTCCTTATGTTAGCAAAATTGCATGGTAAAAGCACTAGATCAATAATAAAAGTATGTTGAAGACCTATATTAAGACTATATGCTTAAAAGAAATCATTGAAACCATTTTGATTCTCCATTACCATAATTCCCAAAGACCAATAAGTAGGATTCGTAAAGCCTAAATATTCTGTAAATGTATGAGAGCTGCTTTTTTAACAAGCTGAATCTCATCGTCTGGGATGGGGGATAATAAGAACTCATGAGACTGGAACTTCTCATTTCACAAATGAGAAAACAGGGGTTCGTGGCAAATAAATGCCTTATGTATCATCCATTTTGAAGTCCAATCTCAACAACAAGAGACTTCAACAAGAGACTGGCATCTGTAGTATTTCTTATGAGAATTTTACATATTCTTATGGTAAAATATGACCACATATTTAATAAAACCCAATATGTCCATAATCCTTTTCCTTCATGGTCATTATCCCTACCAAATAAATATTATTAAACATGTGTAAGGAGGCCAGGTTTAAATTGGATGTTGTACTTGAAGGTCTATGATTCATTTCTGGTAATAACCAAGATTATAATCAGAAAGGAATAAAAATATTGCCCAACATATCTAAATACACAAATATGTAGGAAACTAGAACTGCACTACTTTACATGCACAAGGTCTGTAAAGAAACATGTTCATACGTGTATAGCTGTGAAAAATGGGAAAGATTTGTTAAAAAAAAAAAAGATTAACAGGAAATATTGACCTTGTTTCCACTTGGGGTCAAAAAAATGCAAAGAGATTCTTTCATATATTTTATTTCCCTGAGGAAAGTATGTTAGTTTAAAAAAATCTTTGAGCAATGAAATCTCTCTAGTTTCCAGTGGTGCTTTCTTTTTCTAGTACTATTTTACCTCAGAATTACTTTTGCCTTGTTGAAAGCAAAAAGGCAAAATTTGGCAAACTTTAACCCAGTCAAAATGGATGTTAATTGCAGTGTTATAACACTAACTTGCGCATCCTTACTCAACCATAGGAAACTCATTATGTCCCCATTTAACGTTCTGAAAACATTTTTAGACCATTTGTAGGTTCAAATGGAAATAAATATGACTGTAAGTGTAGAATTGTCATTTTAATCAAATTGAATTTTCCAATTAGAGAAAGAAGTCTTACTAAGATTACCCATAATTCATATTCATAGAAGACTTCAGTTTGGGTTGTAGAACTCTGAAAGACCATTTCAAACAAGAAATTTGGATTCTTAGAGTGATGTATTTATCAGCATATGTTATTGGTGACTTTTTAAGCACTAAAATACTTTTTATAATAATGTATTAATGATCCATAGTATAAATCTTTTAAGATACTGGCTGATTTAGAGTTCAAAGGTTAAATTTTGAAAATGATGAGAAACTGGACAAATGTATTTCCAAACAGCATCATCACTTTAACAGGAACAAAGAGTTGAAATTTTGCTTTTCATAATAAATAAAAATCCTTATACTCTTTTAGTGCTATTGTCTAAATGCTCATCTATGCTGGTTTGAAAAAAGCATATGACTATAATATCTATAAAATGTAATAAGAGAAATCAAATCAAAACAGAATGTTAAATCTGGTCAGCTTGAAGAGTTTAATAGTACCATTAATAATACATCCATAAACTGTGTTCATTTAAATACCAAAGTTGAGTTCTTAAGCAGAATAAATAAATATACACCGTAGAATCCAAGACTTTTTAGGATGACTCATTACTTTCAGTCCTGACATTCAGCTAATGATGATATATTACACTGTGTTTATATCACATTGCATTTATATTACATTAGGAACAATCTTTATGACCTGATGTTCAGGGTTGTTTTTTCTTAAAATTTCTCCCAAACTTACACAGTTTTCTAAACATTTGAATTCAAAAGGCACAAGTCTATGCACTATAATTAACATGCTGCCTGAGGTTTATAAGATTTAGGAAGCAAGAACTTCCAAGATTCCTGAAGCGATCTAACCCCACAAGACAGATGGTCTGCAAACATCTGATCAGCAGGCTCAGGATTAGGTCTAGGCAGAAGAGGCTGTGACCCCAGATGTGTGATTGGAGGGCATTAAAAAATGTCTTCTGTTCCACCTCTGGTCTGAATAGTATTTGTTATTCTGTTTACAAAAAGATGCATCCATGTGGGTCATGGTTGCATCTGCCAGAGTCCCCTGTTAAAATTTATCCTGTACATGGCTGAATACATTTGTTGAATAAATATTTACTAAGTGCCTACTATGTTCTAAGTACCAGGAGTAATATTGAGAGGCTTGAGCTATAGGGTTGCAGAAACACTAGGAAGTAAAAAAGAAATTTTAGGAACAGAAAAATCTGGGTTCAAACCTTATCACCACCACCTCTTACAAGCTGTAGAACCATGGATAAGTAAGTCAGTCTCAATTTCCTGACTTGTAAAATAGGGATATTAGTACCCATATCTATCATGGAGTATGGATCATAATTGATTGAAGCATGGTTAAGCTAAGCGTTTGGAGGGGATTTAGGGGAGTTCCTGGCACATATGAAATATTCAATAATTATGGCTGTTGTTAATATTGTTATGAGCCATAGATACTACACTCAGGGAATTTAAAGTGAAATAGGAAGATACGGTATCTGCACACATAACTATGATACAAAGTAGAAAGAACAGTTCAGAGAAAGCAAGATGGTCTCCAGAAGTAGGAGTCCAGGAAAGTTTGAGAAAAGAAGTCACAGTTGAGCTGGATCCTGAAATTTGAGCAAACATTTCTAGAAAAAATAGCAAGTATACCTAAATACCCAGTCAGGATTAGTGCATTCATTCATTCTCTATTCATTCATAATAAACAAACATTCTTGGAGTTTAAGAGAGCTTCATAAAGAGAAGGGGTACATTTTTGTTAATGTGAATGGTGAGTTCTGCAATTTTTCTGCTTTTGGGGAGGGTGGATCTGAGTAGAGTGTTAATGGCGGAGGCCAATCGTGAGTGCTGGGTGCCAATCTAAGGTAAATCACAGAGGAGGCGGGATACAGGGGAAGGACACAAGCAGAAAATGTCCCCTAATTACTTAACAGTTTATTTAGGGAGAAGTGATTCGATTAGGAAAGGAATGAAATGTATACATGTACACTGGCTGAGTTCTGTAGATTAGAATACAAGGGATAGGAGATTTTGCATTGAGGGATTTTTAGTATTCCGTTTTATCTCCTGTATTGGCTTATTGGCTATGCATCTTTTTAGATTGTTTTCAATGGCTGCTCTAGGGTTTACGATATGCATCTTTAATATATCCCAGTCTACCTTCAAATAATTATTATACTACGTGACATATCACTGAAGAACTTTACATAGTATACCTTATACAATACTGTACTTCCTTTTCTCTCCTCCTGTCCTTTCTGTTATTGTCACCATAAATTTTACTTATACATATTTTATTAACCCCACAATACATTATTATTATTATTATTACCCTTGCTTTAAACCATCAGTTAACCTTTTAAAAGATATAAAAATGAAGGGAAAACATCCTTTATATTTACCAACATATTTACCATTCCTGTGCTCTTCATTCTGTCCCCACAATACCCCCAACCCCCACTACCCCGATCTGGAATTATTTTCCTTCTGCCAGAAAAACTTTCTGTAACATTTTTTAAAGTGCCAGTCCACTAGTAATGAAATCTCTCGGTGTCTATCTGAAAAAACCTTTTTATTTTACCTTCATTTTTAAGGATACTGTCTTTAGTATATAAAATTCTAATTTGACAGATTTTTGTTTTTGTTTTTGTTTTTTAGTTTAGTACTTTAAAGATACATCATTGCTTTGGGCTTGCATATATCTGGTAAAAAATCTGTTATAATTTTTTATTGTGTTTATTTACATGTAATATGTATTTTTCTTCTCTGGCTTCTTTTAAAATTCCTCTTTTTCATTGATTTTTAGCAATTTGATTACAAGGTGCCTTGGTATATTTTGTATGTGTGTTTGTGTTTTTCCTGCTTCATTTATTGAATATCTTGATCTATAAATTTATAGGTTTTGCCCAATTTTGAAAAAAAAAAAAACAGCCATTATTTCTTCAAATAGTGCCCACCCCCATTCTTCTGCGGCCCCAGTTGCACAAATATTACACTGCTTGATATTGTCCTAAAAACCACTGAGACTCAGTTAATTTTTTTAGGAAGTTCTTTTTGCAATTTCTGTTTTCTTTTTCTATTGTATGTATTTATCATATATAACATGATGTTTTCAAATATGTGTACACTGTGAAATGGCTAAATCAAGCTAATTAATTTATATATTACCTCATACACTTACCATTTTTATGATAAGAACACAAAGTCTAGTCAGTAATTTGCAAAATTACAATGTATTGTTATTAACTATAGTCACTATGTTGTACAATACATCTATTGAACTTATTCTTCCTGTATAATTGAAATTTTGTATATTTTGACCCCTCTTTCCCCTACCCTCAGCCCCTGGTGACCATTATTCTACTCTCTACTTCTGTGAATCCAACTTCTTAGATCCCACATATAAATTTTTAAAAAGTTCGTTTTTTAAATTGTTTTCTCTTTTTGCTTCATTCTTGATAGATTCTATTGCTGTGTTCTAATGTTCACTGACTTTTATTCTATGGTTCTATTTTACTGGTAATCCCATTCAGTGAAATTGTTTTTCTGATGTAGTTTTTGTCTCTAGAAGTTCCATTTGGGTCTTTATTGTATCTTCTTCTTTCCTTTTTATTATGTTCATGTTTTCTTTTATATAGTTTAACATAATTTTGTGATATCTGTCTTAACATTCTTGTCTACTAGTTCTGTCATCTTTGTCATTTCTAGTCAGTTTCTATTATTTTTTCTTATCATTTTGGCCTATATTTCCCTGCTCTTTGGCATATTTTTAAACTTTTTATTGGATACTGAACATTACTAATTTTCACATTGCCAAGTGCTAGATGTTATTATGTTCCTTGAATGAGTACAGGGCTTTATTTTAGTGCTTATGTTATTGGAGGATCAGTTGGGTCACTTTAAGGTCTGTTTTTAACCTTCTTTGGGAGGGGTCATGAGTAGCCTTTAATCCAGGTATTAAACTCTGCTACTGCTGTGTGACCTCTGCATACTGTTCACCTGAAAACCCTTGCTTGTCCTTGCTCCACATTGTGGTAATAGACTCTACTCATGCACAGCTTGGTATTTAATTAAGAGCCACAGGGATGAACTCCCGTGCAGATTTCTGGAGCTCTTGTTCTGCATGGCTCCTTCCTTTCTACAACTCCACCTTGCAAATTTCAGCCGTTGTAGCCTCCTTAAACTGCAGTCACCATCTCCTCACCTCAGCGAGACCATCAGCCTTAGTTTGAGTTTTCTCTCCCTGTACCCATTGTGTAGAAATTGTTTTCAGACCAAATCTATGGGGATTATACAACTTGCCTCATGTGTTCCCTTCTCTAGGAGATCACAGTCCTGTGCCGCCTGCTGTCTAATGCCTATAAACAATTATTTTAGGCCAGGCACGGTGGCTCATGCCAGTAATCCCAGCACTTTGGGAGGCTGAAGCAGGTGGATCACAAGGTCAGGAGTTCAAGACCAGTCAGGCCAACATGGTGAAACCTCGTCTCTATTAAAAATACAAAAAAATTAGCTGGGCATGGTGGCATGTGCCTGTAATCCCCGCTACTCAGGTGGCTGAGGCAGGAGAATCGCTTGAACCTGGGAGGCAGAGGTTGCAGTGAGCCAAGATCACACCACTGCCCTCCACCCTGGGCAACAGAGCGAGACTCTGTCTCAGAAAAAAAAAAAAGTTATTTTATTAATTTTTTTGACAATTTTCTAATTTTCTGTAGAAGGGTAAGTTCACTCGTTCTTACCCCTCATGGCCAGAGAAGCACAATACAGGATTAGCAATGCTAAAGAAATAAATTCTGACTCTTCTGTGGTGAAAAACAACAATCAAAAGACCCAGGAGACATGGTGATGACACAAGATCACAGTCTATTAGAGCTCCTATATTTTAACAAACAACTACCAAGAAGCATTTGCTGATTTTACTGTGTGTATTTGGAGGAATATTTCTAGAGGAAAATTACAGGCCCCCATCCTATTCAAATTTTCATTCTATGTCATTGATTGAACAAGTCTATGAAATTTAGCAAAAATATAAAGCTAAAAACGTTAGCTACTTCTCTGAGTGGAATCAGAAAGTTTCAATAGGTGGAACAGGCTGAAATTTAATGAGAATACACATAAAATTTTTTATTTAACTTCAAAAGTCCAAGGACACAAGTACAAAATAGAAAGATCTGCTGTCTTGGCCAATTTACATGAGAAATGGCTACCATTTTATTTGGCCATAAGCTTAATATAAACTGTACTGACACTGATTTTTTAAAAAGAGAGAGAAAAGGGAAGGGGAAACATGGAAAGAATAAGAAAAGAGAAGAAATGAAACTTCAGGCTAAAGACAATAATCCTGCTTTGAGGCACCTGAGAGCAAGAAATTTGTTTTATTTACTAATATATCCTCCTCATAGGGCTTTAAAAGTCTTAATATGCTTTTGTTCAATAAATTGTGTTCAGTTCCAGGGATTGCATTTTATGTGGTACACTGACAATCTAGAACACATCCAGAATAGGGAATCCAGCTTTCTGATGATTCTAGAAAATATCTCAATACAGAAATTGTTGAAGGCTGGGCATAGTGGCTCAAGCCTATAATCCCAGCACTTTGGGAGGCGGAGGTGGGCAGGTGCATTGAGCTCAGGAGTTGGAGACCAGCCCGGACAACATGGTGAGACCCTGTCTCTACAAAACATACAAAAATTAACCAAGAATGCTGTCCTGTGCCTGTAGTCCCAGCTACTTGGGAAGCTGAGGTGGGAGGTGAGGATTGCTTGAGCCTGGGAGGAGGAGGTCACAGTGAGCCAAGATTGTGCCACTCCAGCCTGGGTGACGGGGTGAGATTCCACCTCGGAAAAAAAAAAAAAAAAGGAAGTAGTTGAATGCATTTTGCATTCAAATCAAAGAAGACAAGGCTAAGAGAGGATATGTAGACTATCTTAAAATATTTGCATGGCTAACAAATATTTTATGGAGTTGTCAAATTGCTCTGTGTCTCTCCAGAATAGAACACTGCAGCTATGGGGGGGAGTTACAGGAAAACAGGTTTGAATCTACCCACAGTATAGCATCTTTCTACAGGAACAAGGTCCCAAACACTGGACTCACTTATATAGCAGATCCACCACTTAAAATATTTTGAAGAGGTGTTTTGAGACGGCTTAGGAATTCTATTTCCCTTTCAACTCTATATATCTGTGATTCCTCAGTGCCAATGAAACAGAATAAACATTTTTACCTCTCTCTGTGTCATGACAGAAAATCCTTAGTCAGCACTGGTTTACAATCACGTCACTAACAGACCAGATCCTTTTCACCAGGTCTTCTACTACAAATCAGTGTTTTCGCTACTAGAGGGTAATCAGTCTCAAACTTTGCCACACTAGAGAATCTCTTGAAGTAGAGATGCGTGAGAAGAAGAGATAGGGGAGAGAGAAGGAAGCACATGTGTTCTATGTTGGATGACATGGGGACACAGAAAAGAAGTCCAGGCTCTTTCTATGGTCTGGGATATGGCTGTACTCTTATAAACCAACCGACTACTGCACTCAACATTTTACATCAATAGGCAGTGCATTATTCTGATGTCACTTTTTTTTTTTTTTTTTTTTGGAGATGGAGTCTCGCTCTCTCACCCAGGCTGGAGGGCAATGCCGTGATCTTGGCTCACTGCAAACTCTGCCTCCTGGGTTCAAGCAATTCTCTGCCTCAGTCTCCCGAGTAGCTGGGATTACAGGCACCCGCCACCATGCCCGGCTAATTTTTGTATTTTTAGTAGAGATGGGGTTTCATCGTGTTGGCTAGTCTTGAACTCCTGACCTTGTGATCCACCTGCCTTGGCCTCCAAAAGTGCTGGGATTACAGGTGTAAGCCACCGTGCCTGGCCGATGCCACTTTTTAATTGTTCCAATACAAAAACATAAAAATGTGTATCTGTGGCCGGGTGCAGTGGCTCGTGCCTGTAATCCCAGCACTCTGGGAGGCTGAGGCAGGTGGATCACGAGTTCAGGAGATCAAGATCATCCTGGCTAACACGGTGAAACTCCGTTTCTACTAAAAATACAAAAAATTAACTGGCTTTGGTGGCAGGCACCTGTAGTCCCAGCTACTCGGGAGGCTGAGGCAGGAGAATTGCTTGAACCCGAGAGGCGGAGGTTGCAGTGGGCCAAGATCGCACCACTGCACTCCAGCCTGGGCGACAGAGTGAGACTCTGTCTCCAAAGGAAAAAAAAAAGTATCTGTGGCAAAATATAAATAAGTGTTGAAACTAAATAATGGATACATTGATTAATCACACCATTGTCTCTGCTTTTGTGTATATTTGGTATTTTCCATGCTTTTTTAGCATTAACCTTTTTAAGGTCTTAGTTTAGTCTCTCAGCTGTCTTCCAGTTATATTCAGTCATGTTCAGGAGTAACATTTTATCTCTTCTCTTAATTATGCCTTTGGGTGTGGAGGAGCCCCACTAGTAATAGATCCATTGCCTTTATGACTCCTAGCTCCAACTTCCCCTGAATAAGTGAAAGGACTTACCTGATGAGTGATTTTGAGATAGGAAAATGGGTATGCATAGTTCATCTCCATCCCTCCTTCCTTTTGGGAGCCACCTACTCACAGAAAGCACACACCTGTTCTGTCCTCCACACTGTAAGTTGTTGAGGGGCAGCTCCTACAAGAGGAGGCTAGTTCAGTGCTACCTGTGATCAAGAGGATAAGTCCAATTCTGGGATAAAGCATTAGAAAGTCCATTGTTGCTGCAATCCAAGCCTTGACAACTGTCCAGGTTTTATAAAGCCAATAGTTTTATGCCAGTTTATCTGAGTACTTTGTCTTTCTCAGAGGATTCAGCACTCTGCAAGAAAGAAGGATGCTATGCAATGATCCCTTAAAGCCCCATCAATTCCTGCTTCATGCCTAGAAAGACTTTCCATTCTTTCTTTCCTAGTTATCTTTGTTGATCAACCTTCCTGAGAAGTTTTTTCTAAAGTACTTGATCAGGTGAGTTACTACTTCCCCCAATTCACACTCCTTTTCTCAGTACTCTGTTTGTACTCACATTATATCATTTATAGAACTGTGTTGTTACTGTCTGTTTAGCTATCTGTGTTGCCAACTAGATGGTGCCTTCTAGAGCAAGGAAATGTTGTTCATACATATGTATCCAACACTGGCATAATGTCTGATCCTCAGTTAGGTATGCTCAAAATATTCTATAATTGAATGAATGAATAAATGAATGAAGCACTTAATCTTTTTGATTAGTAGTTTATTTTTAAAATCTTAGTCATTTTTGCTGAGAGAATCTAAGAACTCTAATGCCTGATCCAACAATCATGTATCTCAACTGAGTTTTAACCTATATTAAATTTATTAATTTATAATCTATGAGCTCTAAAGGCAATGTATTAATTTATTCAGTTCCTTAATTATTACACTTTGGTACCAAGAGTCAGGAATCCTGATGTTCATTTTTGGCTCTATCACTGACATCTTTGCCTTCAATGAAACCACTTAATCAGATTGGTGACTCAGTTCCGTATCTATAAAATGGTGGCACTAGTTTTCTTGGTAAATGCTCTCATATCCCTTATTAACTAACACTTTCCATATGAACTTGCATTTTTAGTACTACATATTTAGTTATGATTTCAGACCACAGATGAATTTTGGAAACTTATTGAAAAGCCATTGCATTTAATGCTGAGATATGTTTTTTAACTTTTTATTGGTATAAAAGTATTCTTTAATATTGAAAGAATCAGAGTCCATAAAATTACTCCCATTCAATGGAAAGGTCATCATTTCCATACTTTGGCTAAATTAAGAAATAAAGACAAAATTTGGGTATTATTAAATTTAGTGACACTTGAGGGGAAAATATGCACATTAAAATATAATTAATGTATCTGTTAAACAGCAATTTTAATAAGAATGAAAGTCTGGTTCAGTATCAGAATGAAATTGAGTAGCTTCCTCATTTTAGTAACTGGAGAATTTCCCAGTAGCACCCGCCTATTTCTATAGCTTTTGCAGGGAAAGAATGAAGTTGATGGGAAAGAGACACTACTAAAGAGGTTAAGACATCTGTAACTAAGACAACCAGTAACCCACCCAATATTCATTTTTCCTTTTTTTTTTTTTTTTTTGAGATGGAGTCTCACTCTATCGCCAGGCTGGAGTGCAGTGGTGCAATTTCGGCTCACTGCAGCCTCCGCCTCCTGGGTTCAAGAGATTCTCCTGCCTCAGCCTACCGAGTAGCTGGGATTACAGGAGCGTGCCACCACACTCAGCTAATTTTTGTATTTTTAGTAGAGACGGGATTTCACCATGTTGGCCAACATGGTCTTGGTCTCCTGACCTTGTGATCCACCCGCTTCGGCCTCCCAAAGTGCTGGGATTACAGGAGTGAGCCACCGCACCTGGCCTTTCCCTTCTTTCACTAAATACAAAATTCCAATTTTATACTGAGAGGTAAGATTTTCGAGTTTAAAAAAATACATTTCTAGCCTCTCTTGCAGCTAGATGTGGCCTTGACATTAAGTTCTGGCCAAAAAGATGATAGTGAGAGTTGTTGGATATGCTTTCCAGTGAGAAACCCTTGAAAGGATGCCCAACAGCTGTAACAGCCCTGTTGCCCTTGGCCTTTTCTCCTTTCTCTCATCTGGAATATAGACATGATGGCTGAATTTTCAACCATCATTTTGAGACTTTAAGGAAGGAAGCCAGGGCTAAGGATGGCTTAGTAGTAAATAACAAGGAGCCAGCCAGGGTTCCAGGTAATTTAATAGAGTTACCATGTCAGTTCCTGGGCATTCTTCAGGACTAATACTTCCTTTCTGTGAAAGAAAATAAATCCTTCATCTCTTTAAGCCATTGCGATAGGGTTGCTGATGCTGACTACCAAGTGTAATTTCTGGGTGGTACAACACATCCTACCTTAAGAGAAAGATAATCCCAGATCCACCTTACTTTAGAAATCTTG
The DNA here is from genome assembly GCF_000001405.40 of Homo sapiens. Lineage (NCBI taxonomy): Eukaryota > Metazoa > Chordata > Mammalia > Primates > Hominidae > Homo > Homo sapiens. The sequence goes on from NC_000018.10 coordinate 25,768,689, forward strand.
TGGGGCAGAAAAAAAAAAACCTTGTCAGATGTTTTACTATCTTCAGTTGCCAAGATAAATTTTAAAATCTCAGTTTGAGAAATGATCAACTACCCTTGGAAACTCTGCATGGGGTCACAGCCCTAAGGGAAGTTTCCTAGCCTTCCTTGTAACAGTTACCCAAAACAAACAGCTCTCTGCCAAGCAGTAAAACACAGATTCCACTTAGCTCTAAGCACCTGTGACTTCAAATACATATGGCCCCATAAGGGAGGTAAGATTGGTTCCTGTGAATATTGCTACCATTGTTTTTACTATTACGAGTATCTGTTCATAGGTCTGTTTCTCCCTGTAGGCTGAGTTTCTTGAGGGCTGAGATGGTCATATTAGTCATTGTGTCCCAAAGTTACCGGCACTCCAGAGATAGATGTTAAGTGAATAAATGAATGAATTCTTAGGCTCTAAATTCCTCAGGAGCAAGTGATGGGGCTAAGAGCCATAGGCTGACTTCAAGAATGCCCAGCTAGTTTATTTTTCCCTCTGCTGAAAAAAAGAGTTGGGTAAATTGAAGATAGGAAGAGAGAGTAGTCTCTTTTCTTCCACACTCAGGGAAGAGATATTTCACCTGAAAAAGATGATACTGATTGCACTACTTGTTATTCATTTTAACATTCCAGGATGACAGGAAGCTTTGCCTCCCCTTGTGATGTAGGATAGCAATCCACAGTTAGATCCAATGGCTGTGAGAAGGGGCTGTCAGGATGAGTAGGCAGTCATGAAGCAGAGGAAAGCTTTTCCATCAGAGGGGAAAACAACAGCATGATAAAGTGTGAAGCATGTGGGGAATCCTTACTCCTTCAGTGAGAGATGTTACAACTATGCCATGCCTTGCGTCCAAGCACGGAATTCTGCTCAGATTAACAGAAGCAATTCTAAAACCGATTTCCAAAGTGATTTTGGTCTTGAAACATTTTAGTCAAAGAAAATCTTAAAGTCCAACGTGTAAGACTACAAAAGTGGAACTTCCCTGGTTGAAGAGGCAGGCGAGAGATGCAATGACTTCCTGTTCCCCATCTCTTCATCTGTGCTATCCCCACATTGCCCTTGGGGAAGAAAGAACAGTTTGAAAATCACTCAGTACTACCTCCTTGCTGTGCCTATAAATGAACCCATAGGCTAAGGAAAGATTTATTCCTTTACTCATTTCCCAGCAGCAGAAACAGCAGATTCACCCAAAAGGGGAAGCATCAAACTTCAACCAGAGCCTAGAATTCAAAGTGCCTCCTCTTTCCCTGCCACCTATTTTACCTGCCTGCAGTTCCTCATAATGAAGCAAGTTATTAAACTATTCTTTCAACATTTGCCTAAATCCATTCCCTTCATTAGACAGTATACTTTCGTTTAAAAGAGTTGATTTGTTAAATGGATTATGCAAAAGGCTACAGCCTTACTGACTAACATCCTTCTGTACATATGTCTTTGTTAACTTCCCAAAACTGCCTTTGGCCATTTGAAAGACCAGGAAAGAGAGTCCAATTAGCTACGTTGGTCCATTCTCCTTGATCAAACCACCTTTTAGCTATTTCACATTCTTTTAGTTTCTCAGATTTAGTGCCATCCTATCTGGATGCCAGATGTTTTATTTGAAAATAGTTACTAGAATATAAATGGAATGAAAACTAATCAGGTTATTATAAATTCAAATAAGGTAGATTGGTTTTTTGAGAAAATCTTTGGTGACTGAGCAAGCAAAGAAGTATTTTTATCAAATGAAACTTGGGCATCACACGAGAAAGCACTGGGTAATCTTTCCACATAGCTTTGGGCACTCCATCAATATTAAACAGTAGCAATAAAACCACCATGGCCATGACCTGCAATACCCCTGGATTCTCTTGGCTTCTCATGAAATGTCTAACCTGTCAAATGGTATGATGTTTGTAAGGGGAAAACCTGTAGGCTGATAGTCTAATTCTGCACTTAGTAGGAGAGAGAAGCTTGGTTCTTGTCAAATAAGTCTAAAAGTTCAAGCATTTATTTCTAGATGCTGATAATAAATGTAGTCACTTCTCCTATGGTCAGTTATTTGGTGGGGATAACTTGGGCTCACCATATTATTTTTAAAGTCAAGTCCAACCATCAGCATAGAACATTGTGGATACTTTGTTTACTTATCATGTTAGTTTTCTAGGACTCTCATAACAAAGTACCACAGGCTGGGTGACTGAAACAACAGAAATTTATTTTCTTGCAGTTCTGGAGGCCAGAAGTCTGAGACTGAGATGTTAGGAGGGTTGGTTTCTTCTAAGGTCTCTCTCTTAGTTTGCATATGGCCATCGTCTCTTTGCATCTTCACATGGTCTTCCATCTCTGTGTGTCTGTCCTGATCTCCCTTTCTTATAAAGACATCAGTTATATTGCCCTAATTAGGGTCCTTTCTAATGATCTCATTTTCACTTAATTACCACTTTTTTTTTTTTTTTTTTTTTTTTTGAGACGGAATTTCACTCTTGTTGCCCAGGCTGGAGTGCAATGGCGCAATCTCGGCTCACCACAGCGTCCGCCTCCTGGGTTCAAGCAATTCTCCCGCCTCAGTCTCCCGAGTAGCTGGGATTACAGGCATGCGCCACTACGCCCAGTAATTTTGTATTTTTAGTAGAGACGGAGTTTCTCCATGTTAGTCAGTCTGGTCTCAAACTCCCGCCCGCCTTGGCCTCCCAAAGTGCTGGGATTACAGGCGTGAGCCACCATGCCCAGCCCACTCAATTACCTCTTTAAAGGACCTACCTCCACACATAATAACATCCTGAGGTACTGGGATTAGGACTTCAACATATAAATTTGGAGGACACACACTTTGGTCCATAACACTTAGAATAACTGAAGGAAACATCGTGTGCATTAATTACCAGTTCCTTATTTTATAGTTGAGGAAATTGGACCCAAAGAAATGAAGTGCCATGACCAAGAATAGATTTAAAGTAGGGATAGAATGAGAGATGGGCAGAACTAGGACCAGAACAAAAGTCTCTCAGGCTTTCAGTCCACTGCTGTCTCTGGAAATTTAGAGGGGGAAAAAATTGGTTCCATGAAAACCTGTTTTATGTCCAGTGAAGTTACAGTGTAAAAAGCATTACAGTAGTTGCTTAATCATGTTATCTATGGATGGGCACAATGAAGTTCACTTTCTCTTAGTCTCAGATGTAATTGCACTGACTTCTGGTTTCAGATTGTTACGCAAAACTATGTCACTTCACTTATCTATCAAGAAGCGTATGCAATTCCAGGTACATTCAAGACTGGGAATAGGAAAAAAATATTCAAATATCTATATTACCTTCTTTATCCTAAAGCAAGAAACAAATTGCTTTGGTGCCTCAGGTGGTCAGGTGTCATGTGGCTCTGAGTCGAGAATGGATATTTCCCAAGAGGCACTTTGAAATGTTGCCATAAATTACAACATATATCATGTGACTGGTTAAATGAATTTATGGTTTCTGTCATCTAGAATAAACCCAGTTGCCCCTCACAAAATGGACATATAGTTTGCAAAGATGCTTTCAAAGAAACTGCAGATTGAAAATAGCATAAGTAATATAAGCACGAGAAAATAAGAAAATGGGGCTGGGCCCGGTGGCTCACTCCTGTAATCCCAGCACTATCGGAGGCCGAGTCGGGTGGATCACCTGAGGTCAGGAGTTCAAGACCAGCCTGACCAACATGGCAAAACACTCTCTACTAAAAAATACAACAATTAGCCAGGCATGGTGGCAGGCGCCTGTAATCCCAGCTTAGATCATTGATTTTCAACTTTTATTATTTCTAATGTATGTATTACAGTCTATAAACTTCCCTCTGAGCACTGTGTTAGCTGCATGCTACTAATTTTGATATATAATTATTATTGAGCTGAAATGTTCTAATTTCAATTATAATTTCTTTTTTACCCGTTGGTTATTTAGGAGAATATTGTTTAACTTCCAAGCAGTTGAGCATTTTCTAATTACATGTTAATAATTCATTTATATCCTCATTTACACTGTAGACAGACAACATAATCTGAATAATTTCAACGTTTTGACATTCATTGGGGCTTCCTTTATGAACCAACACATCATCAATTATGATAAAAGTTTACTGCACACTTGAGAAGAATATATATTTGGATGCTGTTTGGTGCAATGTTCTATACTGTATATGACAATTAAGTCAAGTTGTAAAGATCTTCTAAATTCTTAATGATATTGACATATTTTTATTTCTCTTTTTAGTTCTATCAATGTTTGCTTTATTTTTAAACTATATTATTGGGCACATGCAGATTTAAGACTGGAATATTCTGTCTTACTCTCTGGTAATAATACTTGCCTTAAATATGATTTTTCTAATATTAGTATACTATACTATTTTTTTGTTTGTGTTGTGTGTGCGCGTGTGTGTTTCCTTTCTTTCACTTTAAACAAATTTGTGTCCTGATAGCTAAGGTATAGCCTTTGCAGTAAGCATATATTTAGATTTTTGCTTTTCAGTCTTACCATCTTAGTCTTCTAGTAGTAGTGTTTAGTCCATTTACATTTAATTTAATTTAATATATAATTGGGTTTATACATACCATCTAACAATTTGTTTTCTATTTCACTCATCTGATTTGTTTTTTTGTCTTTTCTCTTTTGGAACCTAGTAATATGTATGTTAGATATTTTCATGTGCCTCACATATCTATTTCACTCATCCCTATTTTCATTTTTTCTATATATGCTTTGTTTTACTTATTTATTTTGAAACAGGGTCTGACTCTGTTGCCCAGACTGGAGTGTGTAGTGTGAACATGGCTCACTGCAGCCTTGACCTCCCAGGCTCAAGCAATCCTCCTGCCTCAGCCTCCTGTGTAGCTGGAACCACAGGCATGCACCACCAGGCTTAGCTAATTTTTTAAATTATTTGTAGAGACAAGGTCTCACTATGTTTCTCAGGCTGGCCTTGAACTCCTGGGCTCAAGTGATACACCCACCACAGCCTCCCAAAGTGCTAGGATTATAGGTATTAGCCACCATGCCCAGCCTACATATGTTTTATTTTTAGGCATTTTCTATTTATCTGTCTTCTAGTTCTTTAATCCTGTCTTGTTATGTGTCTAATCCATGCTAACTCCATCCATTGGGCACTTAATTTCATATATTGTAATTTTTATTTCTGAAATTTTTATTTTCTTTTCTCTAGATTTCAGTTTTCCGGTAAAATTTTCCATCAAACTATATTTCTTTCTTTTTTTCTATTTTTCTGAGCAAAATAACTACAGTTGTTTGGAATCCCGTATCTCTTAAACACAATACTAGATCACCTACAAGTGTGTTTCTACTATCTGATTTTTCTCTTGAAGTTTGGTTATATAATCATATTTCTTGGCATAACTAATAATTTTTGTTTCAACAACAGACATGATGACTTTAGATGATATTATATTTCACCAGAGAAAGTTCACACTTTCCTCTGCTAGGTATAATAGATTCAGGGAGAAGGCAATCCCCTTTATCTACTTGGGACTAAGCTGTTACTATGTTAATAAATATTAAAACATTTATTCATGTTATTATTTATGTTATTTATAAATTATTATATTTATGTTAATAGGAAATTTTTGATGGATTTTTTAACACCCCACTGTCCATATTAGACAGATCAATGAGACAGAAAATTAACAAAGATATTCAGGACTTGAACTCAGCTCTGGATCAAGCAGATCTAATAAACATCTACAGAATTCTCCACCCCAAATCAACAGACTATACATTCTTCTCAGCGCCACATGGCACTTATTCTAAAATTGACCACATAATAGGAAGTAAAACACTCCTCAGCAAATGCAAAAAAATCATAACAAACAGCCTCTCAGACCACAGTGTAATCAAATTAGAACTCAGGATTAAGAAACTCACTTAAAACCACACAGCTACATGGAAATTGAACAACCTGCTTCTAAATGACTCCTGGGTAATAATGAAATAAAGGCAGAAATCAAAAAGTTCTTTGAAACCAATGAGAACAAAGAAAAAACATACCAGAATCCCTGGGACACAGCTAAAGCAGTATTAGGAAGGAAATTTATAGCACTAAATACCCACATCAGAAAGCTAGAAAGATCTCAAATCAACACCCTAACATCACAGGTAAAAGGGCTACAGAAGCAAAAGCAAACAAATCCGAAAGCTAGCAGAAGGCAAGAAATAACCAAGATCAGAGCAGAACTGAAGGAGATAGAGACATGAAAAACCCTTCAAAAAAATCAGTGAATCCAGGAGCTGGTTTTTTTAAAAAAATTAACAAAATAGATAGACTGCTAGCTAGACTAATAAATAAGAAAAAAAGAGAAGAATCAAATAGACACAATAAAAAAATGATAAAGGGGATATCACGACTGACCCCACAGGAACACAAACTATCATCAGAGAATTCTATAAACACCTCTATGCAAATAAACTGGAAAATCTAGACAAAATGGATAAATTCCTGGACAAATACACCCTTCCAAGACTAAACCAGGAAGAAGTCAAATCCCTGAATAGACCAATAACAAATTCTGAAATTGAGGCAGTAATTAATAGCCTACCAACAAATAAAAGCCCAGGAACAGACAGATTCACAGCTAAATTCTACCAGAGGTACAAAGAGGAACTGGTACTTCTGATACTATTCCAAACAATTGAAAAGGAGGGACTCCTCCCTAACTCATTTTATGAGGCCAGCATCATCCTGATACCAAAATCTGGCAGAGACACAATAAAAAAAGAAAATTTCAGGTCAATATCCCTGATGGACATCGATGCAAAAATCCTCAATAAAATACTGGCAAACCAAATCCAGCAGCACATCAGAAAGTTTATCCACCACAATTAAGTGGCTTCATTTCTGGGATGCAAGGCTGGTTCAACACACGCAAATCAATCAACGTAATCCATCACATAAACAGAACCAACGACGAAAACCACATGATTATCTCATTAGGTGCAGAAAAGGCCTTCAACAAAATTCAACAGCCCTTCATGCTAAAAATTCTCAATAAACTAGGTATTTATGGACCATATCTCAAAATAATAAGAGCTTTTTATGACAAACCCACAGCCAATATCATACTGAATTGGCAAAAGCTGGAAGCATTCCCTTTGAAAACCAGCACAAGACAAGGATGCCCTCTCTCACCACTCCTATTCAACATAGGATTGGAAGTTCTGGCCAGGGCAATCAGGCAAGAGAAAGAAATAAAGGGTATTAAAATAGGAAGAGAGGAAGTCAAATTATCTCTGTTTGCAAATGACATGATTGTATATTTAGAAAATCCCATCATCTCAGCCCAAAAACTCCTTAAGATGATAAGCAACTTCAGCAACATCTCAGGATACAAAATCAATGTGCAAAATTACAAACATTCCTATACACCAATGATAGACAAGCAGAGAGCCAAATCATAAATGAACTTCCATTCACAATTGCTACAAAGAGAATAAAATACCTAGGAACACAGCTAACAAGGGATAGGAAGGACCTCTTCAAGAAGAACTACAAACCACTGCTCAAGGAAATAAGAGAGGACACAAACAAATGGAAAAACATTCCATGCTCATGGATAGGAAGAATCAGTTTCATGAAAATGGCCATACTGCCCAAAGTAATTTGTATTTTCAATGCTATTCCCATCAAACTACCATTGACATTCTTCTTCACAGAATTAGAAAAAACTACTTTAAATTTCATATGGAACCAAAAAAGAGCCCGTATATCCAAGACAATCCTAAGCAAAAAGAACAAAGCTGGAGGCATCATGCTACCTGACCAAATTATACTACAAGGCTGCAGAACTGAAACAGCATGATACTGGTACAAAAATAGCCACATAGATCAATGGAACAGAAGAGACCTCAGAAATATCATCACACATCTACAACCATCTGATCTTCGGCAAACCTGACAAAAGGAAGCAATGGGGAAAGGATTCCCTGTTTAATAAATGGCGCTGGTATCACTGGCTAGCCATATGCAGAAAACGGAAACTGGACCCCTTCCTTATATCATATACAAAAAATTAATTCAAGATGGAATAAAGACTTAAATGTAAAGGCCAAATCCATAAAAACCCTGGAAGAAAACCTAGGCAATACCATTCAGGACATAGGCACAGACAAAGATTTTATGACGAAAATACCAAAAGCAACTGCAACAAAAGTGAAAATTGACAAATGGAATCTAATTAAAACAAAGAGTTCTGCACAGCAAAAGAAACTATCATCGGGGTGAATAGGCAACCTACAGAATGGGAGAATATTTTTACAATCTACCCATCTGACAAAGGTCTAATAACCAGAATCTACAATGAACTTAAACAAATTTACAAGAAAAAAAAATCAATCACATCAAAAAATGGCCAAAGGATATGGACAGACACTTCTCAAAAGAAGACATTTATGTGGCCAAGAAACATATGAAAAAAAACTCAACACCACTGATCATTAGGGAAATGCAAATCAGAACCACAATGAGATACTGTCTCACGCCAGTCAGAACGGCAATTATTAAAAAGTCAAGAAACAATATATGCTGGTGAGGCTGTGCAGAAATAGGAACACTTTTATACTGTTGGTGGGAGTGTAAATTAGTTCAACCATTGTGGAAGGCAGTGTGATGATTCCTTAAGGATCTAGAACCAGAAATACAATTTGACCCAGCAATCCCATTACTGGGTATATACCCAAAGAAATATAAATCATTCTAATGTAACAGCACATGCACTTTTTTATTTATGTTTTATATACTATTTATGTTTATTGCAGCACTATTTACAATAGCAAAGACATGGAACCAACCCAAATCTTTATCAAGTCCATCAATGATAGACTTAATAAAGAAAATGTGGAACATATACACCATGGAATACTATGCAGCCATAGAAAGGAATGAGATCATGTCCTTTGCAGGGACATGGATGAGGCGGGAAGCCATCATCCTCAGCAAACTAACATAGGAACAGAAAACCAAACACTGCATGTTCTCACTCATAAGTGGAAGTTGAACAATGAGAACACATGGAAACAGGGAAAGGAACTACACACACCAGGGCGAGTCAGGGCATGGGGAGTGAGGGGAGAGATAGCATTAGGACAAATAGCTAATGTATGTGAGGCTTAAAACGCAGAAGATAGATTGATAGGTGCAGCAAACCATCATGGCACACATATACCTACGCAACAAACCTACACATTCTGGACTTAAAATAATTTTTTTTTTAAATCCATCTAGAAGATTTTTCTTTTACTTCTTCGATTGTTTTATGGGGGAAAATTACATTAGGGCCAATATTTATGTTTAAAATCTTGTTTATTTAAAGGCCAAGGGCAATGTGGAATAACAAATGGTTCTTTTGTAATTTGAAATTTAGCCAGTCATAGGGTAATTATGAAAGGCAACCAGGTAAATGAACATAAAGCAAGTTGGTAAGAAATCTGCAGAGCATGGTGACTTGTGTAATGTTCTCTTCTCACTGTCCAGTAGAAACCCTCTGTTGTACTAGCTATATGTCAAATGGAGTGGTTGAGAACACCATGGGCTTCTTAAATATACTACACACATCATTCACCAATTTTTCTACAAAAGTAAGATATTTACAAAAACTACTTCTTTATATTAATACTGACCTGAATTTTATTAGGATATGAAAATTACAAAGTAAAATACATATTCATATGAGCATATATCTCTCTGAGGATGTTATTTTGAACCTACTATTTATCATATTTTGAATGGGAGAATAATACTTCCCTTTAAGTGTTTAAAGATATCCAATGTATCTTAGAAATATGTACCAAAATTTTCTTATTAACATAAATAATAATAATTTACAAATAACATAATAAATATTTCATTTTTTATTTATAATCAATGATAAAATATTAATAATGTTAATATAATAACAAGTAAATATTGTTAAATGCTTAACAATCTTCTGTAAGAGCCAGTGCTTCCTACTTTATGCCTCATCTCATTGAATGATCTCATCAGCTGTATGAGCAGGTGTTCTGGACCTAATTTTACAGATGAGGAAACTGAGCTTGGGCTCATATCCAGGTCTGTTTGATTCCAAAACTAATATTCTTAACCACAACAGTATGTTGTTTATGAGGCTAAATGCAAGCTGACGTATCGATTTGCAATTTGATAGATACCTATTTGTAGCTCCATTTCAAGCTGCATTCGATAAAGTGCAAATCAAGTTTTATCAATTCTACCATTTGTCAAAGGCTCAAATGAATGTTGACTGAGGAGAAAAGGTTGCAACTAAAATGAATTTCTGGCATTATCTGAATATTACAATTTTTTGTGTCATCCGTCCAACAGGAATTTAAAAAGCTGATCTTATGAATTCTTCCCATCCCTGCCCTTTCTCTGCAAAAGCCCTTCTGTCCCTGCTTTCTTGCTTCTTCTTCAGTTGCACGGATTAATCTGATCCTTTACTGTCCACTAACCTAGATTCTAATTAAAGGAACTGTGTTAATCCAATCAGCTGTCAATCCTAGGTATATTGGGATGCATTTGGTGATTGATTTTTTTTTTTTTTTTTTTGAGACAGGGTCTCACTCTGTCACCCAGGCTGGAGTATAGTGGAGCAATCTTGGCTCACTGCAGCCTCCACCTCCTGGGCTCAAGTGATCCTCCCACTTCAGCCTCCTGAGTAGCTGGGACTACAGGCACATGCCACCACTCCCAAATAAGTTTTTGTTTTTTGTTTTCTGTTTTTTGTTTTTTGTTGTATTTTTTGTAGAGACGGGGTTTCGCTATGTTACCCAAGCTGGTGTTGAACTCCTGAGCTCAAGTGATCTGCCTGCTTTGGCCCCCCAAAGTTCTGGGATTGCAGGTGTGAGCCCCCGCACCTGGCCAGTGGTTGATTACTTTTTGAATAAAATCATAACTTATTGTAAAATGAGCTTGACCACTCCTAGCTTCCTTTTTCTCGTCACCTATGCATTTAATTATTATTTCACCATCATTGCTGTTGCAGTTGTTATTATTGTTGTTCATGTGTCTTAAATAAGTCTTTCATTTTACACCATTTAACCAGACATGTCTACCTTACTGATATTTCCCCACCATATGCCTCTTTCTTGTTAATCTTAATAGAGATATCAAAGACTCAAATCTCATCATAAATTAATTCTACTTCCTCTGGGATACTTAAAAGTTTTAGGTCTCTATAAAAGCATCTGCTATAAATCTACCTTTTTCTATTCTGCAGTTTTTCTATCATTTTTTAATCAAAACAATAAGAATAAAAGTATATCTTAAGTAATAATCCCCATGCCCATGTTATTTGCATGATATTCCATCTTAATTTTTCTGATCTCATTATCAGTTCATTATTCAAAGTAACTTTTTTTCTCTTTCCTCAGGTTGAATGACTTGTAGTTAAAAGCATTTTTGATGGTTTTAGAAACTTCTTTCGATAAATTCTATAAATTATAGTCCAATATTTCGAAGTAACACTTATGAATAAAACTCTTCTGAACATTGGCAGATAGCGCTCTAGGAAACAGGGATCAGTGTAGCCAGGCAACGATTTCAGAATCGTCACATGGTCAAGCAGTAAGGTGAATATGGAAAATGCAGGCGGAGGTTCTATAGACCCTCTCTGGAGGAGATGTCTTAATATTAGCATTACAAAAATGTCTCCAGCTCCCCGATCTTAAATACATAATTTGTGAATAATATTATGGGTTTGCAGCAGCAGTGAAGTATGATATATTGTTAATGCTTTTTGCAAATGTTAGAGTGGATATCTGTGAAGGCTCTATTGTCTCTGATGGCTTTCATATGGCACAGTCCAAAAAACACTTCAATCCCCTGCTAAACTAGAGATTTTACTGTTCTGCAGATCACTAGAATTTTTATTACATCTAAATAATAATAGCCATTATTAGGACCAATTCATAGCTATAGAGTTTGCAATTTTAGGATTTTCTCTATGAATCTGGCTTATACTCCCTGGAATCTAAGCTTTCATTTTGGGGGGAAAAAAAGGTAAGTTAACTTTTTGTAGCTCTCTTGGATAGAAAGACAGTCCTGACAAGATTTAAATACTGTGCCAGAAAGCCAAGCATATCAGGTTCCAATTAACATTCTCAATTCAAACTCATCTCAATTTTTCTCGGGTTGAAGGAGATTGGGCTATACTGAAGGGTTGTACTTATAAAGTGATTATGAAATTTTCTCCTGTCATTCAGTTTTGTGTGATATCTCTGGGCAATTTCGGATGTTGCTGCTGTAGCAACAGCGTACTTAGTGCTTGTCACATACAGGAGCATTCCGAAATTGTGAGGGAGGAGCCTTGATTTATAATGTGCTACAAATTGCTCTCAGCACTAGAATACAAATTCAAATATAATAGTTGATACCAATCTGCAATGTATTTTGGAGTAATCCCAATTGCTTATGAAAATCCCTTGATGGTTTGGGGATACATTTTGTCTACCAAACAGTCACTCTGACTGCATTGAGAATTCAGACACAATTTTTAAAATGCAGAAGGGATTTCAGGGCAAATTAGATTTTTCAAACCAATCCCAAGTGTTCAAAACAGAGGCATCTTTGCTTTAAGCACCACGACCCTGTAAGACTCTGCAAATAGGGTGTCTCTGAGAAGAAATTTCATTCCTGGTAAATATGACTGGGGATGTCAGTTGAGCACAACTTGAAATAATCTGTGCAGGTTAGGCGTTTTCCTACATGAAGAGAGAACAGCGCATTTCTCATTTCCTTTCACGTCTTTATTGCACAAGAGAAGCCAGTATGTGGTATCACACACACACACACGCACACAAGTAAATCCATTGGTAACTCTTTGTATAATAGCCTAAAAAGTGCCAGTTTGGAACAAGTGTGCAATGTGGCTACTGGATCAATAGAGTTATAACATATTTTGATTACTTGATTAGAATCCAACACATCTATAATGCATTACTTGCTTAGAATTTGATAATAAAATCATCATAAACGAATGTCAAGTTCAAGTGCCTGTATCTAACTTGAAGGGAAAGAAGCAGAGGAAAGAACTAGACTAATCAGTACACTGCTACCAGCAGGGAAAGGAGGCATTCTCAATGGGCTTGCCCTGAGCTATTGTCAGCTGAACGCAATAGCCAGCAAGAAGGCGTGGACAGTTGGAAAAAGGGAAGGCAGATTGTTTTTGTGGCAACGAACACGACCCTCGCCCATTGAAAGGCCTGAGAGAATTGCTTAACACCAGTTCCTAGATCAAGGATAGGCCAGGACAGGGCGATGTGCTCTTCCTCATGTTATAGATGGGGAGGAGGCCCACAGACATGTCTTACATTAGAAATTAAAGCCTTGTATTTGTTTGCTAGGGCTTCCACAAGGTACCATAGACTGGATAGCTCAAAAAAGTGAAATTTATTTTTTCACAATTCTAGAGCCTGGAAGTGTCAGATCAAGGTGTCTGCGGTGTTGGTTTCTTCTGAGGCTTCTCTTTGGCCTGCAGATGGCCACCTTCTTCTCCATATCTTCCCATGAGCTTCACTCTGTGTGTGACTATTTAGTAATCTCCTCTTCTTACATGAACATCAGTCACATTGAATTAGGGCAACCCTAATGATCTTGTCCTAACTTACTAGCCTCTTGAAAGACCCCATCTCCAAATACAGTCACACTCTGAGGTACTCTTGAGTTAGAATTTCAAGATATAAATTTGGGAGGGGACACAATTCAGCCCATAGCAAGCCTAGATGTTGATGTTACTTATGTTTCATCTCTACTAAGTTTTCTCTTTCCTTATGCTTTTGCCACATTAGCCAAAAGCATTTTGACAAACTGGGTCCTCCCTGCTTGATATAGTAAGAACGTGTTAAAGAAGCCAATCAAGGATTTGATACTTCTTGGTTCTAAAATAGGCCTTCTAGTTTTATTTATGCAGTTACCAACTATCTTGCACTATAAACTTCAGAGGCTTGTGTTGTATAGTTCAAGTTCAGCCATGTGACTTGCATAGGCCTTTAAAATGTAAATGAAAGTGAAGTGTGCCACTTCCAAGTAGAAGCATTCAGAGCCATTGCATGGTTCCACCGTGTTCTCCTTTCCTTTGGCCATAAGCCCTAAATGTTCCCAGATTGAGCACATATTTGAGCAAAATCAGCCTTTGTTGTTGTAAGCCACGAAGATTTTTGGAGTGGTTACCATAGCATGGTTTAGCTGAAGCTAGGTGATACATCCTACATTCTTACCCCTGCCCCTGAGCCTCCTGCTCATCTGTATTGTTGAACAATTCATCAGTTACTATAAATCCCACTAGCATGTCCCATATAGATCCATCTGCCCACCCTGGGAGGTGTCATAAGTTCTACTTGCTCAAATAAAACTCTGATTCCTTTTGTTCCTTAATCAGCAATCAGAAAAAAGCAATTTGACGAAACTGACACATAGGAAGGTGTGCAGAAACCTCTTCTGCCCAGATTGATATATAACTTTTCTACAGAAACCTCTAATTTTTTTATTTCAATAGGTTTTTGGGGAACAGGTGGTGTTTGGTTACATGGATAAGTTCCTTAGTGGTGATTTCTGAGATTTAGGTGCACTCATCACCTGAGCAGCATACACTGCACCCAATGTGTAGTCTTTTATCCCTCACCCCCTCCTACCCTTTTCCCTGAGTCCCCACATTCCACTGTATGATTCTTATGCCTTTTGTCCTCACAGCTTAGCTCCCACTTATCAATGAGAACATACGTGATTTGGGAACCTCTGATTTAAAGAGAGATGTATTAATCCAAAGAAAAGACTCTCTAATAATGGGATTTCATAAAAGTTGTCTGGGGAACAGGAAGGACATTTCAGCATCTGTAACACTACTTTATGTACTTACAAATACCCCTCCCTGCCACAGTTAGAAAGAAAACATCAACATGTATATTCTAGTGATCATATTCAAGATACAATTTGAACTGTATATACCTATAACTACTTACCATGTGCAGACACTGTGCAAGGATCTTTGCAAACATGATTCCATATAATCTCCTCAATGGCTCTATGCAACAGGTATGACTTTCCCCATACTGCAGATAAGTAAATAACTCTCTGGCTTCATACAGCTGGAGAGAGACAGATCCCTGCTCACAACCATGGTGCTATATAACAGTGACACCAATACACCTTTTATTCTCAGCATCTCGGGGAAAATAAAGCATTATTGTGGATTTTTGAGTTTTTTCCATCCCACTTTATGATCTATGCTTTAATTTTTTAATGATGTTTATGATAAAGGAGAGTAAATGGAGACAAGTATTTCCCATAAGAATGTCTTAGTCAATTCAAAATCCAAAGTTTATCTCTTCTGTTTCAAATACTTAGACATAATAGATGAGACAGAAAACATGACAAAAGAAAAAAGAAAACAACAAACCAGAAAGATGTATCAAGGCTCAAAGCAACTTAAAGGTCCCTGTGGATCAATGACACAGAAACCCACAGCAATAATGGGAAGGTGGGGGAGATGCTAAAACCACAGCCTATCAGATTCTGGTGGTCATTAAGCTCGCTCCAAAAAGGTAATAGGGACTAAAAGTGTTCCATGCCAGACAGACATCTAGAGCTAGGCTCACCGCTTGAAACCAGAAACTGGAGGGTGTCTCTCTACTGTCCTAAAAGGAGACTTTTTTTTTTAATGCTACTGAATGAGGACTGAGGCTTCAGTTGTTAAAAAGTCAGGAGTCTAGCAAAGTGGGAGGAACCAAGTTGCCTTCTGGTTCTGTGAACAGATGAGCTATATTTCTAATACTATCAAAAATACTGTACGATGATAAAGCCTTGTTCTTAACTAGAGTGCCAGGGCCTGAGTGAAAGCAACCGTATAATCTCTAGGTAGAAAGAAGTGGGTACAAAGGGAGAGAGCAAAGGGAGAGAGCAAAGGAAAAAACAATCTCCCTACTTAAGATGTGTTCATAAACCCAAATCCCAAAACACAAAGAAAACAAATGTTCACAAAGAGAGCCAAAAACAAATAAATTAGTTAAATAAACTCACTTCAAATGAGATCCATGTCATAAAACAGTCTAAGAAAGACTTTAAAATATGTGGTTAGGATGGTCAAAAACATAAATGAGCAACAGCATCTAGAAAAACATAATAACAAATAATAAGATAAGATACTTATGAAAAATAATTAGGAGTTTTAGAATTTAAAAAATATAGAGAAAAAGAAAAAAATTAAGGGAATAAATTCTAGACTGGACTGAAGAGATTTAGTAAATTTGAGCCGTTCCGGCATGTATTCAATGGGAGTTCCAGCAAAAGATCATTGAAAAAAATGGTGGTTGAGAATTTCCCAGAGATGAAGAAAGACATACATCCTTAGACTAAATGTGTGCTTCAAGTTCTGAGGAGGATAAAGAAGAATAAATCCACACCCAGTTTGAAAAAAATCTAAAAGCTGCCAAAAATGACAGATTACCTACAAAATAATGGCAATTAGGCTGGCAACAACACTTTCATTAGCAAAAATATAGGTCAAAAGACAACAGAATAACATTTTCCAAGTGCTCAGGTAAGGAAATAGTAAATCTCAGATTTTCAGCTAAACATCTAATTAAGAGAGAGAGGGAAAAATGAAGACTTTTTTACATGTATAAAAATAAAAGAGTTTACCACTCACAGATGCTAATTGAAAGATGTATTAAAGACTATGTTCAGCATGAAGGAAAAGGGAAGCTGGCCTGAAGATAAATGTGGATGATGCACAGCTCCACCATATCCAATGCCCCAGCCACAGGATAATTCTATTTTCCTATCCCTCTTGAAGTCATGCTTGGCCATATGACTTGCTTTGGCGAAGGAAATGTGAGCAAACATGATGGATAATTCTCTTGTATGGAAGCTTTAAGAGCCAGCATACCCTCTCCCCTCTGCCTCTGCTGATGCCGGCTGCTCCTTCAGGTGGCCTTCGGGATGCAGGAGCTGAATCCTAGCCAACCTGGAATGTAAACAAGAAATAAAACTGTATTGTTTCAGCCCCTGCTTTTAAAGTTGTTACTGCAGTATTATGACTAGGAAGGACAATTATGCAAATTTGGAGAGATTACAGAAATTGATAAAATATGCTGGGAAATTAATTAAAAATCAATTAGAAAAATACTAATTTTTAATGAACTTCCAAATCTCTAGGCAATGATAGTACAGAATACGTTCAAAGGAGAATGTAAAAATACTCTGAAAGAAATACTGAATAATCTTAAGCTTTGTTTAAAAATGTACTGATAAAGGCCAGACATGGTGGCTCACGCCTGTAATCTCAGCACTTTGGGAGGCCGAGGTGGGCAGATCACTGGAGGTCAGGAGTTTGAGACCGGCCTGGCCAACATGGCAAAACCTCATCTCTACTAAAAATGCAAAAATTAGCCGGGCGTAGTGGTGCGCGCCTGTAATCCCAGCTACTCAGGAGCCTGAGGCAGAAGACTCTCTTGAACCCAGGAGGCAGAGGTTGCAGTGAGCTGAGATTGTACCACTGCACTCCAGCCTGGGCGATGAGCGAGACCCCATTTCAAAAAAATAATTAATTAATTAAAAATGTATACATAAGTATATGTGTTTAAAATTTAAGATACCCAACAGCAAAATGGAAAAGCAATCTAGTTTTCAAACCATATAGTGGGGAAAGGGGAATACTAACAACTCACCCAATTCACTGAAATTAGAACAAAGAGAAAAGAGGGGGAGAAAATGATGATAAACAGAAATCAGAAAAGAATATGGCAGAAATTGGTCCAAATGTAAAAATTACAATAAAATGAAAGGAGAAAAGTCATATATTAAAAGACCAATCAAACTGGATCAAACTGAATCTAACCACATTGAATTTTTTTAAATTCACCTATTTGCTGCACTGTAAAAAACATACCTAACACAAAGTCACACAAAAAGATATGGACAAAGGACACTAGAGAAATTGTTTTCGACTGAACTGTACTCTCCCCAAAATTCATATGTTGAAGTACCACCCCCGGTACTTCAGAGCATGACCTATTTGGTGATGGGGTCTGTAAAGAGGTAATTCAGTGAAAAATGAGGTCATTCAGTGGGCCCTAATCCAATATGACTGGTGTCCTTATAAAAAGAGAAAATTAGGACACAGAGACACACAAAGGGAAGACCACATGAAGACACAGGGAGACAACAGACATCTGAAAGCCAAGGAGAGGCCTTGGGAGAAATCAACCCCGATGACTCAGACTTCCAGCCTCCAGGACTGTGAGAAAATAAATTTCTGTTGTCTAAGTCATCCATTCTGTGGTACTTTGTTCTGACATTCCTAGCAAACTAATACACTCATCCAAAAACACGCCAGTGGCAATATGAATATCAGACAAAACAGAATTAAAATCAAAAAGAATTAATAGCATTACAATGAGATATCAACCATGAAAAAGGACCAGTCCACTAAGACATAAGGCCATTCCCTCTTGAACCCTCTCCAGCCAATTAGTTGCTATCCCTCCAAAAAAACATCACTACTTCACATTATCAAAAACTAATAGTCAGTTTCCAGTCTTCATCTAACACAGCCTTTTGCAGCATTGGGCGAAGTGGATGATACCCTCCTTCCAGAAAGCCTTTCCTCACTTTCCTTCTCAACATAGTACTCTCCTCACCTTCTCCTTCTCACTGGCTGCTCTGCCTTTCCCAGTCTTAAATACTAGCTAGAGGTGCCGGGCGCAGGCTTCTGACACCTTCTGTTTCCACCTGAATGCTCAAGGCAGAGCAGAGGCTGTGGCTGTTTCCTGAGAACAGCTGCAGTGGTGGTGTGGGGGGATGTGGGAATAACTGTCCCCTGTGATACAGGGCAGAGCGAAGGCAGGACAGGGAGCAGACAGGGGACCAAGCAAACACACGGGCACAAAATCATGCACAGGCATCATAAGGCTGTACTGCAAAGGGACCTCTTCATTTTCATCCCCATATCTGATTCACTCAGGTCTTTCCCATCTCACTAAATGGCAATCCCATTCACTCAATAGCTCAGGCAAAAACCTTAGAAGCCACTCTTGATTCCTTTGTTGCTACACTCTCTGACATCCAGTTCATCAGCAAATCCAGTGGGCCAAGTATCCAAAATATATTCTGAATCCCCCCACTTCTGACCATCACCTCTATAGTACAAGCCACTGCCCCCTCTCCTGCCTGGATGACTCCATTCGCCTACTCACTGGTCCCCATCTCCCATCTTGTTTCACCACGGTTTGTTCTCCACACAGCCAACAAATGGATCCATTCAAAATGAGAGTCATCCCCTGTCATCCTGATCTTCAAACACACTCATGGTGCTCTCTCAACATAACATCCCCCCTCCTCTGGGCCTTCCTTTCCATTGTCTCCACTTGGAATGATCTTCCCCGTACATCCACATGACTCATCTTGTTGCTTTGTCCAGTCCATCACCTGAGTGGCCTCCTGAGAGTGCCTTCTCTGGCCAGTCCTGTAGTGCAGCTCCCCGTCCAAGCCGACCATCTCTCCCCTCGCCCTGCTTTATCCTTCCGCACAGCACTGGTTGTGACATCTGATATTAGGTGAAATTTGCTTATTAGAAAATTTGTCTCTCCCACTAGGATAAGAGCTCCCTGAAAGTAGCAAGTTTCTTGGTCTTGTCCACTATGCCTGGAACAGTGCTGGACACATCATCGGTACTCAGTCAACATTTGTTGGTGGAACAAACACTTAGATCAGTCAGTTTATCATGAAATTGTATGTATCTAATAGCAAGGAGGCATGAAGTCATTCTCTCTTAAACCCCCCGGAATCAGCAAGGCCTTGAAATGTTTAAGCAAAATCTGAGAGAATTCAAGAGAAACTCACAATCTTCAAGTTATATCCTTCTTTATATCAAGTGTGACAGATAAAGCAGATTTTTTTAAATAGTAAGAATGTAGCACATTTAAACAACAAATTAATGTTTGCTCCAAAATATACATGAAACCCTATATCCCCCAAATAGAGAATATATATCCTCTATATGTACACATTGATGAAAACTAATGATACACTAAATCAGAAAGGAAGCTCTAACACATTTCAATGACTCTATATCATGATTCTATCCACCATTTCTAGCAAACTTCAATGAATCTATATCAAATATGGACCAATGAATATGGTCTACATTTCATGAATCTAGGCTATATTTTGTGAACATGACAAAATTAAAATCAAAGTCAACAATTAAAAATACAGGAAGTTAAGAAATACATATTTGGAAACCAAAAATTGGGCCTCTAAATATGCATGGGTTAAAAGAAAATTAGAACAGAAATTACTGTATTACATTTCAAAACTTGTGCTGTGTATCTCAAGTATTACTTAAATGTATGGCCTTCAGTGAATTTGCTACAAAACAATTTTTAAAAAAATAATTAAGCATTCAAATCAAGAAATTAGAATAACAACAGAGTACACTATAAATGCATGAGGCAGGAAGCAAAATACAACAAAAGACACTTATGAAATAGAAACAAAGAATAGGAAGCATCTATAAAATAAAAGTTATCTTTGGAATAACAAGATGTTAAGTAATATTAACAAATAAAAAGGACAACACTACATACAGAAGAGGACAAAATCATTAGAAGTACTTTACATAACTTTGTGCCAATTAATGGATAATTTTGTATAAAAATAAATTTATCAACATTGAAGAAATAGAAAACCTAACTAAATTAATAAACTACACATTGAAAAAAGTAGCAGCCAAATCTCCTCCACTCCTAATTTTTCCCCTCAAAACAAGTGGCAGGGTTTTACAGATGAGGCTTAACAAACCTTTAAGAAACCCATAATCCCCATCTTAAAAACTATTTTATAAAAGAGAAAGTGGGAAGACAAGCCAATTAAGTTTATACCATATACCCAAAGAGAACAAAGACAGTAGAAGGAAAGGTAGAAAAACAAAACAAAGCAAAGTAAAACCATATAGGAAAAAAATTGATACATTTGGTTCATTAAAATTAAAAGCTTTTCTACATCAAAAGATAGCATAAGCAAAATGAAAAATCTGTCCCAGAAAAATAACTTCTGGGAGAAGTTATTTGCATATACAGTCTATATAAAACAAAAGAATATGTGAAAAACTTATAAAATCAGAAAAAAAGGACAAAATGCAACAAATGGACAAAGTATATACCCAAGCAATTCACAAAACCAGAATAGACAATAAGCTTTTAAAGCAAGGCTCAATCTCATTAGTAATCAAAGAAATGCAAAGTGAACCAACAATGAGATGCCAATTTATTCCCAACATATTGGCAAATCTAAAAGCCCCATAATACGTCGTGTTGAGAAGAATATTGAGAAAGGCTAAGCTCTCATATACGGTTGGTGAACCTATAAACTGGTTCCACAACTTTGGAGCACAATATGGCAATAATAAGTAAGGATAGCGTGGCCAACAGCCTAAAAAGTCCAATTGTTGGTATATAATTCAGATAAATTCTCTGGCACATGTGACATGCTCATGAATGATTGTTGCGGCAATTTTTGTTGTAGCAGGGGAAAAAAATCAGAAACAACTTAAATGTTCGTTAAGCACAAATTGGCTAAATAAATTGTAGTATATTCATACAAAGGACTTTGTACAACAATCAAAATAAATGAATTAGAGCTGCAATTATCAACATGGATAAATCTCAAAAACAATAGGTTAAGCAAAAAAAAAAAAAAAAAAGGGGGCCGGTTATAGAATATATACAATATATTATCAATATAAGACTGAATACATACAAAGCAACACAATTTAATGTTTGTATATGGTGTATATGCAGTGATTCTGTTAGTATAAAAACATGCATAAGAATAACAATGTTGGCACTCAAGATAGTGCTAACATCTGGAGAAGAGATTGTTATCAAGGAGATGTAATACACAGCAGGCTTTAACTATGTTGATGGATGAATGGATAGATGATAGATAGATAGATAGATAGATAGATAGATAGATAGATAGATAGAGATAGTATTTTTATTCCCTTAAAAAAAGATCCACTAATTAAACTAAAGAGCTTCTGCACAGCAAAAGAAACTATCATCAGAGTGAACAGGAACCTACAGAATGGGAGGAAATTTTTGCAACCTATTCATCTGACAAAGGGCTAATATCCAGAATCTACAAAGAACTCAAACAAATTTACAAGAAAAAAAACAAACAACCCCATCAAAAAGTGGGTGAAGGATATGAACAGACACTTCTCAAAAGAAGACATTTATGCAGCCAAAAGACACATGAAAAAATGCTCATCATCACTGGCCATCAGAGAAATGCAAATCCAAACCACAATTAGATACCATCTCACACCAGTTAGAATGGCGATCATTAAAAAGTCAGGAAACAACAGGTGCTGGAGAGGATGTAGAGAAATAGGAACACTTTTACACTGTTGGTGGGACTGTAAACTAGTGCAACCATTGTGGAAGTCAGTGTGGCGATTCCTCAGGGATCTAGAACCAGAAATACCATTTGACCCAGCAATCCCATTACTGGGTATATACCCAAAGGATTATAAAACATGCTGCTATAAAGACACATGCACACATATGTTTATTGTGGCACTATTCACAATAGCAAAGACTTGGAACCAACCCAAATGTCCAACAATGATAGACTGGATTAAGAAAATGTGGCACATATACACCATGGAATACTATGCAGCCATAAAAAAGGATGAGTTCATGTCCTTTGTAGGGACATGGATGAAGCTGGAAACCATCATTCTCAGCAAACTATCGCAAGGACGAAAAACCAAACACCACATGTTCTCACTCATAGGTGGGAATTGCACAATGACAACACATGGACACA
Organism: Homo sapiens; assembly: GCF_000001405.40. Classification (NCBI taxonomy): domain Eukaryota; kingdom Metazoa; phylum Chordata; class Mammalia; order Primates; family Hominidae; genus Homo; species Homo sapiens. The sequence continues at coordinate 25,791,555 of NC_000018.10, forward strand.
GGAAGGGGAACATCACACACCGGGGCCTGTTGTGGGGTGGGGGGAGGGGGGAGGGATAGCATTAGGAGATATACCTAATGTTAAATGATGAGTTAATGGGTGCAGCACACCAACATGGCACATGTATACATATGTAACAAACCTGCATGTTGTGCACATGTACCCTAAAACTTAAAGTATAATAAAAAAAGAAATAAAAAAAGATCCAAAGCAAATAAGGCAAAATGTTAACATTCGTTAAAGTTCCATTGTATGTAAGTAGGTGTTTGTTACATTACTTATTCTCGATGATTTTTTTTCTGTATGTTTGCAGTATTTCATAATAAAAAATAAAAAACAAGGTAGGAGGCAGGAATATAGCGAAAGGAAGGACTAAAAGAAGAGAGGATGGGGGAGCAAATCAGGTTAGACTTATCTAGAAACTGGGGGAAGGAAAACCAATACGAGAAGGTAAAACAAAAAGGACGTGCCAGACAACGAAGGTGAGCAGAAAATGGACAAAAGAAAGCCACCGCTGGCTAATGTCTGAGGGAATGAAGTCATGCCAATATCATTTCACCCTCTCTTCCACTGCTGATTCCACTAACTCAATGGCTCCCCAGGAGACAGGGCTGGTGGCAAGAGAATCCAGGGTTGCATTGATCCCACGAACATCACTTCTGCTCTCATTGCTCCCAGCAGCTGGATCTCTATTAGTGCGGAGCGCAGGGGGGCTGGGGAGAGGAAGCTTTATTTACCTGTCTCCACTTAGGCACAGTCTTGTCTGTGATTCCTGAAATCTAATGATGAGAAAGATATGTTAGCACTCCTAAGACTGCTTTTCCCTGCCATGGTAAATCGCTCCCTGAGCAACGTCAACTTTAGGAAACTATTGACCACTTAATTCTAGCAAGCAAAGCCATTTCTGCTTTCAGGAGAAATTGATGTGTATTTTGTTCATACAATATAAAGTGGAACTTACCATCTTTAGTCCCAAACATTCCCCATCTCTGTCTGTCCCTCTCCCCACTCAGGCACGGAAAGTGTGACGCCATCTTGGCCTCTCCTTCCTTACCCTCCACGATCAATAGTTATCACGTCCTCTCACCTGGGTCCCTACCAACTGCCTGCACAGTTGGTCTCCCTGCCTAAGGCTGCCCCCTTTAAAGAGAGTCCCCATTCCACCATCTGATAAAGGTTGTTATAGCCCAGCTCTGATTTTCTTACTCTTTGCTCAGGAAACACAAATGCTGCACCATTGTGTGAATGCGGAGCTCAAACTCTCCACTCCAGGATTGAAAGGAAGCCTGCTACGATCTGGTCCCTCATCTCCTGCAGCTGTTCTGCTCAGCTCATGCAATCATTAGGCACCCACACTGTCCCCACCAAATGGTCATCCTAAAACATTCCCTGCCATTTTCTACCCCTGAACATTTCCTTAAAATGTTCCCTCTGCTTTCTCTTTCCCCATCTCCACCTAGGGAAATCCAATCTAGCCTTCAGGAACCAGTTCGAATGCTGTCTACCCCAAGGCAGCTTCTCTAAAGCAAGCTCTACCCATCTCAGAACTGACATGTGCACCTCACTACTCTGTTAAAGATGCAGAGTATTGTTTCCAATTCATTCCTACCTTCCAGTCATATCTAGCACTGTCCCTTACACATAACAGGTGCTCAACAATACTCCAATGAATGCAAGTAAACATGCATTTATATATGTAATACCTATAACAACATGCATTTTTATAACAGATTTGATATAAACCTAACTTTAGCCCAAATGTTTGTTACCTAGTAGTTCCTCAATATGTAATTGTGAGAATTAGTGGATGACTGAGTAAACGAAGGGATGGATTTTCCTATACGCGCTTTGTAATTGAATGAGACCTCACAGGTCCACTGTACATCATTGTTGGTTGCTCTATGTTCTTTCCTGAAGATCCTTAGGAACACACTTCTAGGTTCTGAATGTAACAGATAAACATTAATTCAATTTAATATGGTTCTAAAGGGAAAATACAAATACAAGAACCTGTCTACATTATATAAATGCATTGCACTTTACATTGCAACGGACAATGTTAATCACATAATTTGATGTCCTTCTTCTTTTCATTGTTTACCGAACCCTCTTGTTTGAGTGATTCCTCTGCCTTTATTGAGAATACGCTATTGAGAGCAGCCCCTGATGAATACTAGCCCATTTAATTATTTTTTTAAAATAGCACTCAATCACCCTTCTTAGCACTAATAGCACCTTTCTCTACAAATGACTGCCACAGGTTATTAGGTCACATTTTCTTGAAATATTCTATCTTTCATTTATAACTTTTAAATTAACCCAAATATTTCTAACAGTGAGTATCTTGAACAGCAAAAGAAAAAAATGTATTGTTATGTTACTCAATTCATTGTTGAAAGGAATTGGGAAAGCTTGTGGGAGTGGAAATTGATCATGAAACTAACACATCCTCTGTGCCCTTCACAAACACCTCCTCCCAAAGGAGCCGTCACTATGCTGAGACTACCAGGGCCACCAGCACCCTCTTGCTTCTGCACATCTAACTGAGAAACGACCCTGCACAAATGGAACTCAATTTTTTACGTCAATCAACTGATATTACTTCCAATGTAATATTTTCACTCACACAGCATTAAATATATATATGCACTAAACCTTCAGTCAGCTTGAAAAGAAGCTAACAAAATTTCGCCATTTCAATAAGAGTGACTCAATTTAGGGGGCTTTGTTGTGTCTAGAGGCAAGATTTTTCTCTTGGGTTATTTCAATACCATGAGTGTCAATCAAAGAGCCACACTCTAAAGACCAAGAGAATATCAGATGAGATCCATCACCAGGCTGAATTTTGGCCTGTATTTGTAAATTATTTCCTCAGCTAGGTCATCAATCACAAAGTCATCTGCATGGAGAGGGTACTTCATTATTGTTCTATGGGGCTCCAATTAAGTGGGACATGACAAACAGTTATCACGTTGACAGCTCATCCAAGTATCAGCAATTACCACAACCCATGGCCATGAGAGGAGTGTGGGCCTCTCTGTTTCCCACTTAGGTGAAGGCTGACTGGAATGAAGTATTTCCTTCCAGCAGCCTTCTGAGCATCCGGCTTCTCACCAAGAAAGCGTCTCCTCATAAAACACTCATAGGCCCCCAATGCAATGTCTAGTGTACAATCATGAGTTTGCATCAATTTTAAATTCCTATACACATGCAGATTGACATTAGTGCAAAGACTTTCCATGCAAAAAAAGGGTAATTATGTGATTTTCTTCATTCCTAGAACTCTCAAGAAAACTTAAGCATTGCATCCGATTTTAGGTCCAAGCTCAGAATCGTAACCATGTTTCAGTATAGTATTTTGTACACTTGATCTGTGTATTTTTATATTTATACAAAAGTCTTTAGTCTCTACCATACCGAAGGAGTTGTATGACTGCATAGGAAGGATAGGTGCTTTTAGCTCTTCAGGGAGGGCAACATAGTGGCATTTAAGCTGCCTTTGATTGACTAAGTTGATTTGATTTTCTCTAATAACTCACAAGAGCTGTTAGGAAAATTGGATGGTATTTATAATTCTAATTTGTTTTACTCTGTGACTCTAGGAAACAACATTGTGGTAAATATATTGAAATGTCAGGGTTATCACTTGCCACACAAAGTTTATTTTATTTTTCCCCCACTGAACAAATGCCAGCAGCTTAGCCTGCTGAGCCCGAGCTTATGTGAACTAGCGATCCAGGCAGCCTTTGGCAGTTCCGAGTGGCCATTTGGCCCACCCGAGCTTACGCTGCATAGATTCCCCGGGACGGCCTCCAACTTCAGGGTAGGCAGAGACTTTTCAATGCTGCTGGGGCCCCTGTATCCTCCCGCAGCAGCAGGCTGCCTCCTAAGAAGCTGGCTCCTCTAGCTGTTCCAAGAGGGAAACTTGAATACTGTTTTGGCAGCTTCGCAGCTCCATCCACTCTCTACCCATGGCTAAAGAAACTTTTTTTAAGTGCTAGAAGCAATGCTTTGGAATCTTCGTCCAGAATGACTTTGAGGAAAGCTGTCCTGAAAGTTGGGACTGACTCCTTTGGCGAGCTCTGCTGCGGAGCCAGATGCCATTTTTCAGCACGGCAAGTTCATATGAGGAACACAGCTCCAAGGACAATGTCCAAGGAAGGACAGCTCAAATGCACCAACAATTTCTTCATCAACAGAGCTTCAGTCCTGTGGGTCCAAATCCATCTTCCGTGGAACACAGGGATCAGTTTCAGGAATCCTAAGCTGCTATTCTCCACTTTTTCTTCATTCATTAGTAAATCTGACCAGATGACACAATTACATCACGCTTTTTTCAAACTGCATTATTGTTGGCTTTGTTAGAGACGCATTTTTCATGCCTGTGAGATGCTTATCTTCCAAATAAAGAAAGGAGGGGTGATGAAGAGTGTTTGGTCAATCAGCTAAGACAGGCAGGCAAACCAGCATTCCAGGATGCTTTCTCTCATCAGCCAGAGTCCAGCTCTTGCTGCCTCAGTTCGGGGTCTGAACAAAATAAGGTTTTTAGGATCATCCTGGCCTGAGCTCAGCTACATGCTAAGGAATGCATTTTTAAAAATTAATTTGTTTCATTTTGCGTTTGATTTGTAGGGCTTGCTCATTCAGTTTAATCTTATTTAATAATTATGTAAAGAATATACGTAGTTCAAAAGTCAATCCTACCAAGCACTGGTCCTGTATTCTCTGTCCTTTTCTTCTTCTAGGGGTAAGCATTTTTAATAATTTTTAGTTTATCCTTCCATGACTTAAGTATAAGCAAATATATTTATATATTCCTATCCCACATCTTTCTTAGATATGAGATAGCTTATCACATAGTGTTCTGCACTTTGCTATTTCCATTTACCCAGGAGAGCACTCCTGAGCAGTCTGTATAGCTATTCCACATTTCTTTGTACAGCTGCATAGTACTCCTGGAGTGCTATGTGTCACTGTGTCATTGTGCCATAGTTTATTCATTTAAATCCATGTGGATAGACAGTAGGGGTTTTTTTGTCTTTTGAAATTACAAATAGTACCACAATTAACAGGCATGCATATATAAGCTTTCGTATTTTTGCCAGTTTATCTTTGACATGGGTTCCTAGAAAGGGGATCGCTAGTCAATGGATAATTATATACGCACTTAGCAACCCCTTTCTAGGCTTACTAGTCAATGGATAAGTGTGTATGTAATTTACCTGGCTATTGCCTAGTTCCTTCCATTAGGTTTATACCATTTTTCCCTCCCACAAGCAATGTATGAGAGTGCCTATTTCCTCTCAGGTTAACCAAGAGAGAATACTTTCAACATTTTGGATTTTTGACAATGTGATGTCAATCTCCAAGGTTCTGGTCATCAGAACCGGCTCCATATTTCATGTAGGGAAACAATTTGTTTTTTCTAAGTGCTCACCTCAGAAAGCCCCTTGGTAATGTTACTGTTACCAACTTTGACTCCCTTTCATCAAAAGAGTGACTTTTCTCTAGGAATGAATGGAAATAAAAGCCCTGCCTATGATTTAGATGACAAAAAAAATCATGTGGTCACACAGGAGCCATTAGGAAGGCCTCCTATTCATTCAACAAAGATTTACTGAGTATCTCCCATGAACCTACTGTGTGCTACTAAAGTGCTTTTGGACTAAGGTATGGGGCTGAAGGGTGGTAAAGGTTCAGAAAAAGTGTCTACTATGGCAAGATAAACTATTCCATAATAGGTTCCAAATAACCCCAGGCAAGTGTGATATTCAGTTCTCGACTAACCAGCTGTGAATAGCAACATGATGCTATTTGCCCAACTCTGGTATTTTCTGCTGCCCCATCAAAAAGGAAAATGAAGAAATTTTATATTTAAGAGGTAGATGAAAGAAAAAGAGAGAACAAAAGCCAGATAAATAAACACGAGACTTTTCTTTCTACTGGGTAGAAGGCTGATTCAACTCTACTGCCATTAACACCCAGCAACAACTTGCACATTGACACTTATCAGTAAATGTTTGTGGGATGTAGGGATCATAATTTTAAAATATCTGTGTACTAGAGGAGAAATATCTAAACCTTATTTCTCTAAGTCCTCTTACATAAAGAACGTTGCTGATTTTAACCTTCCAGTTTGGAAATATTTCTTCCCATTCATCAAATTCTGAAAATAATAATAACTGGCCTTTGATGAGTGGTTCATTTGTGCCGGGCACACTTCTAAGCCCCTTACTTTGTTATCTCATTCAGTGTTCTAAACAACCCTGCTTTGCATGCTTTGATGCAATTATTACCCCATTTTACAGATGGGGCAAGTGAGGCACAAAAAGGTTAAGTAACTTATCTGCAATTCAGTTCTTAAGAGTTCCAAGAGTCAAGATGTAGAATTAACACTCTTGAATTCACTTGTAAACTGAGACCTGCAGAAGAATTCATTTGGGAACATAGAGTTGCTATACATAGAATGACCTTCCTATTCCTAAGTGAAACTGTCACCACCACCACGGCCAAGTCCATCGTCCTCCCCTTGCTGCATCTGCAGGCAGTTGGCCCACCTCCTGGCCATTCTCGGTGGGTCTCATTCTGAGGCAGTATCTCTGCCTTGAGGCTTTTGCTCCAAATGAGTTGATCCTTAATCTGATTATCTATGCATGCAGTTGGCCTATTCACCACTTCCCAGAAGCCTAAGCCTGGAGTGTATAGTCCAAAATTCTTTACTATATATTAATAGAAAGTACCTTACTCAGCCTTGCAGCTGTTTATATCACTGTGCAATGGTTTCCAGGATCCAGCTGTCATCAGTCTTCCCCATATGCCATCTAAAGAGAGATGAGTTGCAAGGTTCTATTACCAGGCCTCCCGTCTAGCAACTTGATATCAATTACAGCATTTAGATAATGCTGGTAAAATTGATGAAGAAGCTTGATGTGTCATCTATGGCTGAACTACCATTCTCCAATTTTTTAACAGCTTGCTCCGAAATTGAGATCATATAAGGGCCACATCCTCTTAGCCATTCCAGAAAAATGTTGAGCTTCTTAATACTATTTTATTTTCCTCTTTTTTCTGTCAATGAATCAACTATCAAACTAAAATCAAGGCAGAAAATGTTTAGCTGTATATTCATACTAACATCAAGACAGAAAACTTGTAGCTGCACATTCATTTGCTCTGGATCTAGAAGAAAAATAAACGAATCCCTGCCTTCTCTCAATTAACACTGCTCTAGAGAACTATGCTGCTTTTTACAGAATAATCTAAAACCTCCTGTGTATGCTGTTATTGTCTATGTAACTGTAAACCTGATATGATGCTTATAGTATCTTTGGCTGCTAATTTAGTCCATAATCACAAATCACAATTATTCGTGATATAAAGACACAAAAGATAGAGAGATGATCAAAATAAAGGGACTGCCTTGAAAATATCTCACCCATATAAGAGAGACAGCACAAAATCAAAATCAAAATGTGATCATATAATAATTAAATGCTATTAGAGGATAATGCACAAAATTATGTCTTACCATTTTCTACATGAACATATGGTGTTTTTATAGTAGAAGAAAAAAATACATTTTTCTTACTTTAAAGCTCTTCAAAGTTAAACGTGTATCTCTTGCACCAGCACTAATTGGTTGCAACTCCAGGAACTTGGATCTGTAGTCCATGAGGGTAGAGCTCATTTATCCCTGGCTACTTCTGAAGTAGGACAGAAATGCTACTTCCCTTTAAAGTTTGCAGTTACGAGTCCTTGCATCTTCTCCCCCTCAAAGCAAAGCAAAAACAAATGAACACAAAGGAAAGGAAGGTTTACATTATGGCTACTAAAAGATATGTTTCTGGTAAGTCCTCTCATCACCTAACCACACAAATGCATGGAACTTTAAAGATGCTGTGGTTTCTTCCTAGCCTCTACAGGCTCTTTTTTTTTACTGAAGGCTTTATATGCTGCCATGTCCCGGGCTAAGAATTTAGAGATGAGAAGTCCACTTAGCATTGAGGGATAAACAGTTCACCGGAAGAGACTTCTACCACAGAACTCCAACAGAAAATGCTTCTTTTATTGAAGACACTTGGGCATTCAAAAATTCAAGTCCAACATGACAAATGTGGGGGTAACGAATAAATCCAAGATGGCGCCATCAACTGTAACATAATTGGATATCTCATCATCTAATGCTTGCTCCAGGAGTATGATAACTGCTTCAGACATATTTCATTTTTCACGTATTCTTAGCAAAAACTAAAATTCAGCATATCCCCTGCAAGACCGAAGATATCATGATTTTTCTCATCTCTCAGAATACTTTGGTACAAATGTTTAGAAAACTGTGAGCTGTAGAGAGTGATTTCACAATTGGTATATGGAAAGTCCTCAGAGAATGAAGTATTGTAATGTAACTTAAGTCACATGAGACTGGATATACTTCTGGAGTCCAGCCCATTAAAATAGAACTACATGGGATCCTATTCAACAAGTTTTTCCATTAAGATGAATAAGACTAAAACGTCCATCAGCAGCAATGTCCTCCAAATGTAGCTATGAAAAATAATTATCCAACCCTAGTTTCTTGGTCTATTTCAAAATCTATCTCAGAACAGACAGTGCCCCTCTTCTATAAGATGAGACACTGCTTGCTTGTCACACATTAAATTTTACTTAATATATAATTTCTCTTCAGATACAAGATCCAAACAAGTTTTTTCCATTCTGAACAAAAATGTATGAGAAAAGACTCCTCTTCTCTCCCAATAGCTATTCTCAGCTCTATTTTAATGCAAATTAGAATTATACTTTCATTATTATGAATTAGAAATACATAATCAAAAGCGCGTTTGAATTTTATTTGATATAAGCCGCCTCATACCACAAATGCTAATGGACCCATGACTATACAATTCCAATTTAGGCTGGGCATGGTGATGCATGCCTGTAGTCCCAGCTATTCAGAAGGCTGAGGCAGGAGAATGGCTTGAACTCAGGAGTTCAAGACTAGCCTCAGCAACATAGTAAGACCCCCATCTCTTAAAAAAAAATTTTTTTTAAGAAAATAACTTATGAAAACAATAAAACCCTGATTTGTAGATTCCCCTGCCCTTGAAATCTTCAGAGAATGTTATTAAATTATTTTAACAAATATAAAAGATATAATCAATTGAAAAGTCTTATTGGCTACATTTTCATCCATTCTGTCTATCAACAGATGCTTATAGACTACCTACTGGAGTCAGGCACTGGACTATGCACTTGGGAACAAATAACACACAGTCATTGACCTCAAGAGACTCTTGTCTGATGTAGAAGAGAGAGGTGTAAACAAACAATTACAAAACAGTGAGACTGCAGTATGTATGGGAGCTAATGGAGATGAGAAGAGAAGGTGCCTAAGAATGTGGGGAGAATCATGAAATGTTTCATAGAGGATGTAACATGACATTAAACTTTATTTAAAATGTGAGGGGCTGACGGGCGCCTGATTATACCTATAATCCCAGCACTTTGGGAGGCCAAGGTGGGAGGATCGCTTGAGTTCAGGAATTTGAGACCAGCCCAGGCAACATAGTGAGATTTTATCTCTACAAAAATTCAAAAAAAAAAAAAATAGCCAGGCACAGTGGCGCGGTCCTGTAGTCCCAGCTACTTGAGGGGCTGAGGTGAGCAGATTGCTTGAGCCTGGGAGGTCAAAGTTGCAGTAAACCCTGATTGTGCCAATGTACTCCAGCCTGGGTGACAGAGCAAGACTCTGTCTCAAAAACAAACAAACAAAAACAATGTGCGTGGTAATTGAGAAACTGCATTTTAGCAGAGGATTCCATGTGTAAGTGCCAAGAGGCAGGAAAGAAGATAAAACGCATGGAAAACTGCAAGTGGTTCCATATGAAGGGAAGTGCTGGGATCTGAAGTCACGAATATCGCCGAGGAGAATATCTTGAAGAACATGGAGGAGGGGCTGTCTCAGGAGAGTCCCTGAAGGTTTTAAGTAGGGTAGGCTACAGCCCAGACCAGAGTTGCCTTTTATACAGCATTCCCATCACAACTGGGAGGCTGGACTGGAGGAAAGCAAGACTAGCAGCCAGGAGTGCAACTGGGAGTTGATGCAGTGGTACTGGCTGAGCCCATCAGGGTATGAACCAACACAGAAGAGAGAGAAGTCACCAGATAGACACTTTGCAAGTAGAATGGACAAGACTCAGTGACTTAGGTAAGAATGTGGGGAGAGAGGAAAGATGATGGGCAGATTTCTTGATGGACCTTGAGCTCTTGTTTGGAGGATCTGTCTGGGAAATTCTGTCACTTACTATTCTTGGTGGGAAAATATCCCTGTCGATCTGAGAAGCTCATCTTGTTAAGCAGTGAACTTCGGAAACAAAACACGGCATGAATATGGAAGCACAGGGGTCAGGGTTGTATCACTTTTACAGTCAACTGGGTGGATAATAGTGTCGTTAATCAAGACAACGTATTAGGAGTAGAAATAGATTTTGAGGGGAAGGAGCAATCGGCTGTCATGAATTCCATTTGGGGTAAGTTGAGATTGAGAGGTGTCTTTTAAGTTCAGATGAGGATGTTCTATCGGGAGTTGGTTAAACGGATCTAGAGTTCAGAGGACAATTGGGGTATAGAAATTTGTGAGACATCAGAGAATTGATGATAGTTGAAGCCACGAACTAGACTTCAACAATAATTGCTGTGCTTTAGTGGTATATCAGATTTTATCAAAATCGAATTCCCTTTTTTTTTTTGAGATGGAGTCTCGCTCTGTCGTCCAGGCTGGAGTGCAATGGCGCGATCTCGGCTCACTGCAACCTCCACCTCCTGGGTTCATGACATTCTCCTGCCTCAGCCTCCCAAGTAAATGGGATTACAGGAGCACACCACCACATCTGGCTAATTTTTTGGTATTTTTAGTAGAGATGGGGTTTCACTATGTTGGCCAGAATGGTCTTGAACTCCTGACCTCAGGCAATCCGCCCGCCTCGGCCAAAATCCATTTAGCCTCCCAAAGTGCTGGGATTACAGATGTGAGCCACTGCACCCTGCCATCAAATTCTTCACACAATAGTTATTGACTCATCCAATAAATAGTAATGAGCACCTTCTAGTGTAAGAACCTGAGTGAGAAGCTTCAAGTAGAACTATGAAAAAGACAGAAGCCGCCCATCCCAAGACATGTATATTCTACAAGGGGATTCAGATGTTAAGCTGGTTGCACAATATATTGTTTAATTATATTTGGGACTAGGACCACAAAGAAGAAATATAGAGCTTTTAATGGAGAAACAAAATGAGTTCAGTGGCAAACTAGAGTTTCATGTAAGATTCTCTGAAAAGCTACTTTGAGGTAAATTTTAAAAGTGAATTAACCAGGCAAAGAGAAGAAAAGAGCATTCCAGGTAGAAGTAATTGGATATGCAAAGGACCTGAGGCAGAAAAGGATGGTAGAATACCCCAGACTATGAAAGCAAGTTAGTGGAACAAGCAGAAACATATGTAAACATGCCAACTTACTAAGTTTAAAAAAGTACTTTCTTTGGGCAAATATTAAGTAAATTTGATCATAATATAGAAGTGTGGTATCCATGCCATCTGAGGTTTTATGCCTGTTGTTTAGAACTCAAAGAAAGAAAGCATAAATATAGTCTGAAGACAGAACAAATTAATATAAGAATAACTTCACTGAATACTACTGCACTCCTCACAGCTGTGCAAAGTCATGTTCCTCATAGAGAAAGTGAGAAAACAACCACTAAGATAGACTTCAACACCGTAGCTAGATGGCTGTATAGACATACTACAGAAGAATATGTTATTTTTATAAGCATTTAATTATAAAATATCCTCAAAGCACATGAGATTCAGGAATAAAAAAGATCAATGGTATTTTTCTCTTCAGATCCAGAAGGAGGTCACACATTCATTTAGGGTATTTTAGCCTCCTAGTTCCCTTCTGTTCTCAATATCCAACTTCTAATGGCACCTGGCTCTGCCATATGTAAGCTATCACCTGTAGCTACTTCACTCCCATAAAAACCAAGCCCCAAGATAAGACTGTGCAATGCCAACCAGAATAATTATAAATAACTGCAACAAAACATTTCCATTTCTCTCACTTCCGAGAGTATTTTGGGCTATATTTTCCGAATAATTGCTCATCTCAACTTGCCTATGTACATTTAACCCACTCAAGCCAAAGTTGATAGCAGCTGCACATCCAGAAGGAGCTTACACACAGTTGAGGGCATTCAAAATTGTTTTATGGATGAGGCAAACATTGTCTGAGACATTGTGTCATGCCCTACCGTTTCTGCAGATTTCCAGGAGACCTTTCATCTTACCTAATGTTTCACAAAGGACATCGCTGTAGCATCTCCACCTCCTCGTGGTTTCACATATAACGGCTGCAGCCCTCTCTCGCACTGCACCATGGGGCTGCATGGGAAATCCATGAAAGACCTTCAACAGATCTGACTCCGGCAAGTCATAGGCCCAGAAGAGAGAAGCACATGAGCTTGTGTCTTTCTAATCAAAACCAAAATCCAGAGCTTCTCCACAATATCATAAAAGCAAAACCATCACATTTGTGAAAAAAGCAGAGCATATGGTAATGGGATCATTAAGATCAGCCCTAAAGTATGTTCACAAATATCATGACAGCGTTGTGGATACTAATTGCTGTCTAAAAACACCACTTCAGCCTAAGTGCTAGTATTAGACAAGGGTACATTCTATGAAATCTTGTTGGGCCCTTAATTGAAAGGGTCATTAAAAATTTACTGAAGGGGATACTGGAAACACTATAAAGGACAAAAGGTGTGTTTGATGCTCCATTCATTGTCAAGGATGCCACATCAAGTGTCAAGCGCTAGGGGTCAAGATAGGAGAGAATGGATTTGAAGGCAATGGTACAGAGAGCTTTTTTACATGAAGACCAAGCCCAGGGCTGCCTGACTTTAGGCTCTGTGAAATACACTGTGATGAAGCATTGGTGGTCCAACACACTTCCCATCTAAGAAATGTACCTATGAATTTACATCTTATGAATATTTGATCCAGCTACAAATATGAAAAAAATCAGCAGTCTCTGAATTATTTCATTGTTTTTGCCAAAGTCCTAAATTATTTTTCCTGTAATAAAATAAAATGTATTGGGTGGGAATAAGAGTCCAAAAAGGCAAATACCAACTCAAGCCCGTTAAAACTAAGGTTCCAGCCATGCTGATTTTCTTTACGACATAAGCGGTCTACTTGGCTGATAGCAGCAGAGACTTGGGTCAATACTGTCATTCCCACCTGCCAGCACTGCAGACTTCATGCATTCTCCCTTGAATTAACTTGACCACAGGCTATTTCTTGTAGGGTATAATGAAGAAATTGGCCAAAGTTCCTGCAAGAGATATAATGTTGACATGAATTCTTTAAAACACATAAACAAACCTTGAAGACTAGAAAGGTCATGGTGAAAGAAGCAAATTTCTTTACTTTAATATTTATGGGAAGAAAAGAATTCTAATCTGGGAAGTGACTTATGAGCAATAGCAATAGGTCGGGGCAGAATGTCACATGTGACCATGGGGACCAGACAGGTTACTAATCTTTGGTAAGGACTGTGGGGAGATGCTGTAGGTGTGCTGTGCTGTGTGTGTGTGCGCGTGTGCATGTGTATGCAAGTGTGTGTGCATGCTAAAACAGCAAGATTAAAACATTCTAACCAAAAGAATTTGTTCTATGCTGAAAGTTCACAGAAAGATAGTACACTTAACATTTGAGAAAAATAAGATTTTTAAAAAGTGAACAAGTATGTCCTCGGTAGTTACAGAGACTGCTGGCAAGGAAAATCCCTTGAGGACTGCCAAGTGTGTCTTGATATCCAAAAGAATGAATGCTGAGCCAGAAATGTTGTGAAATGGGCTCCATGATTTCATCCCCTGATATTTATGCCCTTGTGTTGTTCCCTCCCACTGCGTGTGGGCAGGACTGTGAGTCGCTTCTAACTGATCACATATGGCAAAAGTGTTGGGATGTCCATGACTCCGTGTATGTGTTTACTTTACGTAAGGCTGTAATCCTTGTCATCAGAGGAGAGTATCTCCCTTGCTGGCTGCAAGAAAGAAAGCAGCCATTCTGAAAAGACCCATGTGGCAAGGAACTGAAGGCAGCCTCCAGCTGATGGGCAGCAAGAATCTTAGGCCCTCAGTCCGGCAGCCTGCAAGGAACTGAGTGCCAGAAGTGGATTCTTCCCCAGTCAAGCCTCAGATGAGTCTACAGACCTGGCTGACACCTTGAAAGAAGCCTCCTGAGACTCTGAAGCACAGGACACAACCAAGATTTGCCCAGACTCCTGACCAATGAAACTGACATAATAAGTCTGTGTTGTATGTAAGTAGCTAAGTTTGTCACAAGTATTATTACACGGCAATAAATAATTAATACAGAACTAATACTGATGCCAAAGGCTTTGACTTTGACTCAGTTCTTTTTTTTTTTTTTTTTTTTTCTTGGATATGGGATTTCACTCTGTGGCCCAGGCTGACGTGCAGTGGTGCAATCAGCTCACTGCAGCCTTGACCTCCTGGGATCGAGCAATTTTCCTGTCTTCAGTCTCCTGAGTAGCTGGAACTACAGGCATGCACCACCGTTCCTGGCTAATTGTTTTATTTTTATAGAGACAGGGTCTCACTGTGTTGCTCAGGCTGGTCTGGAACTCCTGGGCTCAAGGGATCCTCCCACCTCAGCCTCCTGAAGTGCTAGGATTACAGCACACCCAGACTGACTAGGTTCTTTCATCCCTAGGGGCTTCTCCTTTATACAATGTGATCACCCACATGTGCTACCAAAAAATCCAAAGAAGATTATAACAAAGTTATAGAGGGCCAGATTTTATGTCGAGATATCACTAAATGGAACAATGTAATACATAGAAGAAATTATAGAATTCACAGCTGTGGATCTCCATTTATCTTCCAAGGAGAACGAATTCTGACTTTCTAAAGAAGCAGTAACAATCCATCTTCTGTGGAATATAAAAAAACATAGTTGTGTCTGTAATGTAGCCTATGATACATTAGAAGGAGCTTTGGAGGCAGACAGATTGAGGTTCAAATCCCAGTTTTTCTCTTTACAAACTTGGATAATATATTGAGTTTCAGTTTACTCATTCAAACAATTGAAACAATCAAACCAACCCCAGTGTTGAGAGAAAATGAATAAGATACATAACTTGGGCATCAACCACAGGAGGAAAATAAATACTAGTTCTCCTCCCCTTTCTTTATCCCATAAGATTAATGCATCTTAGATTTTAGAAGAGAATATTTTAAAACAAAATCAGGGAAAATACAACACTAGAAGGAAATGTGGCCCAAGAAGTGTTAGATGCACTAAACATGAAAACCTGATTATATAATTATGCATAGTATTAACAAAGAGGAATTATCCTAAGAAATCACAGTAGTTGCTTAGAGTACCCTCCAATAAATCCTTCTTTTTCTCTTTTTTTTTTTTTTTTTTTTTTTTTTGAGACCAAGTCTCACTCTGTTGCCCAGGCTGGAGTGCAGGGAGTGCAGTGGTGCGATCTCGGCTCACTGCAAGCTCCACCTCCTGGGTTCGAGTGATTCTCCTGCCTCAGCCTCCTGAGTGTCTGGGACTACAGGTGTGCACCACCACACCCAGCTAATTTTTGTATTTTTAGTAGAGACGGGGTTTCACCATGTTGGCCAGGATGGTCTTGATCTATTGACCTCATTATCCACCCACCTCAGCCTCCCAAAGTGCTGAAATTACAGGCTTTAGCCACCACACCTGGCCAATAAATCCGTTTTTTAAGTGTGTGAATGAAAAAGAAAGGACAGTTGTATAATCCAAGGTTCAGAGTAGGAGGAGGAAGAGGAGGAGACAATGGACCACAAGAAGAGGGCCACAGAGACCACAGGCCAGAAAGAAACTTAGGCCAAGCTTGGTGGCTCACACCTGTAATCCCAGCACTTTGGGAGGCCGAGGTGGGTGGATCACTTGAGATCAGGAGTTCGAGACCAGCCTGACCAATATGGTGAAACCCTATCTCTACTAAAAATACAAAAAGTAGCCAGGCATGGTGGTGGGCACCTATAATCTCAGCTACTCGGAAGGCTGAGGCAGGAGAATTGCTTGAACCCAGGAGGCGGAGGTTGCAGTGAGCAGAGATCACGCCACTGCACTCCAACCTGGGTGACAGAGCAAAACTCTTTCTCAAAAAAAAAAAAAAAAAGAAGTAAACTTAGCCTGGCAAAAAGTGCAAAGACAGAAACACATCTACTGTGCTGTATTCAAAACAAAGAAGTGAAAAATAAAAGGAATACTATCTTTGGTTGGTGAAGATGTGCAATATTGTCAGGTAGTACAAAACAAACTGCTTTTACTTTGCACTCATCTTTACCAAGAAGGGCGATCATCAAACAGAAAAGAGAAGAATAGACATAATTAAGATACAATCAAAGAGTAAGATTATGGAGATAATAGGAAAATTGTAACTTGGCTCAGATAATTACTCCCAGGAGAAATAGTTTGCAAATACAATTGGAGAACCACTTCCAGTAATTTGTTTAAAATCTTATAGAACCAGAGAAGCCAAAAAACTACAGATAGGCAAAAAAATTGATTTTTAAATAGTAAATGCTTGATAAATCTTGATACTGATACTCGACTAAATTCTCTAATGGATAATCAAACAGATGCTTGGTAAGCACTTTGAGAGAAGAAATTATCATCACTAGGAGCCAAAATGGGTTCACTTAAGAAGATGTTAGGCCAAACAAATTTTATTTATTTCTTTAAAAAGTGACTGCATTGGTAAATTAGAAGATGCTAGAAGCATACTTATAAGATCTAGAAATTAGAACTGAAATAATTATTTTTAATTTTATATTTAGACTAGAGGGATAGGACTTGAGAGAAGTGCTATCTTCAAGTGTTTCAAAGACTATCATGGTAAAGGAAATATGGTTCATCACATGGACACAGGGAGAGGAACATCACACACTGGGGCCTCTCGGGCAGTCAGGGGAAGAGGAGGGAGAGCATTAGAACAAATACCTAATGCATGCAGGGCTTAGAACCTAGATGACAGGTTGATAGATGCAGCAAACCACCATGGCACATGTATACCTATGTAACAAACCTGCACGTTCTGCACATGTGTCCCAGAACTTAAAGTAAAATTAAAAATAAATAAAAGAAAATATGGTTCATGTACACCATGGAATACCATACAGCCATAATAAAGAATGAAGTTATATCCTTTGCAGCAGCGTGGATAAGACTGGAGGCCATCATCCTTAGCAAACTAATGCAGGAACAGAAAATCAAATACCCTGTGTTCTCACAAGCAGGAGCTAAGCATTGGGCACAGATGGATATAAATATGGGAACAATAGACACTGTGGACTACTAGAGGGTGGAGAGACAGGGATGGGTTGAAAAAACCACCTATCAGGTACCATGCTCACTACCAGAGTGATAGGATTTGTGCTCCAAACCCCAGCATCAGGCAATATTTTCATGTAACAAATCTGCACATGTACCATGTATTACAAGGAGTTAAAATTACTGAGCATTGCTGCACCCTTCAAATCGAAGCTCAGATGACTTGAGGAGTCTCTCTGATCCCTCGGGTTTAGAGTTGAAATCCTTGCTATATGTTGCTATCACGCATTTACATTTCCACGATTGTAGTGTTTTTGTCAGAATGTATTATGATTGCTTGTTTAATTGCCAACCTCTCCAGTGGGATGTAAGATCCATAGAGCAAGGACCAAATCTATCTTTTTGGTTTGTTTTATCCTCAGGGTCTAATACCAGACCCCATACATGGAAAGTGCTTTATAAATACTTGCCAGTGGAATGAATGGATGAGAAAGTAAAGGAATTTTCAAAATGTGTGCTTCACAACGATGTGGTTTTCATCTCAATATCAGGAGGAACTGTCTTATAATTAGGAAAGAAATTATAAATTCCTCATTCTAAAAGTGTTCAAGAAGAATATGAAAACCAAATGATCCATACAGCATTCCATATAGTGGAATGGAAGTTCAATTCGATGGCCTCTAAACTCCCTTCTAACTCTACTCAAAAATTCAAAGCCGTATCACCTTTTAACATAAAATCAAAGTGCACAGCCCCAGAATTCCAGAGGCACAATAGCTGCGCTAAACAGTGAGCTCCTGAAGGCTGGTTTTATTCTTTTGTTGTCTCCTACCTTGCCTAGAACAGAGCTTTGCCCAAGCTGACAGTTAATAACTGTTGATAAATAAATGGCTGCAATAAATGTAGATTGTTTCTGAAATGAAAACAACAATGAATATATTCAGTCTGACCATCTTATTTCACAGAAATAAGTTCTTTCCCGAAGATTGAGGTGACTTCTCAAAAGTCATCCAGCTACTTGGGGACACAGCCAAGACTTTATACAGTTTACTGCTATTTCCACCAGTCTAGGTTGCCTTAAAGACTCTTTACGGAAACAACTGAAGACAAAAAACCCAAGGACTCAAGACATCTAGACCATCTGGGGACATAAAAAGCATCTCTATAGTGAAAAACCAAGGGATCAAGTCATCACTGTAGTAAATCCAAGAGGGATGTTGACCAGGATCAGAAGAGATAGCACAGAGAACCAGAGGTTCATTGCATTTCCAGGTGATCCATACAGTGTTTTGTACAGTGGAATCGAAGTTCAATTCAATGGCCTCTGATCATTGCATTTCCTAAAGTAAATTAGGGCTAGACAAAATAATAATAACAATAGCATCATATGTTAAGGCTCTCCTCAAAGGGCTGAGCCAACTCATTAAAGTTCAGTGTCTATAACTACAACATAAAGAAAAGTGGGCAAGTTACTGTCACTTGGTTACCTTGGTCAAATAAAAATTCAGTTGTAGAATGTAATAAAGGAGATTTTTTTGGCCTGGTTCTCTGCATATACATATAATTAACGTATATCATGACGATCAATTTTAGGGCCTTTCTTATTTCTACTGGTGGTCTATATTAATCTAAATCAAAAAAAATAGGAAATCATTATGAGAATTTTCACTCTGTAGCTACAGTCCATAGGTCCAGGATCAACAGAAAAGTTTTACCCAGCAGTATTTCCTAGGACGACATGCTGTTTCTTTCCTTTTGTAGAACTATTTGACAAAATGACAAACTGTTGCATTTGTCCATTCAAAGGATATTCAGAGAATGCCCATTGCATGGTGGCCACTTTGATGACATACATTGCAAAACATAGTCCCCTTAACAGTCAAGAAGGCCAGAACCAAGGACCGGGTACTGTGGTCATTGCTTCATTAGCAGTAGATCCGGTTCTATGGGAATCCAAACAAGGGGGAACGGGGCCTGCCAGAGGAGCTAATGCTGGAGGGGAATCTTGAAGTGACAGTAGAAGTTAGCTGGCTAGACAATGGGTCACCATTGTTTCTGGCATAAGGCAGAGCATTTGCAAAGGCACAGTCATGGCAGGAACTTCAGGCAATCTGGTGTGGCTGAAGTTTGTGGATCATTGAAAGGAGGTGCTCTAACCACTCTGGTCATTTAGCTTGGAACAGGGACAGTCAAGGACTTTTTCCTACTCTTTATCCTCCCTGTCTCTATGTGTGTCAGGCTCTCTCTCATGCTCTCCAGAGGTATTACAATAACTTCCTAACTATGCTCCCTCCTGCCAATCTTTCTTTCCACTTTTCAATGCATCCTCTACACTTCAAAAGATTTCACTTTCCAGAATGCAAATCTGATCATGTCATTCTCCAATTCAATCTTTGCCTATCAGATAAAGTCCAAATTTCTTGGTGCAAAGCATGAACATTTTCCATTCTGGCCTCTTGCCTTTCTAACTTTATCTGCTAACTCTTCCCACCTCACAGCTGAAAATGCAGCCTGGTAATGCATACCTACTCAACATCCCCTCACATCTGCTGCACCTCCTCACACCTCTGACCTTTGTACCTAGTGTTTCCTCTGACTAGAATGCTTTTCACGGAGAGAGATCAAACTCACCTTCAGTAAAGCCTTTCCCCACACGACTACAAAGTCCTTCCTCCATCTCCCCGTAGTCCCCTATACAAATCTCTACTCATCAATTTGCACAATATATTGGGTCTTTTTAACTTCCCCACCCAGAGGAATATCCGTATCTCAGTTTTCTTTGACTTACCATTACCCTTCAGAATTACCCAGTACTTGGCAAACAATAGATCCTTGAGGTTTGTTAAATGAATAAATGAGCCACTATTTCTTCATATTAAAATTGAAACCCCTTCTCAGTTTGACTTTTTGTTTAGACCCATCATCACCTATGTCTGAACATGGACAACGTTCCATCTCTCCCCTTTGATTTACACTTCTTGCAGGCCCTGCCTCACCTGTCAATCACCTGCTTTTTCCAAGCCATGGTCTCCAAAATCACCTGAAAGTCCTCCAATGCTGTGAGGATTCATCAGTCATGCAAAACACCCTACGGGTAAATAGTCACAAACACCTTCATTAAAAATAACCTGTGCATGCTTTACACATCCGATGATGATGTGTAATTTTGAGTGTGAAAATTAAGGTGAAGCATATCTCATAGTGCTTCCACAAACAAAAAAAAGTGCTTAGAGAAAAAAGGCCTAAAAGTTAGTTCTTCCTGCCCTGGGATAAATGAATGTGTATAAACAGGAAAACCATAAGGAGTCCATACACTGATGTTCCTAGGAAGAGGGGAAGCGACACTTGTTCAGCAGGAAGAAATCACACTGGACTGCTGTTTATTCCTGTTCCTTCATGTGAACTGGCCCAGAATCCCTCCATTGTCCAAGGGAACAGATGGTAGGGAAGGGGAGTATTTACATGAAATTCCTGTGTTAAATTAAATCTGAAATTCGCATCCTAATTTCACAACTCTTTCCCAGAATGTGGACAAATACGTTGAGGCATTGATGGTTCAAAAGACTGAGTGGCTTCTGTAAAAGGTAGACTCAATATTGTGCAAATACAGATATATATATAAATATATATGAAATGGAAATTAATGTACTATTTGAAGGTAATCAGCCTTTCCACAATTATTTCATGGTCATGGATTTTGTGTTGATGCTGGTTAATTAGCCAAATATGAATTATATATGTATATTTTAAGTAAGTGTGCATGCATATTAAAGGATTTTTCCCTTTATTTCATTATGAAGCAACTCATTTGATGTGGCTCTGCATAAAGCTCTAATACACATCAAAAAGCAATCAACAAACTCTTCGAGTACATCAAGCAGGATAATTTAGATGGTTTTTAATCATGATTATGAAAATATAATTAGGTGGTTTCATGTTTGTTGTTCAGTACATGTAAGGAAAAGTGATTCTCCAAATAGAAACTGTGGGCAATATTACACAGAAACCACAAGAGAACTGTGCACATGAGACACAAGTGTGAGCACATGCTCACTCACACGTGCATGTACACACACACACACACAAGAGGGTCCCTTTCTTTAACACATCAGCAGCTCTCATATTTAAAAAGAATATTATTTCTTTCATAGTGTCAAAAGAAATCTTATTTAATAAACTGATTATCTAGAAGTAGGTTTGAAAAATGCCTCCCTTTAATGTCATCATAAACTTTAGCCGTTGCCTGCAATTTAAAACAAATCCTCCCTGCCATAGCCCCTACAGAAAGAGTGGGGAGGCTCATCAGGGCTGAAGCAGCTCATGTGTCATTAGTGACCCCTGGGAGTCGGCACAGTCGTGGATCTGCACAGCTAAATGATTATGCACTCGTGGCTTTTAGTAATCCATTTGAAATAAACCTCATATTTATCTATCTCCAATCACCCAGTTTAGAAGTCAAAGGATCTGTAAGTTCTCACACAGAAGGATGAGTCACACACAAGCAAACTGCTGTCTCATGCCCACCTATGCAGGCATCCCCTACCACGGCCAGAAGAGATGACATGAGGGACTTAAGGGACTCCATTCCCCCTGTCCCCCATGGTCTCTCTTGCTCCAGGGTTCCCTGGTGGGCTCTCCCAAGCCACATTTTATTTTTTTCCCTGTGCAGACAGAGTTGATTACTGGCCCTCTTAGAAAAATCCATCCTTCCTAGTCCATCTCAGAAATCATGTATAGGAGCCTGGGGTTGTGCTTGGAAGTAATTTGGTCACCAGCAAGCTGGCCCCTTTTATTGAGAAATTCAAAGAGTTGCAGCGCCATGACTTTAACGAAGCCACAATTAGAGCGGCTTTCTTCCAGCACTGTGTGTAATCTGTTTTACCACAGAAATACAAAGTTGCTGTCTATGCACACAATTTTAGCATTTCTGGTTTTTATGCCATCTTACTTACAAGAAACTCCCAGCTGTTATAATTTGTCTCATCCATCGCTCTCTTGTAGAGCCAGCCTTTGTTCCTTTTTTTCAGTGCCAGGGACTTGCTGGGTTTCACCTGATGTGATTTGTCCAGGCATTAATAATGCATCTTCAAGATGCAAGATGCATGAATTCCTTTAGTAACGGATCTGCTGGCAGAGGGCTGTATGGTATTGTACAGTTTTGCTGCAAAAAAGGTAAGGCAAGGGACAAAAGGAAGGTCATCAGCCTTGGGAGTGAGGGTACCAGTTGTTTCGGAAGGTCATTGCAACCAGCTCATAGTAAAGGCAAGGGCATGCTGAGGATAATAAACATTCGACCAACAATTCCTTTTTTTAAAAAAAAGTTATTGCCAAATCTGCAACTCATAACTCGTCCCTATAAATGAAAGTGAGTTGCACATTCAGATGACTATTCAGGAAGTCCAGGATGCTGTCTGTCTTCATGTCTTACTTGGTCTATCAAAGGATATTTCCTACTTACAGATCTTCATTCTCCCTTTGGATTTTGGAGCACACTCCAGCTACCTTCTCAGTGGCCTTGATGTGATTGTTGTTAGTGCTACTCGTATGCATTTTTTATCATCTTGCATTTGTAAAGAGCTTGTATTTTCAAGTGCTTTATAATCATTAATAAGTTATTTCTCACAATTATCCCAAAAAGTAGGGCAGAGTTCTTTTCTCGATGTCACAGTTAAGGAAAAAGAAGTGCAGATAGGTCACAATGCCAAAAGTTCACAGGGAGTATACATTCCAAAGTTGGAATAAGGTCACATTTAGAGGGTCACCCTACCTCCAACACCAAACAGCTACCTCTAGAGTGGGAATGGGAACAACAGAAGGCAGAATGTGGAACTCAATTAGAAATAACCAGGTTGCTTAGTGGACACATTCATAAACCCTTCAGAAAATAATCCTGCTTCAGATGACCAGGTTTTGAACTCAAGATTAGCAGTGCTACCTGGTTCCAACATCATAGGCTTTCTTAAGAAACCATGAATTGCCTGTGTAATGTTGAAATCAAAAAGTTCAGCCATGGACTGAAACGGTAGCTTGTGCAGATGATCATTTAACTTTCAGTTTCTATAAGGACTCCTGACAAGATTTGTCAATATTCAACCGAACCACACTTTCTGTACAGTCATTAGAGTAGGTTCACCTGCCTCCTCCTCTCATTCTGCCAACCTCCCACCCCCCAAAAAAAAAAATTTCATTTAATCAATAACATTTGCTTTCAGGGCAGCTCTCCTTTACTGCTGTTCCATCTCTGTCTGGGTTACCATAGCAACTATTCTCAGAGCAGTGTGATACCCAGTTTATACATTTCAGCCCTGTCACGTGACTGACTACCTGCTTCTACTTTAATCATTGCTGGAGGGAACACTCAAAAAGTGGCTGCTTCCTGCTTCCTGTTGCAGTCCACCAAACTGCCCTCATGTTTTACATTTCCTCCCTCAACCTAGAAAACACGTGTTAATTGTGCTGACTTCCAAAGCAGAGAAGAGGGAAGGCTACTGGGGTAGGTGAGAGTACCCAGATTGCTAGAATTAGCAGAGCCTTCCAGGCCCTACAGCCAAATTCTCCTTTTTCCCTGTAGAGATACTTTTGTATTTAGAAGGCCCCCTTTCTAAGATCTTAATTGTAGAGGAAAAGATGTGTCTGACCTCATCCTAGCCTGAGATCCATCTTCCAGCGGCCCCACGACCTTCGAACACTCGTCTCCATTCATGTGGCCATTTCGTGGGCCCCCTGCAAGGCAAGGCCAGGAACTAGGGACCTCAGGAGCCTCCCTTGTTGCAACTTTGAGAGGTCTGTTTAAATCACATTATAAAGCTAATGAAACACAGCTAATGAAGCACAGATGTCCCATCAGATTTGGAGCTCTGAGTCCCCGTAAAAGCCCAGTAAAAATAAATGAAAGGAGCCTTGTATCCATGGAAATGGGCAGCTCACATGCTAATCCTTCCCCTCACCCATTTATGAGTTCATTACCATTTCTAATTCCAGGGCTTCTGAAAGCATTTGTGGCTTCTGGGTCAGTCATTTCCTGGAACTCATGGCAGGCTGGGCTCGAACATCCTTGGCCTGGCCCCTTTATTCAGAGATAGAGGAAAGTAAAGAGGTGTATATTGCTTATCAGTTGCACAAGCTCCTGGTTACCTTTTTTCCTTCTGAGATGCTGGGAAGAATCTAGAGTCCTGTGTCCTCCTGGGACCTAGCAGAAGGATTTCCATGACCAGGCTCCTATGTCTGTCGGCAATAGCCGTGGTGAACCAGATCGGGAGTGGTCTGATACCAAACAGCTTTTCTGTCAGAGTCAGTTACACCCCACATTCATCATCTTTCAACGAACACAATATTCCTTCATTAAATGGAGTTGATTTCAGCTACCATTATACAGTTACTATTATATGACAAGGTAATGAAGAAAAGTAACAAAAGGGGGTAATTTTATTGGGGAATAGGGTTAGACTGAATCAAGGCACTCCCTGGAATGACGGGTGTGGGCAGGACGCTTAGGGAGCTCTAAGAAGCACCATGAGGACATCAGCTACCCAGGGGTGGAGGGTCCAAGGAGAGGGAATATGCTACAAAAAGAAGAAGAAAAGGAGTATAGAACATCTTCAGAAACAAGACCTGCCTCTCTCACAAATTTGGCTCAATGAGATAATTGAGCGGCTTCTTGGGATATAGGACAAGGGATGATGGGGGCCACTGCCCATCAGAAACCTTGCTTCCTAAAATTTTTTGGCTACTGGGTAATGTTCATTCTCTTTCTTGGGTATTTTTTGTTGTTGTTTGTTTGTTTGTTTGTTTTTTTGTTTTGAGACGGAGTTTCACTCTTGTTGCCCAGGCTGGAGTGCAATGGCACGATCTCAGCTCACCACAACCTCCACCTGCCGGGTTCAAGTGATTCTCCCGCCTCAGCCTCCCGAGTAGCTGGGATTACAGGCATGTGCCACCATGCCCAGCTAATTTTGTATTTTTAGTAGAGACAGGGTTTCTCCATGTTGGTCAGGCTGGTCTTGAACTCCCAACTTCAGGTGATCCACCAGCCTCGGCCTCCCAAAGTGCTGGGATTACAGGTGTGAGCCACTGTGCCTGGCCTTTCTTGGGTATTTGTTTATAGAAATAGGTATTTCATGTTGGAGCCAAAGTGGTTCTCTCAGGGAGGCCCTTGGGGGATAAATCTCCACATGTTTTATTTTTGAAATATAATTTTAGAATTTTAAATTCTCAAAGATGTATTCTGAAGGAAGAGAACATGTTCTCAATTTAAAAGTAAATATCTGAGTGTCAGTAATACCTCGCATTAATGTTCTCCCTTTAAGAGACTAATTGTACTTCTCTATCACTTAATCAGCCCCAGAAACTGAGGATAAGAGATGTTAGAGATGAGGAAACTGAGGCACAAGGAATAGAGAGACTTTCCTGGAGCCAGGCATTATCACAAGCACTAGAACTGAGGTTCCTTGTGATACATTTCAGACCCCAAGGAAGGAAGCTATAAGCCCTAGACATTCTTCCAAAACAATCAATTTTGTTCATCGTAATAGCTGAAAAATGAATGCTCTGTAAAAATGGTCCAAGAAATTAAAGCTTAGGCTTGTGATTATTACAGTGATTTGTCAGCGGTAGTGTATGATTTTTGGAAGAGCACCAGCTGTATTAACAAGAGAATAAGAGTGCAGTTCATTTTTCATTTACCTAATATAGATATCCTTGCTTCACCAAAGAAAGAGCTAAATAGAAGTGATAAAACACCAGCAATGGAGCAACATAAGTGACTTCACGGAAAATGATTTAATCCTTTCACCACCTGCTAACACGAGAGATTTTTACCACTGACTTATGTGAACAACTCTCTGAACTGTCAGAAATAGAAACAACCCTAACCAAAAAAAAAAATAAAACTGGAAAAGTTATGTGGGCAGCTAAGACCATTTAGCTACTCTCTCTACCATCTGACTCAGGGCCAGTGATGGGGGAAATGTATCACAAAAATTAAACACAGTGACCTATATGTTGACAGGAAAGGTGTGGAAAGAGCTGACGGCTTATAATGAGAAAATGTGGGATGTGTTTCATGGATCAACAACCTGTTGCTCAGAACTTTCTTCTCCCAGTTAAGACAAAGCAGCTAGACTTCAGCAGGCAACCTAATCTCCCAGCCCAAGCCGGCTTCCCAGCTGTCCTGGAGTTCTTTGGCTCACACTGTTTTTCCTTTCTAATCACTGTCCTCTTTTCTTCCTTAACCTTTTATTTAACACATCCTTTGTCACTCTTTTTTTTTTTTTTTTAAGAGACGGGGTCTGGCTATGTTGTCCAGGCTGGAGTTCAGTGGCTATTCACAGGCATGATCCCTCTACTGATCAGCATGGGAGTTTTGACCTGTTTCGTTCCCAGCCTGGGCTAGCTCACCTCTTCTTAAGCAACCTGGTGGTCCCTTGCTCCTGGGAGGTCACCATATCAATGCCAGATTCAGTGCAGACACCCGGCATAGCGCACTACAGCCCAGAACTCTGAGCTCAAGTGATCCTCCAATCTCAGCCTCCCCTCCTGAGTAGCTGGGACTGCAGGCCGGTGCCACCACACCCAGCCTCTGTCACCCTTAGTAACACGTTTCAGACAGAGTGGATTAGCCCAAATTCATAGAACATCCTACCTATTTAAGATGTTTAAGATAGAAGAATGTTCACTCAACAATTTCAAAAATGAAATCAAGACCAAAGTATTCGAATTATTTTAAAGCAAATTTAAGAAACTGCTGACATCATAAATTGAGAGACTTCCTATACTTGACAGAATGGATGCTTTGAAGTGAAAGAGTTGACATTTTAAGTTTCAGGCCTAAGAGTTAACTTTCGCTAATGCTGATGGCCCCAGCCAGAGGGTAGGCGTGTGATTTGGAGACATCAGGAGAGCAGTAGAAACCCATGCCTTGCACGGCTACCTTTTCCTCATTAATGCTCTTTCCAAAGTTAACAAGAGTTGAGAAGACTTAACTTCTCAGCGATACAAATTAAGCTAATATTTTGCACTTTGGAACAAAGTCCTCAGGAATATTTCTCAAGCTAATAGCTCTGCATCTTAACATAAACCGGAAGTAACTCTTTTCTATAGTAAAAGTGTGTTTCAAAGCCCTTGGCATCTCTTGTCTCAAGTGGGTCTTCATGATCCTACAGGGGAAGGAAAGTATTTTACAGATAAGCTACCAGAGTTGAACGGCATCTGATGGCCCCACAAAAAGCTGGGGCAGATTTGCTCCAGAATCCAGCTCTGCCAGTGCCTGATCTCTGCTCTATGTGTGGCCACATCTTTCTAAGATCTCATACTCAAATAATACATCAGTTTGATCCGCTGACCCAGTGTCTCTACTTCTTTTGGAGAAGTATGACTAATATATAATTGAGTGGGCCGGGTGTGGTGGCTCACGCCTGTAATCCCAGCACTTTGGGAGACCGAGATGGGCAGATCACCTGAGGTCAGGAGTTTGAGACCAGCCTGGCCAACATGGTGAAATATATATATATATATATAATTGAGTAACTAAAATAGCAGATTCCTCAAAACTACATCTTGAAAACGTAGTGCTTATTCTTGGATTAGAAATAAAGCTATCTCTTGCTTTCTTCAAAAGTTGTAAGTAAATTTTATAACCAAAGAATTTTAATGATTAACTGAATAATTTAATCCAAGTCACTATAACCAAATGAATGCTGGACCAGGGGCTCTGAGTTTTACTCCTGATTTTACTACTGTGAGATTTCTAGGTATCAATTCTCTTCTTTGTAAAATAAGGGGATTAACCCAATTTATTCATAAAGTACCTTCCTATAAGTGTAGATTTTATGAATCTAAAATCTGTCTTTGGGGATATTAGGCTTTCTTCCTAAATGCTGTATCCATATTAATCCTGCTTCATTTTCCCCACTAGGAAAGAGCAAGCAGCACTTTCCTCTCTGTTCCCTCCCAAGAGCTCTCTGGGGAATAAGGAGGAGTCTCCTGGGTTTAAGCAGAGACTAGCAGCCTGTGCTGCTCACATATCTATTCTGGAGCCCCAGAGGCCCTAAAGGGAAACCAGCCAAAGAAGGAGAAAAGGGGAACTGGTGCCTAAAAATGCATGGACAATCTCCCTGCTGGCTCCCCTCCCTGGGAGCATCCCTGTGCCCTTCCTCAAGGAGTCCAGAAAGGCTTCTCCGTTAGCAGCCAGGTGACCTCTGGCCTCTTTGCAAGGACTCTGCTCTTCAGCTGGTGTGATGCCTGCACACAAAGGACTGTAAGCAAAAAGAGAATCTGCTCAGCTCTGCACCAAGAAGGGTGACTTTCCAGACACAGAGAGCCCAGAAATAAATAATGCCCTGCCACCTACAATTTCACAGGAATAATGAGGAAAATAATGAGTTAAGCATCATTACTTGGGCTCCTGTGCTTTGAAAAATAGTCTAGTGGTGATGATGATGATATACTCCATGACATTATAGATTGATATCAACCAATATTCACATGACTAATCAAGTAAGCATCTTATTAAGCAAAATTACTAAAATATATTTGGCAGAACTTTTTCCTCCATCTTCATGTTTGCCATGATAGCCCACTCTTACTACTATCTTGAGACTAAGAAAAATACATTTAAATATGCTATCTTGCTCATTTCTTTCACATACTAATCTAGCCAACAAATGTATTGATCATCCTCTTCATGCCAGGCACTGTGATAAGAATGACAGAAGGAAAGACAAAAACACACAGTGCCCGCCTTCGGAGACCGCCCTGTCTAAGAGGGCAACTGACATTAACAGCAACATAAGTGCTATGATAAAGATATTGCAAAATAGAGTGCCAGCTCTGGAGAAGGGAACTTTAATAGAGATTTATTTGAGAAAGAGAGACAAAGAACAAACGCCATGCCATTTTAAAATAAACTATTTTCTCAGTAAATAGTTTAAAGGAAAGAAGAATCAGTGATTACCAGGGAAAGACCCTTAAAATAATGTAGACATGGAAATCTTCAGGTGTCATAGTTTGCACCTTCAGAGACAGGCTGGTGCACATAAGATATGCTATGATACAGTATTGTGCTAGAGAGGGACACCAGAATTATGGTTATTCTGAATTTATTTATACAGGAAAATTTTTATCTTTCTACAAGTAACTTACCCGCTTGAGGAAAGGTGCAGATTAGCAGAACATTCTAAAGCCTTCTATAATGTGTTCTGATGTGGACTGGCGGAGGGTGCGGTGCCTGCCAAATAGACTCTAGGAAGGAAAATGTCCTGACGACCCCAAGGCTGTTTCTATAGGTCACACTTGCACTCCAGTCTTAAGCACACAGCTGACAGTGCCGCAGCCACACATTTGTGCCACATCAACGTCAAGTGGTGTCTGAGCAGGGCACTGTCATTGCTTGGACTGGCACAGGGTTTCCAACACTGTGTTGGTACAGCTTTGCTGCTAAGGCTTTACTCATTATTCCACCCCAGTCCTGATGCCCGCCAGAACCATGCATACCTAGTACCCATCGTCTCCTTTCCCTTCCTCCTGCCAAACATGTCCTTTCTTCCACCCAAAGGGTAAAAAGCAGTCCGGCCACCGTTTCTACCACTGAAGTCTAGGAACATGGACCCTCCTGTTTTTGTTTTGTTTTGCTTCAATAACCTCCATCTCTTATCTCTTCTCTCCTTTTTCATCCTGTTTTTCTTATACTTTATCCCTCCATTCTTCCTTCTTACATCACTGTACAAAACAGCATATTCTTTACAAACCTATTTTCAGTTTTTTTATATCAAGACATCATCTACTTCCTGGCGTATATTCCCTCTAATGAGTAAAGAAAGGTATCTCTTTGAACAAGCCATAGAAAATTTAAAAATCTACTTATACATAAGCAAAATGAGTTAAGTAAGGAGAAAAATAAAACGTCTTCCATTTAAGTCAAGGAAAGGATAAGAAATCATGTCATCAAGTATGACGATCATAACAGTAGTCCTCACCGATACAAGAAGCCACAGAAAATAAATGAGATGGTAAATTGGAAGGAGACAAAACTGCAATTATTTGTATATGATGTTATTATCTACCCAGAAATCTGAAAGAATCAACTGGAAAACTGTTTTGATTAATGTAAAAGATAAATAAGATCGCCAGATACAAGATCAATATACATAAACCACTAGCAGCTTCATTTATCAACAATGTCCCCTTAGAAAATGTAATGAACAAAGGCTTTTATCATGATAACAGAAAAATGCTTAAGTTTAGACCTAATCATAATATGCTAAAAGGCTCAATATTTTATATGTAAAAATTCTCCCCAATTAACCTGTATATTAAAAACAACCAGAATAAACTTAACACACTGATTGTAAAGTTTATATAAAAGAGAAAGGATTTGTAAATATCCAAGAAAATTTAGAGAAAAAATAGCAAACCGAACTTGTGCTAGCAAGTATTAGATATGTTATGTAGTTATACAAATTAAAATGATGTGGTATTTGGGAAGGAGTATGCTCCAGCTCAAAAAAATAGAGAGGAATAAATACAAAATATCTCATATATATGTGAATTTAACACATACAGTCAATCAAGTATTTTAAATCAGTGGAGAAATATATGCAATAAATGACTCTGGGGAAATTATGTCTTTACTTTGGAAGAAAACTTGATTCCTACATCACTCCATATACAAAAATAAATCTCAAGGCAATTCAAGAACTAAACACAAAAAATATAGAAATATAGTAGAGGAAAATATGGGAGAATTCTTTTATAATTTTGTGACTGCATATAGTCTGCACAAAGAAAAAGATGGACAGATTGGAAATAATTTTAAAATTCTTTAAGATAAAATACATCACTACCAAAGCTAAAAGGCAAGCAACTTGAAGAATACATTTGCAATAAATGTGTTTCAGACAATAGATGAGTTTTTATAATATACAAAGAGTTTTTATAAATCAATAATAAAGCAACCCAAGAGACAAAAAATGGACAAAGATATAGCTGATATTGATTGATAGGATCCTATTTGCCAGGCAGTATCTTAAGCACTTTTTATCTATTAACTCTATTAATTTGCATAGTAATTCTTTTGATCAGATACTATTATCATCTCCATTTACAGACAAGAAAATTGAGACAAAGAGAAATTTAGGAACTTGTCCAGAGTTATCAGTTAGTAAATGCTATAGTCAGGATTCAGATTTTTAAATTCTGATGCCAGAGACCAATTCAATGAAAAAGAAAACAAATAGCTAACAAACTTAAGAAAAGCAGTTCAACATTAGGAACTATCAGAGAAATGCAAACACTAAAACACAATAAGATACTTTTACCTACCAGTCATTGTTTTTTTTTTAAGTGGATTTATAAGACTAACATTACCAAGAGTGTTGGGAAACGTTTTGTCATCAGTTATTGGGGGTGTCCCTTGGTATAGAATTTTTAGAGGGCAATTTAACAATATCCATCAAACTTAAAAAAAACTTATGCTTTGACTCAGAAACTTCATTTCTATCTCATAGAAATATTTGGACACGTGCCCAGAGATGTGCAAAGTGAAAAACTGAAAATAGCTTATATGTCCATCAATAAGGGGATGGTTAACAAAAATGATTATACATCCAATCATAAATTGTATGTAGTGTAGCAGTTAAAAAGAGTGAGTTATATCTATAGGAACTAAATGGAAAGACATCTAAGATACATCATTAAGTGTAAAAAGCAAGTCATAAGATATTATGTGTAATCTGATATCATATACAAACATGTCCACATTAATATTCATTTATTCACTCAACAACAACAAAATTAGCACCTACTACCTGCTAGGAACTGTTCTAGTCAGTAGAGATAGAGTAGTGGGCCAAGTAGACAAAGTCTCTCTTTCCTGGAGTTCACATTCTATTGGGCAGGCTGACAATAAACAAACAAGCAAACCAATAAAAGACCAAAATAATTTAAATGGTGTGTTAGTTTTGCATTATTGTCAGAACAAATTATTGCATACTTAGCAGCTTAAACAACACAAATTTATCTCCCAATTCTGTAGGTCAAACGTTCAATCCGAGTTTTGCCCAGAAAGGGCTGCATTCCCTGCAGGCTCTAGGGAAAGATGTGTTTCCTTGCTCTTTCAAGTTGTTGCAGAATTTGGTTCCTTGTGGTTATAGGACTGTGGTCCCTGTTTCCTTGCTGGCTGTCAGCCAAGAACCATTCCCAGTTTCTAGAGGCCACCTGCATCCTTTGGCCTGGTGTCCCCCTGCCTCCATCTTCAAAGCCAGCAGTGGCAAATCAAGTCCTTGTCATGCTCTGAATCTCTTGCCCTTCTCTCTGACTCAGCCAGGAAAGGTTCACCACTTCTAAGGCCTTGTGTGATTAGATTGGACCCACCAGGATAATCCAGGATTATCTCCCTTCCTTTGGGTTCATGCTTTTACTTGTATCACATTTGGTCCCCTTTGTCACAGAAGAGAACATATTCATCCACAGGTTTCAGGGATTAGGGCGTGGACATCTTTGTAGAGAAGGGAGCTTTATTCTGCCTACTACTGATGGTAATAAATGCCAGGAGGAAAACCAAAATAGTGAAAGGCAAAAGGTGATAATGAGGGCAGCTCATTTACATTGTGTCATCAGAGAGGCCCTCCCTGAGGAAGTAAAATGGGTGACCAGCAAGTGACCACTGGGACAGAGCAATCCAGGCATGTATTTAAATATACAGAAAAAGGCATGGAAAGCTACATATTAAACTATTCACATGCTGCCTCTGGAGAGAAGAACACAATTCAAGAGTGGGAAAAGATAAAAGCTTTATCCTATATCCTTCTATTTGTTTGGAAGTTTTACTTGTGTAATTTTTTAAATTATGCTTATAAAGAGTTAGAAAAAGAAAAGGGAAATATACTTTGGGGTTAAAGCAAAGAAAGTTTAAGATTTAGGTACTAGTGAAAGTTAATATATTCTAAATTCTGACACACACAGTAAGAAAATAAAAATAAAACGTTGTCTTGGATTCTACAAAAGAATCTGTTCTAGAGGGCAGCAATAGATCGATACCCTCCTCTTCTGAGTCTTTAAGGAGAATACACTTGCCAATTAGACATTTTTACACGTCAGCAACCTTGGAAACTTCTCCTGGCTATAACCTCTTTATTTTGCTTCGAACTCCTAACTTGGTACTCATTTGCTGAGCTCTTACCCTGGATAGCTCACATTGTTTCATGTGGTTTTCCAAGGAGGACACTAAAAGCTTCTCTGAGAATGCAGGCAGGCAAAAGAAAAGTTATTTGAATGGGCTCTGCAGTGTAGCAATCTGTCACAGCAAAGGGGTGAGTCTTGCCGGAATGCATTTCTGCTACTCAAGACACAAACAAGGGAGAGATCACAGAAGGATACACGGAAGTGCCTGTCGGGGAGCTGAAGCGAGTGGCTTCAGGGAGACAAGACAGAAGACCAAAGGGCTCTCCCAGGACACAGGAAAGCAAAACTTTGAGCAATTTAGTATCAAGACTCCGGGATACAACTGCAGCAAATAGGCTTTGTGTGTTTGTGTGAGAGAGAGTGTGTGTGTGCGCACGTGTGTGTGCTCACCCATGCATGTGATACTCAAAATTACAACTCCTTCGGAGCAAAGATATGACACTAAAAGCAGTGAGAAGCAAACAATAGCTACGGCTATAAATTAAGGAGTTCCTATTTCTGTACTAATCACATAGATTTGTTTTTGCAGACAGCCTGCCTATCAAAGATAGGGATTCTCTGAGTAACATGTTTGCAACAGTCTAGTAAATTTTTCTATTTGAATGTCTCTTCATCACCTAAAGAGTGACAAATCCAAAACCGAACACATCATTGTCTGCTCACAAATATTTTCTCCTCCCAGCCATTCTTCCTGCCTGAGATAGTGACACCCTCTTTTTCTCCATCACTCAGGCTTGAGAACTTGGAGTCATTCTTACCTCATCCTTCACCTTCAACTAGTCATCCCCCTCCAATCCTTTTTGGAAGTAGGTAAAACGTAAATCACATACAAATAAAAACAGTATTTAATCAGCATATAGTCTATGTAAACCTCTCCATCTTTGTTCCCACTTTCACCCCTGGTCAAGGATCTTATCCCAGAAGTATTTATCTGAAGTATTTCCTCAGGAGGCCCCTCCACCCACTGCCTGTCATTTCAGTCCAAACCTTCCATATCTCACTAGCTGGTGAACACAAACACAGCCACATTATCATCCCGTGAGCAAATAGTGTTTCCGAGGGCCTTTTAGGTTTGTCTGAGGTTCAAAGGCAGGAAGTCGAAGTCTCCCAAAGCCCCCCTTCCTCACTTTCTGAGGCCTTGGCTGGCTTAAATATGCCCACACATGGCCCCCAGCCTTCACTCCTGGCCCTACACAGCCCAGGGGCCTGGCAGCTCCTTCCTCTCAAGAGTGAACTACAAAAGCCTGGGTGCAACACCTAGAGGTCCAGAGACTCTGTGAACACAGGGAGGCAGATCTGGCAGAACCTCCTTCCTCCGTGGGTTTCTTCCATGTGGGAGTCCTGAGGCCCTCATCCTTAGCCTGGCTGGCATGTCTAGTTTCCTCTCACTGCCTTTCCTTTCCAAGAGGTGGCAAAGCAGGACTGAGAGCTGACCAGCTGTCCTCTGCAGCTCAGAGACAAAATGAAGTGTGAAACCAAACAAAACCACACTCATCCACAGCAGAGCAAGAGCAACTCAGGCTTGTGTTGTCTGTGTCCATGCAGCAAGCCCAGACTTTTGCTCCCAGCCCTAACAGAGAGAAAAGGAAAGAAGTGGGGGTGGGAGGGGGTGGGATCAGCAGTGCCCAGATGCACAGTTCTGTCTACACACAAAAAATCATATTCCCAAATGAAGCTTTACCTCTTCATTTGTTTCTTCTTGCAACAAGTGTTTTTTGAGCACCTACTATGTGCCAAGCATGGGACAGACTGACAGAAGCCTGCTGGAGCAGAAGCTCTGGTGTGGAAAATAGACAGTTTTTAAAAATCAAGAAAAATAAGCAAGGTTGTTTCAGGTAGTGATGAGTCAGAGAGGAAATGAAGCAAGGTGCTGGGATGGAGAGCGCAGGGCCTGCTTAGGTAAGGCAGTCCTGAAGGCCCGTCTCAGTGGTGACATTGGGGCTGAGCATCAGCTGAACGGAGAAGAGGCTGCCCAGACTGTGCTCCAAGTCAGTGGCAAGCTGACAGTTTTCCCCAATAAAATTGGGTGGACACATAGCCTCGCATTTGTATTAGTTTGCTAGGGACGCCATAACAAAGTAATACTAATAGTTGCTTAAAAGACACAAATGTGTTTTCGCCCAGTTTTGGAGGCCAGAAATCCAAAATCAAGGTGTCAGTAGGGCCCTGCTCTCTCTGAAGACACTGGGGAAGGATCTGCTCTCGCCTCTCTTCCAGCTCTGACAGTTTCTTGGCTTAGAACAACATAACTCCAGTGTCCACATGGCATTCTCCCTGTGTGCATGTCTGTGTCCCAATTTCCCCCGTTTATAAGGACACCAGTCATATTGGATTAGGGGCCACCCTGTTGTAGTATGACTCACCTGAACTAACTGTATCTGCAACAACTCGATTTCCAAATAAGGTCACATTCTGCAGTACAGGGGAGGGAGAAGTGTGGATTTCAACAAATAAATCTCAGGGGATGCAATTCAACCCCTAACAACATTTCTGTAATAAAGGGGTCCATCCAGGATGGGTGGAGGACCAGCTTTACCCACAATGATCCAACCTGCTCGTTCAGAGAAGGCTGAGCTTTCCACTCTGTCTCCCCCACATCACAGAGCACAGCACATAATAAATGAATGAATACTTGTTGATGGTTGATTAATGATACATTTTACTCTAAAATTTAAAAAGCTTGTGTTATCATGTTGAGATAGTTTGGGATTTGTTTGTGTGCCAGCAACAGTTCCCGTGCTTAGTAGCTAGGAAAGGTTTAAATCATTTTTGGGTCTGATATGATTAGTTAACTGTTCCCAGAGACCATGTGGAAAAAAATAGCTGGCATCCAACGCTGACCCAGCCCCCTTTGTCTCCCTCCTGGGTCCCAGAGGCAGCAGAGCTGATGAGCTCAGACGAGGTTGGCAGAGGTCACATTTGTTGAAGATCCGCGAAGAGATACCGGTGAAAGTGCGGCAGCAGAATGCAGCCATCCAGGCCTCCAGGCAGCTCAGCCCCCTCGCCCAGCCTGGGGACACACAGCTGCCCGCTCCAACCTCAGAGGGGCAAATTCCCCGACATCAGAGAAGCCGCCCTGGGCCACTAAACGGAAACCTGGCTAGCGAGGAAGCAGCTGGTCTTGGCAAACAAAAAATAATGCCCCAGGCAAAAACAAAGTAAAAGGGAGCCTGGAAAAGCTTCATTCTGAGGAGCCACTCCCTCCCTAACCCAATTTTTAAATCCAATATAAAATTCTAAGGCTATTCAGAAAACACCGTGGCAAATTCCTTCAGTCTAAATTCTCTGTGATGAGAAATTCCTAGAAGGCTTTTCCTTTCCTTTCAAAACACTGGACAATTTTCTCCAACAGTATATCTCACATTGTGGCCAGCCATCTTGTTATCTGTTACTCTTTTTGAATGTAACACAGAGAACCACAAGATCTTGTGGAATTTCATTTCTGTGTTACATAGCATTGCATTTTGAAGTAGTGTTTATTGTTTTCCTTTTATTTTTATCTCATGAAATAAACTATTCATGACAAGCTACTTTTCATTGTTAAAATTATATTTATGTATGCACATATAAATATAGCAATCTCTTATGAAATATATGTTTAATTGATTTATTAGTTTCCCACTGTGCTTAAGAACTCATGAACCTGAAATTAGCTGTGCATAATGGTTCTTCTGATAAGAACAGCGACTCTGCAGATACAAATGAAACAAAGCAAGGTGAAATTTTCAGAGAAAGATCTAGTCAAGCTGTTTAGAGGTCTAAAGCACACATTTTGTCATTCTTACTGATGACAATAATAATAGCTGAAATTGATTATTGAGTACATACTATGTGATAGGCAGTGTGCTATGCCTTTTGTACCTACCTTAATTTAAATCCTTTCAACTCCATTGACAATGATTGCTTAGAATCACTATGTGATTTAACCATCATCACAGCTAGTAATTGGGAAGAGTTGGGATTCAGACCCTAGCTCATCTAACTCTAAACCCCAGGCTTAGTTCAATATACTACATGGATTAAAATAGGGACAAACACCATTAAAACATTAATCAAAGCTTGAAAGCTATAGGCAAATATCACTGGTATATTCTTTTAGAAAGTTGATTTATAACAATAACGCTGTAAAAAAAAGATAGGCAAATTCCAAAGGGTAAACTGAGGCATGTGGCTTTTTAGAACTTACTTTGAAATACAACTGTGGATATATGAAATATCATTTTCACTCTTTTGAAGGTAAGTTCTGGAAGCACTGGAGACTTATAATGATAAAAATTACATGATAACCTTTTATGCAACAGGCTTATTGAACACAACATTAGGTGAGTGATGCTATTCTAACAAGAACTAGTCATGCTGGGCTAAATTTTCCAAGAATGCAATTTAAGCCCACAGTAAGGTGTATTATAAAATGAATGGGATACCGTGGTTCAAACACAGCCCTCCGAATGGTCCATCTGTGGACCTTATCTCACCAATTCTCATTAAACAGTGATTTCATTTCTCTCCATCATCACAAGCTCCACTCCTGGGCAGTGTTCAGCTGCCTGGCTGGTCTCACGACACATGCAAATATGAATTAAAGGCGACCGCACCACAAGACTGAGGAGAGTTCAGTAATACCCTTCCCAGTGTGAAGCACAGGGCCCCAGCCATCACAGATGGGAAAAAGAAATTGGTGGTCCCAGCAGGCCCTCTTTTTATTACCCCCTGAGGCCTCATTTGGAGCATGACTGTCACACACATGCACATGCGCACACACACACACGCACATATACACATGTACATACACATATCTAAACCACTCTACCTCCTCTTTCCATCCCAAGCACCTGTAAGGTTAAAGATGTGTTTGGACTCTACAAAAATAAAATCCCAAACCTTTACAGATACCTTGTCACAGACTCTCACTGCTCCTCGGTGATACTTGTAAAAGGAGTTATGTTTTCCTTATTATCTATATGGGGAAAGTGGAGTGTGAAATGTAAACATCTGTTTAGAGCTAGAAGGAGAGTCAAAGCCAGAATACGGGAGTGGAATTCTTCTGTCCTCTGACCTCCTACAACATGGAGTTTTTGTAACTTTCCTACAGCCCTCATTCTTTATCACAACATGATAAAGTTTCTTGTACATTCGTCTTTTCTCCCTTATGGTACAATAAGCCCTTCAGGGTGGAGAACTATTTCTGGTTCTCACCATATCTAGCAAGGTGCTCTCCAAGATTAACTGTGCAAACTCCACATACGTTTATGGATTGTAACAAGAGGGCAAACAAGATACTAACAGTTCTTGTTAGCTGGATGGAGTGGGGGAGCACTGGCAATTGTGGCAATGGTTGAGCATTAATGGGTTTCCTTTACGATATACACATTTTCCACCAAATCTTCTCACTGCTGGTCACCATGAACGGAAGACAGAAAGCACATGAGTGAAAGAGAGAAAATATACACCATGGTGATTTCTAAAGCAGCTAGTGAAGGCTGAAGTAAGGGTGAGTGTGCAAGATAGCCATTGGAAGTACTCACCCATTCAGTTCTGGGTGCCCTGTAGCCCTACCAACCAATTACAAAATATATATATTTTATATATATATTTTTTAATATATTATATATTTTATATATATTATATATTTTATATTTTATATATTTTTATATATATTATATATATATTCAGCTTGAAGGAAATCTCCTGCAAGTCACGTGTCTACTGGCTGAGATTAGTCTGACTGTGGCCCAGACAGAGGTCCAAACCAGTCCTGAACTACACAAGGCACAGCCTAGGGCTACCCATGCTTCTCATTCTGTTAAAGACCTGGACTGCAAGTCTCAAAGGCCAGCCATGTAGTGAGTCATCTGCACTTTCCAGCCCAGCCAAGCCTTGGATGGCCAGAGCCTGAGCCAAGATTACAGGCAGCAAAACTGCCCAGAGCTCTAACAATCCACAGAATCCTAATAATAAAGTGGTAGTTGTTTTTAAGACACTAACTTATGGCGTGCTTTGTTATATAGCAATAGGTAATGAGAATAGGTCATGGATTATTTGTTACATAGAATAGATAATGAGACTGATGCCTAAATAAAACAAGATTTGGGGAGGAGGACAGGGTGTTATGGGGAGGGGTGAGTGTATTTTGCACGTGGAGGGACATGAATTATTGGCAGCAGGGTGCAAACTAAGGTAATCACTCTTCAAAGATGCCCCCGCCCCCCGCAGTGAATCACGCCTCCTGTCATTCATGAGTAATATATAGTCCCTTTCCACAGAGAACGTGCGATCCAGAGAATGTGACAGAATCACTTGGAATGGCTTCCAAAGTTATGTCATAAGCAACCTTGAAGATTTTGTTCTGGGGGAAGCTGTCTAGTGTGTCACAGTCCAACTACCCTGTGACAACATGCTAAGGACAGACCCATGGAAAGAGAAAAATGTCTGGTCTGCCCTCCTCCAAGCCAGCCTTCAGCTGCAGTGCCAAACATGGGGGTGAAGAAGCCACTTGAGTCTCCTGCCTTCAACTGATTCCAGCCTCAGCTGTGTCTAACTTCAATCACATGAGACACTCCTGGCAAGAATCTTTCAGCTGAGTCCAGTCAATCCACAGAATTTGGAGAGATGATATTAAGTTGTTTTTAAGCCAATAAGTTTTGGGTTTGTTTACTACGCAGCAAAAGGTATTTGTTCAAAATATTAGGTATGTACAATGTGAATATCTCAAACCTTCTGGTTCTTTTGCATGCAAATATTTTCTGCTTTCAGCAAATGCAAAATTTGGTATGTCCTCTATATGATCAAAATGTCAACAGATCATTCCTATCCAGGTTCAGAGACCAAAAAAAAAAAAAAGTAAAGAGAAATCATTAGGCCTTGGACTTCAAGTGCCCACTTACAAGAAATTTCCCCTAGAAACCTTCTGGACTATAAACCCAGCAAATTAAAGAAGTCCCTAAATTATGTAAAAGACTATGCTGTATTGGAAAGTTGAACCAAAGGAGCAGCTGTGGAAGAACAGTTGCTAGGTTGTGTAAGGAAAAATAGTGGGCTCGGGAGCCATAGCCAGCAGTGCAGGGAATGGGGTCATGCGCCCCCATGTGGCAGCAGAACTGCCTCCCCAGCCAGGCCTTGGTTCTGTCCAGATTGCTGTCTATCTGTCTGTTACTCAGATGCAGATGCCCTCTCTCGTGGCACCCACTTATCCCCAATTTTCTCAGACATTTCTGATCTCAGACATGCACATCCATCCTAGAATTTCTTACCATATGAGATATCATTCTGTAGCTTTGTATGGAGGCATTGTGTAGGCTCTGAAGAGAGATTGACCTGATTTTGAAACCCTGCTCTGTCCCTTACTAGCTGTGAGACATGGGTAAGTTATTTCACCTCTCTGAGCCTCAGTTTCCCCATTGATAAAATGAGGATAATAATGGTGCCTATATGATGGGAATACTGAGACTATTTCATGCACAAAGAGCCTCAAATATTGAACACACTCAATGCTATGGTCTGAATGCTGGTGGTCCCCAAAATTCATATGTTGAAACCTACTCTCCAATGTGGTAGTATTAAAGGAGGGGACCGTTGGGACGTGATTAGGTCATGCTGGTTCCACTCTCATGAATGGGATTAGTGCTTCGATGCGACAGGCCTGAGGGACACAGAAAGGTAAATATCGCACATCTTCACTCATATGTGGAAGGTAAATAAGTTGATTCACAGTAGAGAGTAGAATAGTGGTTACTAGAGGCTGGGAAGGGTAGGGGAAGGCAGGGATAGGGAGAAGTTGGGTAATGGATACAAAATTACAGCTAGATAGAAGGAATGAGTTCTAGCATTCTATAGCACTGTAGGGTGACTATAGTTAACAACAATTTACTCTATATTTTCAAATAGCTGGAAGAGAGAATTTTGAATCTCCCCAGTAAGAAGAAATGATACTATTTTAGGTGATGGATAAGCTTATTACCCTAATTTGATCACTATGCAGTGCATACAAGTATTGAAATATCACACTGTAACCAATATATTTGTATAATTATGTGTCAACCAAAAATTTTTAACTGTGAAAAAAAAGAGGCCTGAGGGAGCTTGTTGGCCCCTTTCCCCATGTGAGGATACAGCTAGAATCATCATCTGTGAGAAGTGGGCCCTCACCAGACACGGAATGTACCAGCGCCTTGATCTTGGACTTCCCAGCTTCCAGAACTGTGAGCAATAAATTTCTGTTGTTTATAAATTACCCAAGCTAAGCCATTTTGTTATCGCAGTCCAAATAACCTAAGACAATTAGGTATTATCTTATTCTTTAGAAATAATGTATATTTTCCTCTCTCTTCCTCCTCCTAGGAGTTGCACATACTAAACAAATATTGCTGGAAGACACCGAGGCCCCTTTCAGCCTAATTCCCCACAGGATTGTTAGCCTGTGCCTTGGGAAGATGTAATTATTTTGCAGATAATTCATCCCAAGGGCAGAACCACTAAAGACATCTTCCCCGCCTCACCCCACCCCAGCCCTCCCTCAGCGTCCTGAGAGGTAGTGAGAAGCCAGAGAGCAAGGGAACAAGAAGCGAGCTCCTGAGCATAGTGAACCAAGGAGGAGATGAAGGACACAGGAAAGGCCCCCAGGAGGGATGGGGGAGAAGGGGATGGGAAGAAGGGAGGAGGAAGTCCCTCTGCCTATGGTGAGGGTGCTGGACCAGGGCCCACACTTCTGAGATAAACAGTGGGAGGCTTAGGCGTGGAACAGAACAGAAAAACCACTCACTTCTCAAGCCCTCCTTGAGGGCTCCACAATGGTTTGGAATACATTACTTAAATCTCAAACACAAGACATCTTGGGTCTTAGAGTGGGCGCTTGGCTAGCTAACAGCAAGACCTCTGCAGCCTGGGATATTGGGCTACAGCACAAGGGCATACTGTTATGTTTTCCACACCGTGTAAGTACAAATCAGAAAAAGTCATTTCCAGACCATACATCCTAATTTGCAAGGGTGAGCAGAAATATGCTTTGTGACCTTTTTTGCCCCAGTGAAGTCAAGCGTCTCCGATGAACATCCTTCTATAGCCTCGTGGTGCCTGGCTAAAGCAGGCGGCACTGCCCCAGGCCAGCCATGCTTGGGGAACCACCCCTGAACGCCCTGGGAACTCTGCAGAAGCTGTTGGGCAAAAGCTCCCACCTGGTTGTCACCCTTTGCTGGTCACTGCTGCCTTGCATACGTTCTATGGCTTTGCTCTGCTCCCCCGGGACCTGCAGATTTCTGGTTTACACCCAGATTGGCTGGATGTATTCAGCCTTTTTCTAGGCAATTTTCTCCTGCCTGTGCCATGACAATACCCATTCTCCTTTGCCTCCCTAAGCAGCTAGACCCTCACTAGCAAAAAAAGCATAGGGAAAAGCTGTTACACTGAAGTTCCTCCCATTGGGACAGTGATTTGGAATCGCCAAGGATTTTCACATTTTCTTTCATTTGATTCTCTCAACAGGTGTTGTTAGCTTTTTTTTTTTAGATGAGGAAACTAAGGCAAAGAAAGGTCGAATGACTTGTCCAAGGACATTCATATTGTCCAAGGTCATAGCCGGCAAGTAGCAGAGTAGGACTCAGGCTATAACTGCTGGAGACCAATGTCTAGATGAGCCACAAACTCCCTCACCCTCCTTTCCACTGGTGCTGCCACTGCCGAGGTTCAGTACATCCTCCTGTCTTGCCAGGGCAATCAATCAGCATGGTGTCCTCACCGTCTCCTGCAGTATCCCCTGACAATTGCCTGCCAGGACATTCTCCAATTACAGTTATATTATTTCTTTACTTAAAAACTTAGAAGCAGTGACACAGCAGCAACAATCACACCCAGTGACCAGATATTGGTTTTTAAATACCATTCTTCAATATATGCAACCAAGCCTCTCTGGAGAAATGGCTGATTCCAGGGCTGAGACAGGGAAGATACAACATACACAATATGAGCCTGGAGCATCTTGCAATGCCAGAAGGTAAGGAAGTGCACAAAACACACTCAGAGACACCACAGCCACAATGACAAGGGCAGGTCAAAATGACACAGGAGACAACCTCAAAGAATTCCCAATGGCCAGAGCAAGAATGATTGAAGAAACAAAATAATTAACACTAGCATTGGTTATAACCCAAAGGATATCCAAAGAATTAAATGAGTATCTGTGAGTCCATACTG
Source organism: Homo sapiens (assembly GCF_000001405.40). Taxonomy (NCBI): domain Eukaryota; kingdom Metazoa; phylum Chordata; class Mammalia; order Primates; family Hominidae; genus Homo; species Homo sapiens. The sequence continues at coordinate 25,835,319 of NC_000018.10, forward strand.
ATATAAATAAATGACTGAATAAATAAATAAGTGAAGAAGAAAGGACAAATATTCCTTACAGAAGAATTCCAAATAATAAATGTAAAAGGAATAATAAAGAGGAAAATCACTATTAGGACACCACAGTAATGATTGCTTCAGGCAAGATTCACTGATGAATACTAAAATTAGGAGGTGAAATATTAAGAAGAAACAAGATATCTGCATAGCCTCAAATTATCTCCTCTATAATATTTATTAATTACTGTGGTTGTTTTAACATATGTCCACCAATTATTTGATACTCCTCTCTCCAGGAAGTGGAGCTTAACACCCCTCCCTTTGAGTGTGGGCTGAATTTAGTGACTTCTAAAAAACAGAGTAAGAAAAGGGAAAAAGAATATCATCGTAGCCGGGTGTGTTGTCTCACACCTGTAATCCCAGCACTTTGGGGGGCCAAGATAGGCAAATCCTTGAGTCCAGGAGTTCGTGACCAGCCTGGACAACATGGCGAAATTCTGTCTCTACAAAATATAGCAAAAATTAGCTGGGCATGGTGGTGCACACCTGTAGTGCCAGTTACTCAGGAGGCTGAGGGAAGAGGATCACTTGAGCTCCGGAGGTCGAGGCTGCAGTGAGCCATGATTGGTCCACTATGCTCCAGCCTGTGTGACAGAGTGAGACCCCCATCTCTCTCTCTCTCTCTCTCTCTCTCTCTCTCACACACACACACACACACACACACACAAACCAGAGTAACATTGTGGTAGAGAAATTTGACAGACATCACCTTAACCAGTGGTCATGGTTCATGTCTCCAGTAATAAGTTGTGTTAATTTCACGTATCCCCTGATACCATGCACTGACAGGGCAATTCACCTCTGTGGCATTCTTCCCCCAAATCCATAAGCCTGGGCTAATCATGACACAATATCAGATGAACCCAAATTGAGGGACATGTTACAAATACCTGACCCAGACTCCTCAAGAGTGTCAAAGTCATGGATAAGAAAAGATTGAGGAATGGCCACAGATTGGAGAAGAGTAAGGAGATGGGACAGTTAATGCAATGTGAGATTCTGAATTTGATCCTGTAACAGGAAAAGGGCATTCTTGGGGAAACTGACAAAATGTGAATAAAATCTTTAGTTTAAAAACAAACAGGGCCAGGCCCGGTGGCTCACGCCTATAATCCCAGCACTTTGGGAGGGCGAGGCGGGCAGATGACGAGGTCAGGAGATCAAGACCAACCTGGCTAACACATATTTAAAAACCAATATCTGGTCACTGGGTTTACTTGTTCCTAACCCCATCTCTACTAGAAATACAAAAAAATTAGCTGGGCGTGGTGGCACGCCTGTAGTCCCAGCTACTTGGGAGGCTGAGGCAGAAGAATTGCTTGAACCTAGGGGGCAGAGGTTGCAGTGAGCCAGGATCACCCCACAGCACTCCAGCCTGGGCAACAGAGCAAGCTCCATCTCAAAAAAAAAAAAAAAAACAACTTCCAATGTCTAAACAACAAAGTACAGACTCCTGAGTAGGGCACACAAGACCCTTCTGAGTGTGACCCGAAACCCCCTCAGCCCCTCTTACCACCTCCTGCATTGTGCTTTCCTCCCCAGCCATTCCACACCAAAGGAGGGCCAGGAAACCCCCATCGATCATATCATCTTGTCTCTTACTCTTTCCATATCTCATCCCTCCCACTGGCATGGCTTCTGCCCTCTTCTCCACATGCCTACTCACTTGTTTACCTGATCATTATCTTTATAAGGCTCAGTCTGAGAATTGCTTCCTCAATGAATATTACTTTGACCATCCTCATATCCCAGTGGCCAGTCTTCCTCCCTTCCTGTCTCCCTCTCTTTCATTGACATGGGGAATCTCATACCTACTTTCATCAGCATCTATAACATTTTAGTGCATTTCTGTAAGTGACTGTCTTCCTTGTCTAGGTAATAAAATTCTTGAGGAAAGTTGATCTCATTCATCTTTTATAGCTTCAGAATTTAGCACACTGAATGAATTAATGAATGAACAAATGAATGAATAATGAATGAACAAATAATGAGCAAACTCACACTAGGAATTTATTGGCTAGAAATTCATAGATGTGTAAATTCATCTCAGCTCTGTAGACATGTTTGAAGAAAACTTTTGCTCAAAAAATTTCAAAATGCTTTGTGGGAACACATGCATCAATTCTATAAACACACCTTGAGCTCAGCAGAAATACTGACAAAGAGCCAAGCCTGCCTCAAAGAAGCAAGCCTCACAGAGGGCCGAGGCCCTGGAGCTCACCTCTGGACACTTCATTCCCTGTACTCAGCCAGCTCAATTAAAATAGCTTTGCACAGAGCTGCACTGGGCCTGCTTTAAATGCACAGCATTGGCCAGCCACAGTGGCTCATGTCTGTAATCCCAGTGTTTTGAGAGGCTGAAGCAGGAGGATCACTAGGCACCAGGAGTTCAAGACCAGCCTAGGATATAGAAAGACCCCATTTCAACGAAAAAAATAAAAATTAGCCAGGCATGGTGGTGCATGCCTGTATTTCTAGCTACTCAGGAGACTGAAATGGGAAGATCACTTGAGCCCAGGAATTCAAGGTTACGGTGAGCTAAGATTGTGCCACTGACCTCCAGCCTGGGCAGCAGAGCAAGCCTTGTCTCAATAAATAAATGAATGAATACATAAATAAAATGCACAGGCTTTATGTCAGTCAGATCTCTACGTTGAAGTAATAGACCTTTAAAAACTCTCCCAAGTCAACCGAGTTGCTTCCTACTGTGGTTGCAGAATCAAAACTCCTTTTCCATGGCATCTTTCAACAAACATATATGAATTTTGAGTTCACTGCCATTTATCTGGGCATCTTTAGGAATTCTTCTATATTCCTTCTTACAATGTGAGCATTTGAGTAAGTATATAACCACACCTCTTATAGTAGGAATTTGCACTCTCATTTGAATGTTGAGGCAGCTGGCTTTCTGTGTTTTTGTTCACATGCTGCCTCAAAAATAAAACAGCCGTTAGAACATGTGGAAAAGGCAAAAGTAAAATAAAATAACAGCAGAAGCCATGCTTCTCAAGGTGTGTTAAGGACACAAGAATAGTGTCTAAAGTTGAGCAAGAGTTCTCCAAGCATGAAGATCATTAAGTTTGGATTGGTCTGGAAAGAAGATAGAATTCATTGATCTGACCATTATCAATAAATGTATCCATTAAGCACCTACTGCTTAATGTATGTATGTAATACATACATACAAAGCACTGTGCTAAAATTGTGTCAGGTGCACAAAGGCTTAACATTACTGTTTATACCATGACAGGAAGAGCAGTCTAGGGAAGGAGAATAGTAAATGCATTTGAAAAGATGACTAACATGACAAAAAATATGGTTGAAGTTCAGCTTCAAAGATCCCTGTCTCTCCTTCCCAGGGGATGCTGGACAATAAGGTTTTGTCTTAGGGCATCATCTTGACAATAGAGATAATAGCCTCTACAGCAGTCTCTGCATATGACCAGGGCTCAGAAATGATCCTATGTCCCCCAGTCTCAGTTTATCCATCAAGGAAAACTGGCTTCCCACTTCCCATTGCTTCAGAAAAAGGGCACTTCTCTCTCATTGGCCAACACATTCCTAGAATATAGGCAGAGGATAAAATATCTAATTACCTTTTAACTCAACTATGTTAGCTAACTGCAGGGCAGGAGCACAATAAATCACAACACTGTCACAGTTGGGTTCATTCAGTTGGGTCCATCCAGTTAGCCAGTACAAAGTTATCTCTTCACTCATGAACTCTTTTGAACCAATACACAATCACCATCTGAATCTCCAATATTATGGCCTTCTGTCTTTTCAAAACAGAGGAAAAATGCACCTGAAATGGGAGTTTTTCACATACAAGCTTTTCTTTCCATCTCAGTCCCTGAGCTACAATAGCCACAAAGAGAATCTTAAGAAAAACACAAGTTTGATAAATGTGTTCTGAAGGAGTTCAGAGATGGGCAAGTTTAAAGAGAAGTTGAGGGTTCAGCTTAGCTTTGAGGAATAAAAAGACATACAATGGTGATGAGAAGGACAGATATTCCAAGCAAGCAGAGCAAAGGCACAGACAGAAATGCATTGGCAGGTTCAATCCCTTCCTGGACTTGCCAATGCAGGGACAATGGGAGATGTGGTTAGAAAGTTGGGTTGGCAGCATACGGGGATGGCCTACAATGCCAGGAGAGGGACTTTCCTCTGTGAATGTGAGACTGGGAACCATTTTTGATTTGTGGTGAGAGGACAGCTACATTGAGGGCAATGTCTTAGAAAGCATAAATGTGCTGCCTGGATGGATGATGAGGTGCTGGAGGCCAGAGGGAAATAGTGGAGACTTTAATAGCAGTTTGAATAGAAAGGAAGGAGTGTTGTGAGAAAATTCTCTACACTCAGATTGGGTGTAGAGAAAAAAAGAAGAGATGAGGTAACTCCCAAAGGAACCAAGAGACTAGCCATGCAATCTAGAGAAGATTCAAGACTGGAGCCAGCTGCCCAGGTTTCAATTCTGTCTTTCACACTCATCAGCTGTGTGAAATTAGAGGCATTCACTTGGAGTTTCTGTGCCTCAGTTTATAATCTGTAAAATGCAGATAATACAGTTGAGCATCCCTAATCCAAAAATGTGAAATCCAACATGTTCCAAAATTTGAAACTTTTTGAACACTGACGTGGTGCCACAAATGGAAAATTCCACACTTAACACAAACTTTGTTTCATGTACAAAGTGATTTAAAATATTGTACAAAATTATCTTCAAGCTATGTGTATAAGGTGTATATGAAACATAAATGAATTCCATGTTTAGACTCAGATGCTATCCCCAAGATATCTCATTATGTATATGCAAATATTCCAAAATCTGAAACAATCTAAAATCGGAGACACTTCTTGTCCCAAGCATTTCAGATAGGACACTCAACCTGTAATATATGGCTCATAAGGTAGTTGTGATATTGAGTTAAAACATGGAGAATAGTGCCTGGCACCCAGCAACAGCAGTATGTTTAGAAGCTATTGTTGGTGCTATACTTGTTATGCAAAAATCAAGACCAGTAGCAGTAGGGACAAAAACTAAATCCTTTCAGAAATTGCTCTGGTGAGAATGGAGCCATTAACTGGAGGAATATATTACAATAAGTCATTTTACATTTACCATTAGGATATGAAGTCCCCATTCATTGCCCCTGCTTCCCTAACATGTATTTCCCCAGCTACCCTCATGTGTCCAGACCTCCTAATGCACCCATCCTAAAATTTCTAACCCTAGTTTATTTGAATGGAAGTGAAATTTCATTTGGGATACTGGTTGAAAGGGGATTTTAAAATCATTTCTTAAGTAGAAAAGCATTGCTCTTAATGCATTGAGAGAGCCAGAAGCCTCCAAGAGACACACTTTTCAAAGGACATTGCTCTGAATATTATATAATCTGGGCATCTGAGGTTGAAAATAAATCCCAGGCACATTTCCCTCTTGCCCTGCCTCAGACAAGGGCATTGCCAAAGCTCTCAACCACATTTCCCCAACTACAAAGCAAGGATAAAAATATAAATATTACTCCAAGAGGAACTGCACTCATTTGAAAGAAAAGGAACAAGGGAAAAGGAATAAATAAAGAAAAAAGAGAGTGCATATTTGGAAACTATTACACTTTATTAGATTGGGAGGAGGGAGGCATTGTGGCATCTAAACACTTAAGGCAAGAAAGGAGCTGGGAAATAGGAACACCACTGGCCCTAGCCTCTTCTCCACAACTGAGCCACAGCTGGACTTGGAACAAATTGCTTAATCCTTACATGCCTTGGTTTATCCTGGGATGTCATGAAATTTCCCTAATGTCTGATCCTCCAGGTTCCTTAAGTGGCAGGTGGCTGGAGTAAAGGCATCATTTTCATTCAGCTGGTTTTCATTTTCTAAATATAATAAATGATGAAGGTAGCAATGATCAGTACTGACGTAACACAACAACCAAGGGGCTCAAGGTGTCTATAGACACCATCATTACTCTCAAGGTTTTTGCTATTTTTGCTCTACATTTTGTTACCCTTGGTAATGACTGTTGGCTCCAAGGTATTTACAGTCAAAAAACCTTCCTACTTTAGACAGAAACTTTACTCATGCTGTTTTAAAAGATCCCAAAGTGTGATATGTCTATCCAATAGTTGGAGGAAAGATAGAACTGAAGTTTGAGGCAAGTTAACTTTTTTCTGAAATAGGCCATCACCATTCAAGATAAATGTAAATTTATGATCTGATGGACACCCAAGCTTTTTATGCATGTACAGGCTCTTCCTGGTGTGTGCAGTCATGTCTCTTGTCCTTCACAGGGAGGTTTATAATGACCCTCATTTTCAGACTCAATTCCACCCCAATTCCTGAGCCAATTCTACCTAAAGCCAAAAGTCTATCCATTGTCTCAGGCCACCCTGAACACACAGGGCATCACCTTGAACTAGCGATAGGCCCAGATACAACTGCTGGGTTCACACCTTTCCTCCAAATTCCCTTGCTGTTCATTTATCATATCCAGTTCCTAGATTCCCAAACTCCTCAGGGTCAGCTTTCCCTGCCATCAACCCCATGCCCACCTCCCATGCGTACTCCCCAGGAGTCCCATCACTCTCACCAGTTACCTTCCTAGTTGCCCAGGCACAGACTGGACAATGGCCATCTCAACAATGGCTTAGGGAGACATGTGACCAATATCCACAAGGTCTCTCCAGGCCTTGAAATTGTGTCAACCCTCTAGAACCATCTAATGGCCCTAGAGAGGGGGAAACTCTGAAATAATTGAGATTAAATTCACTACCAGCACAAAGTGATAGAGGTTCTAATAGAATTGTATTTTAGAAAATAAAATAATTTTACATGCCTCTCTGAGTTTGGAGCTGCAGTCCATATCCCCACCATTTTGCCAGCATCCATCCTCCTGGGATGGGCCTGCTGCAGTCCCTGCTGGCTGGCATGATGCTGCCAATGGACAGAGCTCTCTGATGGTAAGTGACTCCCCACCTGACTCCAGTGGCTGAACAGCCGGCTTCAGCACCTCCTCCCTATGGTACAAACTGTACCAAAACACTTTCTCTGCCATTCCTTCCATCTTGGTAGGGACAACCCAACCCTCTTGCCACTTGATTTTCTCCTAAAAACCTAGTACACTCTTTCTTAACCAATGGGTCGTCTCCCCAGGAAAAAGCACACACCCATATACACAGGGAAACGTATTTTGGCCACAGGGATTCACTGACACATCAGAGGCCAGTGTATGAACTCCAGATTAAAAATCCCTGCCTTTGATACATACAGCTCAACACACACTCAGTTCATCTTGCTACCCAGAAAACAAGAAGCGACATGGACACCCACCCCAGGTCCAAGCCACTGATGGCAATTGTAGATGCTGCAAGGCAGCCATCTGGATTGACTGCCTCAAAGAATGACCCCTTCTGGGCATAATTCCAGAACACTCATGTGTAAAATTTATGGCTTTACTTAGAAACTAAATAATGCATGTCATTTTTAAAAGATACATCTTAATTATGCAATAATCCATTTAAAGTAGGTTTTAGTGGAAGGACTGGGGAGAGATTAGTCTACAATCCCAACTGGGAATAAATACCAGTAATAAATACCCCAACAATGGGAGCAGAGACCTTCCTGGCCCATCCTGTCACCTCCCAAGCCTTAGGGCAAAGCTGGGGAGAGAATACTCCAACATCAACCCACTGATTATGTCTTCTGTGGCCTGGACCAGAGATTCTAGAAAAACAGATGTGGAAATGAACAGTTAAGATATAGAAAATGGTTCCAATTTTAGCAGATACCATGAATAGCTAGCTGTACTTTCCTTACTCTTCCTTTTTCCTCATGAGGGTTCTGTGGCTAGAAACAAGGTATTGATGGGACTGAGATCGTAAGATTTTGCCTCCTTTCCTCTTTTGCTAGTAGTCCTATCCATGAGGGCCAAAGCTAAGACTAGGATGAGAATATATCATAAGTATTTTCACTTCTTTTTAAAATACATACACTCATGAAATCAATGTTTGGAAAGATTTTGTCTCCTAGAATAAATCACCCTTATTTTTTAAAGATCTCTAAGAAAGTTGACTCCCCAAGTTTTTAGCCAATATTTTATACCTGACAATCACACATTCAACCGTTATTAATATTTATTGTGTATATACTAGATGTCAAGTCCTATTCCAGATAGTACAGATATAACAAGGGCCTGCAGAGATCCTATGCAGTGAGCTGGCTAACGTTGACCAAGTGTAACATCTACAAGGAAAGAGAAGCGTGGTGTCCCCATAGGGGACCCAACCTAGGTAAGAAGTTCCTCCTCATGTCTAACTGAAATATGTCTTGTGTTATTCAAGTTCATTTTTTCTTCACACAAATAGAGATGAGAAAATCATTTCTTTTGTTAAAACCCTTATAAAATGGTTACATTCATGAAATCTTCTCTTTTTCTTCTCTTCTGTTGATTAAACAGCTCCACTTCTTTTAACATTTCCTCACAGGACATATTTCCTTGCCTTTAATAATAAGTTTCCTCTTATTGGGGCAGACCTTTACCATTTATAAGGCACTTTGTGGTTTACAGAGCACTTCCGCATCATTATCACACTTTGATCTTCACAACAACACTGCAAGGAAGGTGCTGCAGATATTTGCTGAGCGCCAAGTATGCCCAAACCACTATTCTAGGGCTGTGGGGGTGCCCGTGCCACTTTACACTTGTCCCCATTGAAATTTATCCCAGCTTTGTGGAGCCATTTTCTCAATGAGTCAAGGCCATTTTGAATTTTATTTCTGTCTTGCTGAGCAGCAACAACTTCACCTAATTTAGTGCCTGCTGCAAATTTCATGAGGATAATCTTAATTCCTTCATCCAGCCCATCAAAATAGCTATTGAGTAGGATAGATCCTAGCCCCAATACCTCTGAGATAGCACTCAATATGTCCCCCTAGATTGATAACTCCCCTTGGGGTGAAGCCTTCTATCCTCTAGCAGAAGTGTAGACAGAAATATACTTTAATAACATATCAAAGACAGTGCCTTAGTTAAGAAATCAAAATCTTTACTAAAATTGAGATAGATCCCATCAATCAATTCCACTGGTCTACATAGCCTCTCACAATCATGGGAGGAAATTAAATTGGTCTGGCACTATTTGCTCTTTACAGAGCTTTACTGATTGCTACTTAGTATTTTATGTCCTTTCAGGTGCTATTCAATTGATTATTTGGTGATTTATTTCAAGATCTTCCCAGGTATCGATGTTAAGCTCACAGTTCTGAAATTTTCAGGGTCATCCTGTCTTTCTCTCTCAAAGATGGGCACCTCGTTTACCCTTTTGCTATCCTTAGGGGATTTTCCAATCCTCTGTGATTTGGGGGAAACACTATCTAACAGTCCTAAGATGAAAGTTGAAAATTCATTCAGTATCCTACAGGGCAAGCCATCAGGTCCTGCTGACTTGAACATATTAGGTTTTTCTAAGTTTTCTAACTATGCAGTCCTTTTGACCTTCTGTCCTCCTATTACAATTGGGACTTATTCCAGGCAGCAATTTATAGTTGTTATTATCTTCCCCCCTGGGGGAGGGGAGTGAGGATGACATTGTAAAAAAATAAAATAAATAAAATAAAAAGCTCTACTTTTTACTCTCTCTTCTGCTTTAGCATCTCGGGCAGAGACCATGTCATGCATCCAGATCCCGTTTCCTTTTCCTCTTCTTGGCCATCCCGGAAGACTGCATTTCCCAGCCTCCTTTGCATTAAATTGGGCTCATGTGATTGGGTTTGGGGCCAATCTAATGATGGAAAGAATGATGCACACCACTTTCTGGCCTGAACACAAACTCTCTGCATGATCTTCCATATTTTCTCTTCTCCTTTGGTAACAATGTGGTCAGTGCATGTTGATGCAGGACCAACACAAGAGAAGGGAGATTGGACACATGGAGAACACTCAGGAAGGCTGCCCTAGAGAATTTCCTGACTTGCACTGAGCTGTGACATAAATAAGAGATGCACTCTGGTACTGTTAAACCACTAGCTAATAGGAAGTTTTCTTTATGTCGATCTAAAATCTCTCTCCCTGCCGTCCTCTCACACTGACCCGAGTTTTACCCTTTGAGACAGACAGGGAATATTTCTCTGTCAATTATAAGGTAAAATTGTCTAAGTGTCCATTTTTGATGAATAAAATACTTAAAGAATATCTTTTCTTATTTTCTATTATGTTTCCTAGGTATATATTTTTTATTTCGACCTTGCTAATCAGTCATACTATTTTATATATTTATGTAAATTGTGATTTCATGTTGAGGAGACCTTGCCAAAGGACCTTAATCCATCATATGCTACACAAAGAGAAAACTGACAAGATCAATTTTTTTGTTATAAGAAATTACAGCGGGTTAGATAACTATGTATGCATGTGTTTTAATTTGAAAAGGTTCTGTAAAATTACCTACTAGAAAGAAAAATGTAACAAATACCTGAGTAACCATCACCCAATGTTTCTATGTCTTAATCTATAAAAGAAACAAAACAGCCCAAGTGCCTCAGTTCCTTCCTTGGTCTCATTTCCCTTAATCCTACCTCAGAAAAAAACTTTAAATAGACACAAGCTCTCACTGTGTTGTCCAGGCTGGTCTCAAACTCCTCAGCTCAAGCGATGTTCCTACCTTGGCCTCCCAAAGTGCTGGGATTATAGGTGTGAGCCACCACGCCTGTCCAAGTCTGCCTTTATATACTTGAACTACAGATAGATAGATAGATAGATAGATAGATAGATAGATAGATAGATAATAGATTTATAGATATGTGTGTATATATGTATATATATTTGATCATGAAGAATGTATTATATTCTGTGTTTTTAGTTTACATAAATGGTGGTATGTTTATCTCTACACAACTTGATTTTTTTTCACTTACTGTTATATTTTGAGACATAATCAATATGATACATATAGGTCTAGTTTATTCCTGTTTAACTGCCTTGTGGTATTAATCCATTGTATAAATACAGCTAGAGATTATTTCTCCATTTCCCTGTTCATTAATGGACATAGGCTATTTACAATTCATCACTATTACAATAATGCCAGTTATACTCTGAAGTGGTTATACTGCTTTTCTTTCTCACAAGTTATGTATGCCAGTTTGTATTTCACCATTCCTTAATCAGTACTTGGTATAGTTGAGATAGTTTTATTTTTGCTAGTCTTCTAGATCTTCCTGTTTAAATTTGCATTTCATTCTATTCAGCCTTCAATTTTCATAAGATTCTTCTATAAGGTATTATGCATATTATTCATATAAATTATTAAATATTTTATAGTTTTATTCATACTATAAATGACATATTTTTGTACTGCTGCATTTTCTAATTTTGTTCAATTAATAATTTTCTGAAAGGACACAGGATTTGTAACAACCAACCCAGGAAAACAACATCTAATCAAAAAATTTTTTAATTTTAAAAATATTTTATAGTATTTTTATTTGTTAATATAAGGCTCAGCCTTCATGCATTCAACAAATATTATTTAATGGCTACTAGGTTCTAGGCCCACACTTAACAAAGGGGCCACTCCCTTGAGTATAAGACAGGCAATGCCTGCAGTTGTGGTCCCATTGACAATCTAATGGTGCTCAATAAATAAGCAAACAAAAAAATGAAATGGAATATTTTTATATTTATTGATAATCTACTTCCCATGATTGTGGAAAATTCAGTAGCTCTTGGGACTCCAACCCTCCCTCTAAATTGTCCAAACCCCAGAACACAAGTACATATATTTGCTTCTTTCTGCCATGTGATGTCACTGCAAGAAACTGAGCCCCCACTCTGCCACAGATGATACTGTCTTCTGTAACTGCAGAGGCCTGCCCTTCACCACACTAGCCCTGACACCCATGTGCTCCTGCCCATACCACGTCAAACACCAGTACTTGGACTTTCTCTTCTACATCCCCACTGCTTGTGTCACTGAAGAGTAGGAGACAGTGTGACTGTCCCCTCAATGCCATTTGAGCACAATTTAACACATTTTCTGGGCACAGGTACACTTCCTTCTACTGCAGGATCCATAGGCAATGCACATTGTGCATGCAGCTAGCAGAGGGTGATCCTCACCTGAAGAGCAAGTCCCAAGAAGAGCAAGTCCAGTCCTTCCCAGTTGCTCCACCCAGGCCACTGGCTATGCTCTCTTACATACAGGGACCTTCTAGAGGATTGGCTCTGCTTCCATGGGCATCTCTGATAATGCTACCCATGGGCCTCAGCAGTTTCTCCATGAACTTACTACTTCTTACTTACCTCAAGAATGGCTTCCTGACATTTCCAACCCTACCTTCTCAGCCCTGCCCACAACAAGTCCTCCAAGGTGACCTGATTTCCCCTCTATTCTTTTTCCAATCTATTGTGTACTGTGACGGCATAAAATCCATCCTCAGCTTTCCTTCTCTTTTGATTCTCAAGAGCCTATATTGAAAGCCAAATAGATCAAGTATTGAGTCTGTCTTCTGCTATTGCAATGCTGTCTCTTCAAGGAAATGCAGCTACCTGTGACAAATCAGAGAATGAGTTATACACCATGAAGTGCAGAAATAAAAGCATGAAGATTAAGACTCCAGGATACTATACAGCAGAAAGCTGAGAAACAAGAGAACTTAGAGTTCTGGAGTCAGACTACCTAGGTTTGAATCCCACTTCTGCCATTTACTGGTATGTAATTTTGGACAAGTTACTTAACCACTCTGTGCTTCAGTTTCCTTGTCTGTGAACTGGAGCATATAATAAACTACCTCAAAGTATTATTGTGATGATCAAATAAAGCCTACATTTTTAAAGCATTTAGAATAGTGCCAGGAACATAGCAAACACTCAAAAATATGAGCCATTATTGTATACTTGAAGATAACTCGTGGCTAGTTCACGTTCAGCTAATCACACAGCATCTTGGGTCTAGATGCTTGTCTCACAATTCCCAGACTTTGGTTATGCCTGAATATGGGGTGGTCATCATCTGGAAGCCCTGCATCTTCATGAAGCTGTTCTTCATTCTTGCTTGGTTTCCAAGAAACGTATGGCCCAGATGTCTCACTACATAGTTTCACTCTTTACTACTGGTTAGCATTTCAACCAGAAGTCTTTTCTGTGTCTCCTGCCATGGAGATAGCCACATGGCTTATTGCCTCATTTCCTTCAGGTTCTACTTAAATGCCACTTCCATGGAGAAGCTGTCTCCAAAAAGAGAACCTGGTATACTTCATTCCACCTGTCTGCTTTATTTTTCTCCATAGCACTTACCAGTACCTAACATTTTATTTGTGTATAAAATGTTATATAATGACATACATGTATGTAATTTATATGTTGTAAAATGTTATATAAATAGATATTACACATGTACAGTCATGCACCATGTAACAATGTTTGGGTCCATCACAGACCACATATATGACAGTGGTCACATAAGATTATGATGGAGCTCAAGAATTCCTCTTGCCTAGTGATGTCGGAGCTGTCCTAATATAGCACAATGCATTACACACATTTGGAGTGATGTGGGTATAAACTGATCATATTGTGCTGCCAGGCGTATGAAAGTATAGCACATACAATTATGTGCAGCTCATAATACTTGATAATAAATGACTATGTTACTGGTTTATGTATTTACTATACTATACTTTTTATCATTATTTTACAATATACTCCTTCTAATTATTAAACTAAAAAAAAAGGTTAACTGTAAAACAGGCTCAGGCAGGTCCTTCAGGGGGTATTCCAGAAGAAGGCATTGTTATCATAGGAGACAACAGCTCCATGTGTGCTATTCCCTCTGAAGACCTTCCAGTGGGGCAAAATGTGATATTGATATTTATAGGCAAAGACAGGGATATTGATGATCTTGAGCCTGTGTAGGTCGAGGCTAATGTGTGTTTGTGTCTTTGTTTCTAACAAAAAATTTTAAAAGTAAAAAAGTCACACTGAAAATTTTCAAAATAGAAAAAACTTATAGTATAAGGATGTAAAGAAAGAAAACCTTTTTTAATGACTGTTCAGTGTGTTATGTTTTAAGCCAAGTGATATTAAAGTTAAAGATAATGTAAAAGTTTATAAAGTAAAAAATTTACAGAAAGCTACGGTTAATTTATTACTGAAGAAAGAAATATATATTTTTACAAAGTTAGTGTAGCCTAAGCATACAGTGTTTCTAAAGTCTACAGTGGTGTACAGTAATGTCCTACGCCTTCACATTCACTCGCCACTCACTCACTGACTCACCAGAGCAATTTCCAGTCCTGCAAGCTCCATTCAAGGTAAGTGCCCTATATAGGTGTGCCATTTTTTAATCTCCTCTACGGTATTTTTTTTTTTTTTTTGAGACTGACTTTCACTTTTGTCACCCAGCTGGAGTGCAATGGCGCAATTTCAGCTCACTGCGACCTCCCAGATGCAAGCGATTCTCCTGCCTCAGCCTCCCAGGCAGCTGGGATTACAGGCACCCACCACCACGCCCAGCTAATTTTTGTATTATTAGTAGAGGTGGGGTTTCACCATGTTGGCCAGGTCTCTAACTGCTGACGTCAGGTGATCCACCCACCTCTGCCTCCCAAAGTGCTGGGATTACAGGCATGAGCCACCACACCAGCCTCTCTACTGTATTTTTATTGTACCTTTTCTATGTTTAGATACACAAATGTTTACCATTGTGTTACAATGGCCTACAGTAGTCAATGCAGTAACCTACTGCATAGGTTTGCAGCCTAGAAGCAATAGGCTATACCATCTAGCCCAGGTGTGTCATAAGCAATACCATCAAGGTTGGTATAAGTACACTCTATGATGTTGACAGGATGAAATCACCTAATGGTGATTCTCAGAGTGTATCCCCATTGTTAAGCAATGCACAACTATCGATGATTTACAGGAAGCACTTTCCAAAGAGGGGCATGTCTGGCTCATTCTCATTTCAGGTTTCTGAACTAATGTCATCTTCTCAGAGAGGATTTCCATGGCCATGGTAGTTACTCTCCAAGGCTGCTTTATGCCTTTCTAGTAGCTATGGCTCTATAATTATTGTATATTTTTGTATTCATTCATTCATTTGCTAATTATTTGGGTCTTCTAGAGCAACGCAAGCTTCATCGGGGCAGGGGATTGTCTTTTTATTGCTGTATTCCCAATACCTAGGACAATACCATAGTAGTTACACAGTAAATAAATACTGGGTGTATGAACAAGTTTGTGAATGAATAATTTTCTTTAGCTCATAAAATCCTTTAGCTTTACCCTTCGTTCTAGTTTTCCTTTCAACTGAAAATATCTTCCTCCCAACCTCTACATTTCCAAATCTTACCCAGTCTTCAGCTCTAACTAAAATGTCTCCTCCTCCAAGAAGACATTCTTGAGGTATGGCCAGTTTGCTAGCTGGCTTCAGTAGCCATTCTTTCCTTCTCCCATAGGAACAGAGCTCCAGCTTTGAGCTGTCAGGCACATAATCTTTCAGAAAAACAGCTACATTTCTCAATTTTCCCTGCAGCTAAATGTGGTCATGTGGCTAATTTTTAATCAATGAAATGTAAGCAGAAATGTAGTATGTCAGCTTTCAGATGGATTCCATTTTAATAAAAAGCTTTTGTATACCCTACCTCCCTTTTTCATCTCTTTCTCTATCCAGCTTCCTGAAATCCGTTGTGATGGCTGGAGCTCTAGGTACTATCTTGAACCATGAGGATGCAGGTCAGAGCCTAAGGATGGCATAATTGTGAGCCAGAAGGAGCCCAAGTTCCTGAAGACCCAGCAAAACAGAACTCCCACACCAGTTCACCTACTGACCTCTGGACTTTACCTGGAGGAGAAATAAACTTTTAATTTGTTTAAGCCATTATTCACTTTTTTTAAATTAGAAGCCAAACCTTATCTTAACTGATATATTCAGCTAAAAATCACCTACCTCTTCAGAATACCATATACTTGAATACTGTAGCTGGAACTTTCTTATAAAACATCATTCCACTTTTCTGTTTTAGTATTAGCCAACCATTTATTGAGTGAATACTGTGCCAAACACTGAGTTAATTCTCCCAACCACCCTACAAGGTAGGTATTTTTATTTCCATTTAGCAGGGGAGAACGCTGAGGTTCATGGGGCTTTGGTGACTTCTCTAATTTTTTACAGTAATAAATGGCAAGCAGCAGGATTTGAACCCAGACCTCTCCAACCCCAAAGTCTGTGCTTTTCCTACTACACCCATATGCATGTCTTCCCGCATCTACTGTAAGCTCCTTGAGGGCAGGGACCATGGCTTATGATCCTTTGTACTTTCATAATGCATACCCCAGTTCCTGCCACGTCTTAGGTCATCATAAATACTGAGTGGATGAGTGAGCAAGTGAGTGAGTGAATGAATGAGTGGACAGATGAATGGCTGGATAGTTTCTTTGGCACACAGTTCATGGAAATATCATTCCATTTTGTTTATAACTTTCTGACATACACCCTCAGGACCAAAGCTGGAGCCATAAGCAACAATATTAGGCAGGTGTTGTAGGTTAGATTCCCCAGAAGCAGAGCCTGAGACAGGGATTTGGTCCGCATGATTTGTGGAGGGAGTGTTCTTCCAAAAGCACCTGCAGGGGAGTATGTAAAGGCAAGCAAGGACGTGGTACCAGATCAAGTCCTCCCTTGGCCTGATCCACAAAGAGCCTGGAATACAATCCACCCGACAGAGTCATCTCTGCCTTGAGGCAGTCAGTCCTTGTCTGCAGGGCTTCCCGCTGTGGGAGGCAGAATCCCCAGTCCTCCTCAGTGCAGGGCAGTCCTCCTGAGAAGGGGGCAGTGGTGAGGAGCACCCACTACTCACAGCAGCCAAGGGATGGGGGACCTGGGGAAGGAGCTCTGGGCTGCACCAACAGCACTCGGACAGCAAGATTTTCATTGGAAAGGGTAAAAAAGAAATGTCACTCAGCTTCATTTCAGAAGTGGGGAAAACCTGATGTCAATGAGCTTATCTTGACTGCAAATATGTAAAACCACCCCAAATCTCTACCTCTCTCGAGTGAAGTGAGACCCTCCCTGCAACCATATATGTTTTCAATCACTTCAATTCCATGATTAGGCTTCCTCTTTGAGATTTTTTTTTCAAAACTTTTCAGACAACTTCTCAATCTTCTATACACATAACCAAAACCTTTAACAAATATGCCAGGGAGGGGTGTTTGTGTGTGTGTGTTTGTGTGTGTGTGTGGTATGTGTGTCTGTGTGTCTGTCTGTCTGAATATCAAACTATGCAAATAAACAAAGCTTCATTATTAGTCACAAATAAGGATAATCATTAAATAGTATTTTCTTTGAAGTCGAAGAGTAGAATATTCAGAAAATGAAACCAAATTATTCTTCTAGCCCAGATTACTACTTAACAGTAAACTCTATTCATTAAATACAGCCATTGAAGAAAATTCATGAGGGAAAAATATGATGCTATTTTGTAACTTGACAAATATGAGGCAACGATGTTGTCTGGGAACATCATTTGAACAGTAGCAGAATTATGGAGCTTTGAGAAAGCGTCTGTCTTTTGGTCAGCTTCTTCACTGACCCTGTGTGACCCAGTTTGTTGGATCTCAGTGCTAAAGAGTGGTGTTGGTAGCATATAACAGCTTCCCATCCCCAAAAGCCAGCCATCAATGCCCACTGTACCCAGTTAGCACACCAGGAGAACAAAAACACTGATATTCCAAAGCTACTCTGCTGTCACATAAAGGGGAACATGCACTAATCTTTTCCTGGATTATACCGATTAAATAGAAGAATTTCCTTGTTTTATCTTCTGGCTCTCTTTCTCTCTCTCTCTCTTTCTCTCTCTCTCTCTCTCTCTCTCTCTCTCTCTCTCTCTCTCTCTCTTTCTATTTCTCAATTTATCTTTGAGATTTTTACCCCAGGACAACTTTCCCAAAAACTCATCAAAAAATGTTCCAAACCTCAGCTAAGGTTTACACCCTGAGAATTTGTTATTCATGAGCCAGGCCTTTTGAAGTCTGATTTCTCAGGATTGATGCTTTATCTTTAAACAGTGAACATGAACATTGACTCAAAGGGCCTCTGACAATCACTTAGGAATAACTCAGACATTTGTGTCTGGGCAAGGTCTCCCCTACACAGGGAACCTTTTGTAAATATTACTTACTAGAACCATAACACTAATAGATGTAGTTAATAATTATCACAATGTGCCAAAACTGCACAGTTTGCTCCCTGATTACAATATTAAATTGCTATTGAGCTGTGGTATTCGCTTCAGGCAATACTAGTAAGAACCCCCTAAAGACCATGGCTGGCCTCACCATACAAAAATGGAAAATGTTCCACTGCACACAATGCTCAGGCAGCAGTGGGCTTTGCCAGAAAACAAACACAAAACTCAAACAATAGAAGGAAAGTTTTATCAGAGCTGAAGTGTCCTTTCACTTGGGAACTGTCATCTCTCAGAAAGAAAAACACGCACACGCTTGATAGCGGCTCACAAGGCAAGCCATTACTATGAGCACGGTGACTCACAGTGCAGATAGAGAATACTGTGCAGCCAGAGCTGAGAGGCTTTGTTTTATTTGCATCTGATGATGTCTTGAGATAGGCCATTCCAGCTCTGAGAAGTTGAGAGACCCTCAGAATGCGAACAGGCTTCTCTCTCTGTGAGCAGGGAGGGAATTTTCTTTTCCCACACACCGTCTCCTCTTTGCCTGACAGGTCAAGTGGCCTGGACAATAGGGCAAAGCTACTGAGAGCAAAACTGCAATTTAATTGAGAAGTGTCATTAGCTCCAGGATGGCACATTCAAAAGCAGACACATGGGAGGCACTTGTCATATGCAGCACACACCAGTTCACTCCTCATTCACCCACACACTGCCATCCTACCTCCATATTTGCAATTTCAGAAACCCACAGTGGGAAAATGAGCACTTAGCAATCAATTTGCACAGACAGCCGCCCAGCCTGCACAAACAGGAGGCTGGTTTGCCCACCCTGGAGATGCAGAAGCATTTCAAGGGGACAGCCACTACTGAGGCTGAACTTAAAATATGGTGCTTTACAGGAAATCGGGGCTCCTGAATGCTGCAGTAACAAGAAAAAGAAACAGCGGCTATTAGGCAACTAATTAAAAGAAATTCAACAAGAAGGATGCTACTTGTGCCTTGACCCAATTCAGACCTGGCAAACCAGTAAACAGCCAGCAAAATGCTTTTGTGCTGGTTAGGAGAGGTTACATTGGAAGTCATCTGCCGTTCTCTTAGCAGCTGCATTGGCTCTGGCCTGTGCAGGCAGGACATGGTAATGGATGTTCCTGGCACAGAGGAGAGAGTAAATGGCTGCTCCTTTTCTTCCCGCAATGCAGCAAGTCTACCTGCTCCAGATTACCAAGGTGTGCTGGGTTGGATCCATTCCCCAGGCCAGTACAACCTGGTGTGAGCTTGGAACTCAACGGGTAATTCAAGCCACCACATCACCTGTAACACATATAAGGTCTTTTATGTTTAATTTTCATCAAATTTGCCAATAGTCAATGTACCTGGGCCTCTTTCTTAGATGCTGCAGGATAAACATTCTCCATTTCTCCTGGGAATTTTTGGTATTACCTTTCCCTTCTTTTTGTTTACAAAAATATACTTTTTCACTACAAATTTCTTTTTCACATCTTAATCTATATTTTATGAATCCCTCAAGGATAAATAAGATGTTTGTTTATTTCCCCATTTACAATGCTGTGTGACCTTGGGCAAGTTACTACCACTCTGTGCAGCAGTTCCTCATTTAAAAGTTAGGATGATGCTAATGCCTATAAAATCTCTTAGCAGAAATGCCCAGTACAAAACAAGCCTCCAAAACCTGTTAGCTGATGATGTTGTTATTATTATTGCTATTGTTATTAGCACTCTTGTCTTTTATCCTCAGAATCTAACAGTGCCTGGTACACAAAAGAGGTTCGGAATATGTTCTGTGACCAGCTGACTGACTGAATAAATGACTGAATGGATGACTGCTTTAAGTAACAAGCAGCTTTCTATCCTGAGTTGCTCCATCCCAATCATCATTCTCCCCTATGCCAAGAAATAAGGAGGTTGGGTCACATCATTTCATCTGCTGCATTCTGTACCTCTCAAGTCTCAAGGTCAACTGTCAGACACAACCCAACAAAAGAGGATAGCAACATAAACGAGATTTTCTTTCTTTATTATTATTATTATTTTTTAGAGACAGAGTTTTGCTCTGTCACTCAGGCTGGAGTGCAGTGGCATGATTATAGCTCACTACAGCCTCAAACTCCTGGGCTCAAGCAATCCTCCCATCTTAGCCTTCCCACCTCCCCAGGAGCTGGGACTACAGGCATGCACCACCATGCCTGGCTGTTTTGTATTTTTTGTAGAGACAGGGCCTCGCTATGTTGTCCATTCAGGTCACAAACTCTTGGCCCCAAGCAATCCTCTTGCCTTGGCCTCCCAAAGTGCTGGAATTACAGGCGTGAGCCACTGTGCCCACCTAGAAGTGTAATTTTTTAAAAGTCTTGTCTTTCACTCTAACGAGCCTGTGAATTTGAAGGGAATAAATAATCCAAGCTGTTCCTGATGATTATTTTCAAGGATGCTCATACTGGGATGGAAGGTTGGGGAAGAGGAAGCACATATCAGCAGCACTATCTATGGCTCCTCCCAAAACTACCACGAGAAGAAGAGAAACCAATAGAAAGGCTGGCTGTCTGTATAGAAGTTCCCATCACAGAATAGACCACTGAGCTCAAGCTAATCACATGTCAATGAAGTGATTTCACAGAGGCATTGAGAGTAGAAGGGCACTGGAGTTACGCATACCCATGTTCTAATTCCAGTTCTGACACGTGAGCCATGGACAAATGACTGAAGCTCTTTGAGTCTCATATCGTTCATCGGTGAAATGGGGATGAAATCCCCTCACAGGGCTTTGGGAAGTGTAAATGAAAGGATATATAGAGAGAACTTAGGATAAAGTCTTTTACACAGAAAGCTTAGGTATTTTTGAGGTTAGTGGATCACTCTCCATGCTGAATTCCAAGCAAACTGGGAAATAGACTCAGGCCTTCAAAATGGATCAAATGTTACTTTTGTAATTGGGGAAACTAGACTGGGTTTAGGGCCAAATTGGGCCTTCTACTCCTCATAACTTCAAACCGACCCACACCTTGAGATCCACAAAAGGGAGAATAGCATCTACTATTTCAGCGACACAGAAACACCCCTTGCTCCTCCTCCCACTAGTGGTATTGGGATCTGCCGCTAGAGCTCCATTTCCCTCTGCTGTCCTCATTGCAACAGGCAGGTGAGCTGCGTCATTCCCATTGCAGCCTAATCCTTAAGCTGAGTCCATTCCTCCTCTTCCACATGTAGGACTAGATCCCAGAGCCTTCTTTCCTTTTGCTTCTCTTTTTCTTTCTGCCCCAGATACTCATCTCTCTTAACCTATTCTTGCATATTCTCCTGGAGCCCGAGGCTATATGGGATGGTCTGTTGCTTCTGGGCTACAAACCTGGACAGCATGTTACTGTACTAAATACTGCAGGCAACTGTAACACAGTGGTAAACATATCTAAACATAGAAAAGGTACAGTAAAAATACAGTATTATAATCTCATGGGACCACCATCATATCCACGGTCCATGATTGACCACAACATTGTTAGATGGCACAAGACTGTATTTCCCAGGAACCTTCTCTCAGGGGATACACAATGGTTACATTCCCACCTACAATTTCTGGGTTACACCAAAACTCATCTAATTCTAGTTAAATTTTTCATCTCCCATCTCCCTGGTCTTCCTAACTTAAATCTGTGCAAAAGGATAGCACACTGGACACAGCTATCTCAGTCTCCAAGCTTTCCCAATGGCTTTTATTTTGACTCTTTATCCCGGCATTAAATACACCCCTCACAACTGGGGCTTCTCACATCCCTCAGGGATAATCATTCTCATTTGTTCTCCGAGACCTTGCCTGTCTTCCTCTTTTGGAGCTCTTTGTGCCCAGTCCCTCCCCTGATCTGTTAATTCTCTTACTCTCCTATTGACAAGCAATATGCCTGACTATATTTGCTTTTTCCTTTCCCATTAGTCTAGCCCAGTATTTTAGATGCTTGCCAAAATCTTTGGGACAAGATTGTATTGTGTTTCTTTTAAAATAATCAAGGAGGCAGATGTTTCAGACCATCTCACTTCTAAGAGACTTAGACATCCTGTGGTTTCTAAGAAATCCTGTGACAGACCAGTCTCTACAGGCCTGAACCATTGACTGACCTAGAGACCAGTCAATAATTGGTTTATTACCACTGCTTTGGCCTTGACTCTACATAGATTACTGAACATTGAGATATTACTCATGGGTTTTAGCCATTTGCTTGTGAGATGAATGATTTCAAGCACCCACAACAGCCTGGACTCCCTTGGCTTTGAGGGGAGCAAGCATAGAGGTCTGGCCTATAACCAGACAACTGCTACAAAGTAGGGCAGCAGGTGGGTGTGCTCTCATTCTTTATACAATTTCCTGAGAAAGAAACGTTTGGCAATGAAGACAACCAATGACAGTTCCACTCCCTCCTTTGAAGCAGATTTTATAAACTAACCTCAAAGATCAAGCTTCCACAATTTTTGAATACTTAGCAAGCATTATATATTCCATATGTTGTAATAATATAAAATTTATCTTTTGGGAAAAGCATACACAAATTTTGATGTGCCTTAACTTGAAAACAATAGCTAACTCAACCGATATATTACTTTCTTCTTTTTCCCCCAAGAAGGGGTGACTGAATCATCAAATACACGATAGGAGTTAAGGGAATATTAGGCCTACAAAGGAGAATTTGACCAAGAATCTCCCAGAAGGACATTATGTTAAGTAAAATAAGCCAGGAACAGAAAAATAAACACAGCATCTTCTCACTCACATGTGGAAGCTTAAGAAAGTAGTTCTCATAGAAGTAATAAGTAGAATGGAGGATACTAGAGGCTGGGAAGGGTAGGGGGGAGGGAAGGATAGGAAGAGATTTGTTAAAGGGTACAAAATTACAGCTAGATAGGATCAATACATTCTAGTGTACTATATCACTCCAGGATGATTATAGTGAACAATAACATATTATATAGTTTCACATAGCTAGAAAGAGGATATTGAAGGTTCTCAACACAAAGAAATGATAAATGTTTGAGATGATGGATATGCTAATTACCCTGATCAGATCACTAGACATTCTATGTATTGAAATACCACCATATACTCTATAAATATGTATGATTCTGTGTCAATTTTAAATTTTTAAACGTAATTTAATTTTTAAAAAGAAAAACAATTCTGGAAGAGATGGAGGAGAATTCATATTATCTATCTTATAAATATTTGATGGAATTTACCTACAAAGCCATCAAGACTTGAAGTTGCCCTTGTGGGAAAATTTTTAACTACAAATTCAATTTCCTTAATAGATAAGATGCTATCCAGATGTTTTGTTTCTTCTTGGATGTGTTTTGGTAGTTTGTGTTCTTCAAGATATTGGTCCCTTTCACTTCAGTTTATCAATTTATGGGCAGAGATTTACTTGCAATATTCTCTTATCACTATTTTAATATTCCTGGTGACTATGGTGACATTTCCTTTTCTTTCCTGATACTAAATTTAGTTTCTTGTCTCTTTTCTTTTGTTAGTCCAGATAGAATTTCACTAATCATTTAATTTTTCAAAACAGAAGCTTTTACTTTCATTAATTTTCATTACTGTCTTTTCTATTTTTAATTAAATTGGCTTCTTTTACTTTCATTATTATATCTTCCTTCCTTTTGCTTTTGGTTTAATTTGCTCTTTTTCTTATTGCATAGAGTCAGTAGTTAGTCTGATTATTTGAGAGCTTTCCTCTTTTCTAATATAAGCATTTAATTTAACTCTAAGCACTATATTAGTTTTATTCCATAAATATTGACATGCTATATTTTATTTGTATTCATTTCAAAATACTTTAAATTTCCTTTTGTGGGCTTCTCTGAATCATGAGTGATTTAGATGTTTTGCTTAACTTCTAAATAATTCAAAATTTTCTGTTTTCTGTTACTGATATCTAATTTAATTATAATTGTAAACTTTTTAGTATATTAATTTTTTAATGTTTTATGGGAGAAAATATTCTATATCTTTATGGGTGCCTTATCAGTATTTGACACAAATATGTATTATTCTGTTGTGGGGTTAAATTGCTGAAAAATGTAGATTGAGTCAAGTAGGTCAAAAAATAAAAAGAATTTCTTGGAACATGAGGCCTCCAGGAGCTCAACCTCTGTCCTTCTTTCAGATCTGCCTTACTGGGCCTCCAAGACCCCAACCTTTCCTTACGATTGCAAGACTTCACTTTGCCTTTTCTATCTGTTTTGTTTAGGCTACTTAATCTCAGCCTTTTCTTAAGGAAACTTTCTTCCTCAAAAAATGATTCCTAATCAGAATGATTTTTTTTCAATCTCCCACTGTTACTATTCCTATTTCTAAATCAAAGCCTGCTATTAAACCTACTCAGTTTTTCCTGGAGAGTCTCAGCAAACCTGATTCCTAGAGTACTACATAAAGCTTTTTAATTGCTTTTATTATATTAAAAAGATGGAATTACAGTAATTCCATTGAGGTTTTCCTCCACCTAACTTAAGAGGATGACATCTTTGTATTGTAAGCGCCCATTCCCCTTTAGAGGTTTACTAACAAAAATCTGCCTGCATCTGAACCCTGCATGGGTCCTTGAAATCTACAACCGTAATAGAAGATTATATAATTAACAAGAGAAAGTCAATTTGAGACCATGTTGGGTGAAGAAGGGCATTGGCTTCAATAGCACACAAACAAACCACATGATACCAAGAAGGTGGTCTTGCCATTGTTCCCTCTTTGACCTGAGAACTGGTTACAAGTCAAAACAAGTTAAAGAACAGGATTTGAAGCAGCTGACCAATAACTGCTACCAATCTCTTTATAATTTAAAGGTTGGAACAATACATACCAGTATTTCTAAGTCCTGGCCTGCAGAGAAACATGTAAAGAGAACAAAATGTTTCCACTTACCAAAGCCAAAAAAACTGTACAACAAAAGATACTTTTATTTTATACCCAGTGCACCTGCTAAGGTCAAAAACAGCAACCCCCCTCCCATAGCTTGTGCCTCATAAAAATAGCCACACACCTGTGACTACCAGCAATAAAGATGTCACAGATTGTAAAGAAAAATCTGACAGATCCACCTTTTCCAAAGCCTTTTTCCAAACCATATCACCAGCACAATGTCTAGGTCCCAGAATGGATGTCCAAACTTGAGACTTTATATCATTTATATAGGAGTTTGAGAAGGTTCCTAAATTGCACATACTCTCCATTCCAAGTTCTGAATCAATATAAGAGTCAAATAAAGATCAAAATACTGATTTAATTACCAGTATAAAGAATGAGGCTGCTTGATATTTACTGAAAAGGAACAAACTACACGATGCATAGTTAAATTTAAAAGCTAGGTGCATAACTATGTGAGGTATATGTCATCTTTATGTGTGCATGTATGTAGACATGACCGGAGATCAAAACAGTCTTTTTATACCATCCCATTACGTCTGGATTTTAGAATCCACATGTGGGAAATATGGGACAACAGAGTAGATAATTAACTAGACAGTCACTTAAAGGATTATGGCTCGACTCACCCCCTGTTGAGAAAAATATTAAATAAAGAAAGGCCATCCATATGTGGCCACCTGTAAGCCATTATTAACCCCTTTTACTAGAGAAACAATGGATATCCCATCCTTACTGCCTCGTCAATCACATTCATCTCCAACTCCCATGGAAACCCAGCAGTGAGAGAGGTGGGGAGGAGAGAAGGTTACTTCTCAATGCTACCGTGATGCTACATAGGAGAGCTAAACAGGTACATAGTAACAGATTTGAACTTAGTTGGCACAAACTAATCCTTGACACAATTAACCAAGTTACAGGTATCTCTGACCATGTTATCAGGGTTCAACTAATCCCTATCTGTACAATTTGGCAAACTTTTTCTTAAAAGGACACATTAGTAAATATTTTAGGCTTTGGGGGTCACATAGCTCCTGTTGCAATTATTTGACTCTGTCCATGTCTTGTGAAAGCAGCCGTAGATGACACATAAGCAAAAGGGTGCAGCTTCATTGCAATAGAGTTTTATTTACAAAAACAGGTGAGCAGGAGTTTGCCATCCTCACCTGCTGGGTGAGGCAACTTTCCTTCTTTACCTAAGAAATTTCACTGATGCAAAAATACAAAGAATATTTCCATAACCTAGGCCCTCACTATCTCTTACCCAGCCTATTGCAGTAACTTCAAATTTATCCCTGGCCTCAGGGTGTCCCCACTCCAACTCATTCTATGCACTCCATCATAGTTTTATCTCCAAAATTTAATTCTGATTACCTGACTACCCTGCATAAAAACTTCCCATGCCTTCCAGTTGTTTCAAGAATAAAATGCAATCTCTTTACCACGGCTTAGAGAATTCCTATTTGGTTCCAACCAAGCTGTAAATTCTTTCCTGCATATGCTAGCCTCCAGCTCTATTGAGGTGTTGAACATTCCACAGGTACGCCACACTCTCCTATGTCTTCAAATATTTCACATGCTGTATCAGAGTAATTAATGAAAACGGCCACAATAGACACACACAACACAATAAAATTCTATTACTCTTTCACACAAAGTACCATGCAGGTCAAGGAGGGCTCTCTTCTTTCCAGTGACTTAGGGATCCAGGTTCCCTGTTTCTTGTGACTCAGTTGGCTCAACACATTTCTACCAAGTATGTGGCAGCAGGAGAAGGGAGAAATGGATGAAGCATGCCAATGCTTGAGTGCCTAGGATACTAAGTCATGCATCATTTCTGCTCACAACCCTATTCACTAAGGATCCAATTCAACCCTATTCAATCACAAGGATCCAATTCAAGTACAAGAAATCTAAAAAATACAGAGGAGCACATTGACAATTTCTATGCACAAATTTTCTCTGCCACATAAGCTATGACCTTTGCTTGAAATATCTTTCCACTTCTCTTCCTAGAAAACATCTTCTCATTTTCCGGGTCCTAATCCAGTATCACCTTCTTAACCTCTTCCGACAATTATTTCCCCCTCCCCTATGTTCCTGTAAGTCTCCATACAAATCTGTGCATATAGATCATCCCACTTTACCATTATTTGTCTGCACAACTAACTCCAAGTCAGAAGACAAGACATTATCTTTCTCAGTGACTCACTTCCCAGCACCATGCCAGGCACCTATAAAGGCAGAATATGTATTTTTCTATGTGAACAAATGAGCCCCCAAAGTGAGCTATAGAAGGATTTGCCCATGGAAACAAAATAAGCAAAGAGGATTGATTCCTCATGAGTCCTCATGAGTCCTTGTCATGGGTCTGAGTTACCAGTTAAGAGTGAAACTACCTATGGTAAGTGAGCTCTCAGAAAGGGTGATTTCTGGACCAAATATACTAAAGTTTAAAACATCTAAAAGAGCCACGTAATTATAGTGTGCCCTGTAAAGTTTAAAACAATATAACCCTTTCATTCTGGAACCGGAAGACTTGGGGCGTTTCCAGTTGGGAGCAGGAGTTATTGCTTAGACTCCATGTCCTAGGGCTTTCCTCTGAGAAAATGAGAGGGGTAGCCGGTGGTACTAATATTTCCAGGCAACTGGCCAAATTAGCGATCCCAGGCATGTGTGTGGGTTGTGAGACCCACTGTCCTTCTCTCATGCTGGCATTTGAGTCCCTTCCCATGCCTAGTCATGCTTTTTTTTATCTTTAAAATAAAGATCAAATTTGGAAAAAGTCGGTAGACTCCATCCCATTTCCAAAGCAGAGAAATGTTAGAAACTGGAAGTTTCCAGATGGCTGCCTCACATTTTTTGGTAGCCTGCTGCATTCTGACTGAGGTTAGGTAACCATAACAAAAAGCAAAATGAATGACTTCAGTGAAAAGTTTGCCCGGGGCAAAGCCAAGAGTTATGATATTTCTGCTGGATTACAATCAACAGAAGCAACTTTAACTGATGTCGGTTTTGTTCAGAATTCTGGAGATACGTATAATATATCCAAGGACTTTTAAAGATTTTCAAGCTTTTGATATTGCAGTTGAACAGCTTGCTTGGCCAATTTTTATCCCCCCTGCCCCAAAGCATTTATTAATGAATCTAAGTCATGAATTTGTGGCTAGTGCAAAATAGCTACCTTTATATCAATGTCCTGTAGTTTATAAGTTCACCATTTTCCTGGAAGAATCTAGAATCATATTAGCTGTGACTCTCCTAAGCATGTCTCTCAATGAAACCCTGTCATTAGCACCAAATATTCCAGCAGTCTAACTAGCTGTGGGCAACATCTCATCTCAATGACAAAATCTGCCATCAGCCTCAATTAATTTGGAGAGCCTGTCTCATCAGAAAAGCTCCATGACAGATCTACTTCTGGTGCTAATGTTAACACGCTGCCATCAGGGCAACAGTCAAAACACATTTGAGTTCTGGGCTCCTGTGAAAACTTATCACTGAAGCACACTCCTTGCTGAAGGACAGGAGCTGCCCTTCGCTGAGGGTGAAAATTGGTTCCGTGGGGAAAGCTTCAAAGCCATTTCAGCCATTAAAATGTGACTGAATGTATTAGGAAAACAGGAGAGGTTGAAGCAGAGCGTGGAGGTGCCATGGGGACTGGGAAAGAACCTGCTCCAGAGAGTGGCCGAGTGACTGACCATGTCACCATTCTCGGGAGCAGAAAGCGT
The DNA here is from genome assembly GCF_000001405.40 of Homo sapiens. Lineage (NCBI taxonomy): Eukaryota > Metazoa > Chordata > Mammalia > Primates > Hominidae > Homo > Homo sapiens. Next base: position 25,864,222 of record NC_000018.10, read on the forward strand.
TGGTGCCACAGCCTCATTACAGTCAGGCGGTTTACCATACCAATTATTGGTGTACTGACCACGTTTAGATAGACTTCATATCAAAAATTAATAATGCCAATGAGGAGTGCCACTCTCATTCGGGTGTGGAACTTGTTGCTCAGAAGGAAAATAAAGACGATGTAGTCTTGAATCTAGAAAGCACTTTAAGTCTGTTTACCAGAGAAAAACTGCTTGAAAGCTTCATAAAACAAGAGAATGTTCAGCTGTGGCCAGGTATGATAAGAGTGGCCTTCTCTAGTGCTGTGGTTCTCGAGGTGCCTTCCTCAGACAGCAACATCAGCATCATTCACAAATTGGTTAGAAATGCAGATTCTCACCTGAAGTCAGGAGTTTGAGACCAGCCTAGCAACATGGTAAAACCCTGTCTCTACCAAAAATACAAAAATTAGCCAGGCATGGTGGCGCACGCCTGTAGTCCCAGCTACTCGGAAGGCTGAGGCAAGAGAACCGCTTGAACCCATAGGGCGGAGGATGCAGTGAGCTGAGATCATGGCCACCGCGCTCCAGCCTGGGCGACAGAGCCAGACTCCATCTCAAAAAAAAAAACAGAAATGCAGATTCTCTGGCCCCAACCTAAGCCTACTGATCCAGCAAACCCTTGAGGTAGGGCCCAGTAATCTGCACTTTATGGAGTGCTCCCCACCCCAGCCCCCAGTGTTTCTGATGCTAGCTCAGGTAGGAGAACTGGATTCTAGAGAATACAAAGTAAGCTTTGAGTTCACCTCCTAGCCCAGCTGCCCACTCAACAGATGACCTTATAGATGGACTTCACCTTGCTATCCTTCCATCCTATTCCAACTAGAAAATGGTTAGTCATTCCAAACACTGTGGCCCAAACCTGCCACTCCACCCCGTATCCCCTGGGGTGAAGCATAACCTATTCTGGAAGCCTCTATTTCTTCTGCAAAGACTGCAGGATTACACAGATGTTCTCTGACCTCATTTTGCATAAATCTAGGTCCTCTGAGGAACTGAGCAGAGTATTACTATAGAAAAAAAAATTTTTTTGTTCTGGGCTTGGAGTTGGAAAAGACCAAAAAACTCCAGATCAGAATCCATCCAGATCGGGGTTGGTCAAATCTGGCTGGCTGCCTGATTTTGCAAGTTAAGTCTTACGGAGGCACAACCATGCTCACCCATTACTTATTGTCAAAGGCTACTGTTGAGCTACAACAGCAGAGTCAAGTAGTTGCAACAGAGATGGTGCGGCCTGCAGAGCCTAAAATGTTTTGTCTCTGGCCCTTTACAGAAAATATCTTCAGATGCCTTGTCTAGATACACAATCAGTCGCCACTGAAATAGAAACTCAGGGTAAGAGGTGGCGTGTGGGGGGTCAAGAGCTGGAGAGGAGCAAGAGCTTCTGGTTCCACAGCAGAGGAGGCTGCACTGGAGCAAATGACATTTTTCTCATACCTCAAAGCCCCAGGTTTGAACCTAAAGGCAAGTGCAGGGCACCCAAAAAGGAGTCTGATCTGTCAAAAGCCCCTCTGGGAGCTGGGTGCAGTGGCTCATGCCTGTAATCCCAGCACTTTGGGAGGCCAAGGCTAGAGGATCTCTTGAGTTCGGGAGTTTGAGACCAGCCTGACCAACATGGTAAAACACTGTCTCTACTAAAATACAAAATTAGCTGGGCATGGTGACTCATGCCTGTAATCCCAGCTACTTGGAAGGCTGAAGCAGGAGAATCGCTTGAGCCCATGAGGCAGATGTTGCAGTGAGCCAAGATCACGCCACTGCACTCCAGCCTGGGTGACAGAGCAAGACTCCATCTAAAAAATAAATAAATAAATAAAAATTTTAAAAAGCCCCTCTGGGGATCTCACATATACTGGTCCACAGACCACACTTGGAGAAATGGGGGTTGATCTGGCCCTTCAGATGCAGAAAGATGTAAATATATCCCACTGTGCTTAGAAAGTTCATCTGATAAAAATCTGGTCTAAATCTCCCAACTGCAGCTGTGATTTCTTTTTCCATTTTCTAACAAATTTGGCAAGGAGTGAGGAGAATACGTTTAAACTTTCAGGCTAGTTTAATTAATTCAGCCTAGAATGTGTGTAATTACTCATTTAATATTCTTCTCAAAATTTATATGGTGACTATTCCAACTCTATACTTGTAAAGATCATTTTAAATTTATGGAACCCAACTTCCAGCAGACCAGAGAGCTAAATGTAGTTTTGACTTGTACTATCACATAAACAAGTGCTGGTTCCAAATGAAACCTTCGGGCATTTTGGAATTAGGAAGTCCTAATCTCTCAAAAACGCAGATGGGCGGATAGCTTACACATGTCAAGGGAATCCTCAGGGTATGGTGAGAAAACTGACTGATACCTCTGAGGTTACAAAGAAAATGTTGAAAATTGTCCACTTTACAAATAAATGCAGAATTGTCTAGAATTCCATAAGAATTCTAAAAGAACTGAAAAATAAGAAAGAATTTTTGTTCTAAAACTGAGCTATTTTAAATGCTTTTTGTTATACAAGCTATAAGATCCCATTATTAAAAATGTATAAAATAGAGAAAAGAAAATCCACCCGTGGTTCCACCATCCAAACATAGTCACTGTGATGAAAAAAACTCTCGACGTTTAAAATTACCGAGAATCTGTTTTCCTGCTATAGAAAGAACTGTTTCTAAATTGTCAATGAGCTAATAAAAACCACAAAGTTCAGTGATAACAGGTAACCAGGACCCAAATAATGATTAGTTCTTCATAGTAGCATCAACAACATACTCTCCATAGAGCCCTCCCCATCCCAACCTTCAAGACATAATCTCAACCCCTTTCCTCCATTCTATTCCTTCTCCCTAGTTTCTCTTTCTCTCTCCCTTTCTTAATTGGCTATAATATAATTACAACTTATGCTGATTGAGCCCTGTGCTGAGCACCCTGTGAGTAGGTACTATTATATTTTAATGTTACCAGTGAGAATCTGGAAGCTTAGAAAAGGAGTGTGGCCAATTGTTATTATTGTGATCCCAAATTTATTCACAGCTCTCTATATGTATGCCTATTCAAAAAGTGGCATCTATTTCTCTAGGATTCTTTTTTTTTTTTTTTTTTTTTTTTTTTGAGATAGAATCTTACTCTGTTGCCCAGGCTGGAATGCAGTGGTGCAATCATAGCTCTCTACAGCCTCGAACTCCTGGCCTCAAGGGATTCTCCCACCTCAGCCTCCCAAGTAGCTAAGACTATAGGTGCACACCATCATGCTTGGCTGATTTTTTTTTTAAGAGATGGGGTCTTCCAGCTTCATCCATGTCCCTACAAAAGACATGAACTCATTGTGGGGTGGGGGGAGGGATAGCATTAGGAGATATACCTAATGTAAATGAGTTAATGGGTGCAGCACACCAACATGGCACATGTATACATATGTAACAAACCTGCACGTTGTGCACATGTACCCTAGAGCTTAAAGTATAATAAAAAAAAAGAGATGGGGTCTTGCTATGTTGTCTGAGCTGGTCTCAAACTCCTGGCCTCAAGCCATACTCCCACCTGAGCTTCCAAAAACATTGGGATTACAGGCATGAGCCACAGCATCCAGCCTTCTAAACCTTAAATTTGGTCTTAGTCATGTGAATTAATTTATTTCATGGGACAATAGCAAATGAGACATAAGTCAAGGCTTGATAGATGCTTGCTCATTGGAGCTTACCCTCTCTTGCTGCTGAGAACTTTCAGCCACCATATAAAAAAACCCAGCCTAGCCTGTTAGATGAAGAGAGAAGACATAGAGAAGGGCCCTACCCAAGGCCCTAGACGTGTGAGTGAGCCCAGCCAACACTGTGTGGAGCAAAATGATGCTGTCCCAGTTGAACCCAGCTGAACTGTCAACCCATCAAATCATGTACAAATACATCGTGATTTTTTTCAGCTACTGAATTTTGGGATAGTTTGTTACACAGCCAAAGCTAACTGACACAAGTATTTTGCTAAAAGTCACACAGGCAGGATTAAGATTCAAGCCCAGATGGCCTTTACTCTAGAGCTCAAGTACTTAACCCCATGTTATACTGTGGAACTCCCATGAATCTAGTTGGTACCATGCATGTAATCAATGCCCAACCATGATGCAGAGTCCCCTTAAAGACAAACATAATGATGAGTTATCTGTCAAGCTGGGGCCAAAGATGGGCCCATTTCCTGTGTTGCCGTTAGTAGCTCATTTTTAAATTCAGGCCAGAGGCACCTGGGAAATAATTAGCTGCAGTGTTGCTGTCCTCCCATAACAAATTTGAGGGCAACTCTTTATTTTTGCTAAAGCTAAACAGTTTGTGGCAACAAATGTTACTTACACTTTTCTAGGAATAGAAATGTATTTACTTTTAATCAGTTGGGGACTCATTAGTGAGGCTGTCTTTATCTCCCTGAGTTTTTGCCTTCTTTGCTTGTTTTTATTGTGGTTTTGTTTTTGGTTTGTTTTCTGCTTTTTTTTTTCTTTTTGCCCTATATTGGTGTTTTCTTTGTTTTCTACAGAACCCTCTGAAATAAACTATAATGGGCTGAACAAATCAGAAACTGAAGCAACGTCAATTGCAATTTCAGAGTCAGCCCTTATAATCTACCCGTTTCCACAATCCTTCCCTATGCCTTACAAAAATGAAGGAATAACTGATAATTTAAAATCAAAAGGCTAAAATTCAAATAATTGAGCTGTATGAAGCATCAATCTGGTGCAAAGCCACTAATGAGAAATTCTGGTAAAGACCATACACCAAAGCATTTCTCAGAAACATGAAGCTTTTAAAATATTTTTCCACAATAACAGACTCTGAAAAGATTTACAGACGTAAAACCAAACAGAATGAAATATTTTGTTATATAATAAACTAAGGTCATGTGGAGAAGCAAATTTGGGTTACTAAATCTGAAAAACAATTATCACTATAACTAACTTGGGTAGCCTGAAGTGAATCAGTTTTTTTTTTTTTTCTCTTATTTTCTCTACCTGTAAAATGGGTCTCATAACCGTTGTGTTTTGGAATGATCAACAGTAGTGTTTCAGATAGTATGACTTGGGAAAAGTCTGTCTTTGAAATTCCAGTGATTCTTAAGGATTTTTTTTTTTTTTTTTTTTTGACAGAGTCTCGCTCTGTCGCCCAGGCTGAAATGCAGTGGCACCATCTCGACTCACTGCAACTTCTACCTCCCAGGTTCAACTGATTCTCCTGCCTCAGCCTCCTGAGTACCTGGGATTACAGGCACCCACCACCACACCAGGCTATTTTTTGTATTTTTAGTAGAGTCGGGGTTTTGCCACATTGGCCAGGCTGGTCTCGAAATCCTGACCTCAGGTGATCCACCCCCCTCAGCCTCCCAAAGTGCTAGGATTACAGGCGTGAGCCACCACATCTGGCCAACTTACGCATTTTTAAAATCCTGGGTCTTCCCAGAATTCTACAATGACCCTCCTAACACACACACACACACACACACACACACACACACACACACACACACACTCTGTCTCTCTCTGTCTCTCTCTTTCTCTCTCTTTCAGTGGCATCAGTCACCAGCAAAGAGAGCTCCCCTTGGTCCCTGCCTGCATCAGAGAGCCAGTTCTGGCCATGGGCTTGGGGTCATCCACCCCGCCTCTCTCCAGCAAGTGAAGTGTAGACACAGTCTGCAGTTCTCATACCCATCATCGAATGTGCCTCATGGATAGATTTAGTCATTCAGGAATTTCAGGAGCATCTGGTAAGGGTTTCCCTGCTTACCCTCTCTTTATGTATACCCTAATTACCCCTTTTGCCATGGTTTCCAGTGCCCAGTTTTTCCCTCCTGGTCCCTGGTAGGAACTAGAATCTAACTGTGCGCCACAGATAGCAAGCTGAACCCTTGGTCCCTCACTGGGTTCTTGCAGCCTGGGGCTGGTCTCCATTTTCTTTCTCACACATAGTCTCAGATCTCTTTAAAGGATGGCCTGGATAAGCTCCCATCAGATGATAAAAGCTACAGCTTCCCAGAAGACTTTCCATTATATCCTTCTCTCCTACCCTGGATTTTAATGTGCACTTGCTAAGAATTTAGTACGTCCCACTCATTTGGATCCAGTGTCCTGACAATCTGTTCTTCCCTGGGAAGAAAACTGAAATGTGGCTCTATGTCCCCAGGAAATTTCCCCTGGGCTCTTCCCTGCACTGATCCCAGTGGTCCAGACTCATCCACTTCCACCTGGCCAAGAGGTGGGGGTACTTCACCATTTAAGGGAGGAAAAACATCTGTTCAGAAACCCTAAGGACTGTAAAGATTCTCTAATACAAGTGAGCCACCCCTGGGGTATCAACAAAAAGAGAAGAGCGCTACTTAATTCTTGCTTCTTTATGCTAATATTCTCTCCCACCTCCCAGGGAGAAAAGGACTCTTGGTAAGGAAGAAACTTACTTTTTCTCTTGTGGATTTTGATTGAAACTTTTTTTTCTGATAGCCCTTTGTAATCCTGTGCTTTTTGGCATCTTCAAATTGTACCAAGCTCTCTCCAGAACACTGCAGAAGATAAGGGCTTGGCTTAGAATATGCCCTGTGTTTAACTGTATAATTGCATTGTTTGCATCCCCTTCCATCCTTGCATATCTGAAGGAGCTGTGTGCCTTTGATTCATTCTTAAAACTTGTGTCTCATAACCAGATTGTGTGTCTGTTTTAAAAGGGAATAGTTGGCTGGGCACGGTGGCTCATGCCTGTAATCCCAGCACTTTGGGAGGCCGAGGTGGACAGATCGCTTGAGGTCAGGAGTTCGAGACCTGCCTGGCCAACATGGTGAAACCTCGTCTCTACTAAAAATACAAAAATTAGCCAGACATGGTGGCGGGCACCTGTAATCCCAGCTACTCACAAGGCTGAGGCACGAGAATCACTTGAACCTGGGAGGCAAAGGTGGCAGTGAGCCGAGATTATGTCACTGCATTCCAACTTGGGCAACACAGCAAGACTCCATCTCAAAAAAAATCAAAAATTAAAATTTTAAATTTTAAAAAATGGAATTTTTGAGTAGTCAGGGATGAATTCATTTTTCTTACCTAGTTTTCTACCTTTCCCCATCTCAATCAGAAAGAGAAGACAGATGAGATAAGCTTGGCTATTCAACTGAGATCAGTTTGGCTATTACCTGGTTCCATTAATCCTGTTTTGTGCATGTTCCACAAAATATGTAAGCAGATTCTTTGCACCTCAAACCCCAGAGCCTGATGCCTGTTTCTCAACCACAAACTACAAAATACTCGAGAACTCATAATCTCCTTTTCTTCTCAGTCAAGTGTGCCTTGGCACTATCAAAAACTCTCTCTTAGAGACAAATTTTCCTCTAAGCTCAATTTACATGGAATGAAGGGCCTTGGGCAGCAAGCTGCTGGAATTCTTTCAGTATCATGTTTGCCTGCAAAAGGGCATTTACTCCTGACAGTTTTGAAGATATTCATTTTACAACCCAATTTTCACACTCAAATAATCACCATCTGTGTTGTCCAGTGTAGAATGATCACTGAAAGCAAGGGCGAGTTATTTTCCCCTTCACTTTGTGTTGCTTTTTGTTTTGTTCTAACTGGTGGGAGCATCATTAATTTAGTATTTCATTTCTAAGTACTATTGCTTTATGCAAAAAGAAAAAGAGAAGGAAGAAGGAAGCGGGGGAAGGACGAAAAGAAAGGATACCTGGGAAAGAATAAAATGCAGTAAACCCTAGCAAACTTTTCCTCATGAAACATCATTATTGTTGTTGCTGTTGTTGTTTGTGCCACTTTTGTTGCATATTTCACCGTAATCCACTGAGTCGGAAAGATAATCTTTATCCCAATCTGAGATTCTGTAATGTTTGGAAGCCAACTCAATCTACATATCGCACTTGATTGATAACTCAGTGCACTATAAACAGGCTCTACTGGCATGTTCATTTCATAGAATTCTTAGGTTCTCCTTATCTGAGGAAGACACCTCAAAATGGAACAACTGACACCCTACGAGCCCCAGATCCCTGTACTTCCCCTTTTGTAACACTCATCAGATTTTAAATTACTTGTGCTTATTACCCACTAAGTCCTATAATATTATGTACCATATCTGTCTTAACTACTCCTAGAGGCACAGTGCCTCTTCAGATTATGTTTGACACTTTCAGTGTGCTCTAAAAGCATTTATTAATTGAATTAGATAAATGAGTGAATCTTGATTCTGCTGCCTTTTCTTTCTTAAAAGGGAATCTGAGCCCTTTATATCATAAAAGTACCACAAGAATTATTATCCCTCTTAGACCAAAAAAGAAAAAGAAAAAAAAAGGAGAGTGCTCAATATATTTTGTATAAAAATCAGAATGGTTTCCTTGAAAAAATGCATTTTTCATATTAGAGTTTATTTGGGAAAATGGCATAAAAGTGAAGAAAGAACCAATATGCCAAGCAATTACAGAATTTCATGGTGCTTTCCTGTCTCAGCTAGTTTGATGGTATTTAAGGCTAAGTCTGATGGAAAATACTTTTCAATGAATTTGTGTTTATTTTAAGATGGGACTAACATAAGCTGAACAGAAAAGAGCAAATATAAAATTCAGCACACTACCACGCTGCATGAAGTGCTCGCAGGACTTGCTGACCACTCCATAGTAAACAGATACTGCATCAAGCCAGGCAAGACAGAGATGGAAACCATATGGGTTTGTAGTAAAATAACAGTTTATCTCCACAGGTGAGAGGAAGTGCCGATGGGAGCAAATACTGTATGCCATTAAATTTAAACCAAACACACATTAAGAGCTCTGTTTTGATCTTTGTTGGAGGAAAAACAAAGACATTGGACAACTGGACTAAGTAAGTACCTCTCTGTTCTCTGAGAGGGCGGCGTGTTTTAGACTACATATTGCCCCATTTCGACAGACCCCGCGTGAGCACATCTGGAGAGGCAAAGCAGTTTAACATCTGTGCTTCTGAAGATTAGAGTTATTGTTGCAACCACATCAGTGACTATGCATGGGTTTCCATTAATAAACCATGTGACTTATTTTAACTATTATTTTTATTGTCTTATACCTAGGTTGGGGTTTTTCTTACAAAAGTAAACTCGTATAAGTCCCCTGAGTAGTACTTCCAGAGGTGCTGGCTAAAGCTGGAAAGGAGTAAAAGATTCAAACTAACTGGAATTTATAGCATTCCTTCACAAGACAAAAGCAAATGCCTCAATTTAGAAAGTTAACTCACACTATACAATAGTCCACCAATATCTATGGTTTCACTCTCCACAGTTTCTGTCCCCTGCAGTCAACAACGTCTGAAAATATTAAGTAGGAAATTCCACAAAGAAATAATTTACGGCTGGGTGCGGTGGCTCACACCTGTAATCCCAGCACTTTGGGAGGCCAAGGCGGGCGGATCATGAGGTCAGGAGATCAAGACCATCCTGGCTAACATGGTGAAGCCCCATCTCTACTAAAAATAAAAATAAAAATAAAAAAATTAGCTGGGCATGGTGGCGGGCGCCTGTAGTCTCAGCTACTCGGGAGGCTGAGGCCAGAGAATGGCATGAACCCAGGAGGCGGAGCTTGCAGTGAGCTGAGATCGTGCCACTGCACTCCAGCCTGGGCGACAGAATGAGACTCCATCTCAAAAAAAGAAAAACAAGAGAAATAATTTACGTGCCTGGACATGAATCATCCCTTAATCCAGAGTCTCCAAGCTGTATACCTGCCCCTTACTCACTTAGGAGCCATCTCAGTTATCAGATGAACTGCAGTAGTATCACAGTGCTTATCTTCAAGGCCAACAGTAGCCTGACATGACGTCACACTGCCTACATCATTCACTTCCTCTCAGCACATAGGAATTTTATCTTCTCATGTCAGCACAAGAAGAATGGTAAATGCAGTGCAATATGATAGTTTGTGACAGAGAGGCCATATTCACAGAACATTTATTATAGTATACTGTTAGAATTGTTCCATTTTATTATTAGTTGTTGTTAATCTCTTACCATGCCTAATTTATAAATTAAACTTTATCGTAGGTATGTATGTATAGGAAAAGATGTCGTGTGTATGAGATTCGGTACTATCTGTGGTTTCAGGCATCTACTGGGGGTCTTGGAGCATATCCAAGGATAAGGAGGTATACTGTACTTAGTTCACATAAGCATTCAACACCAGGACTCACAATATCTACCTCTATAACAACACAAGCACCAGAGAAAATGCACAGATGCTCTCCGACTTTAAAATACAGATGTATATCATAAGGAAGACATCCATTTTCATGGCAAGATCATGTAAGATCAGTTTGGAAATTAAAATGATGGACCTTTTGTTCTTGATTAAGTTCTGGTGATATCAATGGCCTTCTAGGGGGCTCTCCACCATCTTGTGCTATGAATGTTCATAGTAACAAAACATCTATGCTTTTTTTCCAAGTGAATTATTAATTCATTTGATATAAAAATCAGACACCATCTTATTGGTGTATTAGGGTCATGCTAACTATCACAACAAATAAGCCCCAAAATTTTAGCGGCTTGACACAATAGAATTTATTTCTCATTCATCTAACAATCCCATGAGAGTTTTCCTGGTCATTTGGGTGATTTCCTCCACATGGTGATTCAGGGATCCAGGCTTCTTCTGTCTTGTGTTGCCACCACCCCCTAGGGCATTAGAGGACTCTGCTTCCATCCAGGGGAAAGGAAAATGAGAGACCCTACCTACTTAAAAGCCTCAGCTGAATGTGACTACAAATACCCTTTACTCATGTTTTATTGGCAAGAACCAGTCACATGGCCACTCATGGATGAAAGAGAAGCTGTAGCTGTCTCCTAGTGAAAACTCCACATTATCAAACAAGGCACACAAATATTATTTTGATAAACCATCTATACTACAAGTGTCTAATGTAAATCATTCTTGGTTTCCTCATTAACTTCCAAGACACTTAATTTTTGTTGGAGTCAACTGGGGCCAAGGAATAGGTGAACTCTAGGGTTTTTATACCTCCCATTCCTCCACTGAGAAAATATCTTGGGGACCAGACTCATTTGAAAACTGGTAATCTAGGTAATGATTCAAAAAATGGCAAATGTCCAAATGTACCCTAAACAGGTTCTCCTAGCTGCTCTTCAGAACACTTGATAGTTTCTGTAGCTAAAGTTATGCCTTTTGCATTGTCTTATAGCTGAAGTTGGGAGCCCTCTACCAATTTAAAAAGAATGATTAGTTATCAGTGCAGGATAACTATAAAGAAAAGGTAGTTGCTTTTACTTACTTCCACAAAAGAGCTACTTAAGCCCTAATGTCACTTGGCCCAATGAGATATACAAATGGTGCTATGGCTTGGATATTTGACCCTCCAAACCTCCTGCTGAAATTTGATCCCCAGTGTTGGAGGTGGGGCCTGCTGGGAAGTGTCTGGGTCATGGTGGCAGATCCCTCATGAATGGCTTGGTGCCATACTCGCAGTAATGAGTGAGTTCTCACTCTATTGGTTCACACAAGAGCTGCTTGCTCAAAGGAGCCTGGCAGCCTGCCATCTCCCTCTTCTCTCTTGCCTCCTCTCTTGCCACGTGATCTCCAGACATACCAACTTCCCTTCACTTTCCCCCGTGAGTGGAAGCAGCCTGAGGCCCTTACCAGCAGCTGATACTGGCGCCATGCTTCTTGTACAGCCTGCAGGACTGTGAGCCAAATAAATCTCTTTCCTTTATACGTCAGATTTTTTTTATGCAACACAAATGGACTAAGACAAATGGCAAAGGACCAAGTTAATTGTGGCTCTAAGGACTTGGAGGAGGCCACGCTATAAACAGCAGGAGGACGAGTGGCCAAAGCTCACATTTTGCTTTGGGTCCAAACAAAGCCTTTGCCTTCACTTGCCCTTAAAGGGAAAATTCTGATCTGGATATAAGGGGACACACCCTGAAGAGCTTTAGCTCTTGATCCTTACTACAGAAAAATTGGATGAATATTAACCAAACCTGAAAAGAGAGCTAGCTGAAATAAGACTCATTATAGTGTACCGAGAGGCAGACACTGAACATTGGCCATTTGAACTCTTTAAATCCCCAAAGAAAAGTCATGAATAGAGAGTTCCTGAGCAAGCCACTCTCCTAGGAAAATCTCATAGGAAAAGTGCCAATGATATATAAGGGACATTTGCATTTAAGCAAACAATGATTCTTTCCATCTGGCTAAATGCTCTTAGAAAGCATCCTGGAAGTTTCAGCCACTCACCCCTTCTGCTGATTAGGCTGCTCTGTGACTCGAGAGTTCTGCCCTGGAGGACTGTCAGCAAAACAGTTAGCATGTCCAGATGTGGACACTTCCTTAAAGGTGAAGTACAACAGGGGGAAAAGATTAATCTGTAATGCACTGAAGTCAGAAACTAACCCAGCGATGTGTTCAATGAAAAGGAAAAGATGCTGTTGAATTTTATCTCCAAGTGGTGTCATTATTTCCAACTAACTTACTCCTTCAGGCGACTGAGATAGTTTATTTTCCCAAAGCCCTTTCCCAACATTGCACACGCCCTCCTCTTGCTAGAACCCAGAGAGGAATGACAGCAGCTGAGAAAACATTCCAGTCCCCAGGAAAAGGAAAGACTGGCTGATGATTACTGAGCGGGCGGGGATGGCAGGTTGTCACCCCAGGTGCGCAGCTCAGTTTGCATCAGGGAAAGGGGGATTTCAGTTGGGGGCAAAGGCCTTTTTGTTGGCTGTGCAAGTCACAGGGGGTTAAAGTGCAGGGAGGTTTTCTTGAAAAAGCAGAAAATAAAATTCTTAATATTATGTATAGTATAGCTAGAGTGTGATATTTCCTTCCACTTGTTAAATTGGGATTTTTGTTTTATGTGCTTTGGATTTAGCTCCTGGGTGCTCTCTGCTTAGTTTAAAAGAGTTTCCATCTCCACATTGTCATACATGGAAAAAATATACTGAAGTAGTGCGCTGTACATCGTGACTTTTATTTTGCTGTCAGACTGCAAGTTACAATATACCTGTGTGCATTAAAGACTCAGGGGCTTTAAAATGGGAAAGTATCCCTTCATACACCGCACAAAGAGAACTACAGCCCTAGAGGGAAGAGCTGGCAAACAACTGCTGGCCTTCTTGTGCACATCAACCACACAGCCCAGATTTCGGCAACAGCTCCAATTGCCTGTCACTAGAAAGGTCATTTATTAAAAACACAACAAAAAAATTTTCATCAGACAACATGGACTGATTTTTGGTTCATTCAGAAAACACTCAACATATTTATTTATTTATTTATTTATGTATTAGCCAGCCATAAGCTTTGGCCAGTTTTGTGTTCTTTTTCAGGAGCAGTGACCAACTCCTGGGGTCCATCCACATCCATACTCAGTGCCCTGACCCCCCATAAGATCAACAGCATGCTTCTCCCACCAGCTGTCATAGGGAGGGGTGCTGGCAGACCCTGGAACTAACCCCTGCGTCTCTCCGTGTGCTCACCACCTGAGCAACTGGCTCCACATAAACAGGGCATGTCTGGTGATGAGACCAGATGCTACCAGGGTCTGGAATTTTTTTTATTATTATTATTCTAAGTCTTATGCTAGCCACATAGCTCCTGGGAGCCATGCAAGAAGTTCTATTGAAGGTCATGAATTACTGACCCTTAGAAATGCCGTGGAAGCTGGAAGGTACTCATTCACCACCAATGCACTTCTGGAGTCTTTCTTCATGACGGGTAAAAGCTCAGTGTGGAAACAGAATCCCGTGGATTGCAGGTGGCCTCTGGGGATGGCTCAGCCTGGGGATTTTGCCAGAGATGCCACACATAGGGGGACCGTATGCACAAGACAGGTCCTCTACCAGTGTGTGGAGACACACGTGTTAAAATGAGGGGAACCAAACCAGATTAGTTCATTCAGTGTAAGCAAAAAAGTGCAAGCTATCAGTCATCTAAGTTCATAAAAGCAATTTACAAGTAAATATTCACCTCAGCCAGCAAGATACCAGTCTTTTCTGTTCTGTAATAAGGTTTTGGGGAAAGATAAACTATTTGTAAAGAGAAACAGAGAGAGAGAGAAAGAGAGAATGAATAGAAGGACACCTGAGAGAAAGCCAGCAGTAGTAGCAATGGGAGGAAAGAAGGGAAATACGGTTAAAAAAGAACCATCTTTTTCTCCACTGAAATAAACTTACTTTATACACTTTTCCCTTGGCTTTTGGATTCAAAGGTACCCAAAGAGAGCAATGCCTGGTGCAGAGCTAAGACTAGTTTTATTTACAACACCAGGCTGTTTAGAACTCTCATTTTATTCTTGGTAATTTGATTGTTTGGTCACGCCTCCTAACAAGTAAAATGTTACACTGGAGTATTTGTTTAAACCTCACAGCTTCGGATACAGTAAGTTGCTGAACGATGTTTGCTAATGGCACACATTCGATAATTCCTATAATGTGAAATCTCAGCCAGATTTAATGTTTAATTTCCCTGGGATTCACTCTGAAATTATTACAGACATTATGTATTCTGCTCCCTGGACTTGGAATTAATTTCAAAACAGAGTAAAAGTGCATCTATTTTGGTACCTTGTGGGAGTTCACATCAGTAACATTCCATTTGTACTGAAGTTTCTGAAGTTTAAAATACCTTTTCACTTTATTTCATTTGATCTGGGTTGAGCAGCTACAAGGCACAGTCACCCGGAACCGCATCTTTGTTTCTGTGTGTAATCCTGGACATGCCACTGCTTGATGAGTTAACACTCCTGCAAAACTGTATTAATCCTCCAAACTTTATCTGCCTAACTAGAGGGTATATTTTTGTGGTTATCATGGTACAAAAATATTGCCAACATGCAATAATCTGGCAAAAAAAAATAGCTACATCAACATCTTTTTATAAATATCTGTCACAGAAACAGAATTCACAACATGCATTGCTTTGATTAATCAATCAATGCATTGGCTATGCTTCCAATACCTGGCCCGAGTAGAAAGCTCAGTGGCTGGAAAACCTCCAAACATTTTAGAATAAAGCAACCAGACCTATGTTAGGTTGTGATCCAAAAATTCCCAGACAATAAATCTTTAATTTGCTACCCTGGCAACTCTCACCAAATTTGAATTAAAAGAATATTTTCCACACAAAGCTTTGAAAGGATTTGCCTCCTGAACAGTTTTAAAAGTTTAACCTTTAGCTGAGGCACACTTCCTACAGACCAAAAGGAAAAGAAGTGGAAAAAAAAGACATCAAGGGATTAATTCACAAATTTTACCCCAAAATGAATGACAGCTGTTTGGGAGTTCAATTGCACTGACGTCCCATTAGGTTCAAAACATCCTGGGTCTTGCAATTATCTCATAGATTTAATAAAACCTTGTTAGTAAAAATTTTACCTCCCCAGTCTGGGTCTCAGCCAGTGAACTCACACATCTATAACTATATATAACTATTTTGAATGAAATGCTAAGCAGGAAGGGAATTCAAGTAGTCAGTTCATCCCACGAGTTTTCATTTTTATCTGATAGATCTTATTTGACTATATCCCCCCTCCTCCACCAGAAGGATGGGGGTAAGATTAGGGAGGTAGAGGTGGTATCTGTAGTTATAGTTTCAAGTGAACAGACCAATGGGTTATCTGTAGCCTAGAAGTTTGCTGGAAGTAGTAGAACACAAGCTTTGGAAATTTGCAGCTGCTGTATAATAAATAAGCAAAGACATGGAATTAACCAAGATGCCCATCAGTGGTGGATTGGCTAAAGAAAATGTGGTACATGTGGTACACCATGAAATGTGGTACATGTGGTACACCATGAAATACTATGCAGCCATAAAAAAAAGAAAGAAATCATGTCCTTTGCAGCAACATGGATGCAGCTGGAGGCCATTATTCTAAGAAAATTAACACAGGAACAGAGAACCAAATACTGCATATTCTCACTTATAAGTGGGAGCTAAACATTGAGTACACTGGGATATAAAGATGGAAACAATAAACATGAGAGACTACTAGTGGAGGGAAGGTGGAAGGAGGGTGAGGGCTGAAAAACTAGCTACCCAGGGGATAGGATCATTCGTATCCCAAACCTCAACAACATGCAATTTACCCATGTAACAAACATGCACATATACCCCCTGAAAACAAAATAAAAGTTGAAAAAATAAAATAAGATAAAATGTGCATTTCTCTGCCCCCTCCTTCCAACACTAGGAGTGTCAGCCTTTAATGTTCTATTATTTTGGACAAAAAATCATGTTTTAATTTCCAGTTTGGAGCTTATCAATGAGGTTTATACATGTGAGAGTATTTCATTTAGAGCCTGCCATTTTCCAGGCATTGTGTTATATGCTGGGGCTATAGAAGTGTACAAAACAGATGTGGTCCCTGTCCTTGTACAACTTCTACAGATGATAAATAAATAAATAAATAAATAAATAAATAAATAAATACCAGTTGCCAAAATGGGTCTATGAAGAAAATAAGCATTGTGTGGAGATAAAGGGTAGTACTGGAGACAACATGTATCTGGAGAGCCCAGCTGAGGGAACAGTATTAAAGCCGAGACATGGTGGATAAGAAGGCACCAGTCACGGAAAGAGCAAGGGGGAGGGTCCGCAAGAGAGAGAAGCAGCAAGTGCAACGTCCTTGAAGAATGCAGCACAGCCCATGGCATCCTCTGGGAAATGGCCAAAGGCTGACATGACCAGGAAACAGTAAGCAAGTAACAGAATGACTTATCATCAGATTGGAAAGGGGGCCAGGAGCCAGATCATGTAGGGTCTAGAGGGCTTAGAGGACTTTGAATTTTATGCAAGTGCGGTTAAGAAGCCACTGAAGGATCCAAAGCAGGGAATGACATGATGCAACACATGGGTTTAAAAGATCATGTGGAAAATGGACACAAGGGCACATGAGGAGCTGCAGAGGTAGCTGTTTGGCAATGGCTGCAGTGGAGCAAGTGCAAGTCCAGAGCAGGGCAGTGGGGATGAGGAGGAGGGGCAGGCGGAAGGTCCATTTTGGAACTAGAACTAGCAATGTTGGGAGATGGACAGGAAGTGGATTTTAAATAAGGGAAAGGATGACTTCTGTATTTCTGATTTGAGTGATGGAATAAATGGTGATGTCATTTGCTGAGATAGGGAGGCCTAAAAGGGGAACATGTTTGGTGACAAATCAAGAATTCCAGATTGACGCAATTTATAACAATGAAAACACAAAGCAAGCTGACTATATGGCAATTGAGATGGTCATATAAATTATGGTATAAACATATATTACACCCTCCATAAAGTCATGATTTTGAAGAACAGTTACTATATAGAAAATATTCATGTTAATTGAAAAACGAACACATTATTTTTTATACAGGATGATATATACAAATATAGGTTAGAAATAGAGATAGACTAGAGATAGAAGGAACAAAGAATGAAATATACCAAAATGTTTATAATGAATATATTTGATAGTAAGATTACAAGTGATTTTTATTTTCTTTGTCTTTCTTCATATTCAAATTTCTCCTATTAAACCTATATTATTATTATTACTATTATCATCACACCAAGAAAAGTTATTAAAAACAGTAAGTGCTGGGTGCAGTGGCTCACACCTGTAATCCCAACACTTTGGGAAGCAGAGGTGGGAGGATCCCTTGAGGAGTTCAAGACCAGCCCGGGCAACATAACAAGACATTGTCTCTACAAAAAATTTAAAAATTAGCCAAGCATGGTGGCACATGCTTGTAGTCCTAGCTACTCAGGAGGCTGAGTTAGTAGGATCACTTGAACCCAGGAGCTGGAGGCTGCAGAGGGCTATAATCACGCCACTACACTGCAGCTCGAGTGACACAGTGAGACCCCGCCTCTGAAAAAATAACACAAAAACATCATTCTATTTATCAGCAGCAGTCCACGGTTTAGTTTGGGTCAAGTCATAATTAAACCATAAAATCCAATGGAAATACATAAAACACAGTGTTGTGCTGTCGTGTCTTAGCTGAAGGCCTTGAAGATTATCACTGTTATTTTACTTCCAGACACATGTTTTGTCAAATGAAATACATTACTTGAATATTTCAAGGCTAATTGGTGGAAAACTTCAGATTAGAACTCGTCTCCTGGTTCACAGTCAAGTGCTTCTTCCAGGGGTTCTTAATCGACCTCAGCAGCAGGCACCCCCATCTGATCTCACCAAGGACGCTGAGACCAGCCAAGAATTCTGAGACTTGCACAGGGCCAGCCATCCTCACAGGCAGTGTAGAAAATCAGCAATATACTATGATTTCAGGGGCACCTAGCATTTCCATCTTTCCACTGCCCCTCTCCCATCTGCTTGACTAATATCTTAAATTCCTTTAAGGAGGATCAGTTCCTTTTATTCCACAATTAAAAATAAGGCTTATAAGTGCATGTTTCCAAGAGCGGTCATCTCTTGATTAAATTCACCCTAGGGTTTAGGACTTCTATCAAATACAGTTGGATGTCTGTGATCATGGGTTCTGCATTCGCGGATTCCGCGGATTCAACCAACCTCAGGCCAAGAATATTCGGGGGCGGAAAATAGAGCAAAATTCGAGAAAGCAAAACTTGAATTTGCCTGCACCACATACCACATTTAATCCATGCAAATGAAGTGATGTATAGGCATTGTATTAGGTTTTATAAGTAATCTAGAGATGATTTATAGTATACTGGATGATAGATTACAGGCAAATACTATGCCATTTTATAAAAGGGAGTTGAGTCTCCATGGATTTGAGTATTCATGGGGTGTCCTGGAACCAGTTCCTCACAAATACCAAGGGACAATTGTACTTTATGAGAAAAGGTTTTGAAGGGGCCACCTGAATACGGAATGCCTAAAAGTTAGAGATTTTCAAAACAAGGGGAATACAGAGACGGGGTGAAACTTGGGAGAAGTAGTAAAAGGAACAAATATTTAATGAGCCCTTTCTGTGTACTGTCCACTCGGCTAGTTGTTTCACATGTATGCTGTATTTAACCTACCACTCCAGTAAGGCAGGGTTATTACTCCCAATTGACATTCATTCACTCAACAAATATTTACTGAGCATGTGCTAGATATGCTCAGCAGTAGTCTAGTTCCTGGAGATACTGCAAAAACGAAAACAGGCAAAGTCCTTGCTCTCGAGGAACTAACTCAGGCTACTTGGAGGGGATAGACAACACATATTCTTAAAATGAATGCATAGTATAACAGATGGTGATAAGTGCTATGAAGAAAAATAAGGCAGAGTGAAGTGATAGCAAGGCACTTTTTATGGAAGGTAATAAAAAATATGTCAAGATCATACAGCTGGCAAGTGCCTGGGCTAGAACTAAACTCGGTTTCCTGAACAGCTGCTTTCCAAAGCCCCTGCTTTTTTTCTATGTAGTACTGCCTCCCTAGAAAGCACGTCCTACCTGGCAATTTTGCCTGGTGTTAGTCCTGCCAACAACCCCCAAATATCCTAATGGGCAAGCCTTTGGTAAACAATTGTTAGCCTACTGTGAGTCAAGTAAAATCTATTTACAGGTAATTGTTCAGCATGATTGGTTTTTGCTTGTGCATGAATTCAAAGCTCCTTCAATCCTGGTGTCTTTCAAAAATAAAAACAAAAACCTCAGCCCATAAATGAAATTAAACAACTTTCCCCTGAAATTTTTGGAGTCCCAAACTTGAGTAAGTATAAGCAACATCAATATCTATTTCAGCAAAAAAGAAAAGAAAAATGTGAATACAATGCAAACTTCAATTTTACAGGGTTATTTTTCTTTCTTCTGCCTTTTTTTAAAAAAACTACTCTGTTCAACCATTTTTTTTACCCTGTGCCAAAGAATAGGGGGGGAAGAGTAGGGGGGAAAATTAAAGCAAAAAGTGGCATTTTGTTTTTGTTCAGTGCACCTTTACATGCTTATAAAAGTCCATCTTCAAAAATCTTACCCACTGAAGGGAAGCAGAGCAAGATGGCCAAATAGAAACCTCCAGCAATCAGCTCCCCTGCAGGAACGCCAAATTAAACAACTTTCCACACACAAAAAAAGCACCTTTATAAGAACCAAATTTCAGGTGAGTGATCACAGTACCTGGTTTCAATATCATATGAAGGAAAGGGTAGGTAAGGCAGTCTTGAATTGCCTACACCACCCCTCCCCAGCCCCCAGCAGCAGCGGCATTGTGCAGACAATCTGCGTGGTTGAGGGAGGGAGAGCACAGTGATTGTGGGTCTTTGGATTGGAACTCAGTTCTGCCCCATCACAGCGGAAAGAAACACGGGGCAGAGCTCAGCCAGCAACCATGGAGAGAGCATACAGACCAGCCCTCACCAGAGGGGGATTACTCATCCCACCAGTCAGAAACTGAGTTCTGGCAAGTCCTGCCACCATGAGCTAAAGTGCTCTGGGGTTCTAAATAAACTTGAAAGGCAGTCAAGTCCACAAGGACTGAAATTCCAGGGCAAGTCCTGGTGCTATAGTGAGACATCAGCCTAGTGAGGCAAAAGAGTGTTTGTGTCGCCCCTTCCCCAGTCCCAGCCAGCACAGCTTGCAGCTCCAAAAAAGACTCCTTCCCTCTGCTTGAGGAGAGGAGAGAGTGAAGAGGACTTTGCCTTGCAACTTGGATACCAGCTCAGCCACAGAAGAATAGAGCACCAGGCAGAGTCATGAGGCCTTCCTTCATTCCAGGCCCTAGCTCTCAGATGACATTTCCAAACATGCCCTGGGCCAGAAGCAAGCCCACTGCCTTGAAGGAAACAACTCAGTCCTGGCAGAATTCACTACCTGCTGACCAAAAAGTCTTTGGGCCCTGAATAATGACCAGTGGTAGCCAGGAGTACTTGCCATGGGCCTTGGGTGGGACTCAGAGCTATGCTGGCTTCAGGTATGACCCAGCACATTCTCAGCTGTGGTGGCCATGGAGAAAGAACCCTTCATCTTGAATAAAGAAGAGGGAAGGGTCAAGGGGCCTTTGTCTTATAGCTTGGGTTCCAGCTCAGCTGCAGTGGGGTAGAGGAGCAAGTGGGCTCCTGGGGTCCTCGAATCCAGGCCTTGGCCCCTGGATGGCATTTCTGGACCTGCCCTGAGCCAAAGGGGAGCCCACTGCCCTTAAAGGAGAAACTCAAGACTGGCAGCATTCACCACAAGCTTACTGAAGAGCCTTGGGCCTTGAGTGGACATTGGTGGTAGCCAGGCAGTATTTACTGTGGGCCTGGGTTAGTGATGGGTATGGGGAGAGACTCTTCTGCTTTAGGAAAGAGGATGGAAGAGTGGGAATAACTTAGTCATCCAGCTTGGATGCCAGTTCAGCTGTAGTAGAATAGAGTAGCAGGTTGATTCCAAAGGTTCCCAACTCCAGGCCCTGGCTCCTGGATGGCATCTACAGACCCACCTGGGGGTGAGGGGAACTCATTACCCTGAAGGGAAAAACACAAGGCTGGCTGCATTTGCCACCTGCTGATTGTAGAGCCCTAGGGCCTTGAGTGAACATTGGCAGTAGCCAGGCAGTAGTCACTGTGGGCCTTGGGTGAGAGCCAGTGCTGTGCTGGCTTCAGGCCTGACCCAATGCAGTCCCAGTGGTGGTGGCCACAAGGGTTCTTGTGTCACCCCACCCTCAGCTCCAGGCAGCTCAGCACAGAAAGAGAGAGAGACTCTGTTGGGGGAAAGTAAAGGAACAGAACAAGAGTCTCTGCCTGGTAATCCAGGGAATTCTCCCTGATATTACCCAAGACAACCAAGACAGTACCTCTATGAGTCTGCAAGAGTCACAGCATTACTGGGTTTTGGTTGCCCCCTAAAGCAAATACAGCTTCAGTGACCAAAAACTTAGATCACAACACCCAAGTCTCTTGGAATATCTGGCCTTCCCAAGAAGAACAGGTACAAACAAGCCCAGACTGTGAAAACTACAATAAATACCTAACTCTTCAATGCCTAGGCACCAACAAATACCCACAAGCATCAGGACTATGCAGGAAAACATGATCTCATCAAACAAACTAAATAAAGCACTAGTGGTCAATCCTGGAAAGACAGAGGTACATATGTGACCTTTCAGACAGAGAATTCAAAATAGCTGTTTTAAGGAAGTTCAATGAAATCCAAGATAACATAGAGAAGGAAGTCAGAATCCTATCAGATACATTTAACAAAGAGATATAAATAATTGAAAAGAATCAAACAGAAATTCTGGAGCTAAAAAATGCAATTGACATATTGAAGAATGCATCAGAATCTCTTAACAGCATAATAGATTAAGCAGAAGGAGGAATTAGTGAGTTTGAAGACAGGTGATTTGAAAATACACAGTCAAAGAAGACAAAGGAAAAAAAGAATAAGAAAGAATAAAGCATGCCTATAAGATCTAGAAAATAGACTCAAAAAGGCAAATCTAAGAGTTATTGCCTTACAGAGGAAGTAAAGAGAGAAATGAGAGAAATTGGGGTAGAAATTTTATTCAAAGGGATAATAATAGAGAACTTCCCAAACCTAGAGAAACATATCAATATTCAAGTACAAGAAGGTTAGAGAATACCAAACAGATTTAACCCAAATAAGACCACCTGAAGACATTTAATAATCAAACTTCCAAAGGTCAAGGATAAGAAAGGATCCTAAGAGCAGCAAGAGAAAACAAACAAATAACATACAAAGGAGCTTCAATACATCTAGCAGCAGTCTTTTCAGTGGAAACCATACAGGCTAGGACAGGGAGGTATGACATATTTTAAACGCTGAAGGAAAAAAACTTTTATCCTAGAATAGTATATCCAGAGAGAGTATCCTTCACAAACATGAAGGCAAAATAAAGACTTTCCCAGACAAACAAAAGCTGAGGGATTTCATCAACACCAGACCTGTCCTACTAGAAATGTTAAAGGGAGTTCTTTAAACTAAAAGAAAAGGATGTTAATGAGCAATAAGAAATCATCTGAAGGTACAAAATTCACTGGTAATGGTAAGTACAAATAAAACACAGACTATTATAACACTGTAACTGTGGTATGTAAATTATTCATATCTTGAATAGAAAGACTAAGAAATGAACCTATCAAAAATAATAACTAGAACAACTTTTAAAGACATTGGCAATATAATACATAAATAGAAATAACAATAAGTTAAAAAGATGGGAGATTAAGTGTAGAGTTTTTATTAGTTTTCTCTTTGCTTGCTTGTTTGTTTATACAATCAGTGTTACCTTGCCATCAGTTTAAAATAATGGGTTATAAGATGTTATTTGCAAGCCTCATGGTAACCTCAAATAAAAAAAGTCCATAACATACACAAAAAATAAAAAGCAAGAAATTAAAACATACCACCAGAGAAAATCACCTTCAATAAAAGGAAGACAGGAAGGAAGGAAAGAAGGAAAAGAAGCCCACAGAAGAAGCAGAAGACAAATAACAAAATAGCAAGAATAAGTCCTTACTTATCATTAATAACATGATATATAAAGCACATATTATTAGAGCTAAAGAGAAATTCCAATATAATAATAGCTGGAGTCTTCAACACCCCACTTGCAGCATTGGACAGTTCATTCAGACACAAAATCAACAAAGAATTTAATCTGCACTATAGGCCAAATGGACCTAATAGATATTTGCAGAACATTTTATCCAATGGTTGTAGAATACACATTTTTCTTCTCAGCACATGGATCATTCTCAAGGATAGACCATATGTTAGGTCACAAAACAAGTCTTTAAACATTCAAAAAAATTGAAATCATATCAAGTATCTTCTCTGACCACAGTGGAATAAAACCAGAAATCAATAAGAGGAATTTTGGAAACTACACAAACACATGGAAATTAAACAATATGCTCCTGAAAGACCAGTGGGTCAATGAAGAAATTAAGAAGGAATTGAAAAATTTCTTTAAACGAATGATAATGAAAACACAACATATCAAAGCCTATGGAATACAGCCAAGGCTAAGAGGAAAGTTTGTAGCTATAAACACCTGCAAAAGGAAGTAGAAAAACTTCAAATAAACAAGCTAATGATGCATCTTAAAGAACTATAAGAGCAAGAAAAAATCAAACCCAAAATTCTTCAAGGAAAAGAAATAATAAAAACCAGAGTAGAAATAAATGAAATTGAATCAAAACAAATGCAAAAGATCAATGAAACAGAGTTGGTCTTTTTGAAAAGATAAAATCAACAAAACTTGAGCCCAATTAAGTAAGAAAAAAAGAGGGAAGATCAAAATAAATAAAATCAGAGATAAAAAAGAAGACATTACAACCAATACCACAGCAATTCAAAGGATTATTAGAGGCTGATTTGAGCAACTATATGCCAATAAATTGGAAAATCTAGAAGAAATGGATAAATTCCTAGTCATATAAAACCTACCAAGATTGAACCATGAAGAAATCCAAAACTTGAGCAGATCAGTAACAAGTAATAAGAGCAAAGCCATAATAAGAAGTCTCCCAGCAAAGAAAAGCCATGAACCCAATGCCTTCACTGCTGAATTTTACCAAACATTTAAAGAAGAACTAATACCAATCCTACTCAAACTATTCCAAAAAATAGAGGAGAAGGGAATATTTCCAAATTCACTCTACAAGGCCAGTATTTTTTTTTTTTTTTTGAGATGAAGTTTCACTCTTGTTGCCCAGGCTGGAGTGCAATGGCGTGATCTTGGCTCACCACAACCTCTGCCTCTCAGGTTCAAGCAATTCTCCTGCCTCAGCCTCCCGAATAGCTGAGATTACAGACATGTGCCACCATGACTGGCTAATTTTGTATTTTTAGTAGAGACAGGGTTTCTCCATGTTGGTCAGGCTGGTCTCGAACTCCTGACCTCAGATACACCT
Organism: Homo sapiens; assembly: GCF_000001405.40. Lineage (NCBI taxonomy): Eukaryota > Metazoa > Chordata > Mammalia > Primates > Hominidae > Homo > Homo sapiens. The sequence goes on from NC_000018.10 coordinate 25,889,038, forward strand.
GCCTCGGCCTCCCAAATCCTGGGATTACAGGCGTGAGCCACTGCACCCGGCCTGAGGCCAGTATTACCTGGATACCAAACTTAGACAAAGACACATGAATAAAAGACAACTACAGCCCAATATCCCTGCTGAACATTGATGCAGAAATCCTCAATAAAATACTAACCAAATTCAACAACACATTTAAAAAATCATCCATCATGACCAAGTGGGATTTATCCCAGGGATGCAAGGATGGTTCAGCATATGCAAATCAATCAATGTGCTGCATCATATCAACAGAATGAAGGCCAAAAAATGTGTGATCATTTCAATTGCTGCTGAAAAAGCATTTGATAAAATTCAACATCCCTTCATGATAAAAACCCTCAAAAAACTGGGTATAGAAGGAGCATACCTCAATACAATAAAGGCCATATGCAACAGACCCACAGCTAGTCCCACTGTTATTCGACGTAGTACTGGAAGTCCTACCTAGAGCAATGAAACAAGAGAAGGAAATAGAGGGTATCTACATTGGAAAGAAAGACGTCAAATTATCCTTGTTTGCAGATGATATGATTTTACATTTGTAAAAACCTAAAGACTCCATCAGAAAACTATTAGAACTGATAAACAAATTCAGTAAAGTTGCAGGATACAAAATCAACAAACAAAAATTTGCAGCATTTCTATATGCCAACAATGAACAATCTGAAAAAGAAATCAAGAAAGTAATCCCATTTATGATAGCTACAAATAAAATTAAATGCATAGAAATAAACTTAACCAAAGAAGTGAAAGATTTCCACAATGAAAACTATAAAACACTGATGCAAGAAACTGAAGCAGACACCAAAAAATGGAAAGACATTCCATGTTCATGGATTGGAAAAAATCAATATTGTTAAAATGTCCATACTACCCAAAGCAATCTACAGATTCAACATAACGTCTATCAAAATACCAATGATGTTCTTCACAGAAATAGAAAAAATAATCCTAAAATTTATACTGAACTACAGTAGACCCCAAATAGACAAAGCTATCCTGAGGGGGAAAAAAATGGAGGAATCAAATTACCTGACTTCAAATTATACTACAGAGCTATAGCAACAAAAATAGCATGGTACTGTCATAAAAACAGGCACACCGACCAATGGAACAGAATAGAGAATGCAGAAATAAATCCATACATATATAGTAAACTCGTTTTTGTCCAAGGAGCCAAGAACATACACTGGGGAAAGGGCAGTCTCAAATAAATGGTGCTAAAAAAACTGGATATATCCATATGCAGAAGAATGAAATTGGAACCCTATCTCTCACTACATACAAAAATCAAATCAAAATGGATTAAAGACTTAAATCTAAGACCCCAAACTATGAAACTACTACAAGAAAATGTTAAGGAAACTCCAGGACATTGGTCTGGGCAAAGATTTCTTGAGTAATAGCCCAAAAGCTTAAGCAATCAAAGCAAAAATGGACAAATGGAATCCATCACGTTAAAAAGCTTCTGCACACCATGGGAAACAACCAACAACGTGAAGAAACAATCCACAGAATGAGAGGAAATATTTTCAAGCTATCCATCTGATAAGGGATTAATAACCAGAATACATAAGTAGCTCAAAAAAACTATAGGAAAAATAATCTAATAATCTGATTTAAAAATGGGCAAAACATCTGAATAGACATTTGTCAAAAGAAGACATACAAATGGCAAACATTTGTGGTACATATAAACAATGGAGAACTATTCAGCCATTAAAAAGAATGAGATCCTGTCATTTACAACAACATGCATAGAACTGGAGATCATTATGCTAAGTGAAATAAGCCAGGAACAGAAAGACAAACTTCATATATTCTCACTTATTTTGGGGAGCTAAAAAAAAAATGATAACAATTGAACACATGGAGATAGAGAGTAGAATGATGGTTACCAGAAACTGGGAAGGGTAGTAGGGGAGGGCAGGGGTGGCTGGGGTCGTGGGGATGGCTAATGGGTACAAAAATATAGTTAGATACAGTGAATAAGATCTACTATTTCATAGCTCAACAGGGTGAGTACAGTCAATAATAATTTATTGTATAATTTAAAACAACTAAAAGAGTATAACTGGATTGTTTATAACACAAAGAAAGGATAAATGTTTGAGGTGATGGATACCCTATTTACCCTGATGTGATTATTATGCATTATATACCTGCATCAAAATCTCATGTACCTCATAAATACATACACCTATTATGTATCCACGACAATTTTAAAAATATCTTACCCACTAGATACAAGACCTTGGAAATACCTACTCTAAACCCATCAGTGGTATCATAGTACTCAAAGTTCAGCCCAAGCCCACCCGGAGTTTCCAGGTTCTTTGTGGACAAAGGTAGCCTAATCATGAGCTCGGTGACAGAATATGAGACTCTACTCTGTCTTCACAGAGAAAAGGAGGCACAAACAGAAATAATTTTTTTTTTTGAGACAGAGTCTTGCTCTATTGCACAGGCTGGAGTACAGGGGCACAATCTCGGCTCACTGCAACCTCCGCTTCCTGGGTTCCAGCAATTCTTATACCTCAGCCTCCCAAGTAGCTGGGACTACAGGCGCCCACCACCACACCCGGCTAATTTTTGTATTTTTAGTAGAGATGAGGTTTCACCATGTTGTCCAGGCTGGTCTCAAACTCCTGGCTTCAAGCGATCCACTGACCTAAGCCTCCCAATATGCTGGGTTTACAGGTGTGAGCCGCCATGCCCGGCCGAATATTAATTTTCATCAAGAGAAAATCAAATTTGTCCAAGAACTCTATTGACAGAAGTGAAGTTAGTTTTTCTCTAGCAAATAGTTAGTGGAGTTGGAGGATTAGTCTATTGCCCAAGAAAGAAAGTAAACCCACTGGAGTCCGGAAACATTCATGTTCTCAATAATGCATTTAACTCTCAAAAACAAATAAGATTTGTCTCTGCACTTTTACATTTCAAAAACACCTAAGACTAGATGATCTAACGCTCTCCTCTGCTAAAAATCAGATTATTAAAACAAGTTCCTTAAACTCATAAAGCTCAAGACAATTGTTAAAATTTTTATTTAATGTCAAGTGCCAACCCGGGCAGAGTCTCTCTCAATTCAAACAAAATTCACTGTGGACAGTAGCAGGCGCAGGCTTTTCAGTTGATGGACTGCAGCAGAATTCAGTTACCTCCTAGTGTGAACCATGCGCCTAGCACACATAGACTATTTTTGTAGGGAAACAAAATAGGATTATTGTATTTTCTGGACGTTCTCAGGATTAGGCTAGTAGAAATAATGTTGCAGAATGCTACGGCTTTAGACAGACCAGCTTGTTAATATTCCCACAAAGTTCGTTCCCCTAGCTTTTGGTGATTTGGAGTACAATGGAGGCCAGTTGAAAAATAGTTTCAATCAAGTCGGTGGGGAAAGAGGAGGTGAAGCCTGGATTGCCAGATTTCTGATTAACAGAGTCCATGAATTTCCTTGTAGCCTTGCATAAAGCAATGTTCCTGTCAATTAGAAAGAGCAGGCACTAGAACCCTAATTATATATCCATGAAGACCCTGAACTTGGTCTGAACTTTGAGTAATTTCTGTCAGAAAATCTGAGTTCTCTATAATCCTTGTTTGTATCTTCCCTCCCCAAAGTGAGTGATTTACTTGGGATGAAGGACATAATAGTAGACAGAAAGGATCAGCAACTGGTGCAGAGACAAGTCGATGAAAGGGAAGAATCTGGCCGGAGCTCAAGCTGCTCAGGGTTTTACCAGTTCTCTGGTGAAGAGGGATTGGAGTTGATCCCATAGGCACTTTATCTCAATTGTCATTTTTGGTACATGAACTTAATTTTAAATTAACTGGTAAACTCTAAATTATGCACTCCAGAGGATGGGTTCTGCCAGTCTCAACAAACCCTTTTACTCTTTTTCAAAGTTAGAGGACTCCTTCAGCTATTGTTAAAGATTGGTCTGGGACCCAAGTGGGCCATCAGGTTAGCAGGGTTCTTTGCAAGGAATCTTAACGTATTTTTTTCTGCCTGAGTGTGCTACAATAAGGGGTACAGCTGTTAAGATAATATAAATGAAAGGATTTTGTAAACTGTAACAACACTTAAATATTGTCGCCTGCCAACGGAATCACAATATTCTCCATTCTAAATATCTCCTGATTTCCAGCTAGAGGTCTCACACATTAATGGACCTTACAAGCCCATCAACCACCTTTACCTTCCTATAAATCAACCCCAACCACAATACTGTGTTCATACTGTTTCAACTGAATACAGCCTGTCTGACTAATATTCACTAGGGGTTATAAAGTAAGAATCTATCCGTCTACAGTGATACTCATTTACCTTGAGGAATACACACTCATGAACACAGATACATACTTTTTTTCAAAAACATGGACATTTTTTCAAAAAGAAAACCCTAATAGTTTGAAAGTAGGCATTCAATATTTGGTGTTTCTTTTTAAAGCTTTATTTTTACCTGGTCTCCTCCCTTAATTGCCTCCAAAGCTGTGCGTGGCTTCACCTAGCAAAGTTGTCCTGATAAATACAGCTGAACGCTGTGGGCAGAAGTAATGAGTAATGAGTATGGGAATTCCTCCTACTTATAACTAACTTCTTTTCCTTTCTTGGGGTTTAAGAATAGGCCCCAAAACTACAGAGAATAAATCATTATGAATCAACATATTACTTTCGTTGGTATTTCTAGCACTGTGATCCACCAGCTACCCATAGTGGGATTTCAAAAAGTTTTTTCCAAGAATTTCATTCTCCTTTGTCTCCAGAATAAATAAAGTGCAGAGCAGAATAAGCACAAATGGGATTTTGAAATTCATCCCCAAACCACATGAATAGGAAGCTCCCCCCTCACGGCAGAACAACTTAAGGGGCATTTTCTGTTATTTTTTTCCTTACTCGAAATGTCATTTTAACCTGATCTCATCTGATATGATGAAAAAGAATGGTAATTTATGGTGTGTTAGTGTAAGGAACATTGTATCACAGTAAGGATCTATAACTATAGTTACACCTGCCAAGGGACAAAGTAGCTGATTAGTTTCAAGTTGAAACGCGCATGTGGAGGCAAAACAGCCTGCTGTTTTTATTAGAGTCACCTCTGACATTCCTGATTTCCTAGAACCGAACATCTTTGCTGGAGAAAGGCAACATGTTGGCATATGAGCTGTATGTAGGTAGTAAAGTCTGGTTCCTGGGAGCCCTGTAGTGCCAGCCCATGCTAGATTCAGTTGAAAGATGCTCTCTGCAACTAAAAGGGAAATATATATAAATATATATATGAAAGTTAAATATATGTTATAAATGCCTGCTCAGGAGTAAGTTTATTCCCAGCCTCATCCCAAAAGCAAGGGAAAGAATGTTCTTTTAAAATCCCATATCTCTGTTTTCTTTGTTTTGTTTGTTTGTTTGTGACAGAGTTTCTCTCTCATTGCCCAGGCTGGAGTGCAGTGGCACTCTCTCAGCTCACTGCAACCTCCACCTCCCAGGTTCAAGTGATCCTCCTGCCTCTGCCTCCCAAGTAGCTGGGATTACAGGTGCCTGGCACCACGACCAGCTAATTTTTGTATTTTCAATAGAGACAGAGTTTCACCATGTTGGCCAGGCTAGTCTGGAATCCCTGACCTCAGGTGATCCACCCGCCTCGGCCTCCCAAAGTGCTGGGATTACAGGCATGAGCCACCGCGCCTGGCCCCATATCTCTGTTTTTTAGAGTTGATATCCAACTGCTCTCTTTCCTCCTCCAAAAGGCCAAACTCTTCAGCCTGGCATTTAAGCCTTTTCTTGATATGTCCCTAAATTCCAATCCAACTTCATCCAACTCTTTCCCTATATGTATCATAATTCTTGTCAAGCTGAATTACTCAGGGCTCCAAAAGAAGCCAGGGTGCCTCCAAGTCTTTACATGCAAGCCATATGCACCACGCAGAATGTCCTTCCTTCTAAATCTTCATTTTAAAATCCTACACAAACATTAAGATGCAATTCAAATGCACCTGTTCAGTGAAGCATTCCCTGATTCCCTAACCTGGAATTTTCTTTCTGAACTCCCACTGGAAGAGAAACATCTTCCTCAAACATATTTTCTCCTCTGTGAGGAAGGTCAGAGAAAAACCTTGACATAGAGACAAAGAAAGGCAACAAACTACAGCCCTATTAGGGGCTTTACAACTATCTCATTTAATTCTCAACAATCCTGCAAGGCAGGTATTATTGTTCTTAGCAGATACTGAACCTGAGGCTCAGAGAACGTTTTGAATGAAATCTTTGCCTGTCAGACTTAAAAGCACACAGTTTCCACCAATCCACCCTATTTATCATTACTCGTGCTTATACAGCTTTTAGAATATTAATTGTGGTGCTTTGTGAACATTTCTTTTCTCCCTTACTGGATCGGGAGTTTGTTTTGTTGTTGTTTTGAGATGAGAAAAGAAGCCATCTTATTCACTTTCCCCACCCCCCTCACCCCTGTATAGTAAATTTCTTCCTCAAATTTGTGTTAAATTAATACACATTCTTTCAGAGGGAAAATTTTTAAAAGAAAAGGAAACAAAGATAAGTTTCTCTTTCTAATTGCTCATCTTGAGGACACAGAAAAGAAACTAACAAGAAATTTGGCTATTTTAAGTTCGAAAATGAAGGCAACTATTTTGGTAACAACAGTAGCTTCCATTTTTTGAACTGTGATTCAGTGTCAGACCCTGTAGAGACTTTTTTTTTTTTTTTAATTCTTTGAGACAATCACACTCCCTTGACCAGGCTGGAGTGCAGTGGCACAATCTCGGCTCACTGCAGCCTTGACTTGCTGGGCTCAAGCGATCCTCCCACCTCACCCACCTCAGCCTCCCAAGTAGCTGGGATCACAGGCATGTGCCACCATGCCCAGCTCATTTTATTTTATTGTTTTGTACAGACACAGCATCACTTTGTTGCCAAGGCTGATTTCAATTCCAGGCTCAAGTGATCCTCCCACCTCTGTTAAGTGATCTTAACTACTGAGTTGTCTCACCTTTATGTCCTCTGGCCTATTGAATATTCACTCTCAGGCAAGGCTCTGTTTTCTTTCTGCCACCTAACAAAACAAAACAAAAGCCTCTTTCCTCAGTGCTTTTTCTCAAATCTATTTTCATGAATCCTCAAATAATTTCTCATATTTAGAGGACAGAAACCCTGAAAACTGATTGAGGAAAAGCAATGCTACCGTCTTCCTCTATACCGTAACGTGAACAAAAATCATTCAAAGGAATCCTTTCTGCATCCAGCCAACACAGCAACGCCCGTACTACAATCGGTACTTCCCCCGTGTAGGTAGCATGACCCCTAGTGGGCACCAGTGGTAAATATCTAGATTTTTAGCATTGATAGAAATACTGTACAATGGTTTATTTTAATAAGTGGATAGAAAAATAGGTCAAGATGTTGTCGTCATAACCATATTAATTAACGTGACCACATATTTTTGTTAACTACGAAACACACAGGAAAGATATCATATATACTTTTTAAAATATAATATTCAGAAACCAATTGTAAAGTGAGTTTTTATATTTTCTTTTGTTACCACCTTTAGCTTCTATAACTCTTAATTAAATACTCTCCATCTTCAACCACATTTCTTCAACAAAGATAACTTGCACAAGAGTGCTTTCAAGAAAGGATTAAAAATGGTGAGGTTGGGACATTTTCAGTTTGTCTAGATGAAATACTCTTATGAATGCATCATCTTAAAACATCCCAGTCCACATTCAGTGTTACTCGTAATTTCACTGATGCTTAATTTATTTCACCACATATTATAGTTTAATTAAACACCAGACAGGAGCTTCTCTGGGATCACTCTTTCTTTCTACACAGCAATGTTTAAGTTCTTTACATTTAAAGCTAACAACAAAAGTGGTAATCAAAGGAATACGGAACTATGTTTTATCTAAATAACTGGGTCATATATATTCCCATTTTATTATCAACAGATACTCTGTATTAGTCCCTCATCTCCCAACTTTTTTTTTAAGTAAGTAGTAATTCTTATTAACAGCAGTGGCACCTGCACGGGGGTGGACAAATCTGGTGACCAGCAGGTCCCCCTGCTGTTTTGCTCAACTGGCAACATGCTCTCAATCCTGGCAGCTGCTCCTGTTTTGTTTTTTTTCTCCCAGGCAAATAGGAACTTCATGGACATTTAGAAATTCTTTTCTCTGAATCAAAACTTTGGCTTCCGAAAGTAGCAATGAAATTCACAACAGAGGATAAATTTTTCTATACGTATTTAATTACATAAGGACATGAATACACTTCCATAAAAAACTTAAGCCACACGGAAATGTCTAATCTGTGAACACCCTTTTATACCCCACCTCCATCTTTCTCCCCCCACCAAGTGTGAGGAGGTCCAGAGAATTCTCTCCACAGAAATGAATATAAAACTGGACATCCTTACTAATGAGAGCCATTTCATGTCACTCAGAATGACCACAGGCAGAAAACAACTCGAGATATTTGTTGTCTTTCTTTGCAGTCCTGTGTATACGCATAAATAAATAGCTTCGGTTTGTTTCACTTTACAAAAACATGATCTTTCCATATGCTTGCTCTGCAACTTGCTTTTTTGCTTAACATTATGTATTGACCATATTTCTGTATCGCCGCCTATAGGCCTCTTTCATTCTTTTTTATCTGTTGTACAGCATTGAACAATAAGATGTATCATGGTTTATTTGGTCATTTCCCTATTGGTTTAAGGTTGTTTCTAATATTTTCCCATTATACACAATACAGTAATGAACACCTTGAACTATCTTGATATACTTATGCAAGTATATCTGTTGGCTAAATATCTAAAAATGAAACTGCTGAGATGAAGAATGTGCAAATATTAAATTTTAAAAGATAGCGCCAAATTCTGTTCACAAAGGCATGAATGTTTAAGGAGTTACCAGGCCTTTGTAACTAATCATAAATGTTAGCACTGGAAGTGTCCTTAAAATTGTCTAGCCAAAAAACCTTTGTTTTTTTATGATCACATTGGTAATATTTATTAATGCAAATATAATTTTTAATAATGATAAAAAGATGCAGTGAAAGAAAAAATAGCTATTTTAGAAAAGTGTATTCCATATCCTCTTGTTTAGTTTTTCATAAAAAGATTGCTTTTTTTTATATACATTAAGTTCTGGGGTACATGTGCAGAACGTGCAGGTTTGTTACATAGGTATACACGTGCCATGGTGGTTTGCTGCACCCAACAACTGGTCACCTACATTAGGTATTTCTCCTAATGCTCTCCCTCCCCTAGCCTTCCACCGGCCAACAGGCCCTGGTGTGTGTTGTTCCCCTCCCGGTGTCCATGTGTTCTCATTGTTCAACTCCCACTTATAAAACCTTTGTTTTTTAAGACAATACTAAGGTTTGTAGAATTTATATGACCGGTCCTGTTTCATGAACCCAGGCTCCAATCCAGGTTTTCCGACTGCCCCACCCAGTACTTCTCCCACTACAACATATTTTATAGGGGCAAAATTAGACTTGAATTTTGGAGTAATCATTTCCAGAGAAATAGAATGTCTTTTATAAACAATTAAAAACATCTTTTCTTCCTTTGGAGTTTTCAGCAGTATGGAGAACGACTAGGATTTATGTTATGAATCAAACATTCGGAGTGGCAATAGCTCTACGAAGCAAGCAAACAGGTAGGTTCTGTATCAGAACACAATGCTAAAAGTTGAAACCTGTAAATGGAATCTGATTTCCTTACTAAATGATGTTAGAAATGGAGGCTGCAGTTCCATACTCAGGCACTCATCACTTTAGGGAAATTATTCCAATCATCATACTCCAAAGCTCCTCAAATTATTTATTAGTGCATAATAAATTACCTCAAACTTAGTGGCATTTAAAAAAAACATTTTATCATATTCCTGGTTCTGTGGGTCAGGGTTTTGAGAAGGGTACAGCAGTGGTGGCTTGTCTCTGCTCCACAATGCCTGGAGCCTCAGCTGGGAAGGTTCACACATGGGGGTGACTCAAAGCTGGGGCTGGGATCGTCTAAAGGCAGGTGGAAGCTGGCTGTCATCTGGGATCTCAGCTGGGCTGTTGGCCAGAGAACCTGCACATGGCCTCTCCATATGGTCTCTGTGCTGTTTTATGGCACAGTGATGGGGTTCCACGGACAAATGTTCCAAAACTTATCTTCCAGTAACAGTGATGTGAGGAGATTAGGAGAGTGCCCTCCACAGGAATAAATATAAGACTGGACAACCATGTTTTTTTAAAAGATAATCAATTTCAGGTCACTGGAAAATGACTAAAAGTAGATAACATCTGGAGAAGTATTTACTCATGAAAACTACCAGTCAGGCCGGGCACAATGGCTCACACCTGTAATCTCAGCACTTTGGGAGGCCAAGGAGGGCAGATCACCTGAGGTTGGGAGTTCAAAACCAGCCAGGCCAACATGATGAAACCCCATCTCTACTAAAAATACAAAAAGTATCTGGATGTAGTGGTGCACATCTGTAATCCCAGCTACTAGGAAGGCTGAAGCAAGAGAATCACTTGAACCCAGGAGGCGGAGGTTGCAGTGAACCCAGATGGCGCCACTGCACTCCAGCCTGAGCAACAGAGTGAAACTCCATCTCAAAACATGAAAAAAGAAAAAGGAAAAAATGAAAAGAAAGAAAACTACCACTTGGGTAAATTAAGTGACTCTGTGGCTTTCTTTCCTGAGAGCATTCTAAGCTCAGGTGACAAAACCCTCAGCTCCACCTCCCAGAGGTATCTGGGCTCAGGATGGGAGACAGAGCGCTAAAACAAGGCAACACTGGAAGTGAGAGAACCTTAGAAGGGCGGGGGTAGTGAAAGCTCCACACATCTCTGGCTGACTGCTAATGGACACATGCCTGAGGGAAACCCCAAAATGCCCAGCAAACATTGCAAGCTCGGGAAACACGTACATGGAGGTGAGTGGCAGCAGGGCCTTAGAGACAATGGGAGCATCCTTCACTAAAGGAACGAATGAACACATTGCGAAGGATATATATTCCGGAATACTATGCATCAGATGGAAGCTACCATCTGGATGTACATGAGACAAAATGGATAAATCTTAAAAACATATTTGAGGGATAATAATTATGATAATGTCAACCAATACTTATATAGAACTAATTAGAAACCCCCATGAGTCTGGGACTTTTCTAAAATATGTCCATATATTAACTCATGTAGTCATCAAAGTCATTAGGTTGGTGCAAAAGTAGTTGCAGTTTTTGCCATTACTTTTAACGGCAATTAAAAGGCAATGTGGTATAGTCAGGATTCAACCAGGTAAATATTACCAATAGGATATGTATATATAAATATTCACATATGTATTTAATTACACAACTACATGAATACACTCCCATAAAAATGTTAAGCAATATAGAAATGTCTAAACTGTGAACACCCCTTTATATCCACCTCTTTATGCCATTCTTCTTGTCCTCCAAACATGCAGAACTTTATATATTATATATCTTAATATATACCTATAGATTATATATATCTTATATACCTATATATTAAGAGATTTTTTACAAGAAATTGACTTACACAAATTTAGGATCTGATGTCCAAGACCAAAAACAGTGAGGAAGTGAAGATCGTGGGCACAGGACAAAGTTCTCACCAACTGGGAGGCAGGAAGGGAAGACGACAGGCAAGATGGAACTCCATGGGCATGGGCTGAAGCTGTCATCACAAGTGGAATTTCTTCTGTGCGAGTGTTGTAGGCAGAATTCTAAGAATGAACTCAACTGACTTGCAGCCTTGACACCTTCCTTTTGAGGGGTAGTGGAAATCTGTGAATATGAGAAGCCATTATTCCCTTGATTATGTTACCTTATGCAGCAAAAGGGATGTTATCAGGGTGGGTCTTATCTAATTACACGAGACCTTTAAAAGCAAAGGGTTTTCTCTGCCTGGTAGCGGAAGAGGAAGTAAGAGATTTGAAGTACAAGAGTGACTGCTGGCTTTGAATACAGAGGGGATCACATGCCAAGCCTCTTTAGGAGCTGAGGAAAGCTCTCAAGCAACAGCCAGAAAGAAAGTGAGGTCTTTGGTCCTACAGTCCTACAACCACAAGGATCTGAATTCACCCAACAACCTGAATGCACTTGGAAGTAAATTCTTCCCCAGAACCTCTAGATGAGAACCTGGACAACACTGTGACTTCAGCCTTGTCAGGCCATGAACAGAGAATCCAGACAAGCCTGCCTGTACTTCTTACTACAAAAACTGAGATATTAGCCAGGTGTGGTAGCATGCGCCTGTAGTCCCAGATACTTGGGAGGCTGAGGTGGGAGACTTGTTTGAGCCTGGGAGGCAGAAGCTACAGTGAGCCAAGATCATGCCACTGCACTCCAGCCTGGGTGACAGAGTGAGACCCCATCTTAATAAAAAGAAAAAAAACTATGAGATAATAAATGACTGTATTGTAAGCTGCAAAGTTTTAATAATTTGTTAGGTGTTGTTATGCATGGAATGTATGTGTCCCCCTCAAAAATTCATATGTTAAGGTGTAGCTGTATTTGGAGGAAGGAAGTAATTAAGGTTAATTAATTACTTAAGGTCAAATGAGATCAAAAGGGTGGACCTCTGATATAAAAGAATTCGTGTCTTTTTTTTTTTTTTTTTTTTTTTTGAGACAGAGTCTTGTTCTGTCACCCAGGCTGGAGTGCAGTGGCATGATCTCGGCTCACTGCAACCTCTGCCTCCTGGGTTCAAGCTATTCTCCTGCCTCAGCCTCCTGAGTAGCTGGGATTGCAAGCACACACCACCCCACCACACCTGGCTAATTTTTGTATTTTTAGTAGAGAAGGGGCTTCACCATGTTGGTCAGGATGGTCTCGAACTCCTGACCTCGTGATCCGCCCACCTCAGCCTCCCAAAGTGCTGGGATTACAGGTGTGAGCCACCTCACCTGGCCAAGAATTAGTGTCTTTATAAGAAGAAACACCAGATGGCTAGCACTCGTTCACAAGTGCCCTCTGTCTTGCACGCTCTCCCTCCTTCTCTCTCTCTCTCTCACTCTCTCTTTTTCTCTCTCTGTGCCATATGAGAACACAGCAAGAAGGTGGTCATCTGCAAGACCAGGAGTAGGCCTTCACCAGAAATCAACTCAGCCAGATCTCGTACTTGGACTCTCTAGCCTGCAGAACTTTAAGAAAAGAAATTTCTATTGTTTAAGCCATGCAATCTATGATATTTTGCCATAGAAGGACTAAGATAGACAGCAATGGGAAACTAATATAGGAAGCTACTGTATTATCGTTATCCATGTGTTACAGTGAGGAAACTGAGTAAGATTCTATCACACTTCAACAAGAGCACCGTGACCACTCAGTAGAGGAAGGACAGTTGCTTCAACAAACGGTGTTCTTTTGCACTGCAACAGAATAAAGTTGAACCCTTATCTTGCACCTTGCAAAAAAATTCACTCAAAAATAATTAAATACTTAAATGTAATACTAAAACTGTAAAACTCCTATAAGAAAACACAGGAGAAAAGCTTCCTGACATTGGACTTGGCAATGATTTCTTGGATATGACACCGAAAGTACAGGCAACGCAAGCAAAACTAGACAAATAGGACTGCATCCAACTTAAAAACTTCTGCGCATGAAGGAACAAAGGATACAGTCAACAGAGTGAAAAGACAGCCTATAGAATGGGAGAAAATATTTGCAAATCATATATCTGAGAAGGGGTTAATATCCAGGGTATATATAAAGAAATGCTGCAACTCAACAACAGCAAAAAAATTTTTAATTAAAAAATAGACAAGGCTGGGTGCAGTGGCTCACGCCTGTAATCCTAACACTTTGGGAGGCCAAGGCAGGTGGATCACCTGAGGTCAAGAGTTCGAGACCAGCCTGGCCAACATGGCAAAACCTCATCTCTACTAAAAGTACAAAAATTAGCCGGGCATGGTGCCAGGCACCTGTAATCCCAGCTACTCAGGAGGCTGAGGCAGGAGAATCGCTTGAACCCAGGAGACAGAGGTTGCGGTGAGCCAAGATCACGCCACTGCACTACAGCCTGGGTGACAAGAGTGAGATTCTGTCTCAAAAAAGAAAAAAATAGACAAAATGTTTGAATGGATATTTTTCTAAAAATGATACACAAATGGCCAAAAATATATTTTAAAAAATCCTCAACAGCACTAATCATCAGAGAAATGCAAATCAAAACCAGAATAAGTTATTACCTAACACCCAATAGGATGAGTGCTATTAAAAAAAAAGAAAAGAACAATGGTTTGCAAGCATATGGAGAAATTGGAACCCTTTTGTGCTATCAGTGAGATTGTAAAATGACACAACTGCTGCTACAGAAAACAATATGGAAGTTCCTCAAAAAATTAAACATAGAACCACTATCTGATCCAGTAATTTCATGTCAGGGAATATAAGCAAAAGAATTGAAAGCCAGTCTCAAAAAGATATTTGTATGCCTGTGTTCATAGCAGCACTATTTATAATAGGCAAGAGATGGAAGCAACCCAAACGGCCACTGATGAATGACTAGGTAAATAAAATGTGGGATATACATACCATGGAATACTATCCAGTCTTAAAAAGGAAGAAAATCCTATCCCACGATACAACATGAATGAACCTTGAGGACATTATGTTAAGTGAAATAAGCCAGTTATAAAAAGGATAAATACTGTATGATCCCACCTATTATATGAGGTATCTAAAGTAGTTACATTCAAAGAAACAAAAAGTAGGATGTTGGTTACCAGGAACTAGGGAGAGAGAAGAAAGGGTAGTTATTCTTTAATGGGTGTAGAGTTGCAGAGTTGCAAGCCAAAGAATTCTGCAGATCTGTTTCACAATGATGTGAATTATGCTTAATACTACTGAACTGTACACTTAAAATGATGAAAATGGTATGTGTTATGTGCTTTTTAACCACAATAAAGCATATTTGCCACAGAAATTTAGTTAATATCTTATAACTAAACATGTATATATGTTGCTTATATAATCACTGTAAAAAATTATATTACAATATCATTTACATAAATGTAAGGACCATTTCTACACATAAAGTATATATTTTACAGGAATACACGCATATTAGGAAGTGAATCAAAGATATAAAATGGGTGTCCAGGTGAGTGAAAGGAAAGGATATGAGGCAGGTTGAAGATAAGGAGATAGGTGTTGGGGGGTGGAGAAGAGACAGAAACAGATGGAGCAAAAGAAAGGCCTTGCATGTACAGAAGAGAACGATCACCATTTTCTGTGCCTAAAGTACAAAGAAAACAAAACAGCCTGGGTAGCATGATACTACTTCTTCTCAATATGTTATGTATATTTGCAAAGAAGAATATCTGGAAGCATAAATATCAGAATATTAACTGGTTTTCCCTAATGCTTGGAAGTATGGATGATTCTTGTGTATATTTCCTAATTTAACTGTAGTAAAGGTGTATTGTTAAAAATAATCTTTAACATCCAATACATATAAATATATTATAGGCATGTTCATGTACAATATATATATTAGTGTCTATTATATATAATATTAATGTTATATGTATATTACGCATACAGTCATCCATCATTTAATGAGGGGAATACATTCCAGGAAATGTGTTATAAGCCAATTTCATTATTGTGTAAACATCATAGAGTGTACTTATACAGACCTAGATGGTATACCCTACTACACAGCTAGGCTATCCCTTATCCCTGTCTCTGTCTCTTCTCCACCCCCCAACACCTATCTCCTTATCTTCAACCTGCCTCATATCCTTTCCTTTCACTCACCTGGACACCCATTTTATATCTTTGACTCACTTCCTAATATGCATGTATTCCTGTAAAATATATACTTTATGTGTAGAAATGGTCCTTACATTTACATAAATGATATTGTAATATAATTTTTTACAGTGATTATATAAGCAACATATATACATGTTTAGGAGCAATAGGCTGCAAACCTGTACAGCATTACTGTACTGAATACTGCAGGCAATTGTAACAAAATAGTAAGTATTTATATATCTGAACATAGAAAAGGTATAGTAAAAATATGATATTATAGTTTTATGGGACCACCATCATATATGCGGTCTGTCATTGACGAGAACATTTTGTGGCACATGACTGTATATGTATGTGTCTTAGTTATGTTGCTGTAACTGAATACTACAGACTGGGTAAATTGTAAGAAATAGAGGTTTATTCAGCTCATGGTTGTGGAGGCCAGGAAGTCCAAGGTCAGTGGGCCAGCACCTGTGAGGGCCTTACTGCTGCACTATCTCATGGCAGAAAAGCAGAAGGACAAATGATGCATGCCCTCATGACTCAATTGCCTCCCAAGGGCCTCAGTTCTCAACACCACCACAATGACAACCCAGTTTCCAACATGTGAACTCTTGGGGGACACATGCAAACCATAGCAGATTGAAGGACAATATGGTAAACCAATCACATATAACTATAATTATTTTTAACAGCTCTGAGGTATAATATATATGCCATTAAACTCACACATTTGAAATATAAAATTCAATGGTTATTAGTATATTCACAGTGTCGTGTAACCATCACCACAATCTCAATATAGAAGATTTTTATTACCCAAAAAGAAACTATGTATCTCTTAGTAGTCACTCTTCATTTCTCTCCAAACACCCACGCCTAGGCAACAACTAATCCATTTTTTCTCTATAGATTTGTCTTTTCTGGACATCTAAAATAAATGGAATCCCACAATACTTGGTGTTTGGGGAATGGCTTCTTTCACTTAGCAAAATGTTTTCAAGATTCATCCATATTGTAGCATGCATCAGTACTTCATTCCTTTTTATTGCTGAATAATATCCTATGGTATTATGCCACAATTTATTTGTATAGCTGAATAATATTCTATTGTATTGAAATACTACATTTTGCTTATTCATTCATCACTTATAGACATTTGAGTTGTCTTCTCTTTTTGGCTATTGTGAATAATGCTGCTATGAATATTTAAGTACAAGATATTGTGTGAATGTGTGTTTTGTTTTTCATGGGAATATACCTAGGGGTGGAATTGCTGGGTTATGATAACTCCATGTTTAACATTTTCAGGAACTGCCAAAATATTTTCAAACTGCACCATTTTACATTACAACCAGAAGTGTATATGGGTTCCAATTTCTCCACATCCCCACCAATATTTGTTATTATATGTATTTTTATTATAATTATACTAGTGGCTATGAAGGAATATCTCATTGCAGTTTTGATTTGCATTTCCCTAATGGTTAATGATGATGGACATTTTTTCATATGAAAATTGGTCATCTGTATATCTTCTTTGGAGAAATATTTACTCAGACTCTTTGCCTTTTTTTTTTTTTTTTTTTAACGACAGGGTCTCTCTCTGTCTCCCAGGCTGGAGTGTAGTGACACAATCATAGCTCACTGCAGCCTCAAACTCCTGGGCTTGAGCTATCCTCCCACCTCAGCCTCCCCAGTAGCTGGGACTACAGACATGCTCCAGCATGCTTAGCTTTTTTTTTTTTTAATTTGTTTTTGTACAGGTGGAGCTCACTTTGTAGCCCAGGCTGGAATCAAACTCCTGGCTTCAAGAAATCCTCCCACCTCGGCCTCCCAAAGTCTTGGGATTACAGGCACAAGCCTCCACATCTGTCCTCTTTACCTGTTTCTACAGTGGACTATTTGTCTTTAATTCTTAAATTGTAAGACTATTTTATACCTTCTGGATACATGGCCCTTATAAGATATATGATTTTTAAATATTTTCTCTCATTCTGTAGTTTTCTTTTCACTCTATTGATGATGTCTTTTGAAATGCAAAAGATTTTTTATTATAATGAAATTCAATTTATCTAATTTTTTTTGGTCACTTGTGTTTTGGGTGTCATGTCTAAGATGGCTTCACTTAATATGAGGTCACGATGATTTACTCCTATGTTTTCTTCCAACAATTTTATAGTTTAGCTTTTACATTTAGATTTTTGCTCCATTTAGGGTTAGTTTTTGTATACGGTGCAAGGAAACTATCTAAATTCATTATTTTGCGTTAAGTTCTCCTAGCATCATTTGTGGAAAAGATCATCCTTGGCAACTTTTTCAAAAATCAATTAACATTAAATGTGGTCATTTATTTTTGGATGCTCAGTTTTATTCTGCTGATCTATATGTTTTTCCTTATCACACTGTCTTGATTACTGTAGCATTGTAGTTAGTTTGGAAAACAGGAAGTGTGAGTCCTCCAACTTTGGTCTTCTTTTACAATATTGTTTTGGCAATTTCAGATCCCTTGAATTTCCATATAAATTTTAGGAATAGTTTGTCAATTTCTGCACAAAAAAAGGCAGCTGAGATTTTGACAAGGATTGTGTTGAATCTCTAGATGAATTTAGCAAGTATTGCCATTTAAACAATACTGTCTTCCAATACATGAACATAAGATGTCCTTCTACTTAGATCTTCTTTAATTTTTCAACAATGTTTTATAGATTTAAAACACATATTTTTTACTTTTACATCTGCATATTTTATTCTTTTGTGGTATTGTAAATAAAATTGTTTTCTTAATTTCATTTTTGGATTGTTTAATACTAGTATATAGAAATACAATTTTTTATATTGATATTATTCAGTTGGTGCAAACGTAATTGCAAAAACTCCAATTACGTTTGCACCAACCGAATATATACTAAAAGTTTGCTGAACTCATTTGTTAGTTCTAATTTTCTAGAGGATTCCTTAGGATTTTCTATATATGAGATTATGTCATTTGCAAGTAGAGATGGTTTTACTTCTTCCTTTCCAATCTGGGTGATTTTGTTTATTTTTATTGTCTAGTTGCCCAGGCTAGAATCTCTCCACTACAACCTTTAATAGAACGGCAAGAGTGGACGTCCTTGTCTTTTTCCAGATCTTAGTGGGAAAGCATACAGTCTTTCACCGTTAAATATAATGTTACTTCTAAGCTTTTTATGAATATTCTTTATGAGACTGAGGAAGTTCCCTTCCATTCCTAGTTTGTTTAGTATTTTTATCATGAAAGGGTTTTGGATTTTGTTCAATAACCTTCTGCATCAAACAAAGTGATAATGTATTTTTGTCCTTTATCCTATTGATACGGTATAATACATTAACTGATTTTCAGTTGTTAAACAGACCTTCCTTTCGTAGGATAAGTCCCACTTGGTCATATTTGGTTTCCTAATCTTTTGCTAAGGGTTTGTTTGTTTGTTTGTTTGTTTGAGACGGAGTCTCGCTCTGTCGCCCAGGCTGGAGTGCAGTGGCGCGATCTCGGCTCACTGCAAGCTCCTCCTCCCAGGTTCACACCATTCTCCTGCCTCAGCCTCCCGAGTACCTGGGACTGCAGGCGCCCATCACTGCACCCGGCTAATTTTTTTGTATTTTTAGTAGAGACAGGGTTTCACCGTGTTAGCCAGGATGGTCTCGATCTCCTGACCTCGTGATCCGCCCGCCTCGGCCTCTCAAAGTGCTGGGATTACAGGCGTGGGCCACCTCGCCCAGCCTTGCTGAGGGTTTTTTGTGTCTATATTTAGTAAAAATACCAGTTTGAGGTTTTTTTCTGTGTGATGTCTTTGTCTGGTTTTTGGTATCAGGGTAATATTGGCCTCATAGAATGAGTTGGGAAGATTTCCCTCCTCTATTTTTTGAAAAAGTTTGTAAAGAATTGGTATTAATTCTTCTCTAAATGTTTAACAGAATTCACTAGTAAAGCCATCTGGTCCTGGGCTTTTCTTTGTGGGAATATTTTCAATTACTTGTTTAGCCTCATTACCTGTTATAGTTTGATATTGTCAGATTGTCTATTTTTTCTTAAGTTATTTTTGGTAGTTTGTATCATTCTAAGAATATGTACATTTCATCTAAGTTATCTAATTTGTTAACATACAATTGGTTGTAGTATTCCCTTATAATCCATTTTATTTCTTTAAGGTTGGTAGTGATATTTCCTATTTCTTTTCTGATTTAGTAATTTGAGTCTTCTGTTTTTCTTGCTCAGTCTAGATAGAGCTTTGTTAATTTTGTTGACAATTTCAAGGAACCCAATTTTTTGTTTCATTGCTTCTCTCACTGATTTTTCAATTATTTATTTATCTCTGCTCTACGTCTTTATTTTCCATCTTTCTGCTAGCTTTGGATTTGGTCTGCTCTTCTTTTTCTACTTCCTTAAGATAAAAAGTTACATTACTGATTTGAGATCTTTCTTTTTTTGTAATATGGGTATTTAAAGTTATAAATTTTCCTCTAAGCACTGCTTCAGCTTCATCCCATAACTTTTGGTAGATTGTGTTTCTATTTATCTCAAAATAGTTCCTAATTTTCATTGGTTATTTAGGAGTGTGTTGTTTAATTTCCACATATTTGTGAATTTCCCAAATTTCTTTCTGTTATTAGTTTCTAATTCCATTCCTCTGTGTTCAGAAAACATAATCCATATGATTTCATTTCTTTTTATTGTTTTTAGTTTTTTATGGCCTAGCATGTGGTATGTATATTGAAAAATGTTCTATGCACAATTGAGAAAAATGTATATTCTGCTGTTGTTGCGTAAAGTGCTCTATAGATGCCTATTAAATATAGCTGGTTTCTGATGTTCAACTATTTTATGTCATTAATGATCTTCTTCATAGTGGTACTATTATTGTTGAATTATCCATTTCTTCCTTCAATTATGTCCGTTTTAGCTTGACATAGCTTTAAACTCTGTTCTTAGGGACACACAGACAGACACACACACAAACACACATATATATACATGTATCTTTCTGATAATCTGACTCTTTTATCATTATAAAATGCCCATCTATAGCTCTAGTAACATTTTTTTGTTTTAAAATATGTTTTATCTGATGTTAGTATTGCTACTTCAGCTTTCTTGTGGTTACTATTTGCATGGTAGATATATTTCTCTTTTTTTTACTTCCAACATATTTGTATTTTGTGTCTAAAGTGTGATTTCTGCACACAGCATATAGTTGGATCTTGTTTTATATCCAGTTTGCCAATCTCTACTTGTTTCTATTGTTTAATTTATTCAGATTGAATGTTATTACTGATATGGTTGAATTTACACTGCTATTTGACTTTTTGTTTTCTATAGGTTTCTCTCGAGTCTTTTTATTCTCCTCTTCCTCCTTTACTCCTTTTCTTTACGTTAAACAAATACTGCCTTGTGTAACACTTTAAATTTTTAGTGACTTTTTAAATACTTTTTTATTTTTATTTTTTGTTCTTCCTCTAGGACTTATCACATACATCTTAAGTTTTCAGAATCTACTTCGGATTTATACTAACTTAATTTCAGTGACATATAAAAATGTTATTTCTTTATAGCGCTATTTCCTCTTCCCCTTTTTTGTACAACTGTTGTTATATATATTATATTTATATATGTTATAAACCCAAGAATATATTGTTACATTATAACGTTATATAATCTTATGTCTTTTAAAGAAGCTGAGCAAATAAATGAGACTATTTATTTATAAAGTTTATTATATTAACCTTCTTATTTACCATTTCTTTTCATTTGTTCCCACGATTTCAGTAACCATCTGGTGTCATTTTACACCAATACAACTTTGCTTAGCTGAGTATGGTGGTGCCCATCTGTAGTCCTAGCTACTCAGGAGGCTGGGGAAGGAGGATCACTTGAGCCCAGGAATTCAAGGTTGCAGTGATCTATGATCGTGCCATTACACTCCAGCCTGGGTGACAGAGCAAGACTCTGTCTCTAAAAAAAAAAATTAAGAATAGACAAATAAATAATTTAAAGTAATCATTTTGCTCTTTTGTGTACCCATCTGCTTTGTGCTATTATTGTCAAATAAATTACATCTTTCTATGCTATAGGTCCATAAATACAGATCAAGGTGGGGGTGTGGGAGAGAGAGAAAGAGAGAAGATATAAGTGTTTTTAAATTATTAAGTGAAGGAAGGTAAAGTTGAGTATACTCACAGTAATCCAAAGATGAGAGTGATTTTAGCAGGATTCTGTTTGTCTCACTCCTTCATCTCTCTTTTAGTTTCCTAACAGTCTGCCTCTATCGGTATCTCACTCAGCTGTTTGGCTACATGAACTGCCA